>NC_000021.9:24855575-25485497 GCF_000001405.40 Homo sapiens | reverse complement strand
TTTCCTTTGCTGTGCAGAAGCTTTTTAGTTTGATATAATCCCATTTGTTTATTTTTGCTTTTGTTGCATGTGCTTTGGAGGTCTTATTCATAAAATATTTTCCCTGTGTTTTCTTCTAACAGTTTTATAGTTCTAGATTGCACATTTATGTCTTTGATCCATTTTGAGTTGATTTTTGTATAGGGTGAGATATTGGGGTCTAGTTAAATCCTTCTGTATATGAATATCCATTTTCCCCAGAACCATGTATTGAGGAGACTGCCCTTTCCCCACTGAGTGTTTTTGGCACCTTTGTAAAAAATCAGTTGGCTATAGATACATGGATGAATTTCTGGGTTCTCTATCCTGTTCTGTTGGTCTAGGTGTCTGTTTTTATTCCAATACCATTCTATTTTGGTTACTACAGCTTTGTAGCATATTTTGAAGTCAGTTAGTGTGATGCCTCCAGCTTTGTTCTTTTTGCTCAGGATTGCTTTGGCTATTAGGAATCTTTCATGGTTCCATACAAATTTTAAGATTTTTTTCCTATTTCTGTGAAGACTGTCATTAATATTTTAATAAGGATTGCATTGTATATGTAGATTGCTTAGTGTGGTCATCTTAACACTATTAATTCTTCTGATCTGTGAGCATGGGATGTCTTTCTATTTGTATACTATTCACTTACTTTCATCAGCGTTTTGTTTTCCTTGTAGAGTTCTTTCACATCCTTGGTTAAATTTATTCCTAGGTATTTTTTTGTGTGTAGCTATTGTAAATGAGATTGCCTTCTTGGTTGCTTTTTCAGCTAATTTGTTGTTTGTGCATAGAAATGCTACTGATTTTTCTATGTGAATTTTGCATCTTGCAGCTTTACTGAATTTATTAGTTCTAAGAGTTTTTAGGTAGAGCTTTTAGGTTTTTCTATGTATAAGATCATGTCATCTGAAAACAGACTATTTGATTTCCCCCTTTTCAATTTAGTGTGCTTTAGTTCCTTCTCTTGTTTAATTGTTCTGGCAAGGACTTCTAGTACAATGTTAGATAGGAATGGTGACACTGGGCATCCTTGTCTTATTCTAGTTCTTAGGAAAAACGTTTTCAGCCCTTTCCCATTTAGTATGATGTTAGCTGTAGGTTTGTAATCTATTGCCTTTATTGTGTTGAAGTACTCTCCTTCCATCCCTAATTTATTAGGAGTTTTTATAAAGAAGGGATGTTGAATTTTATCAAATGCTTTTTCTGCATCTATTGGGATGATCATATGGTTTTTATCCTTCATTCTGTTAATGTGGTGTATCATGTTTATTGATGTATCATGTTTATTGATTTGCATATGTTCAACCATCCTTGCATTCCTGGGATAAATCCCAGTGATAATGACGTATTATTTTCTTGGTGTATTGTTGGATTTGGTTTGCTGGTATTTTGTTGAGGTATTTTTTGTGTCTGTGTTGATCAGGAATATTGGCCTATAGTTTTCTTTTTATGTTGTGTCCTTCTCTGGTTTTGGTATCAGGGTTATGCTGGCTTCATTAAATGAGTTACGAAGAGTTTCTTCCACTTCAAATTTTTTGAAACAATTTGAGAAGAATTGATATTAATTCTTTAAAATTTTGGTAGAATTTAGCAGTGAAGTCATCTGGTCTTGGATATTTCTTTACTGGAAGACTTTTTATTATGGATTCAATCTCATTGCTTGTTGTTGGTCTGTTCAGGTTTTCCATTTATTCTTGCTTTAATGTTGGTATGTTGTATGTGTTGAGGAATTTATTCATTTTATCTCGATTTTTAAATTTACAGGTGTATAGTTGTTCATAATAGTTTTAATAATCCATTGTATTTCTGTGGTATCTGTTTTGACATCTTTCCTGTTTCTGATTTTTTTTAAATTTAGATATTCTTTCTTTTTTCTTAGGTCTAGCTAATGGTTTGTCACTTTTGTCTATCTTTTCACAAAGCCAACTTTTTGTTTTGTTAATCTTTTGTATTTTTATCTCAATTTCATTTCTGCTTTGATCTTTATTTTTTTTTCCTTCGACTAATTGTGGGTTTGGTTTATTCTTGCTTTTATAGTTCTTCGAGATGTAACATTAAGTTGTTTATTTGAAATCTTTCTAGTTTTTTTAGTGTAGACATTTATCACTATTACTGCCTCTTTTTTTTCTTTTTCTTTTTTTTTCTGTTGCCCAGGCTGGATTGTAGTGGCATGATCTTGGCTCACTGCAACCTCTGCCTCTTGGGTTCAAGTAATTCTCATACCAGACTCCCAAGTAGCTGAGATTACAGGCACATGCCACCATGTCCGGCTAATTTTCATATAGTAGAAACGAGGTTTCACATATTGGCCAGGCCACCATGTAAGATGTGACTTTGCTCCTCATTCACCTTCTGCCATGATTGTGAGGCCTCCCCAGCCATGTGGAACTGTGAGTCAACTAAACCTCTTTCCTTTATAAATTACCCAGTCTCTGGTATTTTTTTTTCTTCGTTAGACAGAGTCTTGCTCTGTCACCTAGGCTGGGCTAATATTTGTATTTTTTTTGGTAGAGATGGCGTTTCACCATGTTGGCCAGGCTGGTCTTGAACTCCCAACCTCATGTGATCCACCAGCTTCGGCTCCCCAAAGTGCTGGGGTTACAAGCATGAGCCACCGTGCTCAGCCTAAACTTGCCTCTTAAGGCAAGTTTTGCTATCTCCCATAGGTGTTGGTATGTTTGGGTTCTATCTGCATTTGTTTCAGGGAATTTTAGAATTTCATCCTTAATTTCCTCATTCACCCATTATTCATGCAGGAGCCTGTTGTTTAATTGCCACATATTTGTATAGTTTTGAATGATCCTCATTATTGATTTCTAGTTTTATTCTGTTGTGGTTAGATAAGATAGTTGATATGATTTCAATAAAAAAATTGAGACTTGTTTCATATCCTAACATGTGGTCAATCCTGGAGATTGTTCCTTGCACTGATAAGAAGAATATGTGTTCTGCAGCTATTGGGTAAAATGATCTGTAAATGACTATTAGGTCCATTTACTCTATGGTGCATTTTAAATCCAATATTTCTTTTTTTGATTATCTGTCTAGATGATCTGTCCAATGCTGACAGTGGAGTATTGAAGTCTTTAACTATTAATATTATTGTATTGGGGTCTATCTGTCTGTTTCAATCTAATAATATTTGCTTTATATGTCTGAGTGCTCCAGTGTTGGGTGCATATATATTTACATTTGCTATATTTTCTTGCTGAATTGGTCCTTTTATTATCATATATTGCCGCTGTTTGCCTCTTTTTCACAGGTTTTTTGACTTGAACTGTTTTGTCTGATATATGTATAGCTACTCCTGCTCACTTTTGGTTTTTATTTGTGTGGAATATCTTTTTCCATCCCTTCACTCTCAATCTATGTGTGTCTTTACAGCTGAGATGAATTTCTTATAGGCAGCATGTAGTTGGGTATTTTTTAAAAGAAATCTGTTCAGCTCATCTATATCTTTTAAATGGGAAATTTAATTCATTTACATTCAAGGTTATTATTGATAGGTAAGAACTTATTTGTGTCATTTTACTGTTTCTTTTTCTGATTGTTTAATATATTCTTTCTTTCTTCCTCTATTATTGTTTATTTTTATGGTTGGGTGGTATTTTGGTAGTGATAAGTTTTGATTCCTTTCTCTTTCTCTTTTGTGTATTGGCCTTCCTGGTGAGTTTTATAGTTTTGCATGTTTCATAATGGTGGTTATTGTCTTTTTACTTCCAGATGTAAGACTCCTTTGAGCATTTATTGTAAGGCCAGTCTAGTGGTAAAAAATTCCCTTAGTTTTTACTTATCTGGGAATGGTTCGATTCCTCCTTCATTTTTGAAAGATAGCTTTGCTGGGTATATAATTTTTAGCTATCTGTTTTTTCTTTCAGTACTTGGACTGTAGCATCCCACTCTCTCCCAGCCTGTAATTTCTGCTGAGAAATCTATTGTTAGCCTAATGCATATTCTCTTATATGTGACTTGATGCTTTTTTTCTTGCTGTTTTTAGAATTCTTTCTTTGTGTTTGTCTTTTGACAATTTGACTATAATCTGCCTTGGAGGGGCCCTGTTTGATCTGAATCTATTTGAGGTTCTTCGAGCTTCCTTGATCTAGATGTCCTTCTCTCTCCCACAACTTAGGAAGTCTTCAGCTGTTATACTAATTTAGTAAATAAGTTTTTACACTTCTTCATACTTTTCTCCTTCTGTAACACCCATAATGTGAATATTTGTTTACTTACTGATGTCTCGTAAATCCTGTACATTTTCTTTTTTCCTTTTTAACTTTTTTTCTTTTTTTTGTCTGCCTGTGTTGTTTCAAAAGACTGTCCCCAAGTTCAGAAATTCTTTCCTTTGCGTGGTTTAGTCTGTTGTTGAAACTCTTGATTGTATTTAGGCATTTTATTTATTGATTCTTCAGCTCTAGGATTTCTATTTTTTTAAATATCTATCCCATTGTTGAATTTCTCATTCAAAGTATGAATTGTTTTCCTGATTTTGTTGAATTGTCTGTATTCTTTTATATTTCAATGAGTTTCCTTAAGATCACTATGTTGAATTCCCCTTCTGACATTTTGTTTATTTTCTTATGATTGGGGTCTGTTACTGAAAAATTATTGTGTTCATTTGGAGGTGTCATTTTTTTGTTTTTAATGTTTGATATGTTTCTATGTTGATTTCTGTGCATCTGGTGGAATAGTCAGTCACCTCTTCCAATTTTACAGGGTTTTCATAGGGAAAAATGTATTTATATACATGAGTCTTGACGTGTCAGTTCAGTGGGGGTGAATTGACTTTAGTTTAAGGTGGGTACAGTAGTGTAGTCTCCATGAAGTTTTTTCGGTTGTAAACTAGGCTAGTGATGTTTGCAAGTGTCCCAGTAGCCTAGGCTAAAAGAATTTATGGTAGTGGTGGTGCAGCTTTGCTGGGGGTGGGTTTACTGAACTGTTTCTCAGGCCAGAGAAGCATTAATGCACACAGTGGTTGGCCAACTTGGCATTGGCTCACTTGGGTTGGGGTCATGGGGCTGTTACTTTGGCCAGGAAGGGCATGGTTGTGTAGTGGCTTGGCTGGCCTGGGGGCATACCTGCCAGGGGTGGCCTATGGATTGGGCCTGGATGCTTTACATAGCTGTTTGACTATCCTGGGTGGCCCCTGGCCATGTTTCTCAGGCCTGGGACACAGGTGCATGTCAGCTTGGCTAACGTGGGAGCATGTCTGCTAGAGGCAGATGGTAGGGCTACAGGCCTGGGAGGTATGTACAAGCCTGCTGTGTTAGCCTGGGGGCATGCCAGTCAAGGACAAGAATGCCCACTCTCACCACTTCTATTCAACATAGTACTGGAAGTCCTAGTCAGAGCAATTAGGAAGGAAAAAGAAATAAAAGGCATCCAAATAGGCGAGAATGCAGTGAAATTGTCTGTTTGCTGATGACATGATCTTATATATAGAAACAATAAAGACTCCACTAAAAAAACTGTTAGAACTGAAAAACAAATCCTGTAATGTTGCAGAATAAAAAATCAACATACAAAATTTAGTAGCATTTCCATACTCTAATAACAAATTATCTGAAAAAGAAATTAAGAAGGTAATTTCATTTACAATAGCATAAAAATACTTAGGAGTAAATTTAACCAACAAGGTAAAAGATCTCTACAAGGAAAACTATAAAACATTGAAATAAACTGAAGACAAAACAAACAAATGGAGAGCTATACTGTGTTCATGAATTGAAAGAATGAATATTGTTAAAATGCCCACACTACTTAAGGTGATCTACAGATTCAATGCAATCTCTATCAAACTTTAAATATCACTTTTTACAGAAATAGAAAAAGCAATCCTACATTTTTTTTTATAGAGCCACAGAAGACCCCAAATAACCAAGGCAATTTTGAGCAAAAAGAAAAAAGCCAAAAGGCATGACATTACCTTATTGAAAAATGCATTGCAAAGCTATAGTAATCAAAACAGCATGGTAATGGCATAAAACAGACACACTGACCAATGGAACAGGATAGAGAGCCCCAAAATAAATCCAGGCATTTATGATCAATTGATGTTTGACAAAGGTGTCAAGAATACACTGGGGAGAGGACAGTGTCTTCGAGAAATGGTAAAGAGAAAACTGGATGTCTACATGCAGAAGAATAAAATTGAATTCTTATATCACCCCATATACTCAAAGTGGATTAAAGACTTAAACGTATGACTTAAAATTGTAAAACTTCTAGAAGAAAACATAAAGAAAAGCTCTATGACATTGGTCTGGGCAATCATTTCTTGGCTATGACTTCAAAAGCACAGGCAATGAAAGTAAAAATAGACAAATGGGATTGTGCTAAACTAAAAAGTTTCTTTCTGAACAGCAAAGGAAACAACAGAGAGGAAGAGACAACCTATAGATTGTAAGAAAGTATTTGCATATCATACATCTGATAGGCTAATAGCCACAATATATAAGAAACTTAACAGCATGAAAACAAAAAACCTGATTTAAAATGGGTAAAAGACCTGCCTGAATAGGCATTTCATAAAAGAAGACATGCAAGTGGCCAAAAAAAAAAAAAAATGAAAAAAAAAAGCTCAACATTTCTAATCAGGGAAATGCCACTTAAAACCACCTTACACCTATTGGAATGGCTAGTATCAAAAAGGTGAAAGATAACAAATTCTGGAGAGGATGTGGAGAAAAAAGAACCTGTGTACACTGTTAGCGAGAATGCAGATTAGTACAGCCATTATGAAAAACAGTATGGAGGCTCCTCAAAAAACTAAAAACAGAATTACCATATGATTCAGCAATTCCACTGCTGGATATATATCCAAAGGAATTAAAAACAATATGTCAAGGAAATATTTGCATCCCCATGTTAATTGCAGCATTATTCACAATAGCCAAGATATGAAAACAACCTAAGTGCCCATCAGTGGATAAATGGATAAATAAAATGTGGTATATATACACAAAGGATTATTATTCAGTCTTAAAAATGAAGGAAACTCCGTCACTTGTGATGATGTGGTTGAACCTGGAGGACATTATGCTAATTGAATAAGCCAGGCACAGAAAGAAAAATACTGCATGATCTCACTTATAAGTGGAATCTAAAAAAGTTGAACTGGGAAATAGAGAGTAGAATAGTGGTTACAAAGCCTGGAGGGCTGGATGGATGGGGAAAGGGGAGATGTTAATCAAAGGGTGCAAAGTTTCAATCAGGCAGGATTAATAAGTTCTAGTGATCTATTGCATGGTCTGGGGACCACAGTTAATAATAATGCATTGTATATTTCAAAATTGCCTAAAAAGTCGATTTTACATGTTCTCATTACAAAGAAATAATAAATATATGAGGCGATGGCTATGCTAATTAGCCTGATTTAATCATTCCATAATGTATATATTTATTATAACATCCCATTTTACCCTATTAATATAATTATCTGTCAATTACAAATACAATTTAAAAATTTTTTAGCTTTTTTTTTAGAACATGAAGTTAAATGTTGTCAAGCAATGTTTCATAATTTTTATTTTAGAGGTTTTGTTTAACTTTTCTTAGGTTTATTTCTATTCCTAAGCATTTTATTTATGGTGCCATTGTGAATTTTAAATAATTTTATTTTCTAATTGTTGTTAATATAGGAGAAACATGATTGATTTTCATATATTATTCTTGTAGCTATTAAGTTTACTTAATAATTCTAATGGTTTGTAATAGTTTAAAAAATTTTCTGTGTATACAACCATGTCATCTGCAAATAATGACCATTTTACTTCTTTCATTCTAATCTTTATACACTTTCCCACCCTTGCTTTATTGCATGTATTCGAATTTAAGTATTAAATGGAGGTGGTAATAAGTAGACATCTTTGTTATGTTTCCCTACCATATCGTATCTCACTAGGAAAGCATTCAATATTTCACCATTAATATAATAGTAATGTAGGTAATGTGTAGATGTGGTTTTATCAGATTATCAGATTAAGGGACTTTTATTTACCTGATTAGGAATTTTTCATTTAATTCCTTTTCTTTTTTTTTTTTGCTGTCAGTTTTTATCATGACCAAGTGTCACTTTTTGTCAAATGCCTTTTCTGCGTCCTTTGATATATTCATTTCCCTCCCACCTTATTCTGTCAATATGTTAATTTATATTGATCAGTGTTCAAATGTTAAAACAATCTTGTGTTGCTGAGATAAATTCCACTTTCTCTTGCTGTATTATCTTTTTTATATATTATTTGACTCTACTTGCTATTCTTTTTTTAAGATTTCTGTATCTACATTCATGAGGTATATTGATCTTTACTTTTCTTGCATGTATCATCATTATGTTAGCTTCATAAAATGAGTTGAGAAGTGTCCCTTCTTTTCCTAATCTCTGAGTGTGTGGGTTTGATATCATTTCTTTCTTTAATGTTGATAAGAGTTCTCTTGGGTCTGGAGTTTTCTTTGTGGGATAGATTTTTGTCATTGTTGTTGTTGAGACAGGGTCTCACTCTGTTGCCCAGGCTGGAGTGCAGTGGCATGATCATTGCAGCCTTGACCTCCCATGCTCAAGCATTCCTCCCACCTCAGCCTGCCAAGTAGCTGAGACTACATGCACATGCCACTACACGAGGCTAATTTTTAAAATTTTGTAGAGATGGGGTTTCCTTATCCTGCCCAGGCTTTTCTTGAACTCCTGGGCTCAAGTGATCCTCCTGCCTCCACCTCCCAAGGTTCCAGGATTACAGGCATGAGCCACTGTGACCAGCTCGCTTTGGGGAAAAGTTTTAAATGATGGATTAAATCTACTCAAAGTCAACATGATCAGTTTTTTTGAACACCCCTCTTTTATGGTCACACAGCATATATTTTCACTTTCACAAATTAAAAAAAAAATTTACTGCACTGGTTTAGTCCATTCTCACACTGCTATAAAGAAATGCCTGAGGCTGGGCATGGTGGCTGATGCCTATAGTCCCAGAACTTTGGGAGGCCAAGGCAAGCAGATAACCTGAGGTCAGGAGTTTGAGAACAGCTTGGCTAACATGGCGAAACCCCGTCTCTACTAAAAATACAAAAATTAGCCAGGTGTGGTGACGTGCACCTATAATCCCAGCTGCTCAGGAGGCTGAGGCACGAGAATCACTTGAACCCAAGAGGCGGAGGTTACAGTGAGCTGAGATCATGCCACTGCACTCCAGCCTGGGTGACAGAGTGAGACTCCGTCAAAAAAAAAAGAAGAAATACCTGAGACTGGATAATTTATAAAAGAAAGATAAGATGTTTAATTTGCCCCTGATCCCACAGGCTGTATAGGCAGCATGATGCTGGCATCTGCTCGGTTTCTAGGGAGGCCTTGGGAAATGTATAATCATGGCAGAAGGTGAAGGGAGAGCTGGTACTTCACATGGCTAGAGTAGAAGGAAGAGAGAGAGGTGGGAGGTGCTACAAACTTTTAAACAACCAGATTTCATGAGAACTCACTATGATGACAACAGCACCAAGTGGGGGTGGTGTTAAACCATGAGAAACCATCCCCATGATCCAATCACCTCCCACCAGGCCCCACTTCCAGCATTGGGGATTACATTTCAACATGAGATTTGGGTGGGGACACTGATCTAAATTGTATCATGTAGTATTTGAAACCTCACATGTATATTTGAACCCAGCTTCCATTATGTGTCTGAATGACCTGAAAAGAGCAAAACTAACACTGCTGAGGAAGAGGAACATTTTCTAAGAATGTCTGAGCAGATTAGTTAATTAAGTCAGCTTTTAATGTATTCCTGTGATGTGTCAGCTACGGTGCTAGCCGGTGGTACTACTTCTCAAAACAGAGTGAAGTCCGTAGATACTTATGCAAAATAAATTTTGAAACAATGTCACACACATACACTGGAGACACCTGTTAACCCAGCAGGGCTGAAAAGACTTTGCTGAGGAGTTAGTATTTGGGTTGGACCTTGAAGGATTAGTAAGAGTTCACCAGTCAGGGAAGGGAGGAAGGACTAGACAGATGGTATGTTATATTATATGCAAAGGCATGGTCGTGGGAAAAGGTAAGATGTGTGAAAAAGAGGAATGAGCTTGGTGTTAAAGGAGATTAGAGTACTTGGGGGGACAGCCATGAGAGTTGTTGTTCTAAAGAAATATTGGGACTTTCAGGAAAGACGTTTGTTTGTGGTGTAATAAGTTGAATTCTATCCAGCAGGCAGTGTACAGTCAGTCACCAGTGGATTTTAACCAATGAACAGACATTATTAAATCTCTGTTTTATAAAGTTACTCTGGCCATTGTGGGGAAGATATATTTGAGTGGAGAGAGACCAGTGGAAGATCAAAATATATGGTGTACAACCAAACAATGAAAATTACTGTATATAAATATCAAGGGATAGTTCGTCTCACTGAAATTATATGAGAACTAAATATTCAGTACCCACTTTTTTAAATACTTGAATGCATAAACATTTTTGTATGTTTATCTAACTTGTATTTGAGTTGATTCAGTTTTACAATGGGCTTGGAAAGACCTCACTGTTGGGATTATATTTGTCAGAGCTCAGTCAGGGAAAACGGTCATGATGATCATCATGAGATAAGGGGTCGATTATAGGATCTCTAGTAATTGTGGGTGCATTAGTCCATTTTTACACTGCTATAAAGATACTACCTGAGAATGGGTAATTTACAAAGGAGACTTAATTGACTCACAGTTCCACATGGCTCAGGAAACTTGCAATTATGGCAGAGGGTGAAGGGAAAGCAAGGGCCTTCTTCACAAGGCAGCAGAAGAGAGACAAAGAGCGAAGGGTGAAGAGCCCCTTATAAAACTATCAGATCTCATGAATGCTCACTCACTATCATGAGAACAGCATGGGGGGCACTGCCCCCATAATCCAATCACCTCATACCAGGTCCCTGCCTCAACACATGGGGATTACAGTTTGAGATCAGATTTGGTTGGGGACACAGAGCCAAACCATATCATTCTACTCTGGCCATTCCCAAATCTCATGTCCTTTTCACATTTCAAAACACAATCCTGCCTTCCCAACAGTCTCCCAAAGTCTTATTTCAGTATTAACCCAAAAGTCCAGTCCAACGTCTCATCTGAGACAAGGCAAGTCACTTCCACCTATAAGCCTTTAAAATCAAAAGCAAGTTAATTACTTCCTAGATACAATGGGGTTGCAGGCATTGGGTAAATGTTTCCATTCCAAATGGGAGAAATTGGCCAAAACAAAGGGGCATAGGCTCCATGTAAGTACGAAACCCAACAGGGCAGTCATTATATCTTAAAGCTCTGGAATGATCTCCTTTGACTACATGTCTCACATGTAGGTCACACTGATGTAAAAAGTGGGCTCCGACAGCATTGGGCAGCTCCGTCCCTGTGGGTCTGCAGGGTATAGCCACCATGGCTGCTTTCACAGGATGACATTGAGTGCCTGTGGCTTTTCCAGGTGCATGGTGCAAGCTGTCAGTAGATCTACCCTTCTGGGGTCTGTAGGATGGTGGCCCTCTTTTCACAGCTCCACTAGGAAGTGCCCAAGAGGGGATTCTGTGTTTGGGCTCCAACCCCACATTTCCCCTCTGCATTGCCATAGAAGAAATTCTCTATGAGGGCTTTGCCCCTGCAACAGACTTCTGCCTGGACATTTAGGGGTTTTCATACATCCTCTGAAATCTAGGCAGAGGTTCCCTAAGCTCGATTCTTGTCTTCTATGCACCCACAGGTCCAACACCACTTGGAAGCTGCCAAGGCTTGGGGCTTGCATCCTCTGAAGCAACAGCTGAAGCTGTACTTTGGCCCCTTTTAGCCATGGCTGGAGCTTGAGCAGCTGCCTTGCAGGGCACCATGTCTGGAGGCTGCAAAGAGCAGTAGGGCCCTGGGCTGGCCCAAGAAGCCATTGTGCTCTCCTAGGCCTCTGGGCCTGTGATGGGAGGGGCTGTCTTGAAGGTCTCTGACATGCCCTAGAGACATTTTCCCCATTGTCTTGGCTGTTAATATTCAGCTCGTTGGCTTGAATTCCTCCTCAGAAAATGGGGTTTTCTTTTTCACCACATGAACAGGCTGCAAATTTTCTAAACCTTTATGCTCTGCTTCCCTTTTAAACATAAGTTTCAATTTCAAACCATGTCTTTGTGAACATATATAACTGAATGCTTTCAGAATAAGCCAGAATTGACCTCTTGAATGCTTTGCTGCTTGAAAGTTCTTCTGCCAGATACTTTAAATCATCTCTCTCAAGTTCAAATTTTCACAGATCTCTAGGGCAGGGGCAAAATGCTGCCAGTCTCTTCACTAAAGCATAGCAAGAGGGACCTTTGCTCCAGTTCCCAATGAATTCCTCATCTCCATTTGAGACCACCTCAACCTGGATTTCCTTGTCCATATTACTATCAGCATTTTGGTCAAAACCGTTCAAGAAGCCACTAGAGAATTCCAAACTTTCCCACATTTTTCTGTTTTCTTCTGAGCCCTCCAAACTATTCCAACCTCTGCCCATTACTGGTTCCAAAGTTACTTCCCCATGTTCAAGTGTCTTCATAGCACTGCCCCAATTCTGTGTATTAGTTCATTTTTACACTGCTATAAAGGTACTACCTGAGACTGGGTAATTTATAAACAAAAGAGGTTTAACTGATGTATAGTTCTTCGTGGCTGGGGAGGCTTCAGGAAACTTACAATCATGGCAGAAGGTGAAGGGGAAGAAAGCACCTTCTTCACAAGGTGACAGGAGACAGAGAGGGTGAGGAGGGAAATGCCAAACACTTTTAAAGCATCAGCTCTCGTGAGAATTCCCTCACTATCACGTGAACAATATGGGGGGGAGACTTCCCCCATGATCCAATCACCTCCCACCAGGTTCCTCTGTCAACAAATGTGGATCATAATTCAAGATGAGATATGGGTGGGTACCCAGAGCCAAACTGTATCAGGCACTTTGATTTTACACTTCTTTCATTTTGTTTGGAACTCAGACAAGATTTGGAGCTTTCTTCTTGTGACCTTAGGTGACAAACATATATTAGGATCACTGATCATAAAGATGGCATGAACTTGAGTTTCTGATGACATTATGGGGCTTCTCTTTCAGCTCTGCACTAACTACTGACTTTTCATACATCAGAAAAATAAAACCCCAAATGTGTGACTAGCAGCTGAATTTCATTTCTAACTGACGGGAGTTGGGAGGGCAGGGAAGCGTTGGGAGGGCCTTTCTAAAGCAACAACACAATTGTGAGTGCCTCTCAATTATTAACTAATAGTACCTCTCAATCATTAGTGTACATACAAATTACCAGGGGACCTTGTTAAAATACAAATTCTGATTCAGTAGGTGTGGAATGATGTCTGAGACACTGCATTTCTAACAATTCTCATGTGATACTCTTGCTGCTGGTTTCTGAACCCACTTTGAGTAGCAGCAAGGATCTAGAACACCACTATCCTGCCAGTTGAACCAACGAATGTTATCAATTTCCTGATTGTAAATGTACCCTATTTTCTTGTACCTCAGCTACTTGAAGCTTACCTGCTTTGTTTACTGCATCATTCTATCATATTTAATCGTAATAACACAAAGCAAAAAGAGTTGAAAGAATAGATCTATCTACTAAAATAAAGATGTTTCCAACACGAACCGCAAATCCATCAGGGCCAATTTCAAAGCATAATGATAGGCAGCTCGCATTCCGAAATTAATGAAAAGGAAGCTTAAGTTCCTCTCTGTAATGTTGTTCTCTGCATAGCCTCATTGTGCACATCCTCTTGAGACAGTAATAGAGTTCTTGGGGCTAGGGTTTCCACTGCACATCTGCCTTGGGAATATTCAGCTTTCCTTAGTTCAATTATCTTTAGGACATGCTCTGAATGAGCAGCTAAAGTAATTTCCACTTTTATGATTGCTGGCTAGTTGTTTGAATACTCCTGTTGCTCTTCTGGAAGTAATGGGCATTTTGAGAGAAAGTAGAGGCCAATATTTGCCAGAAACATTAGACAATTAGGAAGAAAAAGGTATCCAAAGAAATCCAGGGTTCTTCCCAATGCACTTTCAGATCTTCTGATATTTCCTTCCTCTGTCTAACATGAATATTACATCCCAGCTGGTCTTACCTGCTTGCCATTGCCTGAACACAAATGATCCATTCCCACCTCTGCTCATACAGCTCATACTGTTTTCTTGACATACCCTCACCCACTAACTTCCCCTACCAGTAATCATTGCTATCCAGTGTGGGCCCTTATTATATCAGGCTGTGGGTTATATGCAGAACTCAATTTAATTCTCAAGCAATCTTACCAACTAGGTATTATGGACTGCATCCTCAATTCATATGTTGAAGCACTAACCCCCAATGGGATGCTATTAGGAGGTGGAGACTTTGGGAGGCAATTAGGTTTAGATGAGATCATGAAGGTGGTGTCCCAACTTTTTTTTACTCCTTACGCTTGAGGAGCAATTAAGGACTTAGCAACAAGTAAATCCACAACATATTTCAAATGCTGCAATCCTTTGGATCACTAAGACCTCCTTTGATTTTTCATGAAAAACATCATCCTATGCCAGTCAATACAAGCAATGAAAATTGAAATTGAGAAAAATCTGATAAAATGTACATTTCAGATTTGTCTCAGATAGATACTTATCTCCAAAAGCTAAGTTTTCACTTTCTTTCTCCCTTGAAGTCAAATTGTTTTGTAATCTTTGATATGTTCAGAGCCCATAGAATCATGTTTGTTTCTCTAGCCAATGTTTGGACATAAAACCTTCAGATAAAGTTTCTGTAGTGGTAAAGGAAGAGGTGGAACTGTGCAACATTTTCAAATGAATGAGTCTGACTAATGAAATTTGGTGCATAATTTAAACAAAATTATGATATAATGGTGGGAGGGGATATTAGTTATGTTTTTGGTAAGTAATAAAACTGATGATTTTTTTAATACAAGAGATATAAACATCTGAGGACAAGGAGAATATTTTTTGTCTTAATTTTTTGCTCCCAATAAAAAGCTATTTTATCATTTTTCCTAAAATATAAACAATCATTTTTGTTCTAATTCGATAAACAACTTTCTGGAAATTTATATAAAAGCACAGAAATATAAGCTTCACTTGTTAAAAATAACATTTTTGTTAGTTTATTATTACTAAGCTTATGATCATAATGGAAATGTCAAAGGATGCAGACTGACAGAAAAAAACCTACATTTTGGAGCATGTGCTTTCAGACGCTTCACTGTAATATTATTTTGTTGTTGATTTGTTTTACTTTTATATGTTGATCCTTTTGTAGTTCATAAGTGTGATGCTTGGGTCTTCCCATTCATGTGTGAGATGTACTTCACTCAAACGTTGACACATTACCCATACGATGTGGAAAAAAAAAAACCTTTTACATGTTAATCAGTACCTATCTACAACATACTTTTAATTGACTTTACAGCACTTCATTATGTGGGTGTACCTTATCACTTTTGCTGAACATTTAGGTTGTTAGCAATTTTGCTGTTGTATACTCTGCTATAATGACAATTTTTATAGCCTATTTTTTACATTTTAATATTTATTTTTATATAAGCTACATCTAACATTTCCTTAGTATGTTAACATAGAGTTACTGGGTCAAAGAACACTACTAGAATTATTTCCTTAAAAAATAGATGTAGACCATGGAATACTATGCAGTCATAAAAAAGGATGAGTTCGTCTCCTTTGGAGGGACATGGATGAAACTGGAAACCATCATTCTCAGCAAACTAACACAGGAACAGAAAACCAAACACCACATGTTCTCACTCATAAGTGGGAGTTGAACAATGAGAACACATGTACACAGGGAGGGGAACATCACACACTGGGGCCTGTCTTGGGGTGGGGTGCTAGGGGACGGATAGCATTAGAAGAAATACCTAATGTAGATGATGGGTTGATGGGTGCGGCAAACCACCATGACACAGCTATACCTATGTAACAAACATGCACGCTCTGCACATGTATCCCAGAATCTAAAGTATAATTTTAAAAAGTAATATCTCCATTAAACTGTGTGTGAGTTCCTTGGGGGCAGGATTACTATCTTATTGATCTCCGTATTTTTAATCTGATGAAAAATACTTGATGTAAGATGGACACACTCTAATCATGTAATCCCTTAAAAGCAGATAACTTTCTCTAGCTGCAGGCAGAAGAGGTGCAGTAGAAGGAGAAGTGAAGGAGATTCCAAGTGTAATAATGACTCAAAGCACACTAGCTTATCTGGAGATGGAGGAATTCAGGCCACCTTATATCTCTGAGAGAGGCTCTTGGTTCACAGCCTACAAGGAAGCAAAGACTTCACCTCTGAAGCCCAAATACCTGGATTCTGACAGCCAACCTGAATGCGCTTGGAAGAAGATTCTCCCTCAGAACCTCTGAATACTAGTCCAGCTTGCCAACAACTTGATTTCAGCCTATAAAACCCAGGCCAGAGAAAACAGCTGAGCTCACCAGACTTCTGAGCTACAGAACTGTGAGATAATAAATTTGATTGGTTAAAGTAGCCAAGTTTGTGGTTATTATAAGGTAGCAATAGGTCATAAATACGTCATACTTTACATCAAAAGACCCAATTGGCTGAACAATGTTTAAAAACATTTATTCCTAACTCAGAAGGCAGGACAATGAGAAATTATTATACTCTAATATTTTACCTGTCACATTGGGAAATATGTAAAAAGAAGTTGTGGTAGCAAAATTCATTGCTTCATGGTATTCACCATGATATTTCAAAAGAACAAGCTAACCATTTTTCTAAATGCTACAATCTGACAAAATCATAAATATAATCAGATCCTGGCTTGATTTAACCACGTATAGTGAGAGTTGGATTTGAATGAAGGTATATATACTCTAAAGTAGCTCAGATGATTTGTCATTATAATTTGTTGTTATTTACTTTCTCTGTCATTACAACCTCTGTTTAAAGAATCTGGTTTTTAAAATCTTGGTTTAGATAAGCAAAAATAATATCTACAGTAGGTAAGCCTTCAGAAAAATGAAAGCATTCATGAGCCCCTGGTGGGCATATAAATTGGTCCAAAGTTTTGGGGGAGTAATTGGTGATACATTTCAGAAGTCAGGATAATGTACTTGACTTTTGACCTAAAATTCCACACCTATTTTTTTTTTGAGGAATGTATTTTATTCTACTAACTTATTGAACTTTCATATAGTACAAATACAAGAACAAAAGGATAATAATTTAACAAAGCAAAAAGAATACTAGTGCTTTCCTTTTATTTAATGGATGGAAAATAACTTTTGGGGCATTAAAATCTTGCCTGACTTACACAATCAACATTATGATTCATTGACATCTTGCATTAATGATCTCACAACACAGAATTTCTTAATTTCATTCTTGTGCTGATCTCAAGGGAAACTTGAAGGTAAGGGAATGGACTCCTTGACTCAGCCCTGGCACATACTAATCTATTTTCTGTGTCTATATTTTACCTGTTCTGGATATTTCATGTGAATAGAATCATACAATATGTTGTTTAACTTAGCAAAATATTTTCAAGGTTCATCCATGTTGTAGCAGGTATTAGTACTTCACTTCTTTCTGTCACCAAGTAAGTATCCATTGTGTGAATACACCACATTTTATTTATCCATTCATCAGTTGATGGACATTTGAAATTTTTCCACTTTTTTGCTATTATGAATAATGCTGGCATAAACATAAAAATTTTTGAATATACATATGGGTTTGTTTCTCTTGACATATTCCTGGGAGTAGAATTATTGGGTCCTATAGTAACTTATATGATTAACCTTTTCAAGAACTGCCAAACTATTTTTTAAACTGGTTGCACCCTTTTAAAATTCCTCCTGGAACATTTCAGGGTAATCTATACATTTTTTAAGGTTACATTGTGTGCCTATGCCATGGCTTTGTATATAATGGACAACTACTGAATATTGTTGAATGAACCAATGAATGATAACAATGAAAAGTTAAATTCTAATATATAATCGTCTTAAAAGTTAACATCCAATATACACAAAGTAAGTACTTAATACACTGAGTTCTACCAATACATGACAAGTGTGTTTTTCTGTAGTAAATCTGAAATATCAGTATTAGCTTCCTGTATTAGTTTGTTCTCGTGCTGCTATGAAGAAATACCTGAGATTGGGTAATTTATAAAGGAAAGAGGTTTAGTTGACTCACAGTTTAGCATGTCTGGGTAGGCCTCAGGAAACTTAAAATCATGGCAGAAGGGGAAGCAAACACATCCTTCTTCACATGGTGGCAGGAGAGAGACATGCAGAGTGAATGGGGGAAAAGCTCCTTATAAAACCATCAGATCTCATGAGAACTCACTCACTATCACGAGAACAGCACGGGGGAACCGCCTCCATGATCTAATCACCTCCCACGAGGTCCCTCTCACAACCCATGGGGATTACAAGTTGGATGGCAATTCAAGATGATATTTCGGGTGGGGACATAGCTAAACCACATTACTGCCTGTCTTTGTTTGAGCTGCTCTAACAAAATACCCTATACTGGGTAGCTTAGAAAGAACATGTAGGCAAACCCAAACAAAAACTATCTGTGTAAAATAATAAAAATACTGTCTAATTAGTGGAGTTTCCTGTGCGACCAGTCATTTTGTTTGGTATTTTGATCTTTCTCCTCAGGCAGCTGGTGTACTTTATGTGCCTGGTGATCATTGGTTGGCCACTCATATTTAAGAGAAGAGGACTGGCTTGCTAGTGCAGCTCCCGCTTCCTGGTGCAGTGGTGATGTGATGGCAAGCTCTCTCTGTGTGTGATAGAGTTGAGTGGGAAGTGGCATTCTTCACTTCAGGATGAAAAGGAGTAGGCTGCTAGACTGTGGGTCTCAAAATTCCAGATGAGGAGAGATTTACTGTGGGCATCAATATTCACCTTCAAAACATTCACTTACCTAGACATTCAGTTTATAAAGAAAAGGCTTTTGTTTTATTTTTACCCAGGAGACAAAAGCACGTGACTCTGAATGGGGTGGAAGAAGCTGATGAAGTTTGCCAGGTGGGTTAGTATTCTTTCTAGAACACCTGTGCTGTAATCAGTGTACATTTTTCTTGCTTCTTATGAAACTAAAACTGAATTTCCATAGGGATAATGGTCATTTAATTGTCTTCTAAACAGGCATATTTTGAGAAAAGTGGGGGCTTCTATTAATTATTCTAGGAAAATAAGTTAAAGACTGCCCTAGAAAATCACGATACAAGATGTTTCATCTATATGATTGGCTTTTAGCTTTGCAGATACTTAGCAGTTTACTGCAGTAACTTTTCCTGCTTGTTTTATCAACCCATTTCCATTTATTTTTGATCTTGCAGAAATATGTTGACATTTCTTATTTGTTGGTAAAATATGCACACACACCTCCATTTCTCTGCCACGTTATCTTTTTTATATGACTGTTCTATTTTATACTTGTATCCTTTTTTTAATCAGTAGGGTTTTGTGAGGTATTGGAGACAAATATGTGTGCAAAATTGCATCTAGAATTGATAGAATTTTAAAGAAAATTTGTTCAACTTTGGCATTTGTGGATTTAATTGATGCCACCAGTGAGGCTGTATTAATTATGATTTATGTTAAAATTAAGGTCTGACAAAAGTGAATATTTATTAAGTATACAGTGTTGATAGTTAGAATTAGAGTCAGAATATATGCCCTCTAGGTGGAGAAAAAGACTTTAAGCCAGGATTAAAGCAGTTGTATAGCATTCATATAATAAAGAATTTTGCTAATATAACCAAATTGGGCATGAGGTCAGTACCAAATAATGAACAGTTTGAGTTGAAAAACATTTAAAAAGAAATGCAAATTTTAAGCTTTTACATGTTCACTCCATTGCTCCCTGAGATCATTTGGATAGCAGAGGAAAGGACATTACAGGCAGAGGGTGTATGAAGTGCAATACTCTGAGCAAGGAGCTTGCCTGCTCTGTTCAAAGAACAGTGACAAGTGATGAGCCCAGTTTAGTTAAGGTGAAATGAATAAGGGAGGAGGGAGGAGGAGATGTAGTCAGAGAAGTAATGGGGCCAGCTCATGTAGGTCCTGGTATACCATGGTAAGGACTCTTAGTTTTTATTCTGAGTGAGATGGAAAGCCATTGAAAGGTTGTGAATAGAGGAGTGAGATTATGTTTTCATGGAATCTCTATGTCTGTTCTTTGGAGAATATGCTGAAGCTGGACAAACTTATTATAAAACAGTAGGTCAGGTAGGAGGTAGTTGCAATAATACAGGCAAAAATTATTGTGTTGTGTACCAAGTTGATGTTTTGTGATAAACAGCCAAATTCTGGATCTATTTTGAAGATAGAGAAAGTAGGGCGCATTGACAAATTTTGTGTAGATAAGGAAAGACATACAGAATGGTGCCCAAATTTACATGTCCTAGTTAGATATGAGCTGTATGAGGACAGGAGTCATAAATGATTGTTTAGTATTTTATCCTTTTCTAGTATCTAGTTCACAGACAGCAATAAGAAGTACTGAATGAATGAATAAAACATTCATGTAGGACACTGTATCAGAATTTGTATATAAAGCAGAGATCCCTCTTTTCTAGGCTACCAAATTCTTGATCTTTCTGAAAGTCGCTTTTTTCAGGCACAGGGATGGAAGATGTATGGATTCTTCCTTTTCGGATTCAGGTGCTTCTTCCAAATATCCTCCTGTCAGTCTCACTCTGGTGGCTGTCACCCTGCAGGGCTGTGGTTGGTTATTCTTTACCTTTCTAGATAATGCAGAGAAAGGTGTTGTGTAGACCAGCTTCTTCTGTTTCCTCCAAGATTCAGACTACTCAAACTGCATGTTCATTCTCAGAGAGAAAGAAGGGCCATATTCCATTTTCTCAAGATCCAATGCACTCACTCATCTGTTTTTTGAAAGAGTCTTTGTATTTTGAAAGAGTGACTTCTGACCTCTCAAGGAAACTTTCACAACATGAGTCTTCAGAGCCCTCGATTTGGCACTACCTGTAGCACAGAGCACCCCAATCAAAGGCCTAATGAGTCATTTTAATCCTGTTACTCTGGTAATTTTCTATTATGGGTATAACACAGTTATTTCCTTAGTGGTGCCTAGAAACAGTGTATGTTGACCTAGTTACAAACGTTCTTTACACAGTACAGTACTACACAGTGTGGAAAAATCTATTTGAACATATTTTAGAGTAAAATGATATAGTAAAGAATAAAACTCAAAATTCTACTTTCAAAGTTTTGGCCACAGGGAAAGGTGACGAATCCAATTAATAAGGCTCATGATCATCAATAAAAAAGTATATAAAGGATGACAGAATAAAGTTTTGAGTTTTAGCTTTCAAAAATTCATTTATCCCTGTGACAATTTTTAAGGTTGTTGGAGAGATGGTGCTGACAAATATGTCAGAATGCCCTAGAAATTAAGGGTATCACTTTAGCAAGTGAGAGAAGTAATTCTGAATTTTGAACAGAAAAAAAAAAGAAAAAGAGAAAAGAAGAGAAAAAGTTGTTACCTTCAGAAGAACCAAGCCATTGCAAATATGTCCCTGTTAAGTTGATTGGATTGCTGTGAAAATGTCAAGCATCTCTGGGCTAATTGCTTAGAACATCCTTCTATTTACTACTTAAAAAATGAGTAAAATGTGAAAAGGTGTCTTTGATCTAGATTTCTGAATCTACACTGGTATGTTTATTTTAGGCATCATAATGGTAAATATGTAAAGCATGTTTCAAATTTTTCAGTTAATTCCTCTATAAAGGCAACCTTTATTCAAGGAATATATAGTGAGGGTGAGGTTGTCATAGACTTTTCTTGCTAATTTTGGGTTGCAAATTTCTAACCAACTTTCTATAAAAAATGTAATATGAGACAAATATGAGAAATAAATGACATTTCTTTTTCTTGGTGGGATCCTGTGCTTCATAAGAAACACTAGATGAGTTTCCGTATTCCAGTTTAGAAAAACATATTGGGGCTACAGCTTAAAAGCAACACTTATGTGATTTTTTAGCAATCTTTGATGAACTCTAGGAAAATGGGGCTAAAATGTTTCTCGAACTTTATCACAGCTAATCAAACTTAGAGTCAAATAATATGTAGGCTGAGTAAAAGTTTCCACATAGAACAAAATATTTTTTTTTGTTGTTGAATGTGACTTATGGCACATTTTAATATTTTTTTCTCACTTCCCTACTTTGTTACATTCTATTCTCAAGCCTTTGGGTTAGTCCTTATTCTTAAATTCATACATGCCATGTATTGTGCTATAATTCATTCTTGGATGATGACTATATTACAGAATGATTTGAAAAAAGTAATTATTCTTTTTTTCATTCATTGTCATTAAACCAATCAAAAGCATTAGACTTGTCATGGGGTTTCTGATTGTTTTAGTCTGATTGGGCATTCATAACAAAGTACCATAGACTGGTTGACTTGAACAAGAGAAATTTACTTTCTCACAGTTTGGAGGCTGAGAAGTCCAAGATCAAGATGCCAGCCAGTTGGGTTCCTGGTGAAAGCCTGCTTCCTCACTTGCAGATGGCTGCCTTCTCTTTGTGTGCTCACATCGCCTCTCTTCAGGTGCACGTGCCTGGAGAGAAGGAGAGAGGTCTCTCTCTCTCTTCCTCTTCATATAAGCCACTGTACTATCAGATTAGGGCCCCACCCTTATGACCTTATTTAACCTTAATTACCTCCTAAAGACCCTATCTCCAGATAGTCACATAAGGCGTTAGGGCTTCAACATATGAACTTTGGGCTTCAACATATGAATTCAACGTATGAATTGGAACACAATACAGTCCATTGCACTGATCTGTCAACAGATCTGTGTCAGTATTTCCAGTGGTTTATCATGCTGATGGTCTTTCAGTTTCTGCAATCAACATTTACAGAACTGTACTGACACTTTGCTAGACTCGGGGCATATACTCTGTACCTGATACTATGCTAGATTTGAGGCATTATAAAAATATATAAAAGAGTCTTCTGATTTTAAGCTTATAGTCCGATAGTCCAGATTGTATATATATGTATATATATATATATATATATCTCCACAAACGTCATTAATAGTTCTGAAATAAGTAGAATCAAATAGGCTAAAAGTAAGATTATAGTTAATACACTTTTAAAACCCACTCTGATATCAATACCCCTGTTAGACCTTTGCAAGGCTATCTTGTGGTTAATTTCTTAACTTAGGTGGTAAAAGTTCAGGAGATACCCTGAGTATATAAGCATTGAGGCTAGCCCTGTCCTGCCAGTTTCCTTGGTATTATTGTGACTGTTAGGTTTTAAAGCTGTTTCTGTGTGTGTTTGCCCTTTTATTAATTTTAGTCAGTGGACCCACCTTTTCCTTTTTACACTGGTGTGTCGATGGCCTTTCCTTGTAATAACAGTTGACATAATCCTGTTGAACTGAAAGAAAACACTACTAAGGAAAACACAGGATATTTCCAACTTTCTCAGACCTCTGTATGGAGGAATGTAGGTTTTGAGCCAGGGTCAAGCAGAGAAAGAGATACCAGTGTACAACCAAATATTTCAGGCTCTTGGGCACTGTTTGCTTTGTTTGGGACTGACATCATTACCCTTACTCTATTCTCATACTGAATTGGAATTACAATATATTTTTTTTTAACTTGTCTGACTGGCAAATGTTCAAACCAGCAATAACAACCAATGCTGGCAAATTGTCAAGGATATAAGCATTCCCTCACTTTTATGAGAGACACGTGAATTCCTCCATTTGTTTTGGAAAATAAATCTAGCAGCAACTATTTGAATTAAAACATCTATATGTTACACAGGAATTCAAATTATTGAATTCTTACATATTAAAATCACACTTGATATAGAACGTGTATAGACATAATACCATTTGTATCATTGTAGTAACAATAAATCATAAGCTGTCTGAATGTCCATCAATGGGTAACTGATTAAATCATGGCACTTGTGCATGTTCTTGCACACACACACGCAATGGAAAATGGGGCAGCTCTTAAAGAGAATCATATTTAGTTGTATTGGGACATATAAATGTCCCAAATGGGAGGGATGTTCACAATACACAGTGAGATTTAGAAAAGCAAAATCAGAGTGAAACGAATAATACCAATAAATTAAAAAAATCAAAATCTAAAAACATGGGGCCGGGCACGGTGGCTCACACCTGTAATCCCAGCACTTTGGGAGGCCGAAGCAAGCGGATCACTTGAGGTCAGGAGTTTGAGAACACCCTGGCTAACATGGTGAAAACTCATCTCTACTAAAAATACGAAAATTAACTGGGTGTGGTGGTGCATGCCTGTAGTCCCAGCTACTCGGGAGGCAGAGGTTGCAGTGAGCAGAGATCGTGCCACTGCATTCCAGCTTGGGAGACAGAGTGAGACTCCATCTCAAAACAAAAAACAAATAAACAAACAAAAAACACCTAAAAACAGCTTATGTGCTGGCCAAAGAGAAAATGGGGTCAATTACATACCCAGTTCTTCACATATGTAAACTAAGGGAGGTATGGGAGGATTTTTGACTTTTCCTTCATTTGTATATTCACTTATTATATCAGAAGTGGAAAGGGGCAGAGAAGAAAAGAAGAGGAACACCATCCTGTTGATGGATGGTGGGTGAGAGAAGGGCTGGACACCAATATGACAGCCATATTCACTCCACTCTCCTAAATGGAAACGAGTGGCTGTCTCTGACTTTTTGAGCACAGAGATTCAGAGGAGGATGGTGACTGAGGAGGAAGAAAACATGGCTGGAACCCAAGTCACCTGCAGTTATTGACAGGGCCCTCCCCTGTACAGTTGTCTTTTATATTGGCAGGACACCTCTCTCCCTAATTATGTTCGGGGGAAGTTCTGCCCATACTTGTGCCAAGTTCCCAAGGTGGGGAGGATAAGAGCAGTAAAGGGATATTGTTGAAAGAGGGTGCATATACTCCAGGTATAAGCAGAAACTTTCAGGTGAGCCAAGAAATTCACCAGATGTCCAGGCTTCCCTTTCTTCCTCTCCCCACAGAAACAAGCACCAGTTTGCGTGTGGGGGTGTCACTGTCCAAAGATTTGCTAGGAGAAGAATATGGTAAGATAATATTTGAAGTTATTAATCTATGCTTTTTATTCTCTCTATACATATTTTTCTCTGCCTGTTCCTCCTCATTCAGGAAGGTAACTGGCCCTGGGAATTGTAAGACAGGTAATGTTCTGGCTGTTAATTTTCAGTTCCTTAAATCTGAAGAAGTCAGGCAACATTTCCAGAGCAGGAAACATTAAGGAGGATTTGTGGGCCTAGATGACATGTCTTGGCTAGAGGCAGGATGGAAGGTGAATTTTCCAAGGTAGAAAGAGATCCCTGTGGGAATAGGGGAGCGTAGGGAGGAGGAGAGAGGAATGTCAGTGGGAGTGAGTGGATAGGGTCAGTGCCCTGCTTCCAACTACATGAAGAAAGGGATGGAAAGAGCCTAAAGAGAAAGTGGATGCTTAGTGTTGAGGCAGATGAAACTAAGAGGAGCCATTCTCCCAATGGCAGACATTTTGGAATTTAAAATAAAAAAAAAAGGGTGCTGCAGGGAGCATTCTTGTGTCCCTGTGCAAAAGTGTTTCTGGATTTTATGCTTTAGAAGTTGACTTGCTGAGTCCTGAATTTCCAAGTTTACTAGATAGTGCAAAAATGTTTTCTAAATCATACCAGTGTACTCTTTCAACCTCTTATATTTTTCTTCTCAAATGTATGCTACACTGCCTTAGTGAAATGTCAATGTTCATTAATTACCAGTCATTAAGAATTTGTAAGTTTCCTATCCCTCTCCCCTACTTCCTTACCATTACTTGTCATTGTCAGCCTTTTGAAAATTTTCCAGTCTGATGGACATGAAAGAGTATCTTGTCTTAATTTGCATGTTTCTATTACCAGCAAGTGACAGCTTTTTTCCACATATCTTTGTTGGCCATATAGAGCTTCTCTTCTGTGAACTGAAGGTTTATATTTCTCTATCTACTGCACTTTTTGCAGTTTCCTCATTTATAGGATTTTTAAAATATTCTAGATTGCAAATATTTTTCAAATGTCTTGTAAATATCTTCTGTCACTTGCTTGCCTTTTAACTTGGTTTATAGTGTTGAATATATAGAAATTTAAAATGGTAATGTCATTAAATTTATTCTTTTTTATTTTGTACTTAATGGTTTGCTCTGTTATTTCTTTATTTCAATAGACTCAATTTTTTAAGAGCAGTTTTAGGCTCATAGTAAAATAGAGCAGACGATACATAGATTTCCCTTATACCTACCTCCACCCCTGCATAGGCATAATTTCCTTCATTTTCAATATCCTGCACCAGAATGGTACATTTGTTACAACTGATAAACCTTTTTATATTTTGATAAATCTTTTTTAACTTTAGTATTATGAGAGAGCCTCCTACATTTTCTCCTAAAATTTTTAAGGTTTGCTTTTAGTCTTTAATCCATGTGGACTTCCTGTTGGTATATAGAATGAAGAGAAACTTGATTTTCTGATACATTTTAAAATCTACTTCTAAATTACATGGGGCCAGACCATCCTACTAGCAGATTCACCTGTGTCCTCGCTGAAAGATTCAGGATAACAAAGCAGTTCATAACAGGTGTTAGGACAGGAGATTGTGGGTCTATCACTGGACTCTTGGATAGGTCTCAGAAACCAAAGAACAGGCCAGGGTATTACCAAGATTAGTGAGTGGCATGACTTTTCCATGTCAGGGATGTTGGCTGATTAGGCAACAGGGGCATTCAGATTGAAAAGAGATATAGCTGGCCTGTCCTTACAACTGGATATTAGGATCTGTCAAAACAACTGACAAAGCTGCCACCATAGGAGCAACTATGGCAGAACTAACACAGCCAAAGTGTTTTCCAAGCCAGTGTACACAACCTAAAGGAGAATATTTCCTGGGAAAGGTTTCATCCCTGTAAGATCATTAATTTATGCCATGTACACCGTAACATTTTTAAGTTCTTAAAAAATTTTAATGTAGTGGGATGTAGTAGAGAGAGGGAAAAATCATTTTTAATTGTTTGGTTGGAAAAATGAGATTCATATGTATTTCCCCCCCAAAACATAATACAATAAAAGTAATAAATTTTAATAATTTTTTTTTGAGACATAGTCTCACCCTGTCACCCAGGCTAAAGTGCAGTGGCGTGATCTCAGAGCTGGGATTACAGGCGCAAGCCAACAAGTCTGGGTAATTTTTGTGTTTTTAGTAGAGATGGGGTTTCACCATGCTGGCCAGGCTGGTCTCGAATTCCTGGCCTGAAGTGATTTGCCTGCCTCGACCACCCAAAGTGTTGGGATTATAGCATGAGCCACTGTGTCCGGCCCAATTTTAATAATTTGAGCAGGGCTCACAGTTTTTCCTATAAAAATTCTTCCTTATAAGTAAAACAACTACATGGGATTTCATGGCTATTTTGGTATTTATATAACTCTTTAAGGAAAATAAAACTTTAGTTATATATATAAAACCTTGAGTTATATAAATAACTTTGAGTTATATACAGTTATAATGGCATTATGTGCTCTAAAGCAAAATCTCAATGTCCATTGTCTCACTGATCATAATTAAAAAGTATAACCCAGAATCCAGTTTGTAATTTCCAAGATGACTATCACTGTAAGTATTTGAAACACAGTTGATCTTTGTAAAAAAATTTTTTAATGAAAATAATTAGCTGGGAATATCCCACATGTATTCTAAATCCCCCAGTTGGTTTAGGTAATTTTTCTTATTCTTCCACAACACATGGTATTCTTTCTATGAATGACATCAGTTTGGAAATACCCCGTGGTTTTCTGAGTTATAAATGGGTATCTCAGTATGAACTCCTGATTATATTATGATTCATACTTTCACTTCTGTTTTTTCATACTATCATTTTGAAAAAGTGAAAATGAAACTGTGTCTCACTGGCCAAGAGTTCACAAGGGAGATGGAAAAGCAGAGTTTAATGGAATGATTTTTAAAATATTGAAGGATTGTGGTCTGAGAATACTGTAAAAACCATTTCTTAAGGAAAAGCAATGTAGTTGGGATCAAAACAAAAAAAATGCTCTTTGAGAGTTTCTCTGGAACTTTAGAGTGTCTACTGTCAGAGTTTTGCTTCACATAAGAGCATTGATGAAGTAATAATTATTATACTTATAATTATTCAATTATCAAGTATTGATTTCTTCTGGCATTTATTTATTTATTTATTTATTATTTATGACTCTTTAAAAAATTGTTTTTCTTGGTGGAACTAGGTTATGAACCCTAGCATTTTAATTCTAGAATTTGTTCTCTTAAGTATCACACTGTAGTAGCAATTTGATGGTAACACTAAAGAAAGAAAGAAAGAAGAAAAGAAAGGAAGGAAGGTGTGGAAAGTCCCAGAATGACTGCAGGTCTGAGAACATTTATTCAAACTGCAAATTTTCTTAGGGCAGGGGTCACGCTTGCTCTGGCTGTGTTCCCTGCACCTCAGTTCCTGGCACATAGCAACGCCTGACAAATATTTGTTGAATAAATGAGTACAGTAGCTTAAAAGCAAATTTTTGTACTTCATGGTTTTCTGTAGAAAGCCACAAGAAAAAAATTTCATCTGAGGTCTCAGCATTCTAGTAACTGTGAAGTATTAAGACTTGTATGAGTTCCCCTTATGAGAGGCTTAAAGTATTAGTATCATGAGGTATGAGGTTTAAGGCTAGATGCCTAAATGGCGTCTCATTTTTTATTAAGCTGGACTTGTAGCATGGGAACTTTGCCAGGGATTATAACACCTTTATAAACATTAATGTGATTTTAAAAATTGTTAGCTTAGGCCAGGTAAGGTGGTTCACACTGTAATCCCAGCACTTTGGGAGGCTGAGGTGGGCAGATCCCTTGAGCCCAGGAGTTCGAGACAAGCTTGGGTAACATGGCGAAACCCCATCCCTGCAAAAAATACAAAAATTAGCTGGGTGTGATGGTGCACGCCTGTAGTCTCAGGTACTTGGGAGGCTGAGAGGTGAGAGGATTGCTTGGGCCCAGGAGGTGGAGGCTGCAGTGAGCTGTGATTGCACCACTGCACTATGGTCTGGGTGGCATATAGCAAGGCCTTGTCTCAAAAACAAGTTAAAAAAAACTTATTAAGAGTAAATTTGCCTCCTTGGGCTGCTTGTCACCAAATGGCCATTCTTAACAAATAATTACGTTTTGTGGGTCAATATGTGTTTTTAAATTTTATTTTATGTATTTATGTTTTGAGGGTGTCACTACTGTTACTCAGGTTGGAGTGCAGTGACACAATCATAGCTCACTGCTGCCTCAACCTCCCTGGGTTCAGATGATCCTCCCCACTCAGCCTTCTGAGTTGTATAGGCATGTGCCACCATGCCGGGCTGATTTTTCTTTTCTTTTCTTTCTTTCTTTCTCTTTCTTTCTTTCTTTCTTTCTTTCTTTCTTTCTTTCTTTCTTTCTTTCTTTCTTTCTTTCTTTCTTTCTTTCTTTCCTTCTTTCTTTTTCTTTTTTTTTTTTTTTGTAGAGACAGAGTCTGGCTATGTTGCTCAAACTTGGTCTCGAACTCCTGAGCTCAAGCATTCCACCCTGCCTCATCCTCCAAAGTGCAGAGATTACAGGGGTGAGCCACCATGCCTGGCAATATGTGTTTTTTAAATGAATAAATTAACTCTTCACCTTCAAATCTCCTCTTCCCAGACCAACTTTTTTCTCTACCAACCTTGCTTTGATGATTATATTTCAAATATACCAACTCCTTTAGGTTAAGGCATTGAAGAATGGTTTGTCTAAGAGAGGATATCACCTGTTTTAACATTCATTAACATTTTAAGATGGAATAGTCCAACAGACCAATGAAGCAGTTACTCCCTGCATTTCTAAGAACAGAAGAGGTGTATGAGGAATAAAAAGAATGTCTGCATATCTGCAGTAGCCAATATGAAATGTGAAGAATGTTTAGTAGAGAATAGAAAAGTTATTTCTTCCAAGAATGGTCAAGAGGACTTCAAAACATCACTTAAAAATGTTATAATATTCCAATGTCAGTTATATCAGTAACCTGATCTGAAAATGATGTTGAGAATATGCTGAGAATAATAATGATATTAATAAAAATGCTTATTATTTTGAGTAATGACATTTTGCGATCACTTATTAATCAGCAATTGATTACCAGAACAGAATTGTTATAAGAATTAAATGGATATGAATGAAAAGAAAGTCAAACAGTGAGATTTTCTTTGAAAGCTTATGGAAATTGAGTGCAGCAAGATGGGTCATCTTAATGAGATAAAATAGTTTATGGGCCAGTAAGACTTGACTTGTAACTTGTTAAATATTTTTGAAACAAATAATGTGTTACACAGATAGGGAGTTGGTTCACCTGGCATATGAAAAAATAAAACAAAGAATCTATGAGGTACATTATGGCAGAAAAATCTAGCAAAATTGGGTTCCAAGTTTTTTCCTGTCTGATGATTGTTGAAATTGTAGCATCAGCCATTCTTCGCTTGGTGTAATTGAGCATCTTGTTTAAATCAACCTTCCACTTACTCTAGATTCAATTCAAGTAATCAACATTAGGTTGGTACAAAAGTAATGGCAGTTTTTGCCATTACTTTGAAAGGCAAAAAATGCAATTACTTGCAATTACTTTTGCCCTAACCTAATATTTCAATTCTAATTTGACTTCTGATATAATTTTACAAGGAAGGGATGCTTTAGCTAGAGATCCCCCTTGGCAGTTGTATTTCTTGTTGTAATTAATTAGATGGCTTTTTGTTTGTTTGTACAGAAGTATCTTGAATCGAGTTTCTGTGAATTATAATGCCCAAGTTTGACCGAATTTGACACCCTGACGAGATTGAGTTTTTGAAATGACAAGGCTGAGCAAGAGAGTTAGGGCTGCAATGGCTTCCCAAGGTTGTTGCCACTTGGATGACTTCTCCTGTTCTCTAGCTTCTGGCGGGGACACAGTGTGATGAGTACCTGGTAATAAGCATGGCATGGGGTGGTGGTGTGCTGTAGATGTTAGTTCCCATTCCAAAGTGTTTCTCCAATAGCTTGTATGAGGATGAGGGAAAGAAAATAATGCACTTGAGAAGAAGCAAAGTAGGGAGAAAAAGGAGACCTATTTGTTGCAAGCACATTTTACTGACATGGGAAGCTCTGAAAGAAATCTGTCATGAGTATATATCAGGTGTAATGGTTAATTTTAGACGTCAACTTAACTGGGCCATGGGGTGCCCAGGCATTTGATCAAACATTATTCTGGGTATATCAGTGAGGGTGTTTTTGGATGCATGAGATTAATATTTAAACTGATAGACTGAATAAAGCAGATTGCCCTCCATGATGTGGGTGGGCCCACATGGTTTGGTTCGTTGAAGACCTGAAGCGGACAAAGGCTCATCTTCCCATGAGTTAAAGGAAGCTCTTTCTGCCTGAGTGCCTTTGAGAGGGGACATTTTTTTTTTCCTGCTTTTGGACCCTAACTGAAACATTGGTTTGCCCTGAGTCTCAAGCCTGCCAGCCTGAGCACTGGAACCATTAGCTCTCCTAGGTTTCCAACTTGCTGACTTCAGATCTTGGGATTTGTCAGCTTTATACTCTTGTGAGCCATTTCCATATAATATATCATATTTCCATATCTCCTATTGGTTCTATTTCTCTAGACAACCCAGACTAATACATCAGATGCCTTCTTAATATGTCATATTACCAGGAATTTTTACTTTTGCAAATGAATCACATCTTTAATGTACTCACTGGCAGGGCAAATTCTTTTCATCTAAACTAGATTTTTGTGACCCAGGGTGAATGTGTTTCCTATTTTTTTCCTTTCATAAGGATACATCTCATTAACAGTTTTCAAATTTATCTTCAGTAACTGAATTAAAAAATTTTGTTGTAATCTTATGACACAGATGCCTGTGGTTCATCTCATCTGGTTTGTTTTGTTTGTGATGCTGCCACATTTCCTTTCCCTTAACAGGCTCTTCCCTCCAATCCCCAAACTAGACCTTGGACCATCTCTCCACTGGACCACCAGCTACAATGTCAACAGCTCCACAACTTGCAAGTCTTGCCAAAGTGTTTTAAAGGATGATTTATTAAAGGAAAATCTAAATTAGCAATTGGATATATTCCACTATAGGAACTTAAGACCACTCATTAATTCTACAACGACTTTCTGAGCACCTACCAGTGGGCCAGGCTGGGGAAACAAAGGTAAAATAAGCAGACTTTTTCCTTGAAGAGGGAAGGTAGGAAAACAGATATGAAGACTAAGAGGAAAAGAAAAGTGCCTGATATTTATTGAGCATCTACACTTTTTTTTTTTTTTTTTTTTTTTTATTATACTCTAAGTTTTAGGGTACATGTGCACATTGTGCAGGTTAGTTACATATGTATACATGTGCCATGCTGGTGCGCTGCACCCACTAATGTGTCATCTAGCATTAGGTATATCTCCCAATGCTATCCCTCCCCCCTCCCCCGACCCCACCACAGTCCCCAGAGTGTGATATTCCCCTTCCTGTGTCCATGTGATCTCATTGTTCAATTCCCACCTATGAGTGAGAATAGAGCATCTACACTTTACCAAGCACTCTGTGAGGGGCTTTCCAATGAATCTTTATAACAGCTCTTTAAGGGAGGTACTATTATCCCTCATTTATGTATGAGAAAACCAAGGCTCAGGAAGGTTCTCCAGTTAGGAGCATAGAAATTATAGCTAGCATTCACTGAGCTTCAGTCACAGGGTGGAGTTTAAACCCTGGTCTGTCTTCATTTTTGTTCTTCTTTCCGCTTCACCTTGCCTGTCTGCTCTAGACCTTCACTGCCCAATATGATGGCCACTAGCCACATGTGATTATCCAGCACTTGAGATGTGGCCAGTCCAAGCTGATAAGTGCTATAAGCACAAAATACTAACAAGATTTCAGAAACATAGCATGCATAAAACATAAAATATCTCATTAATAATTTTTATATTGATTACATGTAGGAATAATAACACTTAAGATATACTGGTGTATCAGGGCTCTCCAGAGAAGTGGAGCTAATAGATTATAATTAAATGATTTAATTTATATATGTAATAGGATATATACACATACAAACATGTATATACATTTATGTATATACAAAAACATGTGTATTATACATATATGTAAATGCACACATGTTCTGTATATGTAAACACACATGTATGTGCCATATACTTATGTATATGTAAACACATGTATATGTATATATACATATGTATACATAGACATACATATGTGTATATACACATAATATATGTGTGTATATATGTAGGTGTATATACATCTGTATATACATAATATCCTGTTACATATATACTACACACACACACACACACACACACACACACACACACACACAAAGAATGAGAGACAGAGAGAGAGAGGAGAAAGGAATTTATTTTAAGGAATTGGCTCATGTAATTATGGAGGCTGCCAACTCTGATATTTGTAGACTGTGTCAGCAGCCTGGAGATTAAGGTAAGAGTTGATGTTGCAGTTTTGAGTCAGAAATCCACAGGGCAGATGAGTCAGGCTGGTAACTCAGGCAATGTTATGAACTGAATTGTGTCTCTTCCCCACATTCATATGTTGAAGTTCTAACCCCCAGTGGAATTGTATTTGGAGACAGAGCCTTTAAAGAGGCAATTAAGATTAAATGGGACTGTAAGGGTGGGGGGCTAATATGATAGGACACCAGGGATGTTCTTGAACAGAGAAAAGGCCTTGTCCGCAAGCCAAAAAAAAAAAAAAAAAAAAAAGCCACAGGAGAAACCAAACCTGCCAATACCTTGATCTTGAACTTCCAGTTTCCAAAACTGTGAGAAAATACATTTCTCTTGTTTAAACCACTCAGTCTGTGCTGTTTTGTTATGGGAGCCTGACATGGTTTGGCTCTGTATCTTCATTCAAATCTCATCTTGAATTGTAATCCCCACATGTTGAGGGAGGGACCCGGTGGGAGGTGATTGGATCATGGTGGCAGTTTTCCCCATGCGATTCTCATGTTAGTGAGTGAGTCCTCACTAGATCTGATGGTTTAAAAGTGTTTGGCAGCTCCCCCCACCACTCTCTCCAGTTGCCTTGTGAAGAAGGTGCTTGCTTCCCTTTTGCCTTCCACCATGATTGTAAGTTTCCTGAGACCTCCCTAACCATGCAGAACTGTGAGTCAGTTAAGCCTCTTTCCTTCATAAATTTCCCAGTTTCAGGTAGTTCTTTATAGCAGTGTGAAAATGGACTAATATAGGAAATTGGTGCTGGGAGTTGAGGCACTGCTATAAAGATACTTGAAAATGTAGAAGAGACTTTGGAATTGGGTAACGGGCAGAGGTTGGAAGAGTTTGGAAGGCTCAGAAGAAGACAGGAAGATGTGGGAAAGGTTGAAACTTCCTAGATACTTGTTGAATGATTTTAACCAAAATTATAGTGATATGGACAATAAAATTCAGGCTGAGGAGGTCTCAGATGGAGATGAGGAAGTTGTTAGAAGCTGGAATAAAGGTCACTCTTGCTATGCTTTAGCAAAGAGACTGGCAGCATTTTATCCCTGCCCTAGAGTTCTGTAGGACTTTGAACTTGAGAGAGGTAATTTAGGGTGTCTGGCAGAAGAAATTTCTAAGCAGCAAAGCATTGAAGATGCTTATTCTGGCTTTTTCTGAATGCGTACAGTCATATGTGTTCATGTAGAGATGATCTGAAATCAGAATTTATGCTTAAAAGGGAAGCAGATCATAAAAGCTTGGCAAATTTGCAGCCTATCCATGTGGTAGAAAAGAAAAACCCACTTTCTGGGGAGAAATTCAATCCAGCTGCAGGATTTTCCATAAGTAGCAAGAGGCTGAGTGTTAAGAGCCAGGACAATGGGGAAAATGTCTCCAGGGCAAGTCAGAGATCTTCACAGCAGCTTCTCCCATTACAGGCCCAGAGGAGAGGAGGGAAAAATGATTGCATGGGCCAGGCCCAGGGCCCTGCTGCTCTGTGTAGTCTTGGGACATGGTGACCGGCATTCCAGCTTCTCCAGCTCCAGCCATGCCTAAAAGGGGCCAAGGTACAGCTCAGGCTGTGGCTTCAGAGTGCAAGCCCCAAGCCTTGGCAGCTTCCGTGTGGTGTTGGGCCTGCAGGTGCACAGAAGACAAGGGTTGAGCTTTGGGAACCTCTGCCTAGATTTCAGAGGATGTGTGGAAACACCTGGATGTCCAGATAGAAGTTTGCTGCAGAGGCAGAGCCCTCATGGAGAACTTATACTAGGGCAATGTAGAGGGGAAATGTGGGGTTGGAGCCCCCATACAGAGTTCTCACTGGGGCACTGCCTAGTGGAGCTATAACAAGAGGGCCACCATCCTCCAGACCCCAGAAAGGTAGATCCACTGACAGCTTGCTCCGTGCTCCTGGAAAAGCCACAGGCACTCAACACCAGCCCGTGAAAGCAGCTGTGGGGGTTGTATCCTGCAGAGCCACAGGGGTGGAGCTACCCAAGGTTCTGGGAGCCCACTTCTTGTATCAGCATGCCCTGGATGTGAGACGTGGAGTCAAAGGAAATTATTTTGAAGCTTCAAGATTGAATGAATGCCCTGCTGAGTTTTGGACATGCATGGGGCCTATGGCTCCTTTGTTTTGGCATTTGGAACAGGAATGACTGTACCCCCATTGCATCTTGGAAGTAACTAACTTGCTTTTGATTTTACAGGCTCCTGTGTGGAAGAGACTTGCCTTGTCTCAGATGAGACTTTGGACTTGGACTTTTGGGTTAATGCTGGAATGAGTTAAGACTTTGGGAAACTGTTGGGAAGGCATGATTGGTTTTGAAATTGAAAAGGACATGAGATTTTGGAGGGGCCAGTGGTGGAATAATATGGATTTCCTCTGTGTCCCCACCCAAATCTCATCTTAAATTGTAATTCCTCTGTGTTGAGGGAGGTGATTGAATCAAAGAGCAGTTTCCCCATGCTATTTTCATGATAGTGAATGAATTCTCACTAGATCTGATGGTTTAAAAGTGTTTGGCAGTCCCCTACACCTGTTCCCTGCTACCTTGTGAAGAAGGTGCTTGCTTCCCCTTCACCTTCTGCTATGATTGTAAGTTTCCTGAGGCCTCCCCAGCCAGGTGGAACTGTGAGTCAATTAAACTTCTTTCCTTTATAAATAACCCAGTCTTAGGCAGTTGTTTATAGCAGTGTGAAAATGGACTAATACAAAGTCCTAGCAAAGATAATACAGGTAAATTTTTTATGTTACAGTCTTTTTTTTTTTTTTTTTTGAAATAGGATCTCACTCTTTTGCCCAGGCTGAGTGCAGTGGCACAATCATGTCTCACTACAGCCTCAACCTACCAGGCTCAAGTGATCCTGCCACCTCAGCCTCCTGAATAGCTGGGACAACTGGCACATGACACCATGCCTGGCTAATTTAAAACATTTTTTTTTAGAGATGGGAGGGTCTCACTGTGTTGCCCAGACTGGTCTTGAACTTCTGGGCATAAGTGATCCTCCTGCCTCATCCTCTCAAAGTGTTGGGATTACAGGCATGAGCCACCACACCAGCCTCTATGTTACAGTCTTAGCTCTTAAGGCCTTCAACTGATTGGATGTGGCCCATGCACAATATGGAGTGTAATCTACTATACAGATTTAATTGTTAATCACATCTGAAAAATATTTTATTGTGCCATCTAGGCTTTTGTTCAACCAAGCAACTGGACACAATAGGGTAGCCAGGTTGGTACATAAAACTAAACATCACAATTGGGTTCAATAAAGTATAGCTTTAAAATTATTTTCACCTGTTCCATTTAATTTTTTAAAATGTGGCTACTAGAACATTCAAAATTATGTATGTGGCTCACATCACTCACATTTTATTTCTATTGGACAGTGATGCTCTAGACATTTATGAAAACAAATGTATTCCAAGTGAGTATGGAGGAATTACAGTAAAATATGCTTGAGGCAATTGGTGAAGGCTTTGCAGAGATGGTAAGATGATGAAAGCACAAATCCTTGCATCAGAATGCCTAGGTTTGAATCTCTGCTCTGCCACTTCACTGTGATGCAGGGCAAGAAACTTAACCTCTCTGTGCCTCATTTTCTTCATCTGTAAAATGGGGTAGTAATTAGATCTTCTGCATGGGATTGTGGTAAAGGTTAAATGATTTCATACACTTAAGCATTTAGAATAGTATCTGAGACAGTAAATCTCTATAAATGTTAAAGAAGGTCATGCCTGACCAAAAACTGGACAGATGAGGGGCTGGGCAGTTCCCCGAGGGATTATTGAAAAGGGATGAATTTCACAGGGAGGGAACATGTAACTCTCTTCTTTGGGCTTCCCTTTCTGTCTTACCACAGGAAGATCAGCAGTAGAGTCTCAGTATGTTCTGTGGCTAAGCGTTCAACCACTTGGCATTGAGTTTTGCGTCAGTTGGTGAATGACCAACATGTGTCTGGCAAAGTGCTTGGCATCCCTTTTACTCATTTTACCTGATCTCAGCAGCACCCATCCCTGCAGGACACAGCCTCATTTTTTAATATATTGCTTTTATTTCTTAAAATGTGTGTAAATGGAGCCAGAGAGGAGAGAGGAAGGAGTGAAAACACTGAAAATGGGAAAATGAAAGACTAAAAGATATTTGCAAGACATTTGTCGGTCACACAGCAATTCAATTTTTTAAACAAACTTGACATTGAGATTTATACAGTTCATTTACTCAAAGAAGACTTCAAATTTTGCATTCCACTCCTTTGGGGACTAGTTGAGACATTAAAATCCAAATATTACAAAATAAAATGAACTGAAGCATGAAATTAATATTTAGCATACAGATTTACATAATTTTACTATTTAATAATAGTATTTGATTTTTAAAGCCTACTGCTGACCAAAAACAATGCAAATTATTTATTGTGGGCCACCTACTTACTTCTCAAAAAATCCTGAGAGGTACTTAAATGTTTACCCATATTTTTACAGTAGGACCTGCAGCTTAACAAAATTAAGTAAATGTTCAAGTTTATACAAACAGTACGTAGCTAAGTCAGGAATTTCAACTGAATACATTGAGCTCCCATATTATAACACTCCAGTTTACAAAACATAGTCTGTGCAACTATCAATTTCAAAATGCATGTATTAATTCATCGAATGTTTACTCAGCCCCTTCGTCTAAAGGCACCATCCTAGGCAGCATGTCCATTTGATAGTGTTTCCTTCTAAAACTGAGAGTTTTGAAAGTTAATTGCTTTAGAACTAAAATGCAATTTGAATTATCACTGAATCCTCAGATGACTTTTAGTTGCTGTTATTTTAATTCAAAGTGAATTAATCCAAATGAAAAATGTCCCAGACATTCTACATAATTTTTGCTCTTAATATTCTATTTTTTTGGATCAGAAAGGATAATTTAACCTTAGTAGGTTGTATGTGTAACAAAATTTATTCATTTCTTCTATGTTTTCAGTTTTGTTTACATATAGCCACTCATGATACCTTCTTATGATCGTTTGTATTTCTTTAGTGTTGGTCAAAATGTCTTCTTTTTCACCTCTGATTTTATTTATTTGAGTCTTTTCAATTTTATCTTAGTTATTCTATATAAATGTTAGTCAATTTTGTTCATCTTTTCAAAAAATAACTATTTTGTTGATCTTATAAATTATTTAAAAATCTTTATTTCATTTATTTCTGTTCTGAGCTTTATTACTTCACTCTTTCTACTAATTTTGGTTTTAATTTGTTCATATTTTTATAAAAGTGAGTTACCTTTAGTTGAAATTTCCAGTGAAAACTTAGCAATTGATCAATACCAAATTGACTTTTGTTTTTATTTCTGCCTGTAGATGGAAGTCTATCAAAGATTAAAAAATATTTATCCAAAGTTCAAAGGCTTAGTCCATGTTTGGTGATTATCTTACACTTTGTGCTCATAAAATATTTGGATTCTAAGCTTTCAATTGCGTTTACACAAAGCACATCAATGGATCGCTTCATTGGGTGTTTTGTCCTTCTTGTTTGATTCTTCTTTTTCTATGGAATGGAAGCTATGCCAAAGGGAAGCTCCTACCTGGTCCCATTCCTCTCCCAATTGTTTAAAATATTCTACCCTTAAGAAGTATGAACACCAGCAAATCCATAAGCATGGTAAGTATGGCTATTTTCTTTTTTTAAATTTTGTGATTTTCTACTATTTAAACTTTTAATTTAGATTCGAGGGTACATGTGCAGGTTTGTTTTATAGGTAAGCTCTCGTGTCATGGGGGTTTGTTGTACAGATAATTTTATCACCTAGGTGCTAGGCCTAGTACCCAATAGCTATTTTTTTCTCCTCCTCTCCTTCTTCCCACCCTCTACCCTGAAATAGGCCCTAATGTCTGTTGTTCCCTTTATGTTCATGAGTTCTCCTCATTTAGCTCCCACTTATAAGTGAGAGCATGTGGTATTTGGTTTTCTGTTCCTGCATTAGTTTGCCTAGGATAATATCCTCCAGCTCCATCTATGTTCTGCAAGAGACATTATCTCATTCTCTTTTATAGCTGCATAGTATTCCATGGTGTATGTGTACTACATCTTCTTGATCCAATCTGTCATTGTTGGGCATTTAGGTTGATTCCATATCTTTGCTATTGTGAATAGTGCTGCAATGAACATTTACATGCGTGTGTCTTTATGGTAGAATGATTTATATTCCTCTGGGTATATACCCAGTAATGGAATTGCTGTGTCCAACAGTGGTTCTGCTTTTAGCTCTTTGAGAAACCACCGTATTGCTTTCCACAATGGTTGCGCTAATTTACGTTACCACCAATAGTGTATAAGTGTTCCTTTTTCTTCACATCCTTGCCAGCATCTGTAAGTTTTCGACTTTTTTATAATAACCATTCTGACTGGTGTGAGACAATATCTCATTGTGGTTTTAATTTGCATTTCTCTAATGATCAGCAATACTGAGCTTTTTAAAATATGCTTTTTGGCTGCATGTATGTCTTTTCTAGAAAAATACCTGTTTATGTCTTTTGTCCACTTTTCAATGGGATTGTTTGCTTTTTTCCGTAAATTTGTTTAAGTTCCTTACAGATGTTGGATATTAGACCTTTGCCAGATGCATAGTTTGCAAATATTTTCTCCCATTCTGTAGGTTGTCTGTTTACTCTGTTGATAGTTTCTTTTGCTGTACAGAAGCTCTTAAGTTTAATTAGATCCCATTTGTTAATTTTTGCTTTTGTTATGATTGCTTTTACTGTCTTTGTCATAAAATCTTTGCCCATTCCTGTGTCCAGGATGGTATTGCCTAAGTTGTCTAGGGTTTTTATAGTTTTTGGGTTCTACATTTAAATCTTTAATTTATCTTGAGTTGATTTTTGTATATGATGTAAAAAAGGAGTCCAGTTTCAATCTTCTGCTTATGACTAGCCTGTTATCCCAGCACCATTTATTTAATAGGGAGTCCTTTCCCCATTGCTTGTTTTTGTCAGCTTTGTCAAAGACAGTCATAGGTGTGTGGGCTTGTTTCTGGGCTCTCTATTCTGTTCCATTGGTCTATGTGTCTGTTTTTGTACCAGTACCATACTGTTTTGGTTATTGTAGCCACATAGTATAGTTTGGAGTTGGGTAACATGATGCCTCCAGTTTTGTTCTTTTCATTTAGGATTGCCTTGGCCATTTGGGCCCTCTTTTGGTTCCATATAAATTTTAAAATAGTTTTTTTTTCTTAGTTCTGTGAAGAATGTCACTGGTAGTTTGACAGGAATGGCGTTGAATCTGTAAATTGCTTTGGGCAGTATGGCCATTTTAATGATATTGATTCTTCCTGTCCATGACCATGGGATGTTTTCATATTTTTTGTGTGTGTCATCACTGATTTCTTTGAGCAGCACTTTGGAATTCCCATTGTAGAGATCTTTCACCTCCATGGTTTGCTGTATTCCTAGATATTTTATTCTTTTTGTGGTAATTGTGAATGGGATTCAATTCCTGATTTGGCTCTCAGCTAGGCTGTTGTTGGTGTATAGAAATGCTAGTGATTTTTGTACATTGATTTTGTATCCTGCAACATTGCTGAAGTTGTTTATCATTTGAAGGAGATTTTAGGCTGAGACTATGGGGTTTTCTAGATATAAAAACATGTCATTTGCAAAAACGGATACTTTTAATTCTTCTCTTCCTATTTAAATATGCTTTATTTCTTTCTCTTGCCTGATTGTTCTGGCCAGACCTTCCAATAATATGTTGAACAGGAGTGGTGAGGGAGGGCGTTCTTGTGTTGTGCCAGTTTTCCAGGGGAATGATTTCAGCTTTTCCCTGTTCAGTATGCTGTCGTTTGTGGGTTTGTTGTAGGTGGCTCTTATTATTTTGAGGTATATTCCTTCAATATTTAGTGAATTGAGAGTTTTTAACACGAAGAGATGTTGAATTTTATCAAAAACTTTTACTGCATCTATGGAGATAATCATGTTTGTTTCCTTTAGTTCTGTTTATGTGATGAATTAGATTTATTGGTTTGTGTACATTGAACCAACTTTGCATCCCAAGGATGAAGTTTACTTGACTGTGGTAGACTAGCTTTTTGATGTGCTGCTGCGTTTTGTTTACAAGTATTTTGTTGAGGATTTTTGCATCAGTGTTCATCAAGGATGTTGGTTTTGCATCAATGTTCATCAAGGATATTGGCCTGAAGTTTTCTTTTTTCGTTGTGTCTCTGCCAGGTTTTGGTATCAGGATAATGCTAGCCTCATGGAATGAGTTGGGGAGGAGTCCCCTTTCCTCAATTTTTGGTGATAGTTTCAGTAGGAATGGTACCAGCTCTCTCTGTACATCTGGTAGAATTCTACTGTGAATCCATCTTGTCCTTTTTATTTTTCTTGGTAGGCTATTTATTATTCATTCAGTTTCAGAGCTCATTATTGGTTTGTGCAGGGAATCGATTTCTTTCTGGCTCAGCCTTGGGAAAGCATATGTTTCCAGGGATTTATCCATATCTTCTAGGTTTTCTAGTGTGTGTGTGTAGAGGTGTTTGCAGTAGTTTCTGATGGTTATCTTTATTTCTGTGGGGCCAGTGGTGTATCCTTTCCATCATTTCTAATTGTGTTTATTTGGATTTATTCTCTTTTTTTCTTTATTAGTCTAGCTAGTGCTCTATGTTAGTAATTTTTTCAAAATTCCAGTTCCTGGATTCATTGATCTTTTAAGGGTTTTTTGGTTTCAATTTCCTTCAGTTTAGGTCTGATTTTTGTTATTTCTTGTCTTCTGCTAACTTTGGGATTGATTTGCTCTTGCTTCTCTAATTCTTTCATCTGTGATGTTAGCTTGTTAATTTGAAATCTTTCTAACTTTTTTTCATGGGTGTTTAGTGCTATAAACTTCCCTCTTTACACTGCCTTAGCTGTATCCCAGATATTCCGGTATGTTGTAGCTTTGTTCTCATTAGTTTCAAATAATTTCTTGACATCTGACTTAATTTCATTATGTACCCAAAAGTCATTCAGGAACATGTTGTTTAATTTCCATGTAATTACATGGTTTGGGGCAATTTTTTTTTTAGTCTTGACTTCTATATTTATTGCACTGTGGTCCAAGAGTGTGTTTGGTATAATTTTTTTTGCATTTGCTGAGGATTGTTTTATGTCCAATTATGTGGTCAATTTTAGCGTGTGTGCCATGTGGCGATGAGAAGAATGTATATTCTGTTGTTTTTGGGTGGAAAGTTCTGTACAGGTCTAGCAGATCCATTTGGTCCAATGTTGAGTTCAGGTCATGAATATCTTTGTTAATTTTCTGCCTCAATGATTTGTCTAATACTTTCAGTGGAATGTTGAAGTCTCTATTATTGTGTGGGAGTCTAAGTCTCTTTGTATGACTCTAAGAACTTGCTTTATTAATCTGGATGCCCCTATGTTGGGTGCACATGTATTTAGGATAGTTAAATTGTTGAATTGAACTCTTGTTGAATTGAACTCTTTACATTATGTAATGCCCTTCTTTGTCTTTTTTTTAAAAGCCTTATTGATTTAAAGTCTGTTTTGTCTAAGATTAGGATTTCAACCCCTGATTTTTTCTGATTTCCACTTGCTTGGTAGATTTGCCTCCATTTTTTTATTTTTATTTTGAGCCTATGGGTGTCATTATGTGTGAGATTGGTCTCTTGCAGCATACCATTGAGTTTTGCCTTTTTATCCAGCTTGCCATTCTGTACCGTTTAAATGGAGCCATTTAGCCTGTTTATATTCAGGGTTAGTATTGACATGTGTGGTTTTGATCTTTTCATTGTGTTGTTAGCTGGTCACTATGCTGGTTTGTTTGTATTGTGCTTTATAGTGTTACTGGTCTGTGTATTTAAGTGTTTTTGTATTGGCCGGTAGTGGTCTTTTCTTTCTATATTTAGTGCTTTCAAGATCTCTTGTAAGGCAGGTCTGGTGGTAATAAACTCTCTTATCATTTGCTTATCTGAAAAGGATCTTACTTCTCCTTTGCTTAGGGAGCTTAGTTTGGCTTGATGTGAAATTCTTGGTTGAAGATTTCTTCCTTAAAAATGTTGAATATAGGCTCCCAATCTCTTCTTGCTTGTAGGGTTACAGCTGAGAGATTTGCTGTTATCCTGATGGTGTTCTCTTTTTGCAGGTGACCTGCCCTTTCTCTCTAGCTGTCTTTATCATTCTGCCTTTCATTTCAACCTTGGAAAATTCTGATGATTATGTGTGTTGGGGAGAATCTTGCAGGGGTTCTCTGTATTTCCTGAGTTTGACTTTTGGCCTCTCTAGCAAGGTGAGGTAGTTTGCATAGACGATATCCTAAAATATGTTTTTTAAGTTGTTTGCTTTCCCCTCGTCCCTTTTAGGGATGCCAGTGATTCATATATTTGGCCTCTTTACACGATTCCATATTTCTTGGAGGTTTTGTGCATTCCTTTTCATTGTTTTTTCTTTATTTTTGTCTGACTGTCTTATTTCAGAGAACCAGGCTTCAAGTTCTAATTTTCTTTCTTTAGCTTGGTCTGTTCTGCTATTAATACTTGTAATTGTGTTGTGAAATTCTTTTAGTGTGTTTCTCAGCTCTGTCAGCTCTCTCAGGTTCTTATATATACTGGCTATTTCATCTTTCATCTTCTGTATCATTTTATTGTGGTTTTTAGTTTCCTTGGATTGGGCTTTGCCACTCTCCTGAATCTCGATGATCTTCATTTCTATTTATGTTCTGAATACTGTCATTCCAGCCAGCTCAACAGGGTTAAGAACCCTTGCTGGAGAACAGGTGCAATCATCTGGAGGACATATGACACTCTGACCATTTGAGTTACCGGTTACCAGTATTCTTGCATTGGTTCTTTCTCATCTCTGCATGTGGGTGTTCCTTTAACTGTAGTGTAGATTGATACAGTCAATAAACTTCTTTTCTGTGTGTTTTCATGGAGCTGAGCCTTTGTGCAGGGTCTTTATTTGTAGCTGACTTTTTGTCTTTGGTTTCTCAAAGGAGTCTGTTAATGAGGTATTTTTGGTGTTGAAGCCTTGAGGTGTGATCGAGTAGGTGGTACTTAGGTGTATTGATCAGTTGGTGGGCTCTTGCTCAGTCATGTGGCTTCCTTATATTTTCTCACAGTTGCAGCCATGCCCCTCTCAATACTCTGAGTGTAGGCTCCTCTCCCACTTGAGTGCTGGCTGTAGAGCCCAGCTTGGCACTCCTGAACTGCCCACCACGGCTCTGGGGCAATCTGAGTTTATGTTCCTTTTACAATGTGGAGACAGCAGAGGAAGAAATGTTAGTGGTGGTTGTAGCCACAGTCTCCTTTTTAAAATAATGAATTTTTATCATGATTGTTTTTTGGTTTGCTCTTACTGCCTGAGATGCTCTGTCTCTGACTCCTTTGCACATTCCGTCCTTTCCTGGGTCGAGCTCAATCTTTGTCTCTCCTCTTCACACTCTATGCTCTCCCTGCTAGGAAATCTCTTTACACTTTCATGTACAGCCTGAGTTAATACAAAGACATCATAGAATTCACAATTTGTCTTTGTAGTGCTGGCTTTCCTACTGAGCTCCAGACATGAATAATTAGGTGCCTGGTTGATTCTTCCACTTGTATGTCTCAGAAACATCCCATTTTCAACATGTCCCCCAAAATATCACAATCTCCAAGGCCTCCTATCACACATCTTGTTCTTTTTCAGTGTTTCAAACTTGTATCTAGTTCCAAAGCCTGAAACTTTTGAGTTAGCTCTTATCCCTTCCCTTTATTCTCCACATTCAACCCAACACATCAATACATTAGTTTTTTTTTCTTATAGTTGATCTAATAAATTCAACAGGATAATAACTTGACTGGGCATAATTAAAAAGAGAATTAGGGAATTTGAAGGAAATACAAAAATGTTTTCTCTATAGCATACATAGAGAGATAGAGATTTTTTTTTAAAAAAGGAAGAGTAAAAGATGTTAAAAGATGAGTAATATATTGAGGATTTTTTTTTTTTTTGAGACAGAGTCTCCCTCTGTTGCCCAGGTTGGAGTACAGTGGCATGATCTCAGCTCACTGCAACCTCTGCCTCCTGGGTTCAAGCGATTCTCCTGCCTCAGCCTCCTGAGTAGCTGGGACTACAGGTGCATGCCACCAAGCCTGGCTAATTTTTCTTTTTTCTTTTTTCTTTTTTTTAGTACAGACAAGGTTTCACCATGTTGGCCAGGATGGTCTCAATCTCCTGACCACATGATCCACCCGCCTCAGCCTCCCAAAGTGCTGGGATTACAGGTGTGAGCCACCACGCCAGGCCTTTTTTTTATACTTTAAGTTCTGGGATACATGTGCAGAATGTGCAGGTTTGTTACCTAGGTATACACATGCCATGGTGGTTTGCTGCACCTATCAACCCATCATCGACATTAGGTATTTCTCCTAATGCTATCCCTCACCTAGGCCCCCAACCCCCGACAGGCCCCGGTGTGTAATGTTCCCCTCCCTATGTCCATGTGTTCTAATTGTTCAACTCCCACTTATGAGTGAGAACATGTGGTGTTTGGTTTTCTGTTCTTGTGTTAGTTTCCTGAGAATGGTGGTTTCCAGCTTCATCCATGTCCCTGCAAAGGATATGAACTGATCCTTTTTTATGGCTGCTTAGTGTTCCATGGTGTATATGTGCCACATTTTCTTTATCCAGTCCATCATTGATGGGCATTTGGTTTGGTTCCAAGACTTTGCTATTGTGAACAGTGCTGCAATAAACATACATGTGCAGGTGTTTTTATAGTAGAATGATTTATAATCCTTTGGATATATACCTAGTAATGGGATTGCTGGGTGAAATGGTATTTCTAGTTCTAGATCCTTGAGGAATCGCCACACTGTCTTCCACAATGGTTGAACTAATTTACATTCCCACCAACAGTGTGAAAGCGCTCCTATTTCTCCACATCCTTTCCAGCATCTGTTGTTTCCTGACTTTTTAATTATCACCATTCTAAGTGGCATGAGATAGTATCTCATTGTGGTTTTGATTTGCCTTTCTCTAATGACCAGTGATGATGAGTTTTTTTCTTATGTTTGTTGGCCACATAAATGTCTTCTTTTGAGAAGTGTTTGTTCATATCCTTTGCCCACTTTTTGATGGGGTTGTTTTTTTTTTTTCTCGCAAATTTGCCTAAGTTCCTTGTAGATTCTGGATATTAGCCTTTTGTCAGATGGATAGATTGCAAAAATTCTCTCTCATTCTGCAAGTTGTCTGTTCACTCTGATGATAGTTTCTTTTGCTGTGCAGAAGCTCTTTAGTTTAATTAGATACCGTTTGTCAATTTTGGCTTTTGTTGCCATTGCTTTTGGTGTTTTAGTCATGAAGACTTTGCCCGTGCCTTTGTCCTGAATGGTATTGCCTAGATTTTCTTCTAGGGTTTTTATGGTTTTAGGCCTTACGTTTAAGTCCTTAATCCACCTTGAGTTAATTTTTGTATAAGTTGTAAGTAAGGGGTTCAGTTTCACTTTTCTGCATATGGCTAGCCAGTTTTCCCAACAGCATTTATTAAATAGGGAATCATTTCCCCATTGCTTCTTTTTGTCAGGTTTTTCAAAGATCAGATGGTTGTAGACATGTGGCGTTATTTCTGAGGCCTCTGTTCTGTTTTGTTGGTCTAAATATCTGTTTTGGTACAGTACCATGTTGTTTTGGTTACTGTGGCCTCGTAGTATAATTTGAAGTCAGGTAGCATGATGCCTCCAGCTTTGTTCATTTTGCTTAGGATTGTCTTGGCTATACCAGCTCTTTCTTGGTTCCATATGATATTTAAAGTTTTTTTTTCTAATTCTGTGAGCAAAGTCAATGGTAGTTTGATGGGGATAGCATTGAATCTATAAATTACTTTGGGCAGTATGCCCATTTTTACAATATTGATTCTTCCTATCCATGAGCATGGAATGTTCTTCCATTTGTTTGTGTACTCTCTTATTTCCTTGAGCAGTGGTTTGTAGTTCTCCTTGAAGAGGTCCTTCACATCCCTTTTAAGTTGTATTCCTAGGTATTTTATTCTTTGTAGCAATTGTGAATAGGAGTTCACTCATGATTTGGCTCTCTGTCTATTATTGGTGTATAGGAATGCTTGTGATTTTTGCACGTTGATTTTGTATTCTGAGACTTTGCTGAAGTTGCTTGTTTGTTAGCTTAAGGAGATTTGGGGCTGAGATGATAGGGTTTTCTAAACATACAATCATGTCATCTGCAAACAGAGACTATCTGACTTCCTCTTTTCCTATTTGAATACCCTTTATTTCATTTTCTTGCCTGATTGCCCTGGCCAGAACTTCCAATACTGAGTTGAATAAGAGTGGTGAGAGGGCATCCTTGTCTTGTGCTGGTTTTCAAAGGGAACACTTTCAGCTTTTGCCCATTCGGGATGACATTGTCTGTGGGTTTGTCATAAATAACTCTTATTATTTTGAGATATGTTTCATCAATACCTAGTTTACTGAGAGTTTTATCATGAAGAGGTATTGAATTTTATTGAAGGCCTTTTCTGCATCTGTTGAGATTATCATGTGGTTTTTGTCATTGGTTCTGTTTATGTAATGGATTATGTTTATTGATTTGCAGATGTTGAACCAGACTTGCATCCCAGGGATGAAGCCCACTTGATCATGGTGGATAAGCTTTTTGGTGTGCTGCTGGATTCAGTTTGGTAGTATTTTATTGAGGATTTTTGCATCGATGTTCATCAGGTATATTGGCCTGAAATTTTCCTTTTGTTGTTGTGTCTCTGCCAGGTTTTTTGAATCAGGATGATGCTGGCCTCATAAAATGAGTTAGGGAGGATTCTCTGTTTTTCTGTTGTTTGGAATAGTTTTAGAAGGAATGGTACCAGCTCCTCTTTGTACCTCTGGTAGAATTTGGCTGTGAATCCATCTGGTCCTGGGCCTTTTTCTGGTTGTTAGGCTATTAATCACTGCCTCAATTTCAGAACTTGTTATTGGTCTATTAGGGATTTGACTTCTTCCTGGTTTCATCTTGGGAGGGTGTATATGTCCAGGAATTTATCCATTTCTTCTAGATTTTCTAATTTATTTGCATAGAGGTGTTTATGGTATTCTCTGATGTTAGTTTGTATTTCTCTGGGATCAGTGGTGATCTTCCCTTTATCATTTTTTGTTGTGTCTATTTGATTGTTCCTCTTTTCTTCTTTATTAATCTGGCTAGAGGTCTATCTATTTTGTTAGTGTTTTCAAAAAACTAGCTCCTGGATTCATTGATTTTTTGAAGGGTTTTTCGTGTCTCTATCTCCTTCAGTTCTGCTCTGATCTCAGTTATTTCTTGTCTTCTGCTAGCTTTTAAATTGGTTTGCTCTTGCTTCTCTAGTTCTTTTAATTGTGATGTTAGGGTGTCAATTTTAGATCTTTCCCACTTTCTCCTGTGGGCATTTAGTGCTATAAATTTCCCTGTAAACACTGCTTTAGCTGTGTTCCAGAGATTCTGGTACATTGTATCTTTGTTCTCATTGGTTTCAAAGAACTTATTTATTTCTGCCTTAATTTTGTTATGTACCCAGTAGTCATTCAGGAGCAGATTGTTTAGTTTCCATGTAGTTGTGAGGTTTAGAGTGAGTTTCTTTATCCTGAGTTCTAATTTGATTGCACTGTGGTCTGAGAGACTGTTTGTTATGATTTCTGTTCTTTTGCATTAGCTGAAGAGTGTTTTACTTCCAATTATGTGGTCACTTTTAGAATAAGTGCGATGTAGTGCTGAGAAGAATGTATATTTTGTTGCTTTGGGGTGGAGAGTTCTATAGACGTCTATTAGGTCCACTTGGTCCAGAGCCGAGTTCAAGTCTTGGATATCCTTGTTAATTTTCTGTCTCATTGATCTGTCTAATATTGACAGTGGAGTGTTAAAGTCTTCCACTATTATTGTGTGGGAGTCTAGGTCTCTTTATAGGTCTCTAAGAACTTGCTTTATGACTCTGGGTGCTCCTGTATTGGGCGTCTATATATTTAGGATAGATAGCTCTTCTTGTTGCATTCATCCCTTTACTATTATGTAATGCCCTTCTTTGTCTTTTTTGATCTTTGTTGGTTTAAAGTCTATTTTATTAGAGACTAGGATTGCAAACCCTGTTTGTTTTGTTTTGTTTTGTTTTTTTGCTTTCCATTTGCTTGGTAAATATTCCTCCCTCCCTTTATTTTGAGCCTATGTATGTCTTTGCACTTGAGATGGGTCTCCTGAATACAGCACACTGATGGGCTTGACTCCGTATCAGATTTGCCAGACTGTGTCTTTTAATTGGAGCATTCTGCCCATTTGCATTTAAGGTTAATATTTTTATGTGTGAATTTGATCCTATCATTATGATGCTAGCTGGTTATTTTGCCCGTTAGTTGATGCAGTTTCTTTATAGTGTCGATGGTTTTTACAATTTGGTATGTTTTTACAGGGGCTGGTGTGGTTTTTCTTTTCCATATTTAGTGCTTTTTTCAGGAGCTATTGTAAGGCAGGCCTGGTGGTGACAAAATCTCTCAGCATTTGCTTGTGTGTAAAGAATTTTATTTCTCCTTCACTTATGAAGCTTAGTTTGGCTGGATCTGCTATTCTGGGTTGAAAATTCTTTTCTTTAAGAATGGTGACTATTGGTCCCCACTCTCTTCTGGCTTGTAGGGTTTCTGCCAAGAGATTCACTGTTAGTCTGATGGGCTTCTTTTTGTGTGTAACCCGACCTTTCTCTCTTGCTGCCCTTAACATTTTTTCCTTCATTTCAACCTTGGTGAATCTGATGATTATTTGTCTTGGGGGTTGCTCTTTCAAGACTTATCTTTGTGGTGTTCTCTGTATTTCCTGAATTTGAATGTCAGCCTGTCTCGCTAGGTTGGGGAAGTTCTCCTGGATCATATCCTGAAGAGTGTTTTCCAACTTGGTTCCATTCTCCCAGTCACTTTCAGGTACACCAATCAAACACAGGTTTGGTCTTTTCACATAGTTCCATATTTCTTGGAGGCTTTGTTCTTTCCTTTTCATTCTTTTTTCTCTAATCTTGTCTTCACGCTTTATTTCATTAAGTTGATCTTCAATCTTTGATATCCTTTCTTCTGCTTGATTGATTCAGGTATTGATACTTGTATATGCTTCACGAAGTTCTCGTGCTGTGTTTTGCAGCTCCATCAGGTCATTTATGTTCTTCTCTAAACTGGTTATTCTAGTTAGCAATTCCTGTAACCATTTTTCAAGGTTCTTAGCTTCCTTGCATTGGGTTAGAACATGCTCCTTTAGCTCAGTAGAGTTTGTTATTACCTACCTTCTGAAGCCTACTTCTGTCAATTCATCAAACTCATTCTCCGTCCAGTTTTGTTCTCTTGCTGGCGAAGAGTTGTGATCGTTTGGAGGAAAACAGGTGTTCTGGTTTTTGGAATTTTCAGCCTTTTTGGCCTGGTTTTTCTTCATCTTCATTTATTCATCTACCTTTGTTCTTTGATGTTGGTGACCTTCGGATGGGGTTTCGTTTGGACATCTTTTTTGTTGATGTTGATGTTCTTCCTTTCTGTTTGTTAGTTTTCCTTTTAACAGTCAGGCCCCTCTACTGCAGGTCTGCTGGAGTTTGCTGGAGGTCTATTCCAGACCCTGTTTCCTGGGTATCTCCTGCAGAGGCTGCAGAACAGCCTAGATTGCTGCCTGTTCCTTCCTCTGGAAGCTTCCTCCCAGAGGGGCACCCACTGGATGCCAGCCAGAGCTCTGCTGTATGACATGTCTGTTGACCCCTGCTGGGAGGTGTCTCCCAGTCAGGAGGCACGAGGGTCAGGGACCCACTTGAGGAGGCAGTCTGTCCCTTAGCAGAGCTTGAGTGCTGTGCTGGGAGATCCGCTGCTCTCTTTGGAGCTGGCAGGCAGAAACATTTAAGTCTGCTGAGGCTGCCCCCATAGCTGTCCCTTCCCCCAGGTGCTCTGTCCCAAGGAGATGGAAGTTTTATCAGTAAGCCACTGACTGGGGCTGCTGCCTTTCTTTCGGAGACGCCCTGCTCAGAGAGGAGGAATCTAGAGAGTAAGACATCATTTTTCCAGTACATGATTCAAGGTTGCCATGTCCCTCACCTGGATCAATAGATTAGCTTCCTGCATCCTTTCGACCCTTTTCTAATTTCTTATCTGCACTGTAGCAAGGCTGGCATTTTGAATTTCAAGCCTCATCGTATCATTACTCTTTAAAAATATTGAATTGTTTGTCATTTTATTGAGTAAAGTTCAAAAATTATTGTCCCAGAAAATCTACGGTAAAGTTTTAATTTCTGGACCCTAATTTCTACGCCCCATTTCACATCTAGCTTCTCCTCATTTAGCTACACAGGTCTTTTGTGTTCTCCTTGGTCCAATCATATGCTTTCTGGCCATACAATCTGTTCTGTTTACTTGCCCCTCTCCCTCCCACCCCTCATTCTCAGGACACTATTCTCTTTCAGAGAATTTACCATAATTGGGATTTATTCATATAATCCTTTGATTATTGTCTGTGTCCACCTGTCAGATCAGAAATGCCAAGAAGTCTTAAAGGGCTTGTGTTTCTCTTTTCCTTCACTATTGCATCTCTGTTGTAGTAAAGTGCTGGCACATAACAGAAACTCAACAAATGAAGGCATTGTCTCAACCAATGCTCACATCAACCCTACCTCAGAAGTATTTTCATTCCTCAATTTCCATGTGCAGCCAGAGAGGTTGATTTGATTCATCAGCATGCCCAAGACTGCACAATCAGTAGAAGGAAGAACTTGGAACTGAAAGCAGGTCATGCTGTTTTTACTCTTCCACACTACATTTTAGACCTCCCTGTTTCTTAAGCTTGGGGGTGGATAACAGGAACCATGTGACTATCCTACTCCACTCCGTCCTTTTTTGTTATTAAATTGTACTGGAAATTTGGGCTTTCAGTGATTGTATTTTTTTCTGAACATGCATTTTTTTTTTAGAAAAATGAACTGACTAGTTTTTTTTAAATGAAATATGATTAAGAGAAAATAATCTCTGATGGGCCCATAACCAGCAACTTTGGATATTTTTCATTAAGTGGAAGAAAAATATAGACTTTGGCAATTGAGACGATCTTCATTAATAAATAAAAGGATTGTTCCAGATGTGCTATAAAATAAATACATTGAGAAGATGTGAAAAGCAAGAGGGTTTAATACACAGCCAAAATTTTAGTGTCTCTATTGGTAATAATCAGAATAACTTGTTTGATTATACCATTGTGATTTAGTTGGATCACATAATATGTTGGTATTTGGCCATTTGGGGCCATGAAACAACATTTTCTTATGGTTCAATCCCCAATAATGGGAGATTTTTCTCTCCCTCCTCTGTGTCCCAGGAAATGCTTCATTTCCCATGAGCCCATTGAAAAGAGGCTGACTTAGGTTGAATTTGCTGACAAGTGTGTTGGTTCTTCTTTCTTCCCCATTTCTATATGTTTGTCCATCTTCCATGTGGAAGCTGTGGACTAGTTAGAGGTAATCTGCTACTTGATCAAAAAGGATAAAGAAGTTCATGAAACTTCAATGACCTCTGTACTTACAAGTCTCTTTTAGAGAAAATGGCCTGAAGCAGCATCTTCCTGCAACCTTTTATATGACATTTACTCACATTGAGTGAAAAAAATGGGTTCAATGGATTGGACCAGAAATCAGGAGGTAAAGTGTACTAGTGAGAAGGAGATGAGAAATCATGTGAATTAAGAGAGATGATCTCAGTTTCTGATTTTCCAGTTCCCAATATATTTATAAGAGGTCTGGGTGTATTTTATTTTTCACTTTTGAATGTCTATGAAGTTGTCCTTTATAGTCTTCCAGCAAAAATGTTTTTATTTGCCCTCATTTGGGAAAACTTTTTTCATCACTGAATAATCCCTGACCAGCACAAAAATTAAATGGGGGTAATGTCATGTATATAATATAAACTCTTAAAGATAATGAAATACATCTACTTAAAAAGAAAAATGTTCTTTCTCTTGTGGAACTTAGGTTTCAGAATGGAAGTGTATTTTATATTGGCCAATTGGACTGGCTGTGAAAGACCAGTAACCAAGCAAGAGAAGTAGATGTTGCTTTAATGAGGTATAAACTATATCTTGTTAAATAGGTCTTATCTTAGACAAGTAGTATAAATGCACACCCAAACATCATTCATTTGCAATACAGAGGCATTTAGAAGTGATTCACATGGATTTTTTCCTTTTATTTTTGGAAAGGATTAATCTAAGCTTCTGCTGTGTATGGACCTGTGGCTACATTACAAAATTCAGTTGTGAAGCTATAAAATCAATTAGTCTAGACCTCAAATCTTATTTCCTATGAAAAGCCTCAAACTTGTAGCTGTATGAACAAGTGTTTTTGGAATTTTTTTTTTTTTGCTAGAATGGAGAGAACACACTGGAGATCACAAATGCATTTATTCTTTTTCACCAACTGTTTCATTGGCCTTAAAAAATACTAGGCTAAACTTAAGTGGTAAAGATCTGAAATAAAAAGATGCATCTTTATGTCTGAACAGCAATTTTTCATAGGTCTCTAATAACTTGCATTTCCTTATCTATGGATAAGGAGATCTGAAATTGATCTACATTTTCTTTAGTAATGTTTTCTCTGTTTATTGAGAACAGATATCTTCATCTCCTTCATGCATTATCCTTAGTAACAGATGTCAGTAGGATCCAGAGCCATTTTGGAACTTTACCAAGGATTAAGGATGAGCACAGATCACATCAAGAGTCTGTAAGAAGACAGTATTTCTGATTTAGACCCATAAAGACAGTATCTCATAATTGTGAGCAAAGATTGCATGTGAAGGATTATATTTGTTTTTCCTGACAAGATGTTGCATACTATGGAATGTAAATTTTTGTGATGATTGGAGAGGAACTGAGCTCCTTTCTAGCTCAGTTTCTTTCTAGCTCAGTCCCTTTCCAATCACCATAAAATGGAAGCACAAACCTTCAACAAAATATATTCCTTAGCTGAGCTTGAGATTTTGCATAGCCTCTCATTTATTCTTTCTAGAATCAGTAAAGTGCATTAGGATTCAGAAGACTCCACTTGTTCTATTTGCTCTCCATTGCATTATGACTTCATCAGGCACTGCTATCATGGGGCACTGGTAACAAATGTATGTACTTTCTAAATACTTACGATGTAGTAGCTAGGTGGCTACATGTTGGGCAAAATGGGATAAGACAATATCATTTTAACATGCTTCAAGTACTATGTCAAGGTCTTACTATGTACTATTTCATTTTAATCCTAAAAAAAAAAAAACACTCAGAAGAAGGTATGATCGGGTATATTTTATAGATACAGAGGCTAGAGTTCAGAGACATGAACCTACCTGGCCCCCTCTGCACATAAACAATTATTAAGTAAGTGGATGTTTCGGGAGTCAAATCCAAGTTTATTTTGTTCCAAATCTGCTTCTCTTAATTAATATATTCTACTGCTTCCAGATACCATTATTTACCTTTAAGTGACTGAGATTCTAATGATACTGGTAAACCTGTTAGTAATAAACCGAGCAGGTTACAATGAAAGAAAGTATAGACTCTAAGAGGCTATAGAGAAGGCACATAAGCTGGGTTGACAGGATGAGACAAGGCATTCTGGAGAAGGTAATTGTGGTGGGGGAGTAACAGGCAACCCACAGTGATGGAGGGCAGCCATATTTCAGTCATTGGGCAGGGAGTGTGCACATTCTGGAAACAACACATCATTTTTGTAAAGTTGGGACCTAGAGTGAAAATACGGGAGTGATTGAGGATGAGAGTAAAGGGTAGGAGCCTTGTATGGCATCATTTATAGCACCCTTAACAGATTGAATTTTTCTATAAATCAATGGGAAGATGTTGATGATTTTATGAATACGAGTAATATGATTAAATCTGAATTTTAGAAATATCACTTTGGAGGCCATGTGCAGATCAGATTTGGAAGTGACCAAGACTGGAGGCAGGGACACCAGAGTTTTCTGTTAAAAACTGGTCCATGCAAGAAAAGATGACTCCTGAAATAAGACAGTGATCATTAGGATGAAGAGGAAGAGAAGATTTGAGGAATACTTAGAACAGAATTTACTGAATTTACTGGTTGAATTGAATGTGAAGAGGAGATGAATAAAGAAGAAAACACCCTCAAAGGTAATAACTAATTTTCTGTCTCGACTGAGTGTTTGATCAAACGAATGGCTATACAGGAGGAACAGTTTATTGTGAAAATGATGGGGTACCTCTACAGGACACCCAGAGAGGGAGGTTTAGGATAGTACATATGTATCTGGAGCTCTGCAGAGAGGTCCAAGCTAAAGATATGCTTCTGGAACTCATCAGCATAGAGGTGGTAGTTCAAGTCAGTAGAGAGGAAGAGACCTTTTAGGGACAGTGTGAAGAAACAGAAAGGAGAAGATGAGCAAAGAAGCTCCAACATTTAGAGGGTGGGTAGAGGAGAGGAGCCTGTGAAAAGTATGTGAAAAGCATGTAGATTTATTAAATGACTATAGTCAATAAAACAAAGGGAGGTGAGAACGACTAGAAGGGATGAGGAGCAGCTTCATATTCTACAGAGAAGTGAAAAAGTCTGAAAAGAATCTTTTGGATTTAGCACCAGAATGATGATTGAGATAACATTTCTCTTCAGTTTAATAACTTTTGTTTCTCAAAAAGTTATTTAAAAAAGCCCTATCACCTCCTCATGGTGATAGGGCTTAGTGTGGTTAGAGTTGGCTCAGGAGAGAGGCGTAAGTTCAGGGTTTATACACCACTCCAATATTCACAAAAGAGGTGGCATAGTAGAAGAGATTTTTTTTTCTCCTTGAAATAAAATTATAAAAATAAGCCTTATTTAATATCTTTCTCTGTTTGTGTACCCCACCCAAGGAAATCAAGGGATTTCTCCTCATTAGAAGGAATTGCCCTAGGAGTAAGAATTTATCCCTTTCCACTTTCAGAGTCCCCTCTGAGCATACACTATACAGCAAACATTGGATGAAGAATGTGTATTTTCAGTTTCAGAAGCTGTGAGTGTTCAAATTATATGTTAGTATATTAGCTTTAAGAACATAACTTCTACCACTCAAACAAAGTTAGAATTGTGTTCTTACACCTTGTGACACTGAGCAATGAATCAGAAACAGAAATTTTCAGTGCATGAGCTTGAGTCAGATAGGTCTGTGTTTGGACACCACCTCACACTTTCTAGGACATCATGGGGAATTAATTTATTTTGGTTTCACTTTCTTTGTAGGGGAAGTGGGAATGATGATATCTACCTTGTAAGGTTTTCATAAGTAGTTAAGGAGATAATGTACATTCAGCATTTAAACAGTTCTGTGCAAATAATCACTGCTCAATAAATGTTAACCAGTATTACTTTTATTCTAATTTTAAAAGTCAACCTTTCTTCTCTGCTTTGGGACACATCCTTGATTGTGGCTTTTCAGACATTGCTCCCACACCTTGCCACACTCCACTCTTCTTAGGGTCCTCAGTCTTTCCTTTTTAAATTCTTTCTTGTTACCAGTCATGCCCAGGGATCACTTGCCTTAAAGAAATCAACGTTTTTCTTTGGATATTGATACCTATTTAATAAACTTAAAATTTATTTCTTTTCATGATCAACTCTTATAATGAGTAGTCTATGCTTACTCTCATTTTTTTCATTTCATTTTATTTGTAAACTTTGAAATTGAATCTTAGCCTACTGGAACATAGACTCCTGAAATGGCTCATTGGTGACATATTGCTAGTGAAAATAAATGGCCTTTTAAAATCTTCCACCTCTTGGGTCATTCAGCTGCATGTGATTTTCTTGAGAACCTCGTCTTTGAAAAACTTCTTGCTCTTCTATTATGTGTCACCACAACATCTTCAATCTTTTCTTCACGGGTCCCGCTTTTCCCTCCTACATCACAGTCATTGGAGTGTCTCAAGGATTGGTCCTTAGCTTTCTCTTCTCCTTTTTACACCAATCCCTTCACAGAGTTTTATCTACTTAGAGTTTTTACCATGCTTTTGATGATGAAAAGCATCACATCTACATCTGTGTTGTGACCTTTTAACTCGTACCCAACCTCCGTATCTGCAAATATGGGACCCCTAGAATTCCTGTCATTGTCTCATTGTCTTCAGTAGATAAGGTCGACTTTCACCCTTTTTTTGAGCTTAACTATTTTTCAGTCAACAAAGACTTCTACCCTTAAAAAAATTATTTTTTGGCTGTACCATTCAGATTAGAATCTGCCTTAAACTATGTGAAAACCCTATCATCCCTAGCTTCTGTGTGCTTTGAGGTCAGCACCCACATTTATATTTCTTGTGTGACATTCAAATACTTCACAATCAACTACTGTGTCCACTTAAAAAAAAAGTCAGTGTTGTAGATGAAAAACAAAACATAGGTAAACATCAGATTAGAAATACTATTATACCCTAGAGTGGTCTAATACTTACTTGGGAATTTGTATTTATTGTCAGGCTAAAGTTTGTTTAATAATATTAATAGACATAATTAGAAGTGAGATTTAAATGATTAAATATTGAGGGTCATATAAAACAGACATACTAAACAAATTTTTTTTTTTGTTAATTACTTGGCACTTGAACTTAATATAATTTAATGTGTTTCTCCGTAACTCTGGTTAAGAAATGAATAGGAAATTTTCAATGGAAGTATTAAATGGGGTATTTAGCAAACATTTTATGAGCCACAATTTGAAGAATGTTGTTAATTCTTAATATAATTACTTTCATTAAAATCCAGTAAATCTGATTTGTGCAGTTAACTAGAAAAAAAATGCTTGAGTAGTAAATTCTATGTTGAAGAAATATTTTGCTTTGTGTGGTATTGAGCAAAGCTTTCTTAAACTTTCATGTTTTTCATTTGAAAAGATCCAGACTAAATCTCAAACAAATGGTAGATTTGGTAAAGTCAAACAAAACACTTTTTGGAACAGATCCGCCCAAAAAGGAAGCAATTTTTCATAGATTTGAACAAAAGGACTAAATTTCCTTATTCCTACTTAGTATACAGGTCAATTTCAGTACATAGACTTGTTTTGTGTATTTTCTGGTTAAGAAATGACTTAAATTCTATTATGGATAGGGATACTTAGTAGGCCTCTTCCGGTGGTCAAATAATAATTTTGATACTATTTGGGGCTATATGTTAGTATATCGAAAGTCCAGTTTGAATTATTTTCGACAGCTGAGTCACCACAGTGATTTTGCAAATGACTTTTATTTTTTCACTTTGATTTCTCTATCACAATTCAAAGAAGGATTTTGATCAGACACTATACTAAATTATTTAATAATGAGAAAAATTTGAAGTCATTAACAAGAGAAAAGTTGAAAACTAATAAAGTTTAGCAGAAATTTTGCCAAGAGAGAGATGAGGGCCAGATGTGGCTGACTTACAGCTGAGACAAGTCAACAGCATCAATGTTTTATCTTAGTCTATCCAAAAAAAAATGTGTCTCCAAGATGCCATATTTATGCCTCCAGGTATCTGTTTTATTTGATGTGTTGCTACTGTACTTTCATTTCTTCACTTCTTTATTCTATCAAAAATATGTGTATTACAATTTGCAATTGTAAAAATTTGGAACCAGCCTGAATGATATACCATGGAATACTACTCAGCAATTAAAAGGAATGAAATAATAGCATTTAAAGTAGCCTGGATGGAACTGGAGACTATTATTCTAAGTAAAGTAACTCAGGAATGGAAAACCAAACATCGTTGTTTTCACTAATATGTGGGAGCTAAACTATAAGGATGCAAAGGCATAAGAATGATACATTGGACTTTGGGGACTTAGGGGAGAAGGTAGGGGATGGCAAGGGATAAATGACTACATGTTGGGTACAGTGTACCCTGCTTGGGTGATGGGTGCACCAAAATCTTGGAAATCACCATTAAAGAACTTATTCACGTAACCAAACACCCCATGTTCCCCAAAAACCTATTTAAATAAAAAATTGACAAATTAAAAAAATAAAATAAAATGAATTAATCATAAAAAACCCCAAAACCAAAAAACAAAAATAAGTGTATTAAATACCAAATATGTGACCAGATACCAATGATTGGCATTGCCTCTAAAGCAAGTGAAGTTACAGCCCTGACTCTCGCTAAGTTCTTCTCATTCATCTTTACCCACACCTTATTCCCAGATGGGAGTCACTTGCAAGAATCACAAGGTGTGAATGTGGGTTTTATACTTTGGGGATTGTGGGATTCATGGAAGTTACAGTTGGGAAAATATGTATCTGGCTTTTGAACCCATTGTATTTCCTCTGTTGTCTCTATACTGGAAACACCAAGGAATTCAGTAAAAAGAGGTAGAACTTGGAAAGGCTGAAGCCCATTTTAAATAGATCAAGTCCTCCCGGAGTGGGGGAAGATGGCCACTGTGAATTACAAGACCAGGCTAATGATGCTGTGATATACATTTAGGTAGTAGTTGAGATGTAGAAGGTGGGAGACCCAAAAGAAAGTTAGCATAACTCTGTTTTTTTATTCTTTTTCTTACTGTAATGAATCACCTAAGCTTCCTCTTTCAATTCATGGGGTAATCTTTAAATAACTACAGAAGAAGTGGGCATAATTATAGACAGGTTCATTCTTTTCAAGATATTTTTATTCCAGCTGTGCGTTTCTTGATATTGTGTCTCCTTTCTCTCTCTTATTGTCCTTTATGTTTACACTCTGCATATTTTAAAAGAGTGATTCCTTTTCCTTGTAAATAATTAGAAATCATAGAAGTTTCTAAATAAACACAAAATAAACAATGGGATGGTGTCTCCTTTTATAGTTAAAGTTACAAGATTGTAGAGAAAAATGATTGGAAATAGGTTGATTCCATGAAGCTAGGAATAGAAAGAATAGAAGGGAAGAGGATTTGCATCGCACTTTTTTATGATATCTAAAATCCAAGTTATTTTCATAGGGGCTTGTCAGTCCTATAGAACATTCTCTATGTAGAGAGGAAAGTCACTACTGCAGAAGAGATAACCTCCTAGGGTGCGTCCCCAGGGATCCCAGCTTCTTCAGGCTTCTCTGATCCAGTATAAGTTACAAAACTTACAATCAGTGGGGAATTTCCTTATTTGAAGTCTTGCCACTTCAGTGACTTTCTAAATAGAAATTAGAGAACCCAGAAAGGTTTTGAAAAAATTTTTAGTTCTTCCTGGCAATTGCATGTATATTTTTTTCTGCATGTTATTTGGATGTGAGGAGCTGTCATTATTATTTTAGGAACAAATATGAAACAATCTCTGGAAAATGGAATTTGATTTTGATTCAACAACAGGAGAATTCTACTGTTTTTCTCCAGCAGCTCCACGATAAAAGGTATGTTCAATATCATTGAGAAGAAAGGCTACAAATGCTGCTTTTTCTTCACAATTATCATTTGGAATAAGTATAGTGAAGGCAAACTTTGAATAATTAGGGGCATAAAATTGACATGTGCTTTGGTTTTCTTGATATTAAAAAAATGTATACTATGGATAGTCATCTAGAAGTTTACTTCAAATTTCCACTGACTTTCTTATGTAGAAACAGATATAATATTCCTTTTCTAAAAAGTGAAAAAGGGAAGCGACAAAGAACAAATGTTTCACGGTTCATTGATTATAGGACCGAAAATAAGAAGACTGCATGTGTGGTATGTGTGTATGTAAAAGTGAACGAGAGAAAGAGACACAGAGAAAAAGGTGTTTGAGGCAGAAAGGAGAGTTTTTGGTAAATAAAAAAGCTCATCTATACTTAAAACATAAAAGCTTAAAATAATGCAAAGTAGAAAAAAATGGCTATAAGGGAATACTAAGAAGAGAGAAATTGGTGAGATAGGATATTTTCCATAACAATTTTTAAAGGTCATAACTATATTTTTATTTCCTAAGCTCAAACTCTATGATTATAAATAACTGACATGACTAGGTTCTGGTCACAACTTTGAACTTAGTTAGATTTGATTTTTGTGTTTTTCTTCATCTATCTACCAAGTTGATCACATTGTTGATAAAAAGGATTTAGTAAAATTAATGTAATCATTTATAATAATATTAGATTAATGAATCAGACCAGAATAATTCTCTAAAATGGTTTAAAGTCATTTAAATTAAATCTATTCAAACGTCTTTATTCCAGTGGTAATTTTCTTAATATTCTATCTCTTTTCCCTTTCTCTTTATCATTTTAATTTAAATAATCAAAAATAGAGTGGTTAAAGGGACCATGCCAAGATACTGGTAAATATGAAACTATTCTACTTATATCAGAATTTTTATTAATACATTCGTGTTCAAATAGAAATCAATTTCCCAGGATAAATCTTTCTTTGATTTATAAATTGTTAACTATTAGACCTCATTTCTGGTGCTCATAGATATGTAACATATTAGCAAACTCAGACATCACTTTTCTTCCTTCCTTGTTCAGTTAGCTGTAGAATACAAAAAGAATGGTTTCATGCTGACTGATTGCTGTCCTTCATTCTAGTATATTTATAGACCTAGCATACATTATGAAGCTTCAAAATGTTTTCCAATATAATATAAATAGCAAATTTAATTTTGAACCTATTGATATTTGGAATAAACATGTAGCACAATGTTTGACCCATAGTAGATAATCAATTAGTTTTTGTGGAAAGGATGAAATCTTCAAGTTGACTGTTCTAGAAAAATTGGCTAGCTGAAATTTGCTCCATGAAAATAGACTACTTTCCTGAGCTTATATAGTATTTTGCAACTTCCTGCTGTAATTCAGAACTAAACCAAAGCCTCTTAACTATAGATGTGTCTGAACCAATCTATCACCAATTCAACAAAAATGCTTTAAAAATAGACCAAGAATTATTCCTTTGGATAAGTAACTGATATACTAGTTTATATTTAAATTAAAAAATAATTCAGACATATAAATTGAATGCTACCAAAGTATACAAAATTAAAAGTAAAAATAAAAAACATAACCTTAAAGCACATGGCTGTTGTTGAATTGGGAATGTAGACAAGCTACTGTTACTGTCGACAGTACTTGCCAAGGTCAGGTTCAATTAACGGCCAATGCCATGAGCAGGGCATCAAAACCACCCACCTTCACAAAAAACACTTGCAGGCACCAGGCACCATGGGCACATATTCAAGAAGAGGCTAAAAACTTAGAGAGAAGCAAAGGGACTCTCATATTTCCCCTTATTTCCGTATTGTTTGTGATGAATAAAGCCTTAATATTCATAAATATCCAAATAATTCTAATAAACTACTCAAAACATACTTTTTAGATGACAAAAACACACGTAAAATGATTTTTTTTCTGGAACATCAATTCCCTATGGTTTCAGGGAAGATAAATATTAAGTGTCTTAGAGATACAGTGTGAAACCTCCTGGGTTTCATGTTTGCCACCAATTGATGAATCTGTCTTTTCTAATAAGAAATGATCCTAATATTCTTGTAGGTTATAGAATTTAAAGAGATTATAAAAATCACTCCTTCCTTCATTCTTTAAATCATTTACCAAATATGGAGAGTCTCTTAAGTTTGTAGTGGGAGTAGAGAAATAAGAAAGACAGAAATAGCCTGTCTTCATGGGATGAAACGTGAAAGTTATTACACCTAAAAACTGTGAAGAAAAAGCTATCATCAGTTCCAAAAGTTGGAGGAACATTTCAGTTAGACAGGAAGAATAAGTTCAAGAGATCTATTATATATCATGATGACTATAATTAATAACAATATACTGTATACTTGAAAATTACTGAGTGTGAGGTAATGCATATGTTAATTTGTTTGATTTAGCCATTCCACAATGTACACATAAAATTAAACCACGTTGTACACCATAAATATATAAAATTTTTATTTGTCAATTCAAAAACAGTTGGAAGAAACAAACGAGAAAAACAGAAGCACACAGCATGGTGGTTTGCTTTTTACTACGGTCTTTTTCATGTTCTTCTATGCACCTGTAACGCCCCCTTCAGGCATTTGTGTTCCACTTTCTAGGCTGGGCTCAGGGAGCCATCTCTGCCTTTTTCTAGTGCCTTGTGTCTGTGTATGTACCTCTCTCATCCTCACTATGCTATTAAAATCGATCTCTTTATATGTCTGTTTCTATCAGTGAATTACACACTTCTTGAGGGTGGTGACAGATATTATCTTTCAACCCTACTCATCATGATGCAATTGAAAAGTGGATGAGTTGATTTGCTGAAGGTTGAATTCTTGCAGGAGGCATGATGAAGAAGAAAAGCTTCACTTCTCTGGAGACAGGAAGTCTGAATTCTACTCTGTGGCTGCCACTTACAAGTACATAGGAACTGAAAACAAGGACACCATGTGAACTTGTATGGCCACTTTCAACGCTGAGCAGTGGCAGATGCTTTTGGTACTTTGCATCTCTTCCTCTCGGCCCCTTACTGATTTCAGCCACTGTGTCAGTGGACAATCTCTCAGAGTTCAGAGACTCATCTCTTGCTGGCAGCTATCTCCTGTTTTCCTGGGATTTGGCTCAGGAAAGAGGACACTGGAAGAGGCAGGGATTTTTGTCCTTGGGCAATCATTAACCAAGGACAATGGGAAGCTGTTGGAGAAAATTTTCAGCCTCTTGTCTTTGGCCAGAAGTGGGAGAGGTGGAAGGGGATGACTGCAGGGCGTTTGGTTTGCTTCTCAGAGGGCCCGGCAGAAAAAACCCACATTTATAACACAGCCTTATGTTTCCTTTCCTTCTTCTCACTCTTCTGCTCATTTATTTCAGCTTCCTGATATCTCCTTCCAAATAAACCACTTGCCCCCAAGTCTAAGTCCTTGTCTTAGGCTCTGCTATGGGGAAGACTCAAACCAAGACACCAGCCTAAGCGGCAGGGTTCTTAAGTGGTAACCTAATAAGGCCAGTACTTTTCTGTTTTGTTTCCACATAACACGTAATATGATTTTCCTCCCAGCCTGTGCATGCATTTTCTCATTGATGGTTAGGTCCAGCCAAGGACAACTTGACGGACTATTTTTTTTTTAATTGTCATTGTCTTAGAATATCTTCCCTCTATTTACTAGGCAAGATTTATGTAATTTTTGTATTTGTCTCATTTGTTGACAGGGAACCCTGAGCAGAACACATGCACAAACTCATGCCATACCCTAAGGGACAAGGTTCCCCACATCTACTTGGAAATCTTTGGGATGCTCAATGGTAAGTACTGTAAGTTGCAAGATTTCAAAAATATTCAGGAAGAAGAAATTTGTGAGCCAAGTAGCTCCAAGTCATTCAGCCTTCTGAGGTTACGCTGTCCTTTCAAATACAAATTCAATAAATGAGCCCTTCTTCCACAAATTCAATAAGTGATGCAGTTGACTAATACCCTTTCTCGTATTTCCCTGAGTCAATGAGTGAAAAGAAGTGGGTACAAGATGCTCTTGGCTTATATATTCTCCCATTTGACAAACTTCCTAGTATCCATTTCCTATATCACTTTCTTTAGCTCTGGAGCTATTATCCTCCTGGTACCTGTCTCCTGCCTATACCAATTCATTCCAAGCCAGAAAGGAGTACCTTTCCTTCAAAACCTTCTGTATCATTAACTCAGGGCTGTAACAGAGAATTTACTTTACCTGAAGGTTTGGTCATGTAGCACAAATAAGGAAACGACCTCAAATAGAATAAGTGAATCACCTTTCCTAAGTTCATTAGCCATTTCTGCTTTAGGGGACTGATATTTTTTATGCTTTTTTTTTTTTTTTTGGCTCCTGGCCTGCTACTATTTTTGTGGGTCTGCTCTCTTGTGCCACAGTCTTTTCCCCCTTTTCTTCAAGTCCTTAAATTCACCTCCCACCCATTTCAGACAAAACCTTTTTACAACACACATTATTACTGCATGTGGAACTTACCGATCATTTGTTAAATGGAACAATTTAGCTATTTAGCTTCCTTTGTGTCAACCTTCTCATTCCAGACTCTGCCCTAGACATTGCCTTTTGTAACAAAAAGTCCCAATAAAATGTTCTCTCAAACAAACTGCGGGTTGGCAATGCACATTTAACAATATAAGGATTGGCAGAAACTTTGAAAATCACAGCTCTTCTTTAACTGTTTAAAGATAAAATTCTTAGGTGGTCTCCAGGTCGAAGCATTACTCATGACTGCTCTGTCAGGGGCTTTGTTAGAGGAAGCAGGATGGTGGCAGAGTTCTTTGCTCCTTCTCGGGACATAAAATCTGCGGGTCAGAGTGGCCCCACCTGCCTCCCTCTCTTCCACAGTCAAACACAGCCTAGACTGCCTGATTTGGGGTGCAGTCCTACTGACAGCTCCACTTTATGTCTCTGGTGGATTTCTCAGGTTTGCATCATGGTCAGGGACCAGAATAAAAGAAAGTGAACTGGGAAATTTTTAGGGTCAGAAAAGGAGTTTTAAACTCATACACACTTTATCAAAATCTTTTTTTTTGAGACAGAGTCTCACTCTGTCGCCCAGGCAGGAGTGCAGTGGCACGATCTTGGCTCACTGCAAGCTCCGCCTCCTGGGTTCGAGTGATTCTCCTGCCTCAGCCTCCTGAGTAGCTGGAACTACAGGCATGTGCCACCACATCTGGCTAATTTTTGTATTTTTAGTAGAGATGGGGTTTCACCATGTTGGCCAGGCTGATCTCGAACTCCTGACCTCAAGTGATCCGCCCGCCTCAGCCTCCCAAAGTGCTGGGATTACAGGCATGAGCCATCGTGCCCGGCCAAAATCTCTTTTCTTGAGTTGGGCTTATGGTGTGGCACTGACTGCTGTTGGACTGCTGCATCACGAGGCTAATAGAGCTTTTCTAAAATTCAGCAATCCAGGCTCTAGCTTCTGAGGATGTGTGGGGTGGGAAATGCAGGGAGCTAGTATTGCTGAGATCTTCAGACTCTCTCTGAATACTTTTCCTAGACCCAATCTCTTTCTCCCTCCTTTCTGAGACTAATCAGTGACACAGATATTAGATATTTGGTGATTGTCCCATAGGTCCCTGAGGCTCTGTTCAGTTTTTTCCCAGTCGATTTGCTCTTTGTTGTTCAAATTGGAAAAGTCCTATTCTACAACTTCACTGATCCTTTTTTCCTCTCCATTCTGCTGTTGAGACTATCCATTAATTTTTTTAAGGTATAGTATTTTTCAATTATAAAATTTCCATTTGGGTCTTCTTTATATCTTCTATCTCTTCACTGAGACTTTCTGTTTTTCGTTTGTCTCAAACACATTCATAAGTGTTTATTGAAGCTTTTTTATAATTGCTGTTTTAAAATTATTGTTAGATATTCCTGGCCTTTGTGTCATTTTGGTGTTGGTGTTTGTTGATTATCTTTTCTCATTTATGTTGAGATTTTCCCAGTTCCTAGTATAAGAGATTTTTGATAGAAACCTGGACATTTAGGGTATTATCAGACTCTGGATCTTATTGATCTGGTATAACAGTCTTCTTCTGGTAATGCTTTGGTGGGTGAAAGGGGCACTGTCTCCTTATTTCCAGGTGGGGCTACAAGTATTGAAGTCCCAGTTCCCAAGTCAGCCTCTGTTGACTCCTGAAGATAGGCAATTCTTATTACTGCTGAATGGGCAGGAGACTTCAGGCTTTTCCCTGGTTCTCTGTGACATCACCCTGGCATGGAGAGGCAGGAGTGGCTCCACTGTCACTATGAGACAAGGATGTCCTTTTTACCACTGAGCTTGTTCTAAGTTTCCTCTGGACCTCCTCTGTTGATAAGCTAGTGGGGACTTGAGGAGTGAGGCTGGAAGTCCAGCCTCCCTGCCAACACCTCAGGGATGAAGGTGAGGTCTTCTCATTGCCTGGCATCATAAAAACCTCTGCTTCCATCTGGGCTTTCTTTGATATCACTCTGGTGGGAGGCTTGGGGTGCCTCATTAGAGTTAGCAAAGGTGCCCAACTTGGCCTTTGTTTGGGAGCATACAGTTATTTTCTATAGTGCCTGGCTAGAGTAGAATGCTTATTTTCTAAAAATTTTCTATCTTTCCGGGATGCTCTTTTTTGGATAATAAGAGCAAGCTTTCTTTGGGCTTTTTTTTTTTTTTTTGCCCATACATATTGGTATTTCTGGATTGTTGACTTGGGATAGATGAGGCATAGAAAACCCAAAGAAACAGAAGCCTAGAAAACTCACTACTATGTCTTTCCTTGGGTCCCGAGGTCCCTAGGCAGCCTGCATTCTTCCTTCCACATTTCAAAGTCTTCTTATGTCTGTTTTTTATATAATGTCCTAGTGTCTTTTTTTCTTTTCTTTAACTCGTAGTTGGGAGAAGAGCAGGAGGAATGGGGAAAAATACATCTACTTCATTTTTCCAGTAGTGAGAATGTCTGATGTATTTAAGTTAGAGAACTCTAAGATAGAGTGGGATTAGAGCCTTTGAAGTGTGCCACTCATCTAACCAATCTTCAGAGCTGTAGAGGATCACTGGGCTCTGACCAGACTCTCACTGTCTGGTTACTTGATCTAGGCTACCCATGAACCACAAAGTCTCTGGCTGTAGAAGGGATGGTGCCTTCTCCTGCCCTGATTTCTACCATATCCCAACCCATACTTCCATCTCTCTACCCTTTATTGTTAGATATGTGTCTTTTCACTTACTTTCCCTATGTATTTCCCAATGTCTGGTCTATCTCTGTACTACATTGAAAAATTGAATAAAAATACTCTGTAGTCTAAAGAATGAGTACCAAAAGGGAGAAAATAATTATAATTATGCTATTATTTGGCATGTTTGTTCATATCAAATTTAATTTAGTAATTTCCCCCTTCAAGTGGGCTTTTTAAACTTTTCTAAAAACAGAAAAATAACTTTTCTTAAAAGAAAACGTTTTGATTCTCTTCATAAAAAAAGTGTGTATGTGTTATATTGCTGAATGGTAGAGAAAGACAAAGTAATGTTGGAAGTAATGCATGCAGAAAAAAGGTCTCAGTTCAGATACTGTCTCTGTGCTGTTGGAAAACTGTTTGTGTAATTATTTTTAATTCCAAATGCCGCAGTATTCACAAAATTACTGTTTTTTCCCCTGGTAATGAGAATTAAGAAAGGCCAGACAGAAAGAAAGTGAAATAGAGTGATTACTAATGCAGAAAGTGTGTTTAACCCCAGAATCCTAATATCAGTTAAACTAATATTATGGCTTCATGATTTTGTTTAAAAATTAATTTTCCCTCTCTAAAGTGTTTGACAAGCTAGTTTTTGCTACCAGCCATGTCTCAATGGATATGAACTGACTGGAAACTTTGGACATCCATAGAAATATTTATTGAATTTTTGAATAATAAGGTTATCCACCAAACAATAAGCAAGCACATGTTCATGTTTGTTGAGCAACTGTTCCTAGTTGAAGTACAAATTTGGGTTAGAGAATTCAGAAGGAAGAGCAAAGTATGCTAAGTTGTTTGCATGGATTATACATCTATAGATAATAAAAAACAAATAAACCAATCAATCAACCAAACAAACCTTAACTGAAAACACAATGAACATAAGACAAGTTTATTCTCTATTAGAACAAAAAAACATGACAACAGTGTGTGTTAAACACAGTTCTTTTCTATGGAGTTCATGTTCAACTTTTCTCTATGCAACTTTTTATGCTTGGGATAGCTTAAAGGAAAGAAGGGTGAATATGAGTTTCTACTATTCCTTCACTTATAAAGGAAATCTAACCTGGTGGAAAGACCATAGGATTCATACTCTACAACTGCCTGTTCAATGAGAAAATACCTTCTCAAGATCATGCTTGTCTCCACTAGAGCAGAGTGGGGCGGGGTGGGGGGACTGCTCTTATTTATTAAAATGGATGCCACTTTTTTGTTAGCTTCTGATTGTTAAAGTCATTCCTTATATGGAGCTGAACTTTTCCTCTGTGTTCTAGTTTTGTCTTATGCAGCAAATCTCTTCCAGTATCTCTTCTGTACGATGGGCTTTATTTACTATTTTACATGCGCATGTTTTAAATTCAATTATTTGAGAATTAGTTGCTTTAGCTTTGCATGACACTTCACTCCTTATTCATGACACTTCACTCCTACATACTTAAATGAGTATCTCAGAAGAACAAGAAGATTCTCCTCAAACCCACAATGCAGTGATCACACTCAAGACATTTAAAATTGATATAATACCATTATCTAATATATAGGCTTTAGAAAAAGTTCTTCAATTGTCTCTATGCAGTCTTTAAAATGTTTTTTAACTTTATTTTTAATTAACAAATATTATAAATAATTGGTATATATTATATATTTATGGGGTCTTGATGTGATGTTTTGATATTTGTTTACATTGTGGAATGATTAAATCAAACTAATTAACAAATTCATCCCCTCACATACTCATTATTTTTTTGTGGTGGGAACATTTAAAATCTACTCTTTAATTGTTTTTTATAATCACCATTCTGTGCAATAGATCACTAAAGCTTATTCCTCCTATCTAACAGAAATATTTTGCCCTTTAATAAACACATATGATAGACTTTAAATGCTTTTTTCTTCTGTAAGATCTCTTCAGTAGACTATTCATTATTGACAGAACTTGTAGACATTTACCATCATAATAATCTCCTTCCTTCAATGTTCCCTGTTATGGATAGAATGTTTGTGTCTAACATTTGTATTTCAAAATCTAACCCACAATGTGATGGTGATATAGTTTGAATATTTGTCCCCACCCAAATCTCATACTGAAATATAATTCCCAATTACATGGGGCCAGGTGGGGCCTGGTAGAGGTGTTTGGATCATTGAGGTGGATCCCTCAGGAATGTCTTGGGCCATCCCCTTCATGATAAGTGAGCCCTCGCACTGAGTTCACGTGAGATCTGGTGGTTTACAAGTGTGCAGCACCTTCCCCGACTCCCCACTGTTACTCTTGCTCCCGCTCTGGCCATGTGAGAAGGCTGCTCCCGCTTTGCCTCCTGCCATGAGTAAAAGCTCCCTGAGGCTTCCCCAGAAGCCCAGCAGATGCCAGGGCCATGCTTCCTGTACAGCGTGTAGAACTCCAAGCCAATTAAGCCTCTGTTCCTTATAAAGTATCCAGTCTCAGACATTTCTTTATAGCAAAGCAAGAATGGCCTAACACAGATGGTATTTGAAGGTGGAGTCTTCAGGAGGTAATTAGGTCATGAGGATGGAGCCCTCACAAATGGGATTAGTGCCCTTATAAGAAGAGGACAGAGAGCTCTTGCTCTCTTTCCACCATGGGAGGATACATTGAGGAGTTGGAAGTCTGCAACCCAGAAGGGGATCTTTGTTAGAATCCCACAATGATTGGACCCTGATCTCAGACTTCCAGCCTCAAGAATGTTTGTTGTTTAAGTACTAGTCTATGGTATTTTGTTACAGTAGCCCAAACTGATCAAGACACTCCCTATATTGCAAATGCACCTTCTAAAATGTGATAGAAATATTGGTTTAAGAAAATTTCAATTCAGCACAATTCAATTCAACAATGCAGGGAACAATCATCAAGCATTTATAATTTGCCAGGCACTCTATTAGGCCCTAGGGCTATATCAGTGAACATGAAAGATGATCTCCATTTGTCTTCCTGAAGATCACAGTCAGCCAAGACAGATATTCAATATTATTGAATAATTCATTAGTGGTAACAACTGTGATGAGCATTGCAAAAGAGGTTGTAAAGTTGTCTAAAGCAAGGGGAATTTAATCCTGGAGAATCATGGAAGCCCTCTATGATGAGGAGATATGAAGTGAAGACTTGAAACATGAGTAGAAATTAGAAGGATTTCTAATAGAAATTTTCTGGGATAACAGAGGTCCAGGCAATGGAAGTGGTACATGGGGAAGATGTGGGGCTGAGAGGTGCCTGAGAGCCAAGGGACACAGTGTTTAAGAAGAGGATTCCAAGTTCCTCTATCAATGCAGCAGGTCCTGCGTGGCCATTATTAGGTAATGGGGAACTCGCTGTTCAAAAAGGAGTAATACCTCCACTCTCTTCTTTCTGGGTCTTGCTATTTAGCTTTTACACTCTTTCCTTTTATTTCCTTGCACCATGGTGTTGACAACTATCTTGGTTATGTGAACATATTACTTCAATAATAAAGCTTTAAATGTTTCACTTATGGAAAAAGTGCTCAAGGCAGATAATCTCTCTTCTTCCTCCTTAGTTATATTTTTGTGTCACAATAATCAATTAGATAAAGACAAATCAGTGTCCATTGGGTTTAGCAGCAAGTAGCTCACTGGTAACATCACAAAGAGCCCTTAGTGGCTTAGTGAGAGAAAACCAGATTGCAGCGGGGTGGGGAGTGAATAGGAGGTGAGCTAGAGACTACAGGGAATGCAGCCACTCTTAAAAATCTTAGTTGTCGGGGCAAGAAGAGAGATAGTGTAAGCATCTAGAAGAAAAGAGGAAAAAAAATGTCTTTTTTATTATTATACTTAAAGTTCTGGGGTACATGTGCGGAACGTGCAGTTTTGTTACATAGGTATATACGTGCCATGGTGGTTTGCAGCACCCATCAACCCGTCACCTACATTAGGTATTTCTTCTAATGCTATCTCTCCCCTAGCCCCTCACCCCCTGACAGGCCCCCATGTGTGATGTTCCCCTCCCTGTGTCCATGTGTTTTCATTTTTCAACTACCACTTGAGACCATGGCAAGCTTAAATATTTCTGGAAGAGCAATAGTATTTTGCAAAAAGTTAAAAATAGAGAAAAAGTTTTTCCTAAATGATGCCTCATCTGTGAATTTTGATGATTTCCAATTTGGCTTAAAAGGTAAATTTAATATACAAATAATGACTAGGACAAGAGCCTAGTTGTATGATTTTAAAAAAGTAAAAAAAGAAAATTAAGTAGTATGTATTATGGAGACATTTGGGTAGAATGGACAATACATTCAAAAGGTTACCATCTAAAAATCAACTTGGGCTGGAGGTTTAGAAATAGAAAAGATTTTGAAGCTTGCCTGCCTTACCAAAGTAAGGGAGTTACTTAGCCTTTCCAAGCCCATGCTTTCTGCCTGTAAAAAGGGGATTATGATGCTGAATTTGAATGTTTTTATGTTTGTGAAGAAGAGGTAGTCCTTGTAAAGTTCCTGGTATGGTTGATGTACAATAAATGATAGTTCATATAAAAGACTTAATAGAACACAGGCCTTGAAGGACAGAGAGGTTTTATGCTGTCATGCTTTGCACAGAACAGTTGTTCTGAGAATCAGGAATAAAAGAGAAGTGAAATGCACACGGTGAACAAAATATATGAAGCTACAGAACATATGTGAGGGAAGATATGTTGGGTCCACATATCATGTAGGAAAGTTTAACTGTGTTCATATTAGGAAAATCTGGGCATCAGATATGTGGAAGCTAACTCATATCCTGTAATTCAGATTATAAATGGTAATTATATTTTCTATCATAACAGGTACAAATCTCAGTCCAAACTAAACCAGGTGTGTAAGAAACATTATTTTTCTATGTATTAATGGAATTTTTCTTTGAATCCTCCATTTCCCTAGGATATCAGACACTAAAACTCTTTCTCTTTTCCCTGGGCTGTGTTTAAGTTCAAGGGAGACTTATGTAAGTGTGAGGTATTGCATGACTCATCTTGTCCTTGAGCCATCTGTCCACACAGATATCTGCTGACCATTCCATGGTGCCACTTGGTCCTTGCTCACCAATCCATGCAGTAAACTGTCAAGACAATTCTCATTCTTGTCTACCTTGGACTTCAGGTCTAATGGATCACTCTGGTACTTTCATGCTATGCTTGAAAACTGGGGCATCATTCCATTTCTTCCATGCTATTCTCTGGCAAAGGATTTATCCTGGGACTTATCTATGACCCTATTTGCCTTCATATGGAATGTGGGGCTTTATCACTTCTCGGGGTTTATTATCTAAGAAGAGGGGCAAATATCCAAATTTATTCTCTGGCTTTAATACTAAATTGGTATCTTGCTCCTTCACTGAAATTCTAATTTGGAGAGTGGAGTCAATGTTCTGTCTCTAAACCACCTTAATTTGTTTTTCTTCTGCTATTCCCTATGCTTTTAGCCTTCTGGGGAAATCCCTTCCTGTTCACATCTTGATAGGTTCCTCCCAAATTCATTTTTGCCCCTAAAAATAAACCCCTTTTAGCTTTAAGATTTTGGAAACATATAAATCAGAGACTTAGAGGAAGTTTCCTTTTTGCACTCTACCCTGTAACACCTGCATCCTCAGGAAATAACTCAGAATGGACTATTTGCCTGAATTGGCTGAATAGATAGGAAAGGGAAAGTGGGAACTTTAGGGAAAAATAATTTATAATTCAACAACTGGTGACAATGACAATACATTGCATTACTTTACAACTTGCTATACAATTGTAAATTGATAAAGACCCTATATCGGTCATTTCACTTTGGCTATTTTCCTCCAGCAATGCACCTCAGTACATTTTTATTCATTTGCATTCTTCATTTTCATGTCTTGGAAAAAAAATTTCTGTACAAATTCCTGTAGCTTAACTAACCAAAATTTAGATTATTTGGCAGAAATGTTAGTGTCTGGCAATCACAATTCTGAGATTGTAGTGGCAACATTTTAATATGGTCGTATGGGTCTTGCCGTTCATCTTACAAAGGAAATTACTTCAACCCAGACTTTTTTCTCCTGGAATATTCCTGGAAAATCAATATTGATTCTTGTCCAAGGTTCTCGGTCACTTCTCAGTGACATAAAATCACTTTTGGAAGGTTTGTGCAAAGTTGTGTAGCATATACTATGTTAATATTTTATTCAATATAAATATTTTATCCAAAAGTTATCGATTCTACTGTCTTGTGTTGCCATGTTGAATTTTTTTTGCATTTTCTTTTGCATGCCAACTTTTTACTAGTACTATTTCTTAATATTACATGTTTACCTGTAACATGTATTTTAACTATTTTCATATACTGTCAATAGAAACATGCACATTTTGTACATTGTGCTTTGTTTTTTTTTTTCTTTGGTGGGACACACGCAGTGTGACCCAGTTGTTTTCCATCATTTCGTTGTGCTAAATTAGGAATGTTGGTCATATCAAACATTAAAAATGACCATTCTTAAATTAAAATTAACTTTTAAGTGTTTATAAGAGTATAAGCATTTAAAATAACTTCATGCTGTGAAGCGATCTGAGATCTGTAATATTTTTGTCATGAACTGTACTGCTCCTAATTATTGTAATAAAAATAGTTATGGTAAAAAATTTTATTCAATATAAAAATCAATTAACGGGTTGGTAGATTTCCACTTTCAGTCAGTGCCTTCATAGAAATACATTCCTGATCTAGCTATGTAAGATGAACAACATGGATGAGTTCCATTTGGAAGGAGATTTTCTATTTATAAGTGCTTTTATTCTCCAGGGAGTTTCTCTACTAGATATCCTCTCCACATGAGCCTTAAGATAATTTACCAACCCCCGAGACACCTGTGGGATATGTTCTAACACCAGTATTTTCAGTGACACAACACAATATGATGAGAATTTAATATTGCTTTTCTAAATGTCCAAATATTTAGACAAGTATGTCCTAGGCTTTGGACATATATCTTCAGTACTGGATAAAGGAATTTATAATTAAGAGTAATACTACCCTTTGGGAGGAGTTATACATGTATTCTGAGTGGGTATGATGTTATTCTTGAATAACTGATATCTTGGGGCCATCTGGCATTTTGTGGCTAGTCACTGCATCAATACCATATGGTGAAGTGTCAGGGGCAGGAAACCATGGTTTATTTCATTTGCTTTGATAATAAAGACTCAGAAGTCAGTAACTTCTTGACAGTCTTGAAAGTGTCCCCAAGTTGGAGAGCAATGAAATAATGAAAGGGTTAGATAATAAAATAATGAACAGGCTGAGCAAAGAATGTATGTGTGTGTGTATGTGTGTGTGTGTATGTGTGCATGCAACACATAGAGTTGCCTCAAGGATATGTGAAGACCTGATTTTGTCTCTGGAGCAAGTAAATTATAGTTGGTGTTACTATTAAGGGTAAGAGTGAAATAATTCAAGCAGACAAATATTTTGAAAGGTAATAATTTCATTTTTCTCTTTCCACCTGATGTGGAAAAGTGAGGGTGGCCTTATGAAGTCTGTCTCTGAGTATGTCCAATATTAGTCCTGCAGTTAGGATTATTCACCTAGGATCTCACAACAGGAATCCCATATATCAGGGCTTTCATCAGAAGCATTGAAGCATTCTGGGGGATGCAGAATTTCCAAACCACTTAGCCTAGAGTGCTTCTCAGTAGGTATCAGTTTGAATGTTTGTAGTAACATCTGTAATGATCAAAATCATTGCCATATATTTGGACCAGAACTTTAAATACAGGTCTTACCATGTTATTGTATTTATTTTAAATTTCTTTGTCTTTTTAAGTGTTATATTATTTTAAATTGACAATAATTGTGTATATTTATGGGAGGGATACAATGTGATGTTCCATGCATACATAGTGGAATGATCAAATCAGGATAATTGGCATATTGATCACAAGTATTTATCATTTCCTTGTCATGAAAATCCTCTTTTCTAGCTTTTTGAAATCTAAAATACCTTAATATTAATATTAAGTTATTAATATTCACTATAGTTACTGTACTGTGCCATAGAACACCAGAACTGATTCCTCCTATATAACTGAAAGATTGTACCTATTAACTCTCCGCATCCACACCATCCCTTCATCCCCTGCCTGTAAAACCACCATTCTACTCCCTGCTTCTATGAGTTCAACTATCTGAGATTCCACATGAGTGAGATCATATGGTATTTGCTTCCCCGTGTCCGGCTTATTTCATGTAACATAATGTCCTTTAGGTCCATCCGTGTTGTCACAAATAACATAATTTTATTTTTTAAAAAAGGCATATACATATAAGGTGGGTTTGCTAGATGATATGGTAATTTTATTTTTAGTTTTTTGAGGAACCTCCTTATTGTTTTCCAAAATAGCTGTGCTAACTTACAATACTACCAACAGTGTATAAGGGTTTCACATCCTCCTCAACCCTCTGTGGGTACATAGTAGGCGTATGTATTTGTGAGGTTCACGAGATGTTTTGATTCGGGCATTCAATGTGAAATAAGCACATCATGGAGAATTGGGGTATCCATCCCCTCAAGCGTTTATCCTTTGAGTTACAAACAATCTAATTACATTATTTAAGTTTATTTAAAACATACAATTAAGTTATCATTGACTATAGTCTCCCTACTGTCCTATCAAATAGTAGGTCTTATTCATTCTTTCTAAATTTTTGGTACCCACTAACCACCCCAACCTGCCCCCCCAACCCCTCACCACCATTTCCACCCTCTCATAAACCATCCTTCAACTCTCTATGTCAATGAGTTCAATTGATTTGATTTTTAGATCCCACCATGGGATGTTTGTCTTTCTGTACCTGGCTTATTTCACTTAACATAATGATCTCCAGTTCCATCCACATTGTTGCAAATGACTGGATCTCATTCTTTTTTATGGTTGAAAAGTACTCCATTGTGTATATGTACCACATTTTCTTTATCTATTCATCTGTTGATGGACACTCAGGTTGCTTCCAAATTTTAGGTATTGTAAACAGTGCTGCAAGAAATATAGAAGTGCAGATATCTCTTTGGTATACTGATTTTCTTTCTTTTAGGTATATACCCAGCAGTGGGATTGCTGGAGTATATAGTAGCTCCATTTTTAGTTTTTTGGGAACCCTCCAAACAGTTCTCCATAGTGGTTGTACTAATTTACATTTCCACTAACAGTGTACAAGGATTGATTCCCTTTTCTCCGCATCTTAGCCAGCATTTGTTATTGCCTGTCTTTTGGATATAAGCCATTTGAATTGGGGTGAGATAATCTCTCCTTGTAGTTTTTATTTGCATTTCTCTGGTGATCAGTGATGCTGAGCACCTTTTCATGTGTGTGTTTACCATTTGTATGTCTTCTTTTGAGAACCATCTATTTAAATATTTTGCCTATTTTAAAAATCAGATTATTAGATTTTTTTTTCTGCAGAGTTGTTTGAGTTCCTTATATATTCTAGTGATTAATCCCTTGTCAGAGGAATAGCTTGCAAATATTTTCTCCCATTCTTTGGGTTGTCTCTTCACTTTGTTGATTGTATCCTTTGCTTTACAGACGCTTTTTAACTTGATGCAGTCCCATTTGTTCATGTTTGCTTTGGTGCCTGTGTTATGGGGTATTGCTCATGAAATCTTTGCCCCGCCCAGTGTCCTGGAGAGATTCTCAATGTTTTCTTTTATCAGTTTCATAGTTCGAGGTCTTAGATTTAAGACTTTAATCCATTTTAATTTGATTCCAAAGTGCTGATCCCAAACTTGAGTGCCTGCAAACCTCCCATCAAGGGCCAAAGTGCTCTTAGTCCATAAGTAAACTTGAAAGGGAGTCTAGGCCTTAAGGAGTGCGACTCATAGGCAAGTCCTAGGGCTAAACTAAGCCCAGAGACAGTGGATTGTGAGGGGCATGTGACATACTGAGACACCAGCTGGGGCAGCCAAGGGAGTGCTGGCATTATTCCTCCTCTAGCCCAGAGGTGGCACAACTCACAGCTCCAAAAGACACGCCTGCCTTCTGCTTGAGGAGAGGAGAGGGAAGAGTGGGGAGGACTTTGTCTTTCATCTTGCATACCAGGTCAGTTACAGCAGGATAGGGCACTGGTCAGAATCAAGAGGCCCCTGTTTCAGGCCCTAGCTCCCAGACGACATTTCTAGACACACCCTGGGCCAGAAGGGAAGCTGCTGCCTTGAAAGGAAGGACCCCGCCCTGGCAGCATGTATCTCCTGCTAACTGGAGAGCCCTTGGGCTCTGAATAACAAGCAGTGATACCCATATTCTAAATCAAGGGACTTGGTGAATGTCTGAGACTTGCTGGCTTCAGATACTTATACTACCACAGCAGGGTAGAGCACCAAGTGGGTTCTTGGGGTCCCTGATTCCAGGACTTGACTCTTAAATGGCATTTCTGGACCTGCCCTGAGCCAGAGCGGAGCCTACTGCCCTGAAGTGTGAGTCCCAGGCCATGCAGCATTTACTGCAAGCTGATTTAAGAGCCCTTGGGCCTTAAGGGAACATCAGTGGTAGTCTGGCAGTACTCCTTATGGCCAGGAGTGATGGTGGTGGTTGCTACAGAGTGAGGCTCCTCTGCCTTTGGAAAGGGGAGGGAAAAGTGGGAAGGACTGCATCTTGTGGTTTGAGTGTCAGCTCAGTCACAATAGAATACCAGGTAGACTTCTACCTGTAGACTTCTATGTTTTTTGACTCTAGTCTTTGACTCTTGGACTGCACTTCAGGACCCATCCAGGGCCTGGGGAACCTTGCTGCCCTGAAGGGAAGAGTGTTATGACATGTTTGAAGTGCTTAAGGAAAATAACTTTTATCCTGTAATAGTATATCTGGTAAAAATATCCTTCAAACATGAAAGAGAAATAAAGACTTTCCCAGACAAACAAAAGCTGAGGGGTTTCATTAATATCAGACTCATCCTACAGAAATACTAAAAAGAGTACTTCAATGAGAACAAAAGGACATTAATGAACAATAAATAATCACCTTAAGGTACAAAACTTACTGGTAATAGTAAGTACCCAGAAAAACACAGACTATAATAACACTGATATTACTGCCTCATATGGTAGTTCCTTTTTCAGTTTTGGAAGGAACCTCCAGATTATTCTTCACTGTGGCTGTACTAATTTACACTTCCACCAGTGGTGTATGAGGCTTCCCCTATTTCCACATCCTCACCAGCATTTGTTATTGCCTATATAAAAGCCATTTTAACTGGGGTAAGGTGGTATCTCATTGCAGGTTTGACTTGCATTTGTCTGATGATTAGTGATATTTGGCCTTTTTTTCAATACCTGTTGATCATTTGTATGTCTTCTTTTGAGAAATGTCCATTTAGATTCTTCACCCATTTTTAAATAAGATTATTTGATTTTTTTCTATCAAGTTGTTTAAGCTCCTTATATATTCTAGTTATTAATTGCTTGTCGGGTGGGTAGTTTGCAAATATTTCCTTCCATTCTGCAGGTTGTCTCTTCATTTTGTTGGTGTTTCCTTTGCTATGCAGAAGCTTTTTAACTTGTTTTACCTATTATCATTTATTATTTATTTATTTTTGCTTTGGTTGTCTGTGCTTTTGAGGCCTTACTCAAGAAATCTTTGCTCAGACCAATGAGTTGGAGATTTTCGTGAAGTTTTCTAGTAGATTCAAAGTTTCAGGTCTTGGATTTAAGTCTTTAATCCATTTTGATTTGATTTTTATATATGGTGAGAAATAGAGGTCTAGCTTCATGCTTCTGCATGTGGCTGTCCAGTTTGCTCAGCACCATTTATTAAAGAGACTAAAGAGACTATGCTTTCCCAATGCATGTTCTTGGAACTTTCGTCAAAAATGAGTTTACTGTTAATGGATAGATTTATTTTTAGGGTCCTTATTCTGTTGCCTTGACCTATGGATCTGTTTTTATGGCAGTACAATGCTCTTTTGGTTACCATAGCTCTCCAGTATAATTTGAAGTTAGGTAATATGATTTCTCTAGTTTTGTTCTTTTTGCTCAGGATAGCGCCTGTTCAGGCTCTATTATGGCTCCATATAAATTTTAGAATTATTTTTTCCTTGTGAAGAATAGAATTGGTGTTTTGGTAGTGACTGCATTTAAACTGTAGATAGCTTTGGGTAGTATGTGCATTTTAACAATATCAAATTTTCCAATCCATGAGCATGAGCATCTTTCCATTTTTTGTGCGTCCTCTTCAATTTCTACATTTATTATTATTTTTAAAAGTCATGAAGAACTATAGACAACTTCTTCAATCAATATTTTATAGTTTTCATTGTGGAGATCTCTTACTTCTTTGGTAAATTCCTAGGTATTTTATTTTATTTGTAGCTATTATAAATGAGATATTTTCTTTATCTCTTATTCAGATTGCTCATTGTTGATATATAGAAATGCTACTGATTTTTGGCCCGGTGCAGTGGCTCACACCTGTAATCCCAGCACTTTGGGAGGCCAGCGGGGTGATCACCTGAGATCAGGAGTTTGAGACCAGCCTGACCAACATGGTGAAACTGTGTCTCTACTAAAAATACAAAATTAGCCAGGTGTGGTGGCACATGCTTGTAATCCCAGCGACTTGGGAGGCAGAGGTTTCAGTGAGCCGAGATTGCACCATTGTACTCCAGCCTGGACAACAAGAGTGAGACTCTGTCTTAAAAAAAATATAAAAAAAGAAATGCTACTGATTTTTGTATGTTGAACTTTGTATCTTGAAACATTACTGAACTTGTTTATCAGTTCTAACAGTTTTCTTGTGGTCTTTAGGGTTTTTGGTTTTTCTCTATATAAGATCATATAATCTGCAAACATGGATAATTTGACTTATTTCTTTCCAATTTTGATGGCCTTTATTTTTTTCTCTTGTCTGATTGCTCTAGCTAGGACTTCCAGTACTATGTTGAATAACAGCGGTGAAAGTGGCCATCCTTGTTGTCTTCCAGACCTTACAGGAAAGGTGTTCAGTTTTTCCCCATTCAGTATGGTACTAGCTGTGGGTCTGTCTTATATAACTTTTATTATGTTGAGATATGTTCCTTCTATACCAAGTTTTTTTTTTTTATCATGAATGAAGGGATGTCAAATTTTATCAAATGGTTTTTCAGCATCGATTTAAATGATCATATACTTTTTGTCCTTTGTTCTGCTGATATGATGAATCATATCAGTTGATTTGTATCTGTTGAACCATCCTTGAATCCCTGGGATAAATTTCACCTGGTCGTGATGAATGATCTTTTAAATGTATTGTTGAAAATGTTTGCTAGTATTTTGTTGAGAATTTTTGCAACAATATTCATCAGAGATATTGGCTTGCAGTTTTCTTTTTTTGATGTGCCTTTCTCTGGTTTTGGTATCAGGATAATACTGGCCTTATAGAAGGAGTTTGGAAGTATTCCCTCCTCCTTGAATTTTTTGGAATAGATTGAGTAAGACTGGTATTAGTTTTTCAAATATTTGGTAGAATTCAGCAGTGAATCCATCAGGTATTGGGCTTTTCTTTGATCGGAGACTTTATTACAGCTTTGATCTCATTACTTGTTATTTGTCTATTCAGATTTTGGATTTTTTCATGGTTCAATCTTTGCAGGTTGTATGTATCTAGGAATATATCCATTTTTTTCTAGGTTTTCAAATTTTTTGGCATACATTTTCTCATAGTAGTCTCTAATGATTCTTTGAATTTCTGTGGTTTTAGTGTAATGTCTTCTTTTTCATCTCAATTTTATTTATTTGACTTTTCTCCCTTTTTTCCCCATAGTCTGGCTAAAGGTTTGTATTAGTCCATTTTCACACTGCTGATAAAGACATATGTGAGACTGGGAAGAAAAAGAGGTCTAATGGACTCACAGTCCCACATGACTGGGGAGGCCTCACAATCATGGCAGAAGGCAAGGAGGAGCAAGTCAAGTCTTGCATGGATGGCAGCAAGGCAAAGAGAGAATGAGAATGAAGCAAAAGTGGAAACTCCTTATAAAACTGTCAGATCTTGTGAGACTTATTCACTATCATGAGAACAGTATGGGGGAAACCGGCTCCATGATTCAATTATCTCCCACCAGGACCCTCTCACAACATGTGGGAATTATGGGAATACAATGTAAGATGAGATTTGGGTGGGGAAACAAAGACAAACCATAACATTCCACCCTTGCCCCCTGCCAAATCTCATGTCCTCACATTTCAAAATCAATCATGCCTTCCCAACAGTCCCCCAAAGTCTTGACTCATTTCATCATTAACTCAAAAGTCCACAGTCCAAAGTCTCATCTGAGACAAGGCAAGTCCCTTCTGCCTATGAGCCTGTAAAAATAAGTTAGTTACTTCCTAGGTACAATGGGGTACAGGCAATGGGTAAATATACCTGTCCCAAATTGGGGGAAGTTGGCCAAACAAAGGGGCTACAGGCCTCATGCAAGTCTGAAATCTAGCAGGACAGTCAAATCTAAAAACTGCAAAATGATCTCCTTTAACTCCATGTCTCACATCTGCATCACGCTGATGCAAGAGGTGGGTTACTGTGGTCTTGGGCAGCTCTGCTCCTGTGGCTTTGTGGGTACAGTCTCGCTCCTGGCTGCTTTCATGGGCTGGTGTTGAGTGTCTGTGGCTTTTCCAGGCAAACAGTGCAAACTATCAATGGATCTCCCATTCTGGGGTCTGGAGGACAACTCGTCTCACAACTCTGCTAGGCAGTGCCCCAGTAGGGATACTGTGTGGGAACTCCAACCCCACATTTTCCTTCTGCACTGCCTTAGCAGAGGTTCTTCATGAGAGTCCTGCTTCTTCAGAAAACTTCTGCCTGACATCCAGGCATTTCCATATATTGTCTGAAATCTGGGCAGAGGTTCCCAAACCCCAATTCTTGACTTCTGTGCACTGGCAGGCTCGACACCATGTGGAAGCTGCCAAGTCTTGCAGCTTGCACCCTCTGAAGCCACAGCCTGAGCTCTACATTGTCCCCGTTAAGCCACAGGTGGAGCAGCTGGGAACCAGGGCAGCAAGTCCCTAGGCTACACACAGCAGGGGGACCCTGGGCTCGGTCCACATAACCACTTTTTCTTCCTAGGCCTCCGGTCTGTGATGGGAGGGGCTGCTGTGAAGACCTCTGACATGCCCTGGAGACATTTTCCACATTATCTTGGGGACTAACATTCAGCTTCTTGTTACTTATGCAAATTTCTGCAGGTGGCTTGTATTTCTCCTCAGAAAATGGTATTTTCTTTTCTATTGCATTGTCAAGCTGCAAATTTTCTCAGCTTCTATGCTCTGCTTCCCTTATAAAACTGAATACCTTTAACAGCACCCAAGTCACCTTTTGAATGCTTTGCTACTTAGGAATTTCTTCTGCCAGATACCCTAACTCATTTCTCTCAAGTTCAAAGTTCCACAAATCTCTAGGGCAGTGGCGAAATGCTGTTAGTCTCTTTGCTAAAACATAACAAGAGTTACCTTTGCTCAAGTTCCCCAAAAGTTTCTCATCTCCATCTGAGACCACCTCAACCCAGACCCTACCATCCATATCGCTATCAGCATTTTGGGCAAAGACATTCAGCAAGTCTCTAGAAAGTTCCAAACATTCCCACATTTTCCTGTCTTCTTCTGAGTCCTCCAAACTGTTCCAACCCTTGCCTATTTCCCAACCCCAAACTTACTGCCACAATTTTGGGTATCTTTTCAGCAGTGCCCCACTCTACTGGTACCAATATCTGTATTAGTCAGGGTTCTCTAGAGGAACAGAACTAACAGGATATATATATATCTATGGAGTTTATTAAGAAACTCACACAATCACAAGGTCCCACAATGGACCATCTGCAAGCTGAGGAGCAAGGAAGCCAGTCTGAGTCCCAAATCTGAAGAACTTGGAGTCTGATGTTTGAGGGTAAGAAGCATCCAGCACAGGAGAAAGATGTAGGCTGGGAGGCTAAGCCAGTTTAGTGTTTTCATGTTCTTCTGCCTGCTTTTTTTTCTGGCCATGCTGGTAGCTGATTAGATAGTGCCCACCCAGATTAAGGGGGGGGGTCTGCCTTACCCAGTCCACTGACTCAAATGTTAATCTCCTTTAGAAACACCCTCACAGACACACCCAGGATCAATACTTTGCATCCTTCAATCCAATCAAGTTGACATTCAGTATTAAACATCACAAGGTTTGTTGATTTTGTTTATCTTTTCAAAAAACCAATTTTTTGTTTTATTAATCTCTTGTGTTTTTAAAAATTTCAATCTCAGTTGTATTTGCCCTGATCTTTCTTATTTCTTTTCTTCTACTAATATTGAGTTCAGTTTGCTCGTTTTTCCAGTTCTTTAAGATTCATCATTAGGTGCACATTAAGTTTTTCTGCTTTCTTGATGTAGGTGCTTCTTGCTATAAACTTTCTTCTTAGGACTGCTTTTGCTGTATTCCATAGGTGTATGTGATACTTTCATTTGTTTTAAGAGATTTTTAAGAATTATCTTGTTAATTTTTTCATTAACTCACTGGTCATTCAGGACCATATTATTTAATTTCCATGTGTTTTATGGAAATACTTGTGCATGTTCATTGATATTTGGGAACTGAAGATTTATTCTAATCATCACATTCTGGGCTTGTTTGGACTTGTCCTTGTTGAGAAGGCTTTTCATGTATTCAAAGAGAATTGAGTGTTGTGATCTAAGTCTTTGGTCACTACATCCGTATCCACACTAGGGGTTGCTCCAAGCCCAGTACCTTAGTAATTCTTACAGACTCCTAGAGGTGCTGCCTTGGTGGGCTTGAATAAGATCTAGAAAAATTATCTGGATTACCAGGCAAAGTCTGTCATTATCTTTCCTCACTTTCCCCAAACAGAAAGAGTCTCTCCCTCTGTGCTGGGCTGACTGGAGCTGGGGGAGAGGTGATGTGAGCAGTCCCTTGGACATCATAGCGGGGACTATGCTGGGTCACACCTGAGGCCAGCACAGCACTGGGTCTCACCCAAAGCTTGTGGCAACTACTGCCGAGCTACAGCGGATGCTGATTTAAGGCTTAAGGGACGATTGATCAGCAAGTGGGGAATGCTGCCAGTACCGGGTCCTTACCTTGAGAGTAGCAGGTTCCCTTCTGGCCCAAGCAGGTTTAGAAATGCTGTCCAGGAGCCGGGCCCTAGAATCAGAGGCTTTAAGAATCTGCTTTGTGGTTTATTTTACTGTGACTGAGCTGGCACCCAAGTTGCAAGACAAAGTCCTCTGTATTCCTCCCTCTCCTTTCTGCAAGTGGAAAAAGTTTTTCCTGGAGCTGAAAGCTGCGCTGCCTGGAGTTGGGGGAGAGGTTGACACAAACAATCCCTTAGCCACCACAGCTGGTGTTTCACTGGGTTGTAGGTAAATCAAGCCTAGTGGCTTCAAGCTCAGCACAGCACCAGGAATGTCCTTGTGAAACCCTTGTGGCCTGATTGCCTTTTTTTTTTTTTTTTTTTTGAGATGGAGCCTCTCTCTGTTGCCCAGGCCTGAGTGCAGGGGCGCGATCTCAGCTCACTGCCAGCTCCGCCTCCCGGGTTCACACCATTCTCCTGCCTCAGCCTCCTGAGTAGCTGGGACTACAGGCGCCCGCCACCAAGCCCGGCTAATTTTTTGTATTTTTAGTAGAGACGGGGTTTCACCGTGTTAGCCAGGATGGTCTTGATCTCCTGACCTCGTGATCCGCCCGCCTCGGCCTCCCAAAGTGCTGGGATTACAGGCGTGAGCCGCTGCGCCCGGCCCTGATTGCCTTTTAAATTTATCCTGGGCCCCAGGCCCCTGTAGTCAGCTGGTAGCAGAGCTAGCTGGGTCTCAAACTCCTACCACTGGGACACAGCGTTCCTCTCTGGCTGGGGTTGGTGTTTCCTTCAGAATTCAGCTAAGTGAGCACTGGCTTGTGTTGTGTTCCGTTGTGACAAGGCAGCCCTGAGTTCCAATGCAAAGTTCCACAGTCACTCTGTTCTCCCTCCCCCAGGCACACAGATTCTCCCTCCACTTGCTGCTGCTGGAGGGTAAGGGAGAAGTGCTGTATACAGGGCAGGCCTGCCTTTCCTAACCCCATCGGTGCCTCTTTCCTTGATATGATGTCAGAATCAGGTACTGTGATCGTTCACCTGATTTTGGCTTTTATGAAGGTGCTTTTTTGCTTGAGTAGTTTTTCAATTTGGTGCTCCTGTTTGGGAATAATTGCTGGAGGGTTCTATTCAGCTATCTCATGACTTAAAGGTTGTCTGTTTAATTGAAATTAAATGTTCTAATATAAATCCAGCCCAAGGAAAGTACAAATTTATTTCAATTAGCATTTTTGAGGACTATATGAGAACTTTTTTTTTTTTTTTACTTTACATATGTCCTCAATAGATATATCAAGCTTGTCTGGGTGCAGAATTACCAATGGAATAATCACTTCTGTTCGACTACTATAAAGCAATTCCTACACCAAGAAAGTTGCCCAGGATTTTTGTATGTTTTTAAGCAGGTCCTTAAAAAGGGGGTCACTTCCCCTTTTGTAGGAGAAAAGAGCAATAAATATATTTAATGTTATACTCAGAAATATGAACATAAAGTGTAACTTCATGGATCCTGATTCTAACTGCAAATAATTTTCATTCTTCTGTGGTCACAACGCAGATAATCAGTTGTAATTGGAGGTCACGGATAAAAGCTAATCCTTGGCCCAGCCTGCTTATTCTCTCCCACTATCTGTATCTTACCCTCAGGCCCTCTGTGTCTGCTGCTCTTCTGTTACACTCAAGGTCCCCATGTAGACTTTTATTTAAGCCAGCAGTGTGTGGATCTAGAACTTGAAACCATTCATTTTTAGAATACAGTGATGCCTCAAGCCTAGATGAAATAACTGCTTCAATTAAATAGCGCCTTAAATGATAATTTGTGTTAACCCATATGCTATTTTAGTTTTTTTAGTTGAAAATAAATTTGTATGTATTTATGGTATAAAATATGATGTTTTGAAATATGTATGCATTGTAGAATGGCTAAATCAAGCTAATTAGCATACTGATAGTAAACTTTTTTTGTGGTAAGAAAATTTAAAATCCACTCTCTTTGCTATTTTCAAGTATTCAGTACATTGTTTTTAACTAGTCATCATGCTGTACAGTAGATCTCTTGAACGTATTCCCTCTATGTAACTGAAATATTGTATCCTTTGCCCGATTCTCCCCTCTGCCCTCAACCCTGGGTAACCATCATTCTAATCTCTGCTTCCATAAGTTCGACTTTTTTAGTTCTACATTTCAGTGAGATCATGCAGTGTCTGTCTTTCTGTGCCTGGCCATATGCCTTTTCATCTATGTTGTGAGTGGCTCTCACCAAATCAACAGCGACAAATTTAAACTAGGGAAATAGATTGCCAAAAATTACATTTGCTTTAAGTTTAAATGGGCAATGAACCATACCTAAATAAATAAATTAAAAAAAATCTTTTACACCAAGGGTGGCTACAAATATACCTAGAATAGTCAGCTCTAACACACATGGTGTTACTCAGAGTGATGTAATACCCCTTTGCTGCCTAATACATTCTTGTTGTCTTTTGACCTGTTAAGAATAAACAGTATATGGCACTCACTTGTGCTGAGCACTGTTTCCCACCTCTCATGTACCTTGACGCCTGGGGATAAACCCTATATTCGCATATCGCGCCTTCCATACCCACCTGTACCCTACATGCGCCAGGTAGAAGTGTTTCCATTCTCCCCTCTCCAATGGACTCTTTTCCCTGGTTTGGTAGCTACCTTTCCAAATCCCATCAGAAGATACATGTTTTATTCTGGCAAAACATATATTCTAGAACAAGTCTTCAAATCTCATTAAAGGCCACTCTTTACCCCTTATGCCTTAGTCCAGTTAATACCTTCATTAATGATTTTTTAAAAATTCAATGATTAGAAACCTTTTATCCTTCTTCCAAGGGAAGACTTTAGGACTTAACCATTAGACTTCCCTCATAAATATCTCATTCCCTATGAGGCAGGCATCTAAAAGCTTATAGCTAGTTGGATTTTAATTTGAAGGTTAAATTACAAACAGATCATTCTCCCTGAAATTAGTTAAGACTCTGTTTGTATAGAATAAAAAATTAATTCCGTAAAATCAGATATTAGATTGCAATGCTTTTTAGAATATTTTATACAATTATAAGATGATTATACATCTTAAATTCAGAAACAAAAGAAATGATTTTTAAAAAATGGAATATATTCTAAGACTATTAAAAGATTACATTGCAAAATCAATCAGAAATTTCAAATATACATAAAAACAAAGATGGCTTTCAAATATCTTTCACTGGAGATTTTAAAGTAAAATAATTCTCTGAAGGAGATATATATATATTATGGAATCAATTCATTCCAAGTTTCTAAAATTTTAAAAATCCATTTAATCTCTATCTCTTCTGTGTTATAATGTAGAATGTATTCATATTCAGATTATCTCTTTAAGTGGCCTACTTGATTTAAAGGAGAAAAATATAACCTAGGCATTGCGTTGACTGAAAAGATATGGCATTTTAAATGGCATCAAGATTGCAATTTCTACAACATTTATGATTTTCCTTTTGATTTTACAGCAGCAATACTGTAAAAGGTTTAATTTATTTCTCAGATTAGCTCTTTGGAACTGAGAGATGAGATGAGGCCTGGAAAACTTCCCCCAGTACAGTCAAGTTCCTGTTGACTAATTCTGTGACCACCAGTGACAGTCTTTGAGTCCGTGAGGCAGAGTTGCGGCAGCACAGGCTTTGCTTGGAGTTGGATGGTTCGCACCCTGCTTGGCATGGTTTCTAAGAGACATCCTCTGAGTGGATGAGGGGAGAATCCAGCAGGCCTCTAGTCACACTGGTACGAATAATTTTGATGGTGGGAGATGGTGGTGTGAGTGGAGGGTCTGTGGGTGTGATGAACACCTGAATGACTCATGGGGAGAGGGATGTTAACAGGACAGATGCCACTTGCTGTAATTTTCATATGATGTGTTTGGAAAGCCCCCTGCATGGAGGAAAGATAGATCGAGGTCCCTTTCAAAAGTGCTCCAGATGAAGAGGCATTTCCACTTTCAGAAACCCTGAGAATCCCCGAAAGAACCTCTAACTAGTCATTGTACTGGAGGCCGCTCCTCTATTCCGAATACTGCTGTTCACTGTCCCTCTCAGCAAACTGTACTGCTCCTATTGCAACCTGAGTTTAGGAAGACTTAAAGCTATGTCAACTGTTTATTTCTCTCCTTGGAGAAGTACCTGTGTCAGCTACCCAAGGTTAACGTCTCCACCAGGTTCATTATTTTATATTTTAAATATATTTTAAGATCAAAAGTGTTTGAAGGACTTGCTTTTTTCCCCATGATAAAGGTAATAACTCCTCTCTATAAGAAATTTGGAAAAGTAGGCTGGGCGCGGTGGCTTATGCCTGTAACCCCAGCACTTTGGGAGGCTGAGGAGGGCGGTTCACTTGAGGTGAGGAGTTTGAGACCAGCCTGGCCAACATGGTGAAACTCTGTCTCTACTAAAAATACAAAAATTAGCTGGGCGTGGTGGCAGTTGCCTGTAATCCCAGCTACTCTGGAGACTGAGGCAGGAGAATCGCTTGAATCCGGGAGGTGGAGGCTGCAGTGAGCCAAAATTGCACCACTGCACTCCAGCCTGGGAGACAGAGTAAGACTCCATTAAAAAAAAAAGAAAGAAAGAAATTTGGAAATAAAATTATTTATAATTCCAGTCAATCAAAATAAACCATTGTTAATTTTTAATTTTTTAGATCCAAACTTTCTCATTTCACACTCTTTGCCCCATAAACACTTGTCTCACCCCTTTTGGTGTTGGGTTTTTATTGTATAATTATAACTTCCTTAAGAGTTATACATGCTTACTCTTGATAACAGGTAAATGAAGACAAGTACATAGAAGCAGAAAAAATACAACCAATGTTAACATTTTGGTGTATTTCCCTAATAATGGTTAAAGAAAAAAAACTCAATGACACTTTAAAGTACTACCATACTTCAAATAAACAGGCAGTTTATCCAGGACCATTATAATATGGGGACCATTGCAGCGGGATTTTTCCGTGGGGAGAAAGATTGGGCTTAATTCCAAATACAGTATTGGCAAGAGGGAATTTATAGCCAAGGTGCAAGGCGGGAGTCATGCATGAAAAATTGCTAAGAAATAACACCAGGAGTAAGCAGGATTCTGGCCAAACTGAACTAATTAGATTCTTGCTGAGGATAGACCAGGATGATCAGATATCATCTGGGGGATGGTGGAGGGTTAGGAACCTGATCAGATATCAAGGATGGAGGGTTCTTGCTAAAGTTAGCAGGGTTCTTCTAAAACCGTGTTTTATAAGAAAGTGCACAGATAGGCCTCGGAGAACATTCACAAGCTGGACCAAAGTTTGGTCAAGCACAGAATCTTTGTCACAATCATAATTCATAAAAAGTTTCCTTTTTAATCAAAAACTTTTAATAAATGTCACTTATGGAAGCTGAATGAGATAGAACATTTTGAGGATCCATCCAAACTATTTTTCTTTTTTCTTTTTAACATCGACACACAATAACTGTACATGTTTGTGGGGTACATATTGATATTTTGATACATATAATATATGGTGCTTAGATCAGGGTAATTAGCATATCTGTCATCAAGCATTTATCATTGCTTCATATTGGGAACATTCAATATCCTTCTTTTAGTTATTTGAAACTCTACTGTTAATTATTATTCAATATAATCATCCTACAGTAGTGTAGAGCACTAGAACCTATTCCTCCTATCTAGCTTTTTAATTTTGTATCCTTTAACTTTTTAAAAACAATGTCCCCTACTTTGGGAGGCCGAGGCAGGTGGATCACCTGAGATCAGGAGTTCGAGACCAGCCTAGCCAACAAATAATAATAAAAAAAAAATTAGCCAGGCATGGTGGCGTGAGCTGTAATCACTGCTACTTGGGAGGCTGAGGCAGGAGAACTGCTTGAACCCAGGAGGTGGAGGTTGCAGTGAGCCAAGATTGCGCCATTGCACTCTAGCCTGGGTAACAGAGCAAGACTCGGTCTCAAAAAAAAAAACAAAAGGCCCCAAAGTGTTTCCAGTGTATTATTTTCTGAGGAAACAAAGCACATGGATCATCTTGGAGGAACCTGCATCCCAGAGTGGCTTCTGCATAATCCTGCTTCCCCTCCCTTCCCTTCATAGGCTGTGACCTCAAACCCCACCTCCCTGTTTCTTCCAGAGAGCCCTACCTGTCACACTCTAATGAACACCTGAAAAACCTTTGTTTCATGTTGATTTTTCCTCCAAATTCCTGCAAATATAGATTTCCCCCAAATGTACAAAGATTTACAGAAAGAAATGGTAATTTGTGTTTTTTTATTTATATATTTCCATTTTATTTTTGTTTTCATTACACTCTCTGCCTTATCTGTAGTTCATTAGCAATATTCCAAAACACAAAAAATAATAATTTTTCACATATGAGTATTGAACTACTAAGGGCAAGGCACATACCAGATGCATTTTCTGCTGTTGCTAAGCAATAAGACTGAATGAGTGAGTTGTATTTATGTTATCTATTAGCAAACGTTGAAAATTCCAGATTCCCCTCTGGAGTCCAGATTTGACTTCAGAATCTAGAGAACCTCATCATTGCATCATACAGCACACACAGAATAAGATGAGGGCAACAAAGATCCCATCTTCCAGCTGTTTTGGAAGAATCACAGGTGCAAAGAATTTCAAATTATAATCCTTCAGCTTAAAAGCTTTTGTTTAATTTTTCCAAATAACTGCATTTTCCCTAGATTTATTAACAAAAATTTACAGAAAAAGTGGTGTTAGTAGCTTTTCACTAACCATGATTAATGCAAGCAAAATAATTTAATATTTTAATTACACTTGGAAAAGTAATGATTAATTGATCTAATTTTCTACACGATTAATAAAGCATTGCATCTACTATATTAACGTGATTTGAGATGTGTTTTTCCCTCCTTTTTCTCTCTACCTCTTTCTTTCCTTCCTTCTCTCCTTCCTCCCTTTCTTCTTTCTTACTTTTCTTCTCTCCTTTTTTTAACCTCATTTTATCCCTCTCTCCTTCCTTTCTCTTCTTGCTTCTTATTTCCCTTCTGTCCTCCTACCTTCTCTCCCTCCCATCTTCTCTTCTGCCTTTTTCCTCTCCTTCCCTTCCTTTTCCCCTCAATTTCTTCCTTTTTTATTTTGTTGTTTAGTTTTTTGAAAAGGACCTTTAAGTCATAATATTAATGTGTGCTATAAGAGAGATTTCTTACATTATTGAGAAGAGCTTGGACATTCTAAATTACCATTTCATCTATCATATTTAGCCCAGATTCAAATAAGTGTATTTCTTTTGAATAAATTTGTTTTAAAATAAGTGCATTCCAGGCTGTGCACAGTGGCTCACACCTGTAATCCCAGCCCTTTGGGAGGCCAAGGTGGGTGGATCATTTGAGGTCAGGAGTTCTAGACTAGCCTGGCCAACATGGTGAAACCCCGTCTCTACTAAAAATACAAAAACTAGCCGGGAGTGGTGGCATGCACCTGTAGTCCCAGCTACTTGGGAGGCTGAAGCAGAATAGCTTGAACTTGGAAGGTGGAGGCTGCAGTGAGCCGAGATCACGCCGTTGCACTCCAGCCTGGGTGACAGACCAAAACTCCGTCTCAAAAAATAAATAAATAAATAAATAAATAAATAAATGAGATAATATCATTTGTTGAGGCTGTAGTCCAAAGTCCAACTTCCAGAAATCTGTTATCAAATCTGGAAAAGGTAGAGACTTGGAGGAATCACCAGACTCTGGAGGGAAGCAATCTCTACTCAGACACAGAGAATGTTCCCCTAAAATGCCTCCCCAATTCTGGTAACCTGAGGATACCAGAAAATATCTTGTGCAAATGAGAACCAATCTGTTTGGCATGGGTGCAAGCACAGGAGAGGAAGGCCAAGTTTGCCCCAGGTACCTGAACAGGGAAATACTGAGGGTTCCTGAAAACAACAAAACAAAACAACTCAGCCATCCTCTCCTCAGAGCACTGAGATCTACAAACCAAGGACCCCAGTGGTGTGTCAGACATGACCTCTTCAATGGCTGAGACATCCCTTGGTACAGTCTGGCTTGCAGCACTAGTCAGAGTTCATCTTCCTGCTGCCCTGGTTTTGATTCTGTTTTCTAATCTTTTCGGCCTAGCTGAATCTATTATGGGTATTCATGTGTGATTATGCTATAGCTGCTCTTTTGCTAATAGCAGACTGGCCCTGTTGATCCCTGGCAGAGTCTCTTGCTCTCGTAGCTAAAGCACTCCAAGAAATATGCACATAATTCTAAGTCAGTGGCAGTGGGAAGGGAGAAGTAGGTTTGCATTAGAGAGATCAGGAAAGTTGAGTGATCAGGATTTGGTAATAAATTGGGTGTGGCCGTTACAGAAGAGAGAAGAGGCAGAGCTGAGCCTGGGTCATGGTGTTTAAACTCTTGTTTAAAGCTAAAGATACATTTTTGCCAGAAAAATCCAGGTATGGACATTTTGCCTACAATATCAGGAGGCTCACAGAAGCTTTAGCCATATGTTAGAAACCACTCTGTAGAGGAAAATCCTAGAGGTTGGATAGGATGACCTGAAAGATTCCTTCTGCTTCCTCAATATTTCAATAGTTATAGAACCCAAATATCGGTATATTTTTGGGCCTACTGGTAGCTACAAGGAAGTCAGGAAGGGGAGCTGGTGCTTTTGTGAGGCACTAGGAAATGTAGGAGGGAAATGTATTTTGTTTTAGACCTGGAGGTTGAAGTGCTGGGAGGGCATTCTTGGGTAGATGTTGAGTGGGTTACCAAAGGCATACTTTGAGAAAGTGTTTAGAGCATTAGATCTGCACTGTTGAATATGGTAGCCATTGGGCACATGTGGCCATTGAAGACTGTGGCTAACAAAATGTGGCTAATCCTAACTGGGATATACTGTAAGTGTAATGTACATCCATTTCCAAGACAGTTAAAAAATGTAAAATATGTCAATTTAAGAATATTAGCTACATGTTGAAATCATAATATTTTGAATATATTCAGTTAAATAAAATATATGATTAAAATAAGTTCATCAGCTTCTCCTTACTTTTTAAATGTGGCTACTGGAAAATTTAAAAATGTGTAGTTTTTGTTTGCAGCTGACGTATTTCTGTTGGGTAGCACTGCTCAAGGTGGTGTTTGGAGGTATTATCAGGGACAACTTGGGAACATTTGAGCTCTCTGGGAAGAGGATATCCAGAGAGAAAAGCAGAAGGTTGAAAATGTACTTGTGGAGCATGTCTACATTCATAGGTCTAGAATGAAGAGGAGGAGACTGGAAAGGAGCTGTGGGATAAGGCCAGAGAAGGGGAAGTAGATGACATCACAGGAATGTGGTGAAGAAGGGGCATTAGGAAAGAAATGGATAGTGATTAGGATTATGCAAAGTAATTTGGCCTTTGTTCTATTGCTATTGGAGAGCATATGGAGGTTTTTTTCCCAGAAAGTAAAATGATCAAATTTAAATTTTAAGAAGATGATTTTGGCAAGGAAATAATGAACCAATTGGATTGACAGAGAAGCTGAAGGTCAGGTGGATAGCTAGAAAGTCAGGGAATAATAACAACCAAAAAGCCCTTAGGCATCTAGAAAGCTGAGCAGAAAAGAATTGTTTTGACTTTGAGAAAGAACTTTTTATTTTATTTTCTTGCCTTGAAAAATGAGGTGTTTTTGAACAGTGTGATTTTGGTAATTTAAAGCCTGTGTCTCTGTTTATAGAATCCAGGAAAATGGGTTGCCATAAAAATCAGTGTCACAGATGATTAAAGTTGTTTTGTGTGGGAAAAATAGAAGGCTATAAAGAAACTAAAGACACAAAAGTTATAGGATTTCTAAGAAACAAAGGTTGTCTTTTTGTATAATTGTCTCATGTAGAGAAAACAGAAAAGAAGATTATTCCCCACCCTTAAGAACATGAAAGTAGAAAAGAATGGTTTCTAAAAAGGGTTTTCCTTGAGACTCTGCCACCATAACTTGTGACCTTTTAAGGTATTTCTAAGTATTTACAAATTGAGCATACTATGTCCTAGAATGTTCTTTGAGCAGAAATTTTGGTACATAAAATTATTTATTTGGAGTTTGGTTTAAGGCAAAGAACAGGTTGAAATATATGAAAGTACAAAATTCAGAGAATTAAGTGAAGATGAGCTGAATATTCTGAAGGTTGTGTTAGTCCATTTTCATACTGCTATGAAGAAATACCTGAGACTGGGTAATTTTCTTAAAAAAAGAGGTTTAATGGACTCACAATTCCACATGGCTGTGGAACTGTAATGCCTCACGATCATGGCGGAAAGCGAAGGAGGAGCAAAGGCACATCTTACATGGTGGCAGGCAACAGAGCGTGTGCAGGGGAACTGCCTTTTATAAAACCATCGGATCTCGTGAGATGTATTCACTATCAGGAGAACAGCACGGGAAAAATCCACGACCATGATTAAATTACCTCCCACTGGGTCCCTCCCTTGGCATGTGGGGATTATGGAAGTTACAATTCAAGATAAGATTTGGATGGGGACACAGCCAAACCATATCAAAGGTATTTGGATCCTGTTTAAATATATGTTATAAAGTCTTTGCTAGTTTAAAGGGAAAAGAGAAAAAACTGATGGCAAAAGGAAGCCGATGAAAGGGGCCATATGAGGAGACTAACCAAAAGGAAATAGTCAATTAAAGACATTTGGAAAATTTACCTAGATGGAGTACTATAGGATTTGGACACTCTGCTGGATACTGAATACACAGGATTAGGATAAAATCAATGCTGTTGAAGAATAACTGTAATATGCAGCAGCTAACATTTATTAAGCATTTATTATATACTCATTTATGTATTACAACAGCCTGACGAAGTAGGTATTATCTCAATGCTACAGATGGTGCAGTGAGATTAGGTAACTTGTCCAAGGTTACACAGGTAGCCAGTGAGCCCACTATAACATGCTGTCTCCTTAAGTGTTGTTAGGGAGAAATATGATTTATTAGGCAGTGTTGGCTGAGTTATGTGTGGTAACATATGACTCCAAAAATTTTAGTAATCTATAATAACACAGTTTTTTTGTTTGTTTGGTTTGGTTTTGGTTTTGGTTTTCTGTTTTTTTTTGTTTTTTGTTTTCTTTTTAAATTTCATTGCAGGACAGTTGCTCTGATTCATTTCTGGACTTCAGTGGAAGAAGCAGCCCTTATTTAGGATATTGTTAGTCTTTGGCAGAGGGAATACAAAGCAATGGAAGGGTGATGTGATGGCTCCGAAAGCTTCTGTTGGATGTAGAATATAAAGTTTGCTCACCTTTTTTAATCCAAAGTAAGCCATGCGGCAAACCTGACAGTGGGGTGAGGAGTGAAATGTTCCCACTAGGGAGGGTCTTTAGAGGGCCCATACAGAGAGTTTAGGTTCTTTGTCTTTTGTTTTTGTTTGTTTTTATCGTGTGAATCTTTAGCTTTACAAGGAAGAGAATCAATGAATGGTTGGTCTGACTTCATTTCACACTGAGGAGTTAATAGTATGACCCAAAAAGTTAATCCCTACACTGTCAGTTTGGGAGTGGCAGGTGGCAGAGAGTTACGCACACGGGAGACAATGCAAGGGAGGGCGCTACCTCTCATAGTGATCAGTAAGGGTAGTGAGACAGCCAAGTGGAAAGGGGTCCACAGAGAAGCTTCAGGCAGCCTGCACACTGGGAAGAGTGAGCACTGGGGTGGAGCCACAGAAGTTTGCACCGTTTGCAGTGGGGAGGAGGCTGACCCCTCCTCTTCCCGGGTGGAAACCGGGATTCAATCTGTGAGGAGGGAAGCATGTATAGCAGGACTCTCTCTCTGCTGAGTCCGTTTCCCATTTTTTCCTTTTTGCCCCATAAATTCCATTTTTCTCACCCTTTAAAGTGTCTGTGAGCCTAATATTTCATGGCTGTGTGACAAGGACCTGGCTTTTAGGTGAACTAAGGAGAAAATCCTACAACAGTAGGACTAGGGCATAGCCAAAATCCAAACACAGCAAAATCCACACAACCAAAATCTTTGCTAAGCAAGGCACCTGGGAAAAAAACCTGTCTCAACAGTAAGTCAGGCCACATCAGACATAAGCTAAAGGCTGGCCTGAGTGAGAGCTGGTAGGGAAGGAGAGATGAAGCAAGATGATAGGAAACAAGATCTGGTTAGGGCTGAAGGTCAGTTCAGCTATCAAGGGCGGGGGAAGCCAGTTTTTGAGGAGGTCACTTCAAGCCTTGAGTTCCTTTGTCTAACCCCCTGTTCTCCTGGCTGTTTCCCATTAATTTTTGGGGAATGTGCTATGAACTGATGGGCACAGATGTGTGTAAAACAGAGACGGTTATAGACAGTCCTATTTATTCAAATGTGACAGGATGATGGACCTAGTCATATCCATAGAACCAATTATAAGCTAAACCCATGCAGGTAGTTAGGTGGAACAGACACATTTAAAAACGAAGAGCACTTTAATTCTTGAATTAATGTTAAATTCAGCCTGAATTTATTGGATAAATGTCTCATTTCATGTAAGTAAATCTAACTAAAGACTTTAACTAAATCTAACTAATGACTCTAACTAAAGCTATTTCCACAGAGATGTAAATTGTTCTTGATGAATACAATGAAAGCAAGTAATAATCGCTTTTTGGAACTTAGAACAAATTCACTTCAGGTGAAGGTTAAGCACTTGAGAATAAGACAATTATTTTTCCTTTCAAATACTAAAGAGTTGCAAAAACTCTGGTGATAAATTGGAACATTTGGGAAATGAAGGCAACAGTAAGATTTAATTTATTGCCCATGTGTAAGAATTCTAAGTTTTGCACATTCCTTGTAATCTTTTCCTATATACATGTAAAAACTGTGTAATTACATAGTTTAAAATTTCACTGTAATATAGCATGTTCCATAAATGATTTTTCAGGTTCTAGGACAGTCCTTATGATTATAATGGTTGCAAAATAGTTCACTGCATAGAGTTAACCTAATTTAATTTATTATTTTTATTATTAAACATGTAGTTTCTTTCAGCTTATTATCATTATTAACAATACTGCAGTAAATGGCCACATGGAACCTACATGTTTCTTTGTTTTGGATTTTTTTCATTGCAATACATGTCCTAAATTGGGATTACTGGGTCAAAGGTTATAAAATTTTAATGACTATGCAAACTGACTTAAAAATAACTACAAATAATTTAACAAAAACATGTGGGTATGTAATCCACTGAATTCTCGCTTGCTTTAGAAATTATATTTAAAGGTCACATAAATTGACTAATTAATATTGTAGAAAAAAATGATACTTTGTGTTAATTTGTGTGTCTGAATACTTGTGAGGCTAAACACTGTCCCGTAGGTTGCTTTAGCCAACAGAAGGAGTTATAATTCTTTCATTCGGTAATTGGACAAATATTTTTTGAGCGCCTACAATGTGCCAGGCAGTTTTTTTTGTTTGTTTGTTTCAGAGCACACAGCAGTGAAGTAAACAAACTCCCTTGCCCTCATGGATTTTATATTCTATGGTAAAAAAGACAATAAACACAATAAGTATTAAAATTATGTAGTATGTTAGAATAACTGCAGTAAAAAATAAAGTAAGATAAAAATAATAAGGAGTTTGTTAGCAGAAGTTGCATTTCTAAATATGGTGGTCATTGAAAAACAAACATTTGAACAAAGACTTGAAAGAGGTGGAGTAGGTCCCATATGGTATCAGAGGAAAGTGTTGCAGCCAGGGATGTTAAGTTGTAGAAGACCCTAAGGGGACCATGTGTGAGGTGTTGCAGGAGAATCAGGGAGGCCAGTTTGGCTAGAGTGAAGTGAAATCTTTGATGTGATGAAGTGATGATCTTTGATGAAATCTAGTAATGCTTATTTGTTTCATAGGAGAAAAACAAGGAGAGAAAAATCTAAACCCAGCAGAAGAGAAAGTTTAAGAAAGCGGTCGTCGCCAATACCAAAATTAGCTATGATATTCAGGAAGAAAAAAATGGAAACACGATAACCACAGTCAATAAAGACCAAGGCCACATTCCATTGACCAGAGCTCAGCCACGCGCCACACCTGGCTAAAGAGACTCTGGCTGAAGAATTCCCTGAATATTTTAATGTAGCTCTAGGTTATAACACAGAACAACCACAAGGTGGCAGAAGAACTCCATTCTTGTAAATCTCTTAGTTGCTTCTTTATTTCATCTTCCCTATTCCATCTAATGTTCCCTGAATTTTACTATTTTGTTGGTTTGAAAATATGTGTGACTTACGTCCTTTAAAGGATTTGGTTCGTAAGGTTTTGAATAGACTGGAATATAAAACATTTATAGAAAAGAAAAATACCTACAGTATGATGTTAGTGAACTATTAATAATCCAATTAAATAAAATATATTTGCTTTGGATTAATACATATTTTGTTTTGATGTTTGCTAAATAAAACTAAGCATTAGGAGGCCAAATAGCCACAATGAACATTTTCATATTATTTAATAAGCCAGTTTCAAGGCATACATGCTAAATTTGTTCTTAAGGAAAAGTTGAATTTTTGCTTTCATGAAATTACAAACTCTAAGGCAATTTTACACGTGTAAATCCAATGTGTTCTGAAGTTTAAAGTGTCAAAGGCTGTTGGATTTAAACAGATCTTGTATGACTCTCTGTTTCATCTCTTCAGAGGTTGATAGTAAGCAACTTTGGCAGCAACTCACAGCTTCTGCTGTAACATGAGGCTAATAATGACGACTTTATAAGGTTGTTGCAAAGAGTCAGGGATGCCACAAGCAACGTTCTTTATATATGCAGAATTTTAAAAATAAAGTAAATAAAAATATTCCTTCCTCTATTCCCCATTTTTCTAACATTATTTGCAACTGGTGTTTTAATGCAAGACCAAAGGCTAAAATATACATGTAGCTAGCAGAATCAAAACCTAGATCAGATGTTCAAAAGCATCATGCTGCTAAAAGATTTCAGAGTCTAAAACCTGTGCTCACTCTTCTGAAACATCTTTCCACTTCCTGTTTAAAAAAAAACGTGATATTCTTTGAAGCTCATTTTTTGGGCTTCATGTGTTGTAATTATACATTTGTTATATAGGGTATATGATGACTTACGCTCTAAGGTATTATTCAGTACATTGTAGAAAAAGGAGAATAAAGAATGTTGTTTGTCAGTAGGCAGCTCTGTCCTCTTTATCCTTGACTGTAATTTACTAAAGAGCTGACAAAATTACAGCACAGGCAGCAATTCACCATATTACCCTGCAGACAGCCAAGAGACTGACATTGAGATGATGCGTTTTAACTTGGGTCCATGTAAGGAACCTGATGGGGTTATATGAATTCTTTTCTGTACTATGAAAAAATGAAGTTGCTAATAAGAAGGAGGTACAAAAGTGTGTACTCTGCGCAAGGCTACTGATAAAGATGCTACAGGGATGCGTGGAAACCCAATATGTAACACTGAAATGGCTTTTGATTCATTTGTATTTGGTCTCAGACAAGAAAATAGATTAAGAAAAGGTCTGAAAAAATGGAGCACTAGGAAAAATGATAGGAAATTTTGTGTTGTTGATAGTTATCTAATATGAAATACACGTTTGTAATATTTTGACATATATGATTTAATACAACTATATTTTGTAATAAATATCTTTAATTCTAAGGATTGAAAATCTTAAAAGGATCTAAATTTTATAGTTATAGCTGTTTTGTTTCAATAGGCTGATGGACTTGGAAATTCCAGGTTTCTTAAACATATTCGATGAACTTGAAAAGCAGGGGGAGATACTTTCAGATGGCCTTGAATGGGAGCGGGGGGACCCTGGATTTCACTGGACACATCTTTCTTCCTTTCTTCTCTGTAGTTTGGGACCTCTTCTTCTCAACTAGTCAGCAATTATAAGAATGAAAATTACCAGCCGGGCGCGATGGCTCACGCCTGTAATCCCAGCCCTTTGGGAGGCCAAGGCGGGGGGATCACGAGGTCAGAAGATCGAGACCATCCTGGCTAACACGGTGAAACCCCGTCTCTACTAAAAAATACAAAGAATCAGCCGGGCATGGTGGCGGGTGCCTGTAGTCCCAGCTACTCAGGAGACTGAGGCAGGAGAATGGTGTGAATCCGGGAGGCTTATGTTGCAGTGACTGCACTCCAGCCTGGGCGACAGAGCGAGACTCTGTCTCAAAAAAAAAAAAAAAAAAAAAAAAGAATGAAAATTACCTTAGCAGCTATTCAGAGTAGGTCCAAAAGATAATCAAATAAAGAAGATTTCAGTATTCTCAAGGTGGAAGAGACAATGTCTTTGCATCTGCAGTTGGAAAGCCTGGAGTAATCTCCTTCCACTGTGGAAATCCCTTCTGTCCTCAAGGTCTCAAGCATATGATACCTTCATGATGGATTTCCTGACTCTTGGAGTTAAAACGTTCCGTCCCTTGCCTGCACTCACGTAGCCATTAGTTTATCAGGTGTTACATCCTCAAACAGAGCTGCTAGGCCACGTGTGCTCTTTACATACAACCTCTGACGCTGGCTAATGACTACTGGGCTGGCATTTTTCTCAATTCTTAAGAAAAACCAAAACCAGTTTGGTTTTCTTTTTAAGTAGTGGTAAAATAGACATCATGTAAAATCTACTATTCTAACCATTTTTAAGTGTACAATTCAGTGGCATTAAGTACACTCACATTATTATGTAATTATCACTACTCAACAGTTTTTTGTGTGGATTTTTCAGGGTTTTCTAAATATATAATCCTATCATCTGTGAACAGAGATAAATTTAATTCTTCATTTCCAATTTTATTTCCTTTTTTAGAACTTCTAATATTATGTTGAATAGAAGTCAGAAAAAAATGTGTGATTATACTTCTATGAAGCACCTAGAAGTCAAATTCACAGAGCTAGGAAGTAGAATAGTCTACGAAGGGCTTCGGAGAGGGGTAATGAGAGTTATGGTTTAACGGGTACAGTTTCAGTTTGTGTTGATGAAAACATTTTGGGCATGGAATATGAGCTTTTGTCTTAGGTTCTGATTTCAGAGAAAAATGGCCAATATATGCTGCTTTTGTTTTGCTCATGGCTAGAAAACTGGGGTCTGGGAACCAAGGGATGGAAGTGGGATTGGCCTTTTTCACTATCACTTCCAGTGATACACTTTGGGAGAATATTCATCTTCACAGCCTTAGGATCTTCCAGAATAAAATGTCTGGTTTCTCATGGGTATAACACACCTATGGGAGGACACAGTAAGAGTTCCAGTGAATGAAGCTACTCTACCCCTGGTCACTCTTGAATCCCCAAATCAGAGGATCAGTAGGCAAAAAGGGGGTGTTCTATATTGGTAGGATAATTGAGTCTGATTATTGCATGAGGACTGATGTTGCATCATGGTATCTGGTAGGAGTAGCTCTGGAATTTGGAAATTCACTGGGTTATCTTTGGATGCCTCCATGTTCATTGACAACTATAAATGAGAAATTGAGCAACCTTGGCCCAACCAAGATGAGACAAATAAAAACTAAGGTTTCTCAAGGATGAAGGTCTGGGTTATCCAACCAGAAAAGCCTCGAGCTGCCAAAATACTGGTCAAGGCAAACTGAAAATAGATGATGAAGAAGATTGATGGTGGATATTAGTTATGGCCTCAGGTTGATGACAGCATCAGGGACTGGCCCATCAATCCTTTATACTATGCCCCTGTAGACACCGGGGTTGGTTGGAGATTGAAGAGGCCTCTGTAACACTTGGGACTTAAGAGAAGCCATGCCAGACTGCTGCTTTTTGTCTTATATTGAAGGGAAATATCCGTGCTTGAGTATTCTACTTGATTTTTTAAAAAATAGCAAAGTTATCATTAAATCATTGCTTGTTATGAAATCCAGCCATTGTCAGCTATGAGAGTTGCCGGGGTAGGGCGTGTTTGAGTATGTACGTGTCTGTTTCCTTTGCACTATTTCAGTTCTAACCCTTGAATTGCTAATTGGGGGAGGGAATGGCCTCTTTTTAGATTGTCCTTGTTTTGACTTATCTGCCAAGGCAAAAGAATGTCAGAGGGTTTGCCACACAGTCCTGCAGGGACCCCTGCACTTTGCCAGGATTTTTGTGTCAAATACTTTGTTTGGCCAAATTTAGAGAATAGTTTAAAGGGGGAAAAAGCTTGCATGTGATATGTCTAAATATTATGTTAGAATACTTTTAAATAATATGCTGTGATTGGAATCTTTCTTCCTGAAGGTTGCGGAGCGTGCTGAGACAGTGCAGCTGTGTCTCTGCTCTCTGCATTCTTGGGCAGGCATCACTGTTTGTCTCCTCATACAGAGGGCTGAATGCACTATTTCACACTGATGCCACATTTTTAAATCTAAATATGATTAACATGTTTTAGGGTGTTTATCAAATAATTCACTTTTTTTGCAGATATTAAATGCTAAGATATTAAAAAAAGAGCAAGAGAGAAGGCATGCCACAGACTGTGTAATACTAGAGGAGGACTGTATTGGACACAGTACCACCTTTTATTCCATATACTTCTGTGACAACCAGGTCTATGCAGGATTTGACTAGCTCTGTACAGATATCATCTGATGGAGTTTTCACCTGGTACCTTACCATGGACCTCTGACTTTTGTTAAAGGCTTTTCTGGAGCATCGGCATTGGATGTTCTTGGAAGCTTGCTCACCTCTCATGAGTGTGCAATCTGAGCACTGGAGGAGATAATGCCCTGTGAAGGATAAAAACCAATTGATAAATGGCTTCTTCTCTCTTTCCCCAGGCAGATAGTTTTGACATATATTCCATAAGAGTCCTTCAAAGATTCCAGGAGATCAAAAACCAATCACCAATTTGAAAAATCATTCTCATATTGAATTTTTCTCGTACCTTGTTCTACTTTCTTTCATTCCTGCTCTCTAGGATAATCACTTCCCAAATAGAGTGCTCCACCTAAGACTTTGTCTCAGGATCTTTTTTTAGGGATCACAGGTTAAGACACAGCAGAACCATCATATGAGCTAATTTTGATGAAAAAAACAATCTTTGGAGGAGACTTCTGGTTCCAAAATGGCAACATAGAAGCAAACTGGCCTTACTTTTCCCCATAGAATACCAAAAACAAATATGCAGTACGAAGATTATCACCAGCAATATCTCAGAACTCAAATATGAGGCTGAGATGTTCCTGGGGCCACAGAGAAGTGAAAAAACTCTAAGAAAACAGTAAGAGAATTGGACCTTCATATTCATGACATCCATCCTCCCATCTGCCCAACACCAAGCATGTGGAAAATTTTCCCAACTCACAGTTTCTATACTGGAAAAAGTGCGATCAAGGTGATAACAAGCTTCTCCATAATCCCAGGTTCTTTGGCAGGGTAACTGTCCCTGCCTCAACCCACAGGAAGCATTGGGAGTACCTAAAGGGAGAAATATCCTGGAAGACAGTTAGAGACAAAGAGGAGAGGCTGGACTACTGTTCTTAGCCCAGGAAGCTCTGCTCTGCAACTTGGTCAAAGAGATGGCAAATCAGAGTGGCTGTTCAGCAGCATCAAACTGTAAAAGGTTTGTTCCACAGGTCACTGGGCGTGAATCTTTAGGCACAGGCACCATTCTAATACTATTAAGTATCTCCTTTGTGACCTCTCTCATTTGAGATGGCAGCACTCTGATTGTTTCCTAGAATCAAGGGAGACTTGGGTGTAAGACACCATCTAGTACTGAAAAGAAGCAGTGACCAAGCAGAGGAAAAAGAAAATCAACAGAGAAATTACAAAGCATCTCTAAGCAAACATATCCAATAAAAACCCGAACAACTTAGACAAAAAGACTAGAATAAATAATAAATCCTTCAATGCAAAGGCATAGACATATATCCACAAGAAACAATAGCAAATAGGGAACCATCATTTCTCCAAAGGAACAAAGCCAGGATCCAGCAACTGACTCTAACTAGATGCTGATATGTGATCACTCTGACCAAGAATTCAAAATAGCAGTTTTAGGGAAACTCAGTAATCTCCAGGATAACACAGAAAAACAATTCAGAAATTTACCAGAGAGATTTAATAATGAGATTGAACTAATAAAAACAAACAGACAGAAATCTTGGAACTGGGAAATACATTTGCTGAATCAAAAATTCATTAGAAGCAGCAGAATGGCTTAAGCAGAGGAAAGAATCAGTGAGTTCAAAGATAGGCTATTTGAAAATACACAGACGAGAAAAAAGAAAAAGGATATAAAGAAATAATCACCAAAAAGAAATAGAAATTTAACTTGAAAGACTAAACCCAAGAATTATTGGTGTTCAAGAGGGAGTTGAGCAAGAGGAAAGAGTGGAAAGCTTATTTAAATACACAATAACAGAAAACCTTCCAAAACTAAATAAAGAGGAAAATATCTAAGTACAGGAAGGTCAGAGAACACCAAATAGGTGTCTGACCTAAATAAGACTACCAAAAGTCATATTACGATCAAACTTTCAAATGTCAAGGACAGAGAGAATCCTGAAAGCAGAGAAGCAAATAACGTATAAAGGAGCTCCAATTTGCCTAACAAACCTGTCAGTGAAAATCATACAGGCTGTGAGGGAGTGGAACAATATTTTTTAAATAACTTTTAGTTTAGGTTTTGGGGTACATCTGAAGGTTTGTTACATAGGTAAACTCATGTCACAAGGGTTTGTTGTGCGGATGATTTCATCACCCGGGTACTAAGCCCAGTGCCCAGTAGTCTTCTTTTCTGCTCCTCTCCCTTCTCCCGCCCTCCATCCCCAAGTAGACCCCGGTGTCTGTTATTCCCTTCTTTGTGTTCATGAGTTCTCATCATTTAGCTCCCACTTACAAGTGAGAACATGGAGTATTTGGTTTCCTGTTTCTGCATTAGTTTGCCTAGGATAATAGCCTCCAGCTCCTTCAGTGTTCACACAAAAGACATTAACTCATTCTTTTTTACGGCTGCATAGTATTCTGTGGTGTATATGTACCACATTTTCTTTATCCAAACTGTTGTGGTTGGGCATTTAGGTTGATTCCACATCTTTGCTATTGTGAATAGTGCAGCAGTGAACATTCACATGTATGTGTCTTTATGGTAGAATGATGTATATGCTTCTGGGTATAAACCCAGTAATGGAATTGCTGCGTCCAATGGTGGTTCTGCTTTTAGCTCTTTGAGGAATCACCATACTGCTTTCCACAATAGTTGAACTAATTTACACTCCTACCAATAGTGTATAAGTGTTCCTTTTTGTCCACATCCTTGACAGCATCTATAGTTTTTTGACTTTTTAATAATAGCCATTCTGACTGGTGTGAGGTGATGTCTCATTGTGGTTTTGATTTATATTTCTTTAATGATCAGGGATAGTGAGATTTTCTTCATATGCTTGTTGGCTGCATATATGTCTTCTATTGAAAAGTGTCTGTTCCTGTCCTTTGCCTACTTTTTAATAGGGTTGTTTTTCTCTTGTAAATGTGTTTAAGTTTCTTATAGATGCTAGATACTAGACCTTTGTCAAATGTATAGTTTGCAAAAATTTTCTCCCATTCTGTAGGTTGTATGTTTACTCTGTTGATAGTTTCTTTTGCTGTGCAGAAGCTCTGAAGTTTAATTAGGTCCCATTTGTCAATTTTTGCTTTTGTTGCAATTACTTTTTGCACCTTTGTCATAAAATCTTTGCTCATTCCTATGTCCAGAACGGTATTGTCTAGGTTGTCTTCCAGGGTTCATATAGTTTTGGGTTTTAACTTAAGTCTTTAATTTATCTTTAGTTGATTTTTGTATATGGTATAAGGAAGGGGTCTGGTTTCAATCTTCTGTATATGGCTAGCCAGTTATCCCAGAATTATTTATTGAATAAGGAGTCTTTTCCCCATTGCCTTGTTTTTGTCAGCTTTGTCAAAGATCAGATGGCCATAGGTATGTATCCCTATTTCTGGGCTCTCTATTATGTTTCATTCATCCATGTGTCTGTTTTTGTACCAGTACCATGCTGTTTTGGTTACTGTAGCCCTGTGGTGTAGTTTGAATTGGGTAATGTGATACCTCTAGCTTTGTTCTTCTTGCTTAGGATTGCCTTGGCTATTCAGGCTATTTTTTTTTTTGTTCCATATGAATTTTAAAGTAATTTTTTCTAGTTCTGTGAAGAACGTTAATAGAACAACATTTTCAAAGTGCTGAAAGAAAAACATCCTGTCACCCAAGAATACTGTATCCACAAAACTATCCTTCAAATATAAAGGAGAGATAAAGTCTTTCCCAGACAAACAAAAGCCGAGAGAATGTGTCACCAGCATACCCATCTTACAAGAAATGGTAAAATGTGTTCTTCGATCTGAAAGAAAAATACACTAATGTGCAGAAGAAAACTTTTCAAAAAGTATAAAACCCACTGGTTAAACTAGTCCACAGACAAACCCAGGATCATCAAATATTGTAATTGTGGTGTGCAACTCACTCATAAGTTTAGTATGAAGCCCAAAAGACAAATCTGTCAAAAACAATAATAGCTATAGCAACCTGTTAAAAGGTAGGTAACATAAAGGTGGGTAAATAAAGCCAACAAAACTAAAAATATGGGAGGGTTGAGTTTAAAAAATGCACAATTTTTTTTATTTTTCTTTTTTTCCATTCTTTTCTTTATGATTTAAGTTGTCATCTTTTAAAAATAACTTGTTATATCTATAAGATGTTATTGGCAAGCCTCATGGTAACCATAATGCAGACACCTATAGTAGATTCACTGAAAAAAAAAGGCAACAAAATAAAGCATACTACCAGAGGAAAAGGAAATCACTTAACCACAAAGGAAGACATTATGAAACATGGAAAGAGAGAGAGAAATCTCAAAACAAACAGAAAAAAAGCAAGAAATGGCAACAGTAAGTCTTTGTTTACAAAAAATAACACTGAATGTCAATGGACTCAATTCCCAAATTAAAAGGCATAGAGTGGCTGAATAATAAGGAAACAGGGCCCACATATATGTTGCCTACAAGAAACTCACCACACCTATGAAGACACACATAGATTGAAAGTAAAGGGATAGAAAAAGATATTTCATGTAACTGGAAACCAAAAAAGCAAGTAGCTGTACTTATATTGGATAAAATAGACCACAATTAAAGACTGTAAAAAGAGACAAAGAAGGTCACTATGTAATGATAAAGGTGTCAGTTAAGCAAAAGGATATAACAATTATAAATATCTATGTACCCAATATTGGAGTTCCTAAGTATGTAAAGCAAATGTTAATAAATCTAAAGTGAGTCATAGATTACAATACAATAATAGTAGAAAATTTGAACACTCCACTCTCAGTAATGGACAGAATTATCTAGACAGAAATCAACAAGCACATGTGGAGTTAAACTACACACTAGACCAAGGGGCCTGACATTTATAAAACATTTCACCCATCTGCTGCAGAATACACATTGTTTTCATCAGCACATGAAACATTCACCAGAATATACCATATCTTAGGCCACAAAACAAGTCCCAACAAATTTAAAAAGGCAGAAATCTTATCAATTATCTTATCTATCCACAATTGAGCTAATCAAGAAATCAATAACAAGAAGAACCTCAGAAAACATACAGACATATGGAAATTAAACAACATGCTTATGAATGACCAAGTCAATAAATTAAGAAGAAAATTTAAAAAATTTCCCTAAACAAACAAAAATGAAAATACAACATACCAAAACCTATGAGATATAACAAAAGCAGTACTAAAAGAAGAGCTTAAATCAATAAACACCGATATCAAAAAAGTAGAAAGACTTCAAATAAACAAGCCAATAATTCGTGTCAAGGAACTAGAAGAGTAAGAATAAACCAAACCCCAAATTAGTAGAAGGAAAGAACTGATAAAGATTAGAACATAAATAAATAAAATTGAGAAAAAAATAAGATCAGTGAAATGAAAAGTTGATTCTTTAGAAAGATAAACAAAATTGACATACCTTTAGCTAGACTAAGGAAAAAAAGAGTGAACACTCAAAGAATTCAAATCAGAAATGATAAAGGAGACATTATTAAATGAGATGATATAAACACAAAGAATCATTAGAGGAATATTATGAACAACTATACACCAATAAATTGTAAAACCTAGAGGAAATAAATAATTCCTGTACACATACCTCTTACCAAGATTGAACCATGAAGAAATAGAAAACTTAAACAAACCAACAATGAGTAACAAGATTGAAGCTGTAATAAAAAGTCTCCCCTCAAGGAAAAGTCCAGGACCTGAGGGCTTCACTCCTAAAATTTACAAAATATTTAAAGAAGGACTAATACCAATTCTACTCAAATTCTTCAAAAAAATGGAAGAGGAAGAAATACTTCCAAACTCATTCTATGAGGTCAGCATTCCCCTCATACCAAAACCAGACAAAGAAAAACAAAAAAGGAAACTGCTGGCCAGTGGCACTGGTGAACATAGATATAAACATCATCAACAAAATACTAGCAGACTGAATTCAATAGCATATTAAAAAGATCATTCACCATGGTCAGGTGGAATTAATTTCAGGGTGCAAGGACGGTTCAACATATGCAAATCAATAAATGTGATACATCACACTCACAGAATCAAGAACGAAACCATATAATCATCTCAATTGATGCTGAAAATGCATTCAATAAAATTCAAAATTCCTTTATGATAAAAACTCCCAACAAACTGGATATAGAAGGAACATACCTCAAAATAATAAAGGCCATATATGACATTTATGGTTATCAGAGGTCAAGAAGGAAGGGTAGGGGAAATGGGGAGATGAAGAGAGGTTTTTTAAATGAATACAAATATACAGTCTGATTAAACATAAGATCTAGCATTTGATAGGTCAGTAGGGTGACTACAGATTACAATAATCTACCGTAGGTTTCAAAATAACTAGAAGAGAATGAATGTTTCTAGCATAAAGAAAAGACAAATACTTAACATGATAGATATCCCAATTACACTATTTGATTTTTACAAATTATATGAATGTATTAAATTATCACATGTACCCCCAAAATAAAAAATAAAAATAAAAAATATGAATGAAAATTAAAAAAATTATTGAAGAAGTGATGACGTAGGTAATACCCACTCAATAAAAGGAATGTGGAAATATTGAAATTAAAAGGCCATTCACAGGATGCATGTGAATTTGCCTTCAATATCTCTTAGTGAACTCCCATGATATATTCATTTTCCTTCATTTTGGGGTTTTACAATTAGCAGTTGGCCCAGTGATTGATTGATTGATTGATTGAATAGAATCAAGTATAGTAATTATACTGAAGATTGGAAGGTTTGTGTATATTTTAAAGGTACTAACTGAAGTCTCAGGAATGAGTGGAAACAACTTTACCACTTAGAATTTCTCCCTGACGGGTGTTGTATTAAATAGGTAACTGAAGGATTAGTGGTGAGAAAAGGAGAAGAAAGTGACAATTTATTACTCGCTCTCAATACAGGCTCATTAGCTAAGTCAAAGAAAGGACTTCTTTTCTTCTGGATCTAATACTACAGTAGGAGCTCCCAATCTGAAGTTTTGCTTTCTGCGGTTTCAGTTACCTATGGTTAATGGATGTCCAAAAATATTAAATGGAAAATTCCAGAAATAAACAATTCCTAAGTTTTAAATTGTGTGCCACTCTGAGTAGCGTGATGAAATCTTGTGCCGTCTCACTGCACCTTGCCCGGGGCCGGCATCACCCCTTTTTCCTGGTGATCCACGCTGAACATGCTCCCCATCTGTGAGTCACCTGGTAGCCTTCTAGGTTACCAGATCAGCTGCGGGGATATTGCAGTGCTGGTGTTCAAGTAACCCTTATTTTACATCGTAATGGTCCCAAAGCCAAGAGTAGTGAGGCTGGCATGTTGTTATAATTGATTATTAGTTATTGTTGTTAAACTCTTATTGTGCCTAATTTATAAAATAAACATTTTTGTAGATATATACGTACAGGAAAAAGCATCACGCATACAAGGTTTGTGCTATCTGTGGTTTCAAGCTTAGGGGTTTGGAACGTACCCCTTGAACGTAAGTAGGAACTACTGTGTTCGATTGCGTGCTCACAAGGAAAGAAAGGGAAGAGATTGACAGAGACAGAATGAATTCTGGAAAGTCAGATTTGCCTGGGTCTGCTTAAAAGTAGGGGGAAAAAGCAGAGAGCTCTCGTGGATACTCCTTAAGGTACTTAGTATAATGTGCCTACGATCATCTCCATTTCTGACAACCAGCAACTTCTTTCTTGTGGAGGAGTTAAGAAGTGGTGGGTGAGGAGCAGAAGTGGGTGGGGAGAGAGGCTGGAAGTGAGAGGTCCCAAAATGCATCCTCCACTCTGGGCATAGGTAGTAGTGTGAGGAGAGGAGGGGGAGGGGAAAGGGGAGGGGAAGGAGGGGGAGGGGAAAGGGGAGGGGAAGGAGGAGGAGGAGGGGGAATGGGAGGGGGAGGAGAAGGAGTGGGAAGAGGAGGAGGAGGAGGAGGGGAGGGGAGGGGGAGTAGGAAGAGGATGGGGAGGAGGAGGAGGAAGGGAGGGGGAGGAGAAGGGGGAGGAGTGGGAGGAGGAGGAGGAGGGGTGGGGAGAGGAGGAGGGGTGGGAGAGGGGGAGGAGGAGGGGGAGGAGGAGGAGGAGGGGTGGGGAGCAGGAGGAATTTCCTTTGCTACAGATGTCAGCATTAGTTGCATTTCCCATGTGTTTGAGGTTTCATCTTGATCCCACAATGCTTGAGCTCATTATACCTGGTGTGTTCAGCAGTTTCTTGAACCTGGAAAATGTATTTAAGGTGCTTAATCAAACATTCAGTAAAGGAGTCTCAGCTGAGGACAGAGAAGTCTGTAGTTCACTTATATAAGGACCTTTCTAGACCACAAAAAAAGAAGGTAAACAAGATCCTTTGAGATTTACACAAGAATGCAGGGCATGTCATCCTTTGGGTGAACATGTTTCTATTTTGGCATTTAACTGTTGTTTGCATGCACTAAAATATAATAATGAACCTATTCCAGCCATTTTAAGAGGGAGGGTTGTGTGTGTGGGCATTTTAACTGTAGAATTCTTTGAACTAGAGATTATTCAAAGTTTACTTAGGCAAATGCTATTATGTACTAAGTAAAATTTCAATTGTGTGAAACAATGCCTCTGTAAAAAGCAATTGCTGCAACCTAATGAACTTCAGACCCTTCAGGTACAAAGGAATTCAACCAAGTAAGGCTAAAGCCAATGATCCCCCAATACTGACGGCTTTGGTAGTGTCAGTTGACTGTGACAAAAGAAAGAAGGTAACAGTGAGCATCTGAAAAAGTGAATCTCCTGTGGTTACCGACTAGCAATAAATTAAGAAGGTAAGACCCACAGAATGCCTTTGAGCATAATGTGATGGGCGGGGGGGGGGGTTTGTTTAAATCAGATTATGCAGGTTGACTTTGAAAAACTGCATTTGTCTTGGATATGCCTCCCCTTCCCTTCTACCTAAGGATTCTGCTAACCCTAGAGTCACATCTGAATATGGAGAAATACGATCATTTTGGAAGAAATCTCGGATTTGGTGTTAGATAAAAGTGATTTCCAATTTCTGCTATGCAGTTTGCCAACTGTGTGACTTTGAGCAATTTACACAACCCTGTTGTGCTTCCATTTTCTCATCTCTAAAATAAGGACTATGATAATACCTATGTCATAGCATAGACTATCAAATGATGTGTGTGAAATTGTTTATAAATACACAAGTGCCATCCACCTCTAATTCACACAGCCTGTTCTTTTCCACAGCATGTGCTGGATGTCAGTGATTGGAAAATTTACCTTTTCCTATGTCTGTCCATTTCTTCTACATTATTCGTTCTTGTCCCTTTTGGAGGGAATGGTGCCATCCAACTGTGCATGGTTCTATACCTTGATAACAGCTCCACAGAAATTGAACTTAATGTATGCTGCAACACGTGTCTGAAAATAAATGGGCTGTGAGACAGGAAATGCTAGTTCTGCCTCTCTCCCAGTGAAGTCGAGATGAGACAGCTGTGCCTATAAATGAAGCCATTTGAAGAGTTAACATGGAAGACAGCTCCACGTAATTGCGAACTTCTGTGGAGCTACTCACAGACCATGCTCTAGAAATTAATAAAAGTAGTGAATAAGATGGGAAGGATGCACAAAATGAAAACCAAAGGAACAAATTAGTTTTCCTGTATGGTTCAACAGCACTAAATCCAAAGGCTGCCAGGCTCTGCTGGTCTGTGGTTTAAATGGGATTTTTAAATGATTTACATCAAGGCTATGTAAGAAATCAAAGCAAAGCAGGATAAAAATAAGGAATGATGTCACTTGTGATTCTAGTGGGTAAAAATACACTGAGACAAGGAAGTAATTGGTAATTAAAATAATGAAAGAATTCATCATGTTTGCCACTAAATTGAAAGCTAACATGTCATGTTTGCCAATATTTTCATCATTCACTTAATTTCAAAAAAGTTTCTCATCCACTCAAGTGTGTGTTTGTTCATTCATCCATCTAGACAAAAAAATTTCAGAGATTTCTCTATATACCAGGTACGATCATCAGAGCTTTTATACGCTTTTCACTTAATTCTTATAACGATCATTCTCCACAGGTAATATTATTCCAAGATTTAAGTCAAAGAAATTGAGTTGCTTTATCACATATCAATATGATAAATTTAGCCAGAAATGAAATTGTGATTTGAATTCAGTTTTTTTCCTTTAGTATCTGATATGATACCTTTTCCACTACAAGAGAACTGCCTGTTATGCACTCAACTGGTATATTAAAGTAAATGAAAATTTTTGAATTAAAATATAAATGTAAGATCTTATTAGTAATTTCTTAATAGCCTCTGAAAATTGGAAACAACATATGAGGCGCTTACACTTACCTATAGTGTAGCCAGAGTGAGAGGGTGGTAATGGCAAATTTCTTTCTTTGTACTTATGCCATGAAACCTTATTTGTTGGATTTTATATATTATTGTTCATCCTGCCAGGTAGAATTTAAGGTATTTATCTTATTTATTTCATTACCTCCTAGACTATGCTTTCTCATCAGAAACCTACACTGTAAGTTTTAAAAATGCGCATTTCTGAGTTCCATCCCTATCTTACTGAATCTGAACTTCTGGGATTGGGCCAGAGAATCTTCATTTCTTTTTGAGACATGTTCTCACTCTCACCCAGGCTACAGTTCAGTAGTGTGATTACGGCTCATTGTAATGCCTCATTCGTAGGTTCAAGTGGTCCTCCTGCCTCAGTCTCCCAAGTAGCTAGAACTATAGGCAAGCACCACCATACCCAGCTAATTTATTTTAAATTTTTTTGTTCAGACAGGGTCTCACTATGCTGCCCAGGCTGGTCTCTTACTCCTGGCCTCAAGTGATCCACCTGCCTCGGCCTCCCAAAGTGCTGAGAGTACAGATGTGAACCACTGCACCTGGTCTGAAATCTGCATTTTTAACCAGCAGACCAGTTCATTCTGACATGCTCGAGTTTGAGAACCACTGACCAGGCGATCCTCTATACCAAGCCCACCCACAGTGTTTGCTGGCAGCATGGCTGACTCTTTCAGAAGCTAATTCATCTGACAGGTCCTGACCCCCAAGTCTGGGCCCAGCACTGTGCCAGGAGGCCCTTCCAGCTACACCACATCACATGAGGTCACATCACATCAAAACCCATGTGTCTCGTTCATATTCCATGGCGACTGTTGGCTCACCACAGTCCTACTCAGAGTTCTGAGTCAGCCTCAGAAACACTGGGAGCTCTGGGCCACCTCATATCGAACATGAGTCAGAGCTGTGATCTCTGCTTCCCATTCCTGGGCTACGCTGCTGATGTGGTACTGGATTCCTTCCTAGTCAATCAACACAGACCTTCATTTCTACAGAGTTCTCTCACCCCCAAGTAAATAGACTAATTTCTTTCTGGTTGATTTAGGTATTAAAATTAAAGATGTAAAAATATTTATTTACTTGGGTAATGATGAATGAGTGCCTTGCAGGAGTAATGATTAATCATGCTCCACCTGGAAACCAGTGCCAAAACGACTCTGCTAATAGAATCCATCAACTGCTGAAATAAGTGATTGCACTGAAGCTTGCTTTATTGTAAGTTCCTTAATTTTACATTCTAGTTACATGTTGTCATTTCCTAATAAAAATTGTTTGGATTCCTTCCTGAAACATTTGGGGTGAGTCTCGAGGAGGTATTTTGCATTAGCTAAACACTGAATCATAAAACCATATTCGTTATTCTGGCAAGGTGACACATATTTTATTCTATGAAATTTAAACAACTATTTAAAATTAGAACAATCAGTAATAATTGTTAAAAATATGAGAACTATAATATTGTATGAAAAGAGCTCTCAGTCACTAACTAAAAAATATTTCTTTGCTGCCTATTATACATGGGTAGGTCAACATTCGGTGTAAGTAATGGCATAACTGGAGTTAGGTGTAACCTTCAGGGATTCTTTACTACCAGTAATTGTCTAACCCAGAAAGTATTTCTGCTGCCAACTCCCATCAGGGGAGCTTTGGCAGTCAAAAAAGTACTTCAGAACTCTCTATGTTACTGTTGTCAACTAGTTCAAACTGCATTTTGTTCTTCATGGGAGCAACAGGGTAAGAAAACCATGTCCTGGAAAATCACAGTGGTGAGAGTTGGCTCTAGATACACCTGTGAAGGATGGAGAGGCAGTTGTATATGCATCTACTACCATTTTCCTTTCTAAATTTTGGTGGAAGTAGAATAAACACAATCTTTGGAGTCAAAGCTGAGTTTAAATCCTGGTCCTAACTTTTATAAGGAAACTGAGACTTAAACTTTGTTTTCTCTAATTTGTACATGGAGTTTCCTGGCTGCCCCTGCCTTGGTTTTTCAACTGGATAATCCCAGGTAAAATGGGTTTCTTATGCTTCAAGAGTCAGTTTGGATGTTATCTTAGAAGCCTACTCTCAATCCTCCAGCTAGACAGGTGATCATTTTCTCTATACTTCATATCACTTATTATATTCTACTTCAATTGCCTATGTACTTTGGAAAGGAGACTTTATTTTTTATAAAGGGTTACAGACTGCAGGGTAGCCATCCTGCCAGGCTGGGAAGTGTAGCCTCCAGCAGAGACTGTTAACAGGCACTGCATAGGAGGGGGGGTTGGGGCAGGAGCTTTACGCTAAACAGGTTGGCTACACATATATATTCAACAGTTATAGGAGAAGCTATGAATATTTACAAAGAAGATCCTGATGCATGCATATTGAATAAACATGCATGTTACATGTGTCCCATTTCACGTTGGGAGTGGAGACTTCACCTTTAAATGCATTACAATTGGGTCAAAAAAGTGAAGCGAAAAAAACGAGGCACTCTAGCATGCAGCCTCTGTAAACTGGCCAGAACCATCCTATAGTTAGTGGCCTCTTATCAGAAGAAAGTTACTGAAATCAGCTTCTGGTTCAATCAAAGCTATAGTTACGGCTTGTGGAACAGGGAGTTAGTCTGCGTCTGGTGGTGGATGAGCTATAATTGTTTTTAATATTGCTTATCTTGAGGCCGATGCTCGTTTAGCCACTATGGAAAAAGAAATCTGGTGGCAGTTAGAACAGAATTTATTCTTTAAGTGTAGGGGTGTGTGACTTAACCCTTGCCTGGTATGGTGTTAGGTCTTTATAATTTGGTATCTTATTGCCACAAAGAGTCTGTTCCATCAGTCTTATGATCTGTTTCAGTGTTAATGCTGGTCAGTTTTCATGTCTAAACCACAAAAAGGAGGGTATCATGAAACATGTTTGAACTCCCATTCCATCATGGCTAGGAATTCAGTTTTTAATATTTCCCTGGGGTCCCATTGGCTAAGAGAGGGGTTCATTCCATCCTTGGGGGCTAGGAATTTTATTGTTAGTTCTCACTTTTTTTTTTTTTTTTTTTGAGACAGAGTCTCACTCTGTCACCCAGGCTGGAGTGCAGTGGAGCAATCCTGGCTCACAGCAACCTCCAGTCTCCCAGGTTCAAGTGATCCTCCTGCCTCACCCTCCCAAGTAGCTGGGACCACAAGCATGCACTACCACGACAGGCTAATTTTTTTGTATTTTTAGTAGAGACAGGTCTCACCATGTTGGCCAGGCTGGTCTTGAACTCCTGGCCTCAAGTGATCCACCCGCCTCAGCCTCCCAAAGTGCTGGGATTACAGGCATGAGCCACCATGCCCAGCCAGTTCTCACTTTTAAGACAGATAACTTCATGGTGCAGTATATGTCACATAAGGTGTGAATAAATATTTGGAAAATTTGATCCATAAAATATGGATAGTAGTAACCATTTCAAAAAGTGACCATAAGAACTAGGAGATGATCACTTCCGTTAAGTTCCTGCCACATAGTAGGCACTCAATAAGTTCTCGATTGAATCTTTCTCCCACTCCTAGCAATGGCAGCAGCCCAGTGGCCTGTCCTTTCCCCCCAACTCCACCAACAGTTTTGTGAGCCAACCCTGCATGGTCTTTTCTCTGCTTTACATCATTGTCATAAATCTCAACTGACACATCAGTGTCTCTGCCACCCCAAGGGGGGCCCTCAGGACAAATATTTTTTCATTAGAGGGGTCCTGCCTTGGCTGGAAGTGTTGAGGTCCTTTGTAGCACTGCCAAAACAAAACACAAACCAAACAGAATTGCCTTCATAATACTGAGACACAGGTGAAAGACTGAGCGGGAGCCTCTATGCACCTTTCAAAAGCTCACCTAAACTACCTGTTGCCAAAGTTCTAAAAATGGTTGTGCATATGCTGTCTCTGCTATTCCTTCTACCCTCAATCATGCCTCTTGGGACAACTGAGTGTTGGGGTCTAGTCGACTCATGGTCTGAACCTTTCTTATTCAAGGAAGAGGGGCATGTGGCGAAGCAGGCTTGTGGTTATAGAAACCCTTGTCCCTTTATAGAGGGCAACCAGATATCATCAGCATAACAAAGGGGAGTAGTATATTTTGATATACACAGTATTTTTATAACAATGATGGATATGATATATTGCTGTCAATTTTTACAATTGGCAGAGATAGAGGTGCTTTTTTCTTAAATCAGAAGGTACATATCTAGAACATCTCTCTCCGGAAAACTAGAAGACGTATGATAAAGAGTAGAGACAGCAGAGTCAGAAGGTGGACAGAGCCACAAGCAGAGCACTTAGGGAGAGCTGGCGTTTGGCTGGCTGGATAGAGTCTACTCTAGTTCTTGCTTATTAGTCAGTCACTGTTTAAGCAGCATAAATGTGTGCAATGTTTGCAAATATGTGTATAATATTTTGCTAAAATAATTTGGTTAAGAGAGAATTTTCCTACGTGTTTTAAAACACAACTAACTTTCAGAGGATAAGAATACAGTAAAATATGCATGACACATGAGTTGCATGGAATAGATTTGTGTTCAAGATTTGGAAATTGACTGAGATTTTTGTAGTATTTCATAGCTGTGTAGTCTAGACAGATAGGGCTTATCGGTGGACATGAAAACAAAATTTGAGGACTCACAGTTCAGTCTAGACTCGGGGTCCAGGGTTAACTATGTAATGGAAGATAGCCTTTGAGAGGGGATGTAGATAACAGAACCCCATGAGAGGCTAGTACAGTGTATAAAACCAAGGTATGAGTTTTTTCCAAAAGAAGAGGTCTCTTACCAAGACCGCTGTGGTCCTCATGAGTCTGTTCTTGAGGTAGAAATTCTGGAAAGAAAAAGCCTGCTGTGACTCTGGGCTGGCATTCTTATTTTCAGAGTGCACAAGACCTCTGTTGATGATACCTCCTGAAGAAGCAGTGAGTTGTACAGTATCACAAAAGAAACTTGGATCTTCCCTGGGGTTGGCAGGAAGCACAGACTCACCAGCTTCCATTTTACTGAATTACACGTTTGTTTTTGATGTGTAGGAGTTTAGTGGCAGGGATTCCATCCATCCTGCACAATTTCAGTGAGTCCTTTCATGAGAAAGAAAAGAATAGTAGAAATAACTATAAGAAAATACTTCTTATACTGCATATTCTGTCAGATTAGTCATGGTGTTCTCATAAAAAAATATAGACCAAAAGCAGACTTTGTCTGTATAGTTTATGAAACACTTTGTTTCTTTTGGTTCATAAATAATCACAGATGGTCCCTAAAAAAAGTATAAGATGAAATGTAAGAAGAAATTTGTTAAACGATAATTTTCATTTCTTGATGAACATAAACTATACCTGAATTTTGTTTTCCACAAAAAGTTTATTATGTGTTTTAAATTACTAAAATATATTACAGATAAATCTGAAGTGCCCTTAAGCTGCCATCCTTAATTTATTTTTTCTCCTTTTTTAAAGAAAGCTTTTATCATAAATTTAATGTTTTATTTTCTATTTTTTATTATTTAATGCAAACAGTATTCATGAGCAGTATAAAATATGATGTTGGTATGATTTAAAATTTTATACAAATTGTAGCATATCTTCACATATTCTGAAATATGCTTCCTCCACATTTTATACTTTTGTATTATATCCATCTTGATATGAAATTTTTATTTTTTACTTGTCCTAAAGAAATCTATTATATTCTATGTCACATTTTATTTATCTATTTCCTCACTGGTCAGACATTTTCAAAAAGTATGCCACTTAATTGCATTTATTGAGTTAGTATTTATTTACAAAAGATTTTCTGTATAAATTCTTTGTATAATATGGTGATTTTAGTAAATAACTATATATCGTATACTTGAAAATTACTAAGAGTAGATTTTACATATTCTCATCACAAAAAATAAGTATGTGATGTAATGGATATGTTAATTAGCTTGATTTAGCCATCCCACAACATATACCTGTAGAAAAACATCATGTTGTACGTAATATATACATATAATTTTTATTTGTTGATAAAGAAAAATGAATTTTCTGAACTAGTACTAGATATAGGGTATCTGAATAAAATGGATTGATTGATTTGATTAAAGAACGTCTACCTATAGAAATTATGACCCGTTTTTAGAGTTTTTAAAAACAGAAAGACATGTAACCTGAAATGTTTACCAAAAATGTTTCTATTTTATTATGTTTCAAATGATTCTTAAAGATATTGTCAAATTTTATGTGTACACCTTGTATTTGAGTAGGATGGTTTTGGGGTTTGGCAGATACTAATTCTGCTATGGACAAGTATTAGTTATGGACTAATGCTTTCGTTTTCCCATGGTTCTAACTTACTAGAGCAATAGACACCAGAATGACATGGTGAAGAAGCATACCGGTACCTTTAAAAAAAAATCCCTCGGCCGGGCGCAGTGGCTCACGGCTGTAATCCCAGTACTTTGGGAGGCCGAGGTGGGCGGATCACGAGGTCAGGAGATAGAGACCATCCTGGCTAATACGGAGAAACCCTGTCTCTACTAAAAGTACAAAAAACTAGCCGGGCGTGTTGGTGGGCGCCTGTAGTCCCAGCTACTCGGGAGGCTGAGGCAGGAGAATGGCGTGAACCCAAGAGACGGAGCTTGCAGTGAGCCGAGATCGGGCCACGGCACTCCAGCGTGGGCAACAGTGCAAGACTCCGTCTCAAAAAAGAAAAAAACCTTCAAATTACAAGGTATTTTGCAAACATGTTGGGGAATGTGGCTTGATCCTGAGGCTAAAAAGAAGCCTTCTACTATTATCCCACTGGCTCCTCACACCTGCATACCCCAAAGTGTACATCCTCTAAGTACCTTTAGAGTACTAGAGATGTTGTATTTCTTTTCTGGCTCTAGTTCTGAATTTTCACTTACGGAAGCTATTAGTCATTGGGTCCGAACAGCTATGGCTTATAAAAATGAATCCACAGAACATATCCTGTAGGTAGTCAAAAACTGTGTTAGCAAATTACAGGATGTAACTAGTTATATAATTATTTTAAGCTGAGATATAACAGGTGTACTATTTTGTAGAGTGGACTAGATAGTTTATTCAATGATCTATTTTATCACTTTGTCTTTCTTTAAATCATAGATACACATAAAAATATGCGTAAACTTGATGAACATTTAAACTGAATCAGAATGTCTAGTATCTTAACAACGCAAGATACAATATATAGTAATATATCCTCAAATCTGTAATTTTATAAAATTTGTTGCAATTATGAGTAGAGAGCCATTTTGAGTAATTATTTTAGTGTTGTAGAAATATTCCCATTAGGAACTTATATAGACAAAATGTTAATATTCTTTCAGACCATAATGTATTTGCAAAGCGTGGAAGCACTTTCCGTTATCCTTATACACAGGAGACCTAGGTAATAGCATTATGTAGATAATTTTACCTCAACAGAAATAATATAACCATAGACATTGATGATAAGAAAAGCTCAAGAGGTACTTTAGGCCATTAGCCTGAAAAATTTCTGCATATCTTAAACTTTTGTGTCTGATCTAATTTGTCTGACTTTAATGGTTCCACTTTTAACAATTTCCAAAGAAAAGTTTTTGAATTTTTAATTGAGATATTTCTTATTTTACCTAAGGTAATAATCAGAAACTATATGATAGAAATTAGAAGCAACAGAATCTGTTAGGTGGCTGGCTTCAAGCTATTTGCTTTCTCTTCTAAACATTAGGTTTAGTCTCATATTATCAAGGATGTAACACCAACCAGCTGACCAGGTGGTCCTTTATGCGTGCAGCATACTTCCCTCGTCAATGTTAAAGAGATGGAGACACCTGTTTATGTGCCCAACACTCTAAGAGCCACGTCTGATTTCAATTAAAAGTAGATCTGGTTTCTATACCAATGTTTAACCGATGTTTCCATGGAAAGTCCCTAATGCTTGTTTCCTTTTTAAAAAATATCTTTTAATTTTGAAATAATTATAGATTCACAGGGAGTTGAGATAGTATGGACGGGTCTCACGCCCCCTTCCTGCAGTTTCCTCAATGACTACACCTTATGTAACAATAGCACATGTCAAAACCGGGAATTTGACACTGGTACAATGTTGCCATTTTATCACCTATGAGTGAGATGTCCTTTTATCAGCATTGTGGATTTGTGTAAAAACCATCATAAGCAAGATAGAGGACTATCCCATCATCACAACCTCCTTTATGCTACCTCTTTATAGTGTTCATCCTCCTACTCCCCACAATCTCTAACCCCTGAGAACCACTAATTTGTTTTCCATATCTATAACTTCTGTCATTTCTAGAGTGTGTTATAAATGGAATCAATCACTCACCATACATCGTGGTTAAATGGAAAGTCCCTAGTTCCCGCTTCTCCCATTTTTATTTTATTTTTTTCTTTAAAAGCAATTTATTTCTGATTACAAAATACAGGTGAGCACGGGCGATGCCTGTAACCCCTTGGTTGTGCATCTTCCCAGTCTATTTCTGCTTCTAGAAATACCCTGTGTACAACAGCAAGCTCATACTGTCCCCAAGTCCTTGCACATTCTAACAGCTGCAGAGTATATGACCAGGTGGAAAGTCCAACAGACGCCCCGCTCACAAGATAGGGCCCTCCAATCAGTCTTCTGGCTCCCTTTCACTAATAGTAACTGGTTGCTCTTCCTATTGGTCATAGATAAATGACACCTGCACAGTTCTCCGAGTGCTTTCAAGCAACTTCGGGAGGCAGTGACTAAGACCCTTTCCTTGCTCCCAGCTTCCTGTGTCCGAGGCTGCCTGTGGCGCCTGGACTGCTGCTGCCCCTGGGTCCCGTACATTCCAGGGCGACGATGGAGGAAGGGCAGGCCACGCATGAGGAATTAACAGTCTTTATTGGGCTCAGACCAGGAGTCTGTGGGTCTTGAGGACCTCTGTGTATTTGTCAATTTTCTTCTCCATGTTCTTCTCGGCCTGTTTCCGTAGCCTCATGAGCTGTTTCTTCTTCCGGTAGTGGATCTTGGCTTTCTCTTTCCTCTTCTCCTCCAGGGTGGCTGTCACTGCCTGGTACTTCCAGCCAACCTCGTGAGCCAGGCGCCCCAGATAGGCAAACTTTCTTGTAGGCTTCAGACGCACAACCTTGAGGGAGCAGGAACACCATCCGCTTTTTCTTGTCGTAGGGCGGTGGGATGCGGTCAAACACCTTGAGGCGGTCCAGAGAAGCCTGGCCTCGCTTGGTCTTGTGGGGCGGCATACCTCGCACGGTCCGCCAGAAGATGCGGCTGGGGGGCCCGGAAGTGGTAGGGACCTCGGGAAAGGTGGGTGTTCATCCGCTTGCGGAGGAAAGCCAGGTACTTCAACTTGTTTCTGTAGAAATTGCCAGAAATGTTGATGCCTTCGCAGCGTACGACCACCACTTTCCGGCCCAGCAGTACCTGTTTAGCCACGATGGCCGCCAGGCGGACCAGGAGATGGCCTCGACCATCGAGCACCAGGACCTGCACCTCCGCCATCTTCGGCAGCCGCTTGGGAAAAAGCGCTTCTCCCATTTTTAAAGCTATGTCCCACGTCTTCTCCATTTCACCCCAGGTACAGCTATTTTTAGCTCTGGCATTTTATAATATTAGCCAAATAATCAAGTTCAAAAAAGTAAAATGACCTAGTCACTTTGCTAAGTGATAGAAAAATTTGTTTTTTTTTGTAGACAAAAAAACCCATTAACCTATTATAAATACATATATTATTGCTGTATTTCATTTCTATGGAGAGCTGGGCTATGTCTTCTTTCCAAGAACATGCTTCACTCATGACTGTATCTTCATACCTAACAGTGTTTGACATCTATCAGGTATTTAATAAATTTAGGGGGGAGGAAAAATGAATAAAGACCTTTTTACTTCTATTCAGGGTAAAGTTGATGGCTTATGAGATTCTGCATCTGTGCAAGAGGACATCTTGTGTTAACTGGCCATTGAGAGGAAAAGCAGATGATGGAAATGTTAGTAATGACTATCACCTGTTTACTTTGTGGTCCCTTCCTCCTCATTCTGCAGGTGGAGCTGCAGCCCAGCTGGAGACACAAACGTTCCCATTTGTAGCTGAGAAGTCCCTGTTTGGTGGATCATGGGCTCCTTCCACTGGTTTTGGTGAGAACTCACTTTTTTTTTTCAGAAAAATGTATTTTATTCACATTATTATGATAAAAATTCACTTCCATCAGCCTTGAATTAGCACATTAGCACACAAAAGCCTCTTAACATAATCTTAGTGCCCTAGGTACTAGGTTGGCTTCAGGGAAGAAAGGAACCTGACTGCTCTATAAATAAAACACAAAACAGCAGACTCAGTTTGGATGAAATGAGAAAGAGGACTGTGGATTCCATCTCTAGATCAAGTCTTCAAAAGTCATTCCCCCATAAGCAAACAATTGGCCAACACAAGCTAAGAGAATATACTTGTTGCCTGGTTTTCATTTCATCTTCATAACAATGTTTTGTGAACTGTTCAAGTTGTCTCTGACCTAGCTCCCTTGTGCTGCAGCTGGAGGCAGCAGAGAGCAGAATTATTTGGAAGCCTTCATGGGCTGCAGCAGTGATGAAGGGCATTCTCATACTACGGTGACCTAAGCTATCACAGTCCCTGGCACAATGATCATGGGTACAACTAGTCCAATCTTAGCTATAGGTATCTTTTTCCAGGCAGTCTGTGGACAACACCCTCTTCCAGTTCGGTCACCTCCCCTTCTGAGGCTCTCAAGGTTCCTCTAATGTCCTCTGACTACCCAACACAGGTGTCCACTTCCATTCAACCCTCTTGCTATACCTATCCATTTTTCTTTCTTTTTATGATGATGATTATTTTTATTACACTTTAAGTCCTGGGATACATGTGCAGAACGTGCAGGCTTGTTACATAGGAATACATGTGCCATGGTGGTTTGCTGCACCCATCAACCCGTCATCTGGGTTTTAAGCCCCACATGCATTAGGTATTTGTCCTAATGCTCTCCCTCTCCTTGACTCCCCCACCCCCTGACAGGCCCCGGTGTGTGATGCTCCCCTCCCTGTGTCCATGTGTTCTCACTGGAGAACTCAGACACTCTTCTGGGGCATCTATGAGGGGTGCTGTCCACCTCTATGGGGCATGAAGTTTCTCCTTTAGCCAATGACCTCAGGAGGTCTTGGTGCTCAACTTTTCTCACTGGTCATTTAGGTTAGTTCATCTTGGTTGCCAAATATGAGCTATTGCCTTAGCTTAATAAGCTTTATGGGAGTATTTTTAAGATTATATAATAAAAGTATACTCTATATGGTAGAAATAAGAGACTCTTAGACAAGGTGTTTTGTTTTCTGCTCTCTGATAATCTTTCACTAGTTCTTCTGGATATCTTCCCAGGTCCAAATCACAGTCAATTTCTGGGAAGGCAGCCAGCAAAAGCTGACCAAAGGCCATCAAAACAGAGAAATATTTATTAAGAAATGACTAATTGTAAAATTAGTTTTCTCGAGTCCCTCCCCTCAGCACTAATGACTATCCCCGCCCATTGTATCGACATATTTTTTGGCGTCAAAATATGGGAGGATGGGGATATGTGGTAGGAACGGGGTTAGATTGTGGGATTTTTACTCACTTTTTAGGTTATGGAGCATCACTAAAAGCTTTGCATTGGTGAAGTGCTACCTGAGTAGTGCTTTAGGGAAGGTTAATTCATTGAGGAGCAACATGGAGGAGAGGAAGAGTACAGGTGGGCGGGCAAGTGGGTCACCTGGGCTCAAGCTAGCCAGTGAATGGAAATGTGTATGGGTCACAACACAAGTGAAATCCATTTGTCAAATGCCTTTAAAAATCTTACTGTGTTCACACATTAAATATTCATAATGACTGTGTGAGTTAGGGTAGGTTTTAAAGTTGAGAAAACAAAGGAGGAGAGAGCAGGTGACTTGGTCTTGGCTACACTAGTAAGAAAGTAGAGCAGGGCTAAGTAGAGTACAGGTGGTCGCTAATCATTGTTGATTTATTTTATTTCTGTTATTAAAGCCTGACCGGTGAGCTGACCAGTGGAGGGTCACCATGTTGGCCAAGGAAGAGTGAAACAAGGTGCCTTGGGTAGGGGCTGAATCATATAGAATTAGGATATTCCTGGAAGGTGGAAAAGAGGCCTTTTGTTCAGGGATATCTTTTGACCCAAAAGGTGTAAAGACCATTTCAGGTATTCAGGTAAAATAGATAGTATTTCTGAAGTTATCATTAGGAACTTTACTCTATTTTATAGTGAGCCAGGTAAAAATGCATGATCCTTAATACTGTACAAATTGGCAAATGGCTCTATGGGTGCATGAGTAAGGTATGTTTTGAAAGCATAGCTGGCATCTACACAGACTTGTCAATTAAAAATCTACCCAGAGTAGGCCAAACATAAAAAACCTCATTTCAATTTATGCCCTATTTCTGTTAATAACAGTAGCTACTAAGACCCTCTTATAAAAGGCTACAATGTTAATTTAGCAAAATTATTCCAATTGACCCATATGAGACATTTTTCCATCTGTTATGTGAATGCTGGCAACATAATAGATGTCTTAGTTTAATGAGCATATTATACTAATTGAAATAAAGACCTAGGGGTGTAGAGGAGCAGAGTAACATTTGCTAGTTACCACCAAAGTATTAAATTCCTGATACAGATGATCACTTTTACTATTATAGAATTAAAGGCAAGATATTAATTTGAAAGAAAAAATAAGACTTTCTGAGAGATGGATGACAACTAAATGGAATTGATTTAAAAATAATTTTATAATTATTAAAAAACAAAAAACTTAAAAAATCAAATGCCACTGGAACAAAAATAAAAACAAAAAGTTAAATAAATTTAAGTAAGTATATTAATTTTAGAATAATATAGACCTGGAAGCCTGAAACTCAATAAATATCATAAACAATGTTAAAATAAAAATCTATATCTTAAAGTTATCCATTTGGTAGAAATGAGAAACTTTGGATATCATCTGGCTCTATCCTGTCTTGACAAATATGCATTTAAAAAGTATTTCTGAGTACCTACTGTGTGCCAGGAACTCTGCTAATAACTGAGAATGCAGTAATATGAAAGCAGTAATTTCACCTGCCTTCATGGACCTTATAGTTTAACAAACCTTAATAAAATTATCCTATAATCATAAATAGAAAGTAATAAAATATAAATATAAAATTTCAAGTATTAAAAGCCAAGCAGATAATGAAAGGAACTGAATTGCAAAAAGACTAATTTTATAATTGGTCATTTTCATAATAAATATTTCTCTGATTTAGGTCAGAGAAGTACTCCCAGAAGGAACAATATTTAGATAGAGATCAGAAGGCTGAGAAGGATCAACTAATTAACATAGGAGGAGAATATTGAGAACATTCCGGGTAAAGAGCACCAGATCTGTGGCAAGAAGGAGCTTGGCAGGCTTACGGACCTGAAAGAAAGCCACTCTCCTGGAACCTAAGGAATGAGGAAGTACAATTTGCACATGAATTTGCATGATGGGAGGGACCAGAAAACATGGAACCTCATAGAAGACACTGTCTGGAAGGTATTTGATGGTATTTTGCTACCCCAAAATACCATTCCAGGAAACATTTTGCTACCCCAAAATACCATTCTAGAAAACATGGAACCTCATAGAAGACACTGTCTGGAAGGTATTTGAAGGTATTTTGCTACCCCAAAATACCATCAAATTTATCAGAATGGAAACATTAGTGAGCTTGGAGCTATTTGGTTGAGTGGTGGGAATGGAAGTCATATTGGCGTGGGTGGGGAGTGAGAGGTAGGTGAGAAAATGAAATCAGTGGGTGAAGGCAAATTTTTTAAGAGATTTGCATTTGAAGAGTGAAAAAGAGACAGGAAAGCAGTTGGGGAATGAGAGCTTGAGTTTAACTTTCTTTTTAGGATGAGAGAAATGTGAGCCTGTTTAGAAGTCAATAGGAGAGGTTAAATATACAAAAGGAGGAAGATATAGATAATAGCACAAATTAATGGGAAGATGAGAAAAGACAGGATCCAAGGCACAGGTGGATGGAATGGTTTTTTGATAGTCTCCTATGTTTAACATAGGCATGAGAAGAGAAAGCAAAGGAGATCAACTGGAGCTAGACTTTTGCTAAACGGGTGCAAAGACAAAGGGAGAAAAGGTTTCACGGCTCAGAAAATAAAGTACTAAATTTATGGCTCATGGAATCTATAGAGTGATGAATTGGGAGGTCTGATGGGCTAAGAGAGGTTAGAGGTGTTGATAGACTAGACTTTTACCTTATCAGCTGGTATCTTTGTTTTCTTGTAGCTTCAGCTGGCCTCAAACAAATGGACCATTTTCACTGGCTTTTAAACATACACACATCTCTTCCATATTAAAGAGTTCTCATAAGTATACTAGAAGTTAGTCTAGAAATGATATAATTTTGTGATAAAAAATCAGGAGCCTTGATTTAGGGATTTTGGAGGCAGCAGTTATAGGCTGGTAGATTATGGCCATAGTTGCAGGTGACGTAAGTGAAAGATAGAGAACATCTTTAGGAGAAGGAAAATGTCTTTAGAGATAAAGATATTAAGGGGTTTGGGTAAAAATAAAACTCCTTGATGGGCCAGTGCCACTAAGGATAAGAACCTAAACTCTGTGTGAATGGAATGCCTGACAGCATAAAATCAGTGGTGAGCATCAACCAGGAGAGAGACAGTGGGCATAGCTGCATAGCAGGAGCTGCAAAGGGACATGTTTTATTTATTTACTTTTAAAGAAAATATTTTCAGTTTCAGAGTTTACCTAATTAGAAGATATGGGTGTGTGAAATAAATGCCATAAGAAGGAAAAGAAAGACAGGGGTGAAAAGGCATCAAGAAGCATATAGAGGAATCTACACCTAACAAATTCTATGTAGAAAGAGGCATTATCTCTTCCCTTCCCACTTCATTGAACAGCCGAACATCTCTTGTAGCCAAAGGATGAAACCAGTTTTCACAAAGATTTGTCTTGTTGCTCGAAAACAGAGAGTAGATTAAGAATGCTTGATCATAGCTGTACACCATGGAACCCTTTGGAAATATGTAGGCTTCATTAAGTACTCAAGCCCTAGTTGAGGGGCCCAGCCCCTTAGGTGAACTTTGAAGATCCCTTTGCCCTCCTCTTCTGTCTTCTCTTGAACTTTCAAAAGAGTAGTGTCTTTCTTAAACCTCTACCCCCCCTGGTCCTTCTCAGTCATCCAGCTGAATTTTGGGGAAGAAGAAACAAGCAGAAGATGTGAACTTTGGCTCTTATTTCATCCTCACACCAAAAGCTTCACAACCTTGTATAACAGTTTCATTATGAACCCTTGACGGCTGTATTTGTCCCTTGATACAGATTTGATATTTTGTGCTGGGTAAGGATAAGGTGATGGTAGAGATCTCAATGAGCGTGGAGAAACTTGAACTCCCCCAGGGAGGCAGAGGGTTGCCAGGAAAAACTTTGGCATTTGCCAGCCAATCACGTGTATGGTTTTTATTTTGAGAAACTAAGATTTTCAAAAGCCATTACTATTTATTCCTTAAAATAAGATGCAAAATTATTTGGCTTAGAGTTCCTTTGGATGAATTATGAAGTGGATGAATGATATTTAGTGAATTCTAGCTTTAACAGCAGCGCTCTGGGGACATACATAGCCCCCTTTTTCTCCCCTCTCGGCGGTATAATCTCCTGCACATATTATAAGTGGACACATTGAGATTGATAAGCCACATTTAATGAGCAAGTTCCACCTCTCTCCTTCAGATAACATTTGTAGTTTATTTTGGTTTTATGATGATAATTTAATGTTTATCTGTTGCAGCTAGAATTCAAGGGTGATTGCCATTTTATAATGTAAGTAGGCTGTTTCATGTACTATTGTTTTGTGTTCATCCTATTTCAAACAATTTTTTGTTCTTTTTTCATAGAAATCCATTTTTTTTCATCTATGGGATAAAAATCTCTTGATAGCATCCTAATAGCCCAAATTAGCTTCTTTTGCATTGGAATTTTAGCCTAAAACTCTGATTATAAACAAAATAAAACAAACACTCTGCCAATTATTGAGCATTTCTATGTTTCAGAGGTTCTATGAAATATTGCCATACATTAAAATTTTTACTCTTTACAACAGCTATGTGAAGTAGGTGTTATTCATAATTTACATCTCATAAAAGTAAGTCTTTGAGTGGCTACATTGCTCAAAACATCTTCGCTGATAAATATCAGAAACAGGATAACACCCCAAGACATAACAAAGACTCAATTTCATTTTTTAACCATCCCTCTAAACTTCTGGGGGAAGTGGGGTACCATTTTAACTCTTTAATTGCTAGATTTTCATTCAAATGTTATTTGTTCACTGAATTTACCTAACTTCACTACATTCACAGCCTATTTAAGATTTTTTTTTAAACAATTTCAACTTTTATTTTAGGGGGTATATGTACAGGTTTGTTACATGGGTATATTACATGATGCTGAGGTTTGGGGGATGGATCCCATCACCCAGATAGTGAGCGTCATACCCAATAGTCAGTTTTTCAACCTGCCCTCCACCCTTTCCTCTCTACTAGTCTGCAGTGTCTATTGTTCTTATCTTTATGTCCATGTGTACTCAGTGTTTAGCTCCTACTTATATGTGAGAACATGTATTTGGTTTTCTGTTTCTGCATTAATTCACTTAGGATTATGGCCTGCAGCTGCATCCATGTGTCTGCAAAGGACATGAATTCATTCTTTTTAATGGCTGCATAGTATTTTATGGTGTGTACGTACCACATTTTCTTTATCAAATCCATCAATGATGGGCGCCTAGGTTGATCCCATGTCTTCATTTTGAATAGAGCAGCAATGAACATGCAAATGTATGTGTCTTTTTGGTAGAACAATTTATTTTACTTTGGATATATACCCAGTCATGGGATTGCTGGGTCAAATGGTAGCTGTGTTTTAAGTTCTTTGAGAAATCTCCAAACTGCTTTCCGCAGTGGCTGAACTAATTTACATTCCCACCAATAGGTATAAGCATTCTCTTTTCTCTGCAGCCTCACCAGCATCTGTTGTTTTTGACCTTTTAGTAATAGCCATTCTGACTGGTGTGAGATGGTGTCTCAGTGCGAATCTCAAAGAATTGCATTTCTTTGACTGGTGATATTGAGCATTTTTTATACATTTGGTGGCCATGTGTATGTCTTTCTTTGAGAAGTGTCTGTTGATGTTCTTTGCCCATTTTTTAATGGGATTATTTGCTTTTTTGCTTGTTGATTTAAGTTCCTTATATATCCTGGATATCAGAACTTCGTTGAATGCACAGTTTGCAAACATTTTCTCCCATTCTGTAGGTTGTTTATTGATAATTTCTTTTGCTGTGCAGAAGCTCTTTAGTTTCATTAGGTCCCTCTTGTTAATTTTTGCTTTTGTTGCTATTGTTTTTGTGGACTTAGCGAAACATTTTTGTGCCAAGGATGATGTTGAAAAGAGTATTTTCTAGGTTTTCTTCCAGGATTTTTATAATTTGAGGTTTTACATTTAAATCTTTAATCCATCTTGAGTTAATTTTTGTATATGGTGTAAGAGAGAGGTCCAGTTTCAATCTTCTGCATATGGATAGCTAGTTATCCCAGCACTTTTTATTGAATAAGGAGTCATTTCCCCATTGCTTGTTTTTGTTGATTTTGTCAAAGATCAGATGGTTGTGGATATGCAGCTTTATTTCTGGATTCCCTATTCTGTTCTGCTGGTCTGTGTGTATTTTTTGTACCATGCTGTTTTGGTTACTGTAGCCTTAGAGTATAATTTGTAGTCAAGTAATGTGATGCCTTTAACTTTATTGTTTTTGCTAAAGATTGCTTTGGCTATTCAGGTTCTTTTTTGATTCTGTATGAATTTTTGGGTAGTTTTTCTAATTCTGTGAAAATTGACTTTGGGAGCTTGATAGGAATATTGTTGTATCTGTAAGTTGCTTTGGACAATATGGACATTTTAACAAGATTGACTTTTCCAATCAACGAGCATAGGATATTTTTCCATTTATTTGTGTTATCTCTGATTCTTTTCAGCAGTTTTTTGTAGTTCTTATTGTAGGGATCTTTCACCACCTTGGTTACCCGTATTCCTAGATGTTTCTTTTTTTGTGTGGCTCTTGTAAATGGGATTGTGTTTTTGATTTGACTCTCAGTTTGAACATTATCAGTGTATAGAAATGCTACTAATTTTTGTACATTGATTTTGTATCCTGAAACCTTACTGAAGTCATCTATCAGTTCTAGGAGCCTTTTGGCAGAGTCTTTGGGGTTTTCTAGGTATAGAATTATATCGTCATTGAAGAAAGATAGTTTGACTTCTTCTTTTCCTATTTGGATGCCTTTTATTTCTTTCTCTTGCTTGATTGCTCTGTCTAGGACATCTTATTTTTGTTCTTTTGATGTCATGTCTTTTTGATTTGTGTGTGCATGCATGTGTGAAGGATGTGGAGGAGGGGTCAGAATGTATAGTCAGTGTGCTCCTACACCCATGCTTTTTGTATTTCTGGTTGAACAGGTCTGCAGTGGTGTGATTACTATAGAAAATTCATCTTGGTGCTTTTTACCCATGGACCTAATATCTCTAGTTTTGCTTTATCAGTCAAAAATAAAGCTTTATCATGGGCTTTTCAGGGAGATATTTCTGAGATTTGGTCCTTCACCTGCAACCTGCTAGTTTTCTGACACTAACATGATGACTTACTCTTTCTGAATCTCATCTTTCTTCTTCATAAAATGGTAAAGATTCTACCTTCATCCTACATTTTTTGAGAGCATTACGTGAGATATGTATCTGGGACATGTACACAGTGTCCAACACATATTGGTTGCTCAATGGTTGTTTGTTCTTTTCCCTATACTGGAATAATACAATTAAAAAGCTTCAACAAATTGCTTGTCACTTTTATGATACGCTAGAAAGAGCAAATACCTATAGTTTTTTATAAAAGTTATAATAGGAGGAGGAATTGCTTTGTGTTAATCCAATCATTCTATTCACACTTGTTCTTAAAACTTCATGATTTATTTCAGCAGGAATTTTTTTTAGTATCTTTCATTATGATTTCATACTGTTGGATCTTCAGTGCTGCTAACATTTATTCAGGGAATAAAGCTAAGTATTTCTTTAGTAACATCACAAAGGAAGCATTTTGGGAGGCAGTTTTATTTTTAAAAGTGTATTTTTTTTTTTTGCAAGAAAAAGGGCATATATGTGTGCATCTGTGTTTATACACTCCATACCATTTAAACAGACCTCAGGGATAATAATGTTTCTAAAATCTCTTTTGAAAATGGCATGCATATTTGGTTATTTTAGGGAGTTTTTTTTTTTTGGAGGAAGAAGGGGGGCTAGTTTCCTCTCTCCTAATAAAAGTTAAAATAACCTGTTTAGAATTTTATTAAAATATCATATGATATCGTCTCTAAGAAATTTGGGATTTCAGCATCATTATGACATGGTGGGTTGAATGACTAAATTCTAGCTATTTTTAAATAACATAATCTTAAATTATGGATTTTTCGGGGATAAAGAAAAGATCAGACATTTTCATTGTATTTCAAGACTTCAATAAGCACACATTTTTATTCAGTTTCTTCCCCTTCTCTAAGCTTACATATTCCTTCAAGATAAAATTGCCCTGTTAGTTGTTGTCAGGTTTTATCCCCTAGTATTCTTATGTAAACATTAGGTATTCCTTGATAAGGTTGGCTATTTTTCAGGAAACCCACTGAATTCAGAGTGAGTAGTCATGAACTTTGAGGATGAATATAAAAGCAGGCTTACTATGAATTTCTGTTTTGTTTTTACTATTCCATGTGACACATGGAAATTAATCACTGTTTTCTCTTCTCCATCACAATACCTTATCTAAATTTATACTAAAATATTCTAGAGTGCTTCTGAGACAGTTAAGATATTTTTAGCTAGCTCGAGTTCAAAGAAAGCAATGACAAAACCTCTAAATGTAACAGCATGTAGAAGATTGATAGAAATGGTTCACACTAGATATTATTGACCATATTATTTCATATAATCTTTTCAACACCACTGCCAGGATCAGGATTATTATCACTGCATCGATAAAAATGAGAAAGTCAGTACTATGTGACCAAGAAAGCTGTCACATCACTGTGTTCTCCACTGCTATTGAGCTCACCTACAACCTTAAGAAACTAAAACAGCACATAAAAAGCTTGCTTCCAGTCAGAACATTGTATAAAACACGTTCAAAGGTCTATAGAGTGGTGCCGAGGAGCTACATTCCAAGAAAATATCAGTTAGGGTAAAATTATTGGTTGTTTTTTTTCCTGTTCTTGGCTCTCATTTCCTCCCCCAGGTTATGTAAATAGATCTTGGACGATGGTTTTGTTCACTATAGGCTTGCACCATATATTTATCATCTATAATTAAACTTGTAAAGCAATTTTATTATAAATTCCTGCAACCTAACAGGAGACCAGTGGGTCAACATGGGCAGCACCAGAGAGCTTGTTAGAAAGGCAGAATTTCAAGCCCCACCCTAGACATTTTTGTTTGTTTGTTTGTTTGTTTGTTTGTTTTTGTTTTAGATGGAGTTGCCCAGGCTGGAGTGCAGTGGCATGATCTTGGCTCACTGCAACCTCCGCCTCCCGGGTTCAAGTGATTCTCCTGCTTCAGCCTCCAGAGTAGCTGGGACTATAGGCACCCACCACCATGCCTGGCTGATTTTTGTATTTTTAGTAGAGACAGGGTTTCACCATATTGGCCAGGCTGGTCCCGAACTCCTGACCTTGTGATCGGCCTGCCTCAGCCTCCCAAAGCGCTGGGATTACAGACGTGAGCCACCGCGCCCGGCCAGAAAGTGCATTTTAAGGAGATCCCTGGGTACTTGGAATGCACTATTTTCAGCCAGTATCTCAAAGTAAGGATGGACACACCCAGGGTGGTGCAAAGTAGTCCATTTTGGTACACTTCAAATTTTATTTAAGAAAGGAATTGCATTTATGGATATTTACAATACTGACTGACTCTGGCGCCCTCCTGTGGTTCTCTATGGGGTAGCCAGGATACTCGAGATGTCCTGAGAGGTCCTCAGCCGTCTGTGATGGCCCCACAGCTGTGGCTTCCACTTGTTCATTTGCTTCCTGTGTAATGTAATAAAGTGCAATTTCTTTGGGCCTCTTTAAGTATAAATATCCAGTTTTACCTTAATAAATCCTCTGCATATGGACAAACTTTAAAAGATTCTCCCACACATTAGAACAAAGGTCAACTAAATGTGGGTAGAGATGATCAAGGACATTTTTAGGGTTGTTAATTCCAGTCCAGGTAGAAGCTCTTGGTAAGCCAATTATGTCATTAGACAAAACCCAGACCACACAATGATCTAATCAGATCTTATAATAAGTCAATAAAATTAGGAATCATCATGATTATTGAAATATGGATTTACATTCATTGCCATTAGCAGTGAATGAACCATCCCCTAAGTGCATATTTGCATATTTTACATATTATAGCTTTGTGAAGTATCCTCAATTTTGACAGACATTAAAATCAATGTAAAAATAAACTGAACTTAGAACTGCATCTATGAATAACTGGATCTCAAAGTATTAGAGCAACCAAAACCAATCACATAGTTCTCACTAAGGTAGTATTGAATCAATATGAATTATTTTCTCATATGATAAAATTATTAAGTATTTTCAATAATTTTTAGTTGAAGACAGAAGATTTCTATGCCGTTAATAATTAAAATTAATTTAAAATATAGTTTTTTCGTTATCAAAAATTCCAAGGTTTGTTTCACCATGTATATATTAATTCAACAATAAAAGCATGTAAATACGAATTATATATGTATTTCTATATACTCCCCATACACAAATACAAACATATATGCTAAGAAACTTTGCAGATAGAGGTGGAATATATACATATATATGTATATATATACACATACGTATATATATACACACACACATATATATACACGTATATATGTATATATACACACGTATATATATATACACACGTATATATATATATACACACACGTATATATATATACACACACACACACACACACACACACACACACACACATATATATAAAAGAAATTCCTCCTCTTTAAACTCTGGAATAAAATCAAATATATTTTTTCTCCTCAAAGAACCTACAAAATAGTGAATCAAGGCAAGTAGCAAAATACTTGTTTTTCAGTAGTAACCCTGGGAAACAGCATAAATGGAGACATTCATTACGAGACAAATTACTCTTGAAAAGATTTTGTTAAATTTAAAAAAATAATGTAAATACTGAGTTAATAGATCATATAATTTTACTTGTTTTTAGAATTTTAAAAATTGAGCTCAAAGAATTAGTATTCTTTTTTTCTGTTTTTATTTATTTATTTTTTATACTTTAAATTCTGGGATACATGTGCAGAATGTGCAGGTTTGTTACATAGGTATACACGTGCCATGGTGGTTTGCTGCACCCATCAACCCGTCGTCTACATTGGGTATTTCTTCTAATGCTATCCCTCCCCTAGACCCCACCTCCAGACAGGCCCCGGTATGTGATGTTCCCCTCCCTGTGTCAATGTGTTCTCACTGTTCAGCTCTTAGAAGTGAGAACATGTGGAGTTTGGTTTTCTGTTCCTGTGTTAGTTTGCTGAGAATGATGGTTTCCAGCATTATCCATGTCCCTGCAAAGAACATGAACTCATCCTTTTTTATGGCTGCGTAGTATTCCATGTTGTATATGTGCCACATTTGCTTTAGCCAGTCTACCATTGATGGGCATTTGGGTTGGTTTCAAGACTTTGCTATTGTGAATAGTGCTGCAATAAACATACGTGTGCATGTGTCTTTATAGTAGAATGATTTATAATCCTTTGGGTATATACCCAGTAATGTGATTGCTGGGTCAAATGGTATTTCTGGTTCTAGATCCTTGAGGAATCGCCACACTGTCTTCCATAATGGTTAAACTAATTTACACTCCCACCAACAGTGTAAAAGCATTCCTATTTCTCCACATCCTCTCCAGCATTTGTTGTTTCCTGACTTCTTAATGATTGCCATTCTAACTGGTGTGAGATGGTATCTCATTGTGGTTTTGATTTGCATTTTTCTAATGACCAGTCATGATGAGCTTTTTTTCATATGTTTGTTGGCCACATAAATGCCTTCTTTTGAGAAGTGTCTGTTCATATTATTTGCCCACTTTTGGATGGAGTTGTTTGTTTTTTTTGTTGTATATTTGTTTAAGTTCCTTGTAGATTCTGGATATTAGCCCTTTGTCAGGTGGATAGATTGCAAAAATTCTCTCCCATTCTGGAGGTTGCCTGTTCACTCTGATGATAGCTTCTTATGCTTTGCAGAAGTTCTTTAATTAGACCCCATATGTCAATTTTGGCTTTTGTTGCCATTGCTTTTGGTGTTTTAGTCATGAAGTCTTTGCCCATGCCTATGTCTTGAATGGTATTGCCTAGGTTTTCTTCTAGGGTTTTCATGGTTTTGGGTCTTATGTTTAAGTCTTTAATCCATCTCGAGTTAATTTTTGTATAAGGTGTATGGAAGGGGTCCAGTTTCAGTTTTCTGCATATGGCTAGCCAGTTTTCCCAACATCATTTATTAAATAGGGAATCCTTTCCCCATTGCTTCTTTTTGTCAGATTTGTCGAAGATCAGATGGTTGTAGATTTGCAGTGTTATTTCTGAGGCCTCTGTTCTGTTCCATTGGTTTATATATCTGTTTTGGTACCAGTACCATGCTGTTTTGGTTACTATAGCCTTGTAGTATAGTTTGTAGTCAGGTAGCATGATGCCTCCAGCTTTGGTCTTTTTGCTTAGAATTGTCTTGGCTATATGGGCTCTTTTTTGGCTCCATATGAAATTTAAAGTAGGTTTTTCTAATTCTGTGAAGAAAGTCAATGGTAGCTTGATAGGGATAGCACTGAATCTATAAGTTACTTTGGGGTAAAAAATGTTAAGGGCAGCCAGAGAGAAAGGTCTGGTTATCCACAAAGGGAAGCCCATCAGACTAACAGTGGATCTCTCTGCAGAAACCCTACAAGCCAGAAGAGAGTGGGGGCCAATATTCAACGTTCTTAAAGAAAAGAATTTTCAACCCAGTATTTCATATCCAGCCAAACGAAGCTTCAGAAGCAAAGGAAAAATAAAATCCTTTACAGACAAGAAATGCTGAGAGATTTTGTTACCACCAGGCCTGCCTTACAAGAGCATTTGAAAAAAACACTTACTATGGAAAGGAAAAACCGGTACCAGCCACTGCAAAAACATACCAAATTGTAAAGACCATTGACACTATGAAGAAACTGCATCAACTAATCGTCAAAATAACCAGCTAGCATCATAATTACAGGATCAAATTGACATGTAACAATATTAACCTTAAATGTAAACGGACTAAATACCCCAATCAGAAGACACAGACAGGCAAATCGGATAAAGAGTCAAGACCCACTGGTGTGCTCAATTCAGGAGACCCATCTCACATGCAAAGACACATATAGGCTCAAAATAAAGGGATGGAGGACCTCTTCAAGGAGAACTACAAGAATTAGTATTCTAAAAATGTCTTATATATATAGTCCTACAATATGTCAAAGTATTTTCTCTATTTTATCTCATTTTAAGTCTGATTATCACAGAAATCCTATGAGTAGTTAGGGAGAAATCTGGTCATGGTTTAAAGAAAAATTGGAATATGAGCAAAGCAAATAGAAAGCAAAAAAAAGCAGGGGTTGCAATCCTAGTCTCTAATAAAACAGACTTTAAACCAACAAAGATCAAAAAAGACAAAGAAGGGCATTACATAATGGTAAAAGGATCAACGCAACAAGAGCTAACTATCCTAAATATATATGCACCCAATACAGGAGCACCCAGATTCATAAAACAAGTTCTTAGAGACCTACAAAGACACTTAGACTCCCACACAATAATAGTGGGAGACTTTAACACCCCACTATCAACATTAGACAGATCAATGAGACGGAAAATTAACAAGGATATTCAGGGCTTGAACTTAGCTCTGGACCAAGTGGACCTAACAGACATCTACAGAACTCTCCACCCTAAATCAACAGAATATACATTCTTCTCAGCAACATGTTACACTTATTCTAAAATTAACCACATAATTGGAAGTAAAACACTCCTCAGCAAATGCAAAAGAACAGCAATCAAACAGTCTGTCAGACCACAGTGCGATTAAATTAAACTCAGGATTAAGAAACTCACTTAAAACCACACAACTACATGGAGACTGAATAACCTGCTCCTGAATGACTACTGGGTAAATAACAAAATTAAGGCAGAAATAAATAAGTTCTTTGAAACTAATGAGAATAAAGACACAATGTACCAGAATCTCTGGAACACAGCTAAAGCTAGTGTGTAGAGGAAAATTTATAGCAGTAAATGCCCACAGGAGAAAGTGGGAAAGATCTAAAATCGATATCCTAACATCACAATTAAAAGAACTAGAGAAGCAAGAGCAAGCTAATTCAAAGCTAGCAGAAAGACAAGAAATAACTAAGATCAGAACAGAACTGAAGAAGATAGAGACACGAAAAACCCTTCAAAAAACCCATGAATCCAGGAGCTGTTTTTTTTGAAAAGATTAACAAAATAGATAAAATGCTAGCCAGATTAATAAAGAAGAAAAGAGAGAAGAATCAAATAGACACAATAAAAAATGATAAAGGGGCTATCACCACGGATCCCACAGAAATACAAACTACCATCAGAGAATACTATAAACACCTCTGTGTAAATTTGAAAATCTGGAAGAAGTGGATAAAGTCCTGGACACATACACCCTCCAAAGACTAAACCAGGAGGAAGTTGAATCCTTGAATAGACCAATAACAAATTCTGAAATTGAGGCAGCAATTAACAGCCTGTCAACCAAAAAAGGCCCAGGACAAGACAGATTCACAGCCGAAATCTACCAAAGGTACAGAAAGGAGCTGGTACCATTCCTTCTGAAACAATTCCAAACAATAGAAAAAGAGGGACTCCTCCCTAACTCATTTTATGAGACTAGCATCATCCTGATACCAAAACCTGGCAGAGACACAACAAAAATAGAAAATTTCAGGCCAATATCTTTGATGAACATTGATGCAAAAATCCTTAAGCTGATAAGCAACTTCAGCAAAGTCTCAGGATACAAAATCAATGTGCAAAAATCACAAGCATTTCCATACACCAATAATAGACAAACAGGGAGCCAAATCACGAAGGAACTCCCATTCACAATTGCTACAAAGACAATAAAATAACTAGGAATACAATTTACAAGGAATGTGAAGGACCTCTTCAAGGAGAACTATAAAAATTAGTATTCTAAAAATGTCTTATATATATAGCTCTACAACATGTCAAAGTGTTTTCTCTATTTTGTCTCATTTTAGGTCTGATTATCACAGAAATCCTGTGAGTAGTTAGGGAGAAATCTGGTCAGTGTTTAAAGAAGAAAAATTGAAATATGAGAAGGTTACTTACTAAGTCTCATATGTTTAATAGAAGGACTTACATTCAAGTCTTAAGAAAACCATTTTCTCCTTTCTATTTTCCATTAAGTTTCTGAATTGTTTAAATTACATTGATGTCATATTTGAGTGATGGTCGCAAAATTAGTATCCTGAAATTTGTTGCCACTTGTGTTTTCAAAGTAGTGTTTTTGTGATAAGACATCAAAATGATCAATTGTAATTATTTTTACACTTGTGTGATTTTTATATCATAATTAGTCTAACTTCCTTTTAATGTCTTAAAATATTTCCCCAACAGTTACATTTGTTAGAATGGCTATGTCAACATACATTTTTGGGTCTGTATTTTCCTACTGGACTGCTGACGTCTTCAGCTCTCCAGGATATGATTTCCAAGTTTCAGAAACTTCTCCCTTCATGAATCATAGAATTGTTAGGCTGGGAAAATCTTGGAGAGAATATCTGATTCTAGTTCCTCCCTTTCCTCCGCAGTCTATGGAGCAAAGCAAATTCTTCAAAATGATGAATATTGTACGTACTCTTCTTATTTCTGAAATTTGCTGGGCACCAACAGCCCTTCTCTTCTTTCTGGCCACTCAGCAGGGCTGTATTTTCCAGCCTCCCTTGCAGTTAGTGTGTAATTTGAGTTCTTCACGGAATGAGAGTGGAAGGACTGTGCCTCCAGGCTGAGGCCATTATCTCAGTACGTGTGGCCTCCATATCTTTTTCCTTCTACCACTTAACTTGCAACATAGCAGAACAGCTGACATGATGCGGGCAATGAAAATTCCCTAGATGATGGCAGGATCCGAGATGGAGGAATTCCAGTGCTCAGGATCCCTGCAGAGGAGAGCTGCCTGCCAGCCGGGAACACCTGCCTAGACTATTACGGAGCAAGAAATATAGACACCACACTGGTTTATTTGTTATAGCCATTGAGCCTATATTAACAGTGTGTTTTAGTACGTTATATTTAATGCAGTATGCTTAAGGCCATGTTTTAATTTGAATTATTTCAAGTAGGTTCTTTCGAATTTCACAATCTACGATTGTGTGTCACTGTTGACCTTGCTTTGTGACTTTTTTTAGTTTCTGGGCTGTGACTTCTGGTTCATACACTGGTGGGCAAACCCATATTTAAATCTTATTTCCCATCACATTTGATAGGAAAGCCTCTCTCTCACAGCTTTTGTCTGCCTGCTTATGGTTTTCTGCTAGGCTTGCTTAATGTACTGATTTGCACAGTAGGATAAACTAGAGAACATATTTTAAATCTGAAAGTTTATATTCTGCTGAACATAGCAAACATTGTGAAAAAACACTAAAATGTGCAAAATCTGTCAATTCTCCACACCCCTGCATTGTAAAGGCTCTCGTTAAAAACTAAAAAATGGCAGAATACAGATTGTGTTCAGGAAAAATTGTCTTCCTGTGTACTACACTTAATACATTGGATGCTTCTGCCTGAAGAAATTATATGCTGAACATTAGCAATTTTAGAAAATAGTCATACATTTGACCACATTCATAACTATTTTACACTCTGCTTTGCAAGTCCCTGGTGATTATGGAGCCTTGAGAGCAATTATAATAGTTCAGAAACTATCCAAGAGTGGTTGACTTTGAGACACCTACTGGACTGCTGACTTCTTCAGCTCTCCAGCATATAATTCATAGCCATTTCCAAGTTTCAGAAACTTCTCCCCTCATGAATCACAGACTTGTTAGGCTGGGAAAATCCTGGAGAGACTATCTGATTTTAATTCCTGCATTTACATAGACCACAGACAATGGAGCAAAGCAAATTCTTTTAAAATCCCTTGATGAATCATTTCCACACTTAAAACTATCCTTACGCAAATTACTTGAGGATGGAGATAACAGATTAACAGAAAAATAATGAGTGACAGTTAGAAAGTTAGCCCTAAATCAAATGTTCCAAACACAAGGAAGTAGTGGATAGAAGTCACTTACCTGGAATAGGAACACATATAATATTAAAAAGCCTTACATTTGACCCTTAAAGTGGTCTGTGTACTAGAATAATTTGAAGTTTAAGGAGATTCTGTAGCTTGCTTTGAAAGAACAAAGTAGGGATTCCTGGAGCTGTAATTCAGGTTTTCATTATTCTGCCCCACTGCCATTTCCTCCTTGCCATGGGTGCCCCCTATAGCCTTCTCCACATGAGATGATTTTATCCTTTATCTCTTCTTCTTAATTGAAGAAACCAGAGCAAGGCAGTGGCAATTCCTATTAGGGGTACTTCTCTAGTTTGGAATTTCAGCGATTTTGCAAAACCAATGATCTTGAGCCCAATTATGTATTAAGTAGGGGAAGGTTGTCAACTACAGGACAGATAAGGAGAGAAATGCAGAATCTAGCAAAATAGCTTTTTTTTTTATTTAATGGGTATATTAGTCCATTTTCACACTCACAGTTCCATGTGGCTGGGGAGGCGTCACACTCGTGGCAGAAGGCTAGAGGTACATCTTACATGGCAGCAGGCAAAAGGAAAAAATGAGAGAATTTGTGCAGGGAAACTCCCCCTTATAAAAAATACCAGATCTTGTGAGGTTTATTCACTATCATGAGAACAGCACGGGAAAGACTCGCCCCCATGATTCAATTACCTCCCATAAAGTCCCTCCCATGACACGTGGGAATTGTGGGAGCTACAATTCAAGGTAAGATTCGGGTGAGGACACAGCCAAACCTTATCAACAGGCAAGCATGGATTTGCCAAAATGTATATGGTGGAATCTAATCCCCAAAGTGTTGCTATTATGAAGTGAGGCTTTGGGAGGTGACTAGGTCATAGTGGAGACCTCATGGATAGAATTAATGTTCCTATAAAAGAGGCATAAAGGAACCCTATTGCCTCTTCTGCCATGTGACTACACAGTAACAAGGCGTCATCTATGAGGCAGAGAACAAGTGCTCACCAGACACCAAATCTTGCCTTAATCTTGAACTGCCTAGCATTCAGAACTGAGAGCAACACATTTCTGTTGTTTACAAGTTACTCAGTCTGAGGCATTGTTACAGCAGCCCAAATGCACTAGGATGTCATCTAATAAGTGTGCTTTAGAGAAAGTGATTTGAAAAATCATTTCTAAAATTATACTTCTGATGTTGAAAAATGTGGTTCTGCATACATTGAAAATCAAAAATGGCATCATGTTTAGCATTCAAGCAAACACGTGTTTTAATTTTGATGAGTAAAATTCTTGAGAAATGAGAAAGCTATGAAAATCCTTTATATGGCTTCCCCCTTCAATGTGTAAATTAATTATATTAAGCTTTCTACTTTTATTCTTGTTTTTTAAAGGCTGACTTCAGTTGTTGTTTATCCCCATTTAATTCTATGAGATAGTCTTACTACAATAAATTGTATTATTTTCTGTGTTTTGCCATCTATAGAGAGAATGCTCTGATGTGTATATTTCTAGGGGACTTGGGAACTTGCAGTTTTGGTGGCAATCCCAGATTATATAAACAGGAAATTATTCAATATTGAAAATATGAAGCCTAAGCAAATTTTAAATCATTGCTTAGGACATGCCATCTACAAATGTGCTTTCCCCACTGGGGCACCAGACTGAAGAAAGCAATGTTGCTTGGATCAACATGTTAAGAGCTTCTTAACTCCTAAAAAGTATTCTTTGAAATTCAGACTTTTAAAGGGTAACAAAGGAGTTTGCATCAGGTAATATGTGTTCAGGAACAATCAAAAGAAACTCATTTCAAAGTGGCCTAAAGATAGAGGCAGTTTATTGGATCATAGTAACTGGAAGTCCAGAACTTTAGCAATCCAGTGGCTCTGGCCTCCTTTTCTTGCTTTTATCTTGGCTGCCATTACTGAAGAGGATTTTGCAGTTTTGGTAAATTGCATCATGGTATTCACAGGAAAGCAGTGAGCACTTTTTTTCCCAACTATTCTAAGCAAGAATTCTTCAACTTACTCTGAATTAGAGCATTTAGGAATATTAACTGTGGCTGGGAGAAAGAAGGGAGTTGTTTAGATTAAATGAAAAAGAGTCTATTCTTGGAGCTGGAGGTGGTCAGCTTCTGAACTACAGGTGCTCTGCAGGAATAAGGTAATGAATGCTAATTCCCTTGGGATATGGGATGACTATGGGAGATTTGTTGAGACCAAACCAACACTATGGAATGAAATACATTCAGTGTATTAGAATGTATACTTAATAAAGAGTAAGGTAAGGGCTTACAAATAACTACAGGAGTAACTGTAGTGTGGTTGTGGGGTGAACCTACCAATCTTTCCTGCCTAAAGTATTTATTTCTAAAGAGTTTACTTGTGGATTTCTAGAAATACATTCTATACTTCCCATATTCTGATATATTGCTTAATATTTTTTGCTACTTTTATAATGATTTAGATATAACTATTTTTACATTATTATAATGAAACAAAATAAAATGTACTAGAGCCCATATTTAAAAATAGTCACAGATTGAAATTTCTATTTAATATGAGAGATTATATGTTCTTTCTTTACTTCCTCCCCCTCTTCCTGGCTTCCACTTTCATTCTTTTTTCTTTCCCTTCTATCTTTTCTCACTCTTTCTTTTCTGTTGAATGTCATATATTTAGAGATTTTACATGTTGCTGCTGTCGTATGACTAGATTAACAATTCTTTAGGAAATAATTCTGATAACTACAGATTATACTGCTTTCCAAAAAGACATCTATTTTAATCGCATCAAAATTTGCTCTAGTATCTCATTTAAAAAAATAATGCATGTGAAGGATATTTTCTAAGTTCTTGCATATAATAATGTCTTTATTGCTTCTAAACACGAATAATATCTTCCCCAGAAGTAGATTTCAATCAATAGTCATCTGTACTTTGTAGATGTTGAGCAGTTTGCTTTTTATATATTTAAAAAGGAGAATTTTAGTATTTATATGGTTTTCTTTTTCTTTTGTATGTTACCTGGTTTTCTGCCTGGTTGGTTTTAGGTGTTTTTTTGTTTGTTTGTTTTAAATTCTTGTAGTTATCAAGACCTGTTTTGTCTTTTATTTCTCATCATTTTTACCTAGTATTCAGATGGTCTTTTTCTGATTTAAATTCTTAGCTCTTTTTAGCTCAGTGAACTTGTCTTCAATTTTGTTGTCTTTGCTACTTCTCCTCAATCTTCTGCAGAGAGCTTTTCTTCATCAAATTATTGCTTTTTGAATTCTTATTATGAACATAGGAGAACTTCTGTATCAATCGTCCTTCTTTCTATGATCTTTTCACTTACCATATTAATCCCTTTACTGTTCTAAGTTCTGCAAATATTTCCTGGGGTATGCTAGGGCATATTTCTATTTGCTGTAGCAACCAATCGGCTGCTCACTGCCGCCATTAATTAATATTTGGAAACATAATTTCAATCTGGATGCAATTTCTCATTATCCCAGACTGTTCTGTTTTACAGATGTACTACTCTTTCAAACTTCACAAATTCAGAATAAATTTATGACTTTTTCACCATAAAAATGAGAAGTTTTAAAAGTTTTCTTCTGTTTAATTCAGTAAGGCTATTTCAAAGGTGGCAATTGGCTCTGATAACTTAGATAGGTCTACATGCTTAGAACCATTTTTATTTCCTCTGCATCTTTGCTACTCAAGTTTCAGTTTATGGACCAATAACATTGGTGTCAGCTGGGAGCTTGTTAGAAATGCAGAATCTTGGGCCTCGCTTCAGACCTGAACCAGAATCTGCATTATAACAAGATCCTCAGGTAAACACATCATGTCTGAAATTTTAATGTGAATACAAATCTCCCGAGAATCTTGTTCAGCAATTTTCAGATTCTAACACACACCCAGATTAGGCTGATGTTATGGGACCCTGTACCACAGTTTTGAGTAGCAAGACTATAGAGCAGCCCTGTATTCTAATGTACACTTGTAATTGTAATAGATCTCAGGTCTCCTTTAATTAAATAATATGATTCTTGTTTTAACCAGTGTAAATATTTGTTAGTATTGTAAAATATAATCATTCAGCAGATATTTATCGATTGAAAACATAATAAGAATAAAGGAGGCTGTGATCAAAGGCAAGGCTAGTGGGCACCCAAGTTGGAGAGAAAATGCATCCAAGAGAGGGCAGTGGGCGGAGTCTGAAGGAGCCCTGATCCAGCAGGCAGTTAGACCTAGGCCCAAAGAGACGCTGCCTTTTTCATTTTCAGAGTCCATACCTGGAATGAAGAGTTGATTTTCTTGTTGCTTTTTTTAAATACTCAATCACTGAGTTAGAGCGGGCAATTTTAAATTGCTATTTAAAAGCATTGCCAATGTCACATTTCTTCTTTATCTTCTTCGGTTGATAAGTCGCTCCTTAATTTGCAGTCTCAGGGGCAGCACTGTCTCCATAAGCTTATTTATCTTTATCAAAGGGAATAGTGGAAGATATGAATACTAGACCTAAAGCACATTAAAGCACAGTTGTTAAATCCATAAGAAGATGAGATCTGTGAGTATTAAAGATACCCGGGAGCTGAATGGGAGCTTACTTTAGAAGTGTCATTGCTTTTGTACTTTGAGGATTTGTTGTGAGATTGTTTTTTTCACTTTCTATTTAGAAAGTGGGTCATTAAGAATTGTCATTTGCTAAAAAGTTAACCCCAAGTGCTATAAGTGCCTTGAAAGAAAATAAAGTAGATTTTTAAAAGTTAAAGAATGTGAGTACTTTAGAAAGTATTTATAGAATGAAAAGGATTTACATTTGGTACATTCTAGAAGAGACATGGTATAAGTTTACCTGCTTCAAACAATGCAGTATGCTACTGCTTTTGCTCAGAAAAACACCCTTGTCAAATTTCCTTTGTGTAAATGAAGACTCTCCCTGCAGCACTGGAATTGATTTAACCTTCCAGGTAAGATGAATTTTACAATAGGTCAAATCTGACATTAATATTATGGCCTTCTCCAGTCTTCTTATCTATAATAGTCCTCTTTACACTTGATATAAATACCAGGTTAAATAAAACTGTGGCAAGTGTGATGCTTCATTAAAAAAAATCTTTTTTACAGAATCCCAATATAACTGTAAAAAGGTTGTTGTTTTGTTTAGCTTGGGAGTATTAACTTAGTATCTGATGGTTAGAGGTTATTAATGCTCTTCTGTGAAACAATCATATATTTTCAATAAATTGTCATATTCTTTTGTTTAGAATTATTTCTAGCACTTAACTAGATAGACATTCCATAAGTATCTGTTGAATAAATCAATGCATAAAAAATGAGCAAATTGTAAGACTGAGCATGGAAATTAGCCAGTTACTAGCCTAAAGAGGGAATTTTTATAAATAGGGAAATTCAGAGTATATTCAAACAGATTCTGGTAAAAATGGGAAGAATATATTTTTTATTCTCATAACTTTAAACCACATACATTACAGTAGAATGAAAACAATATGATTTATCAGTAGGTTTGTGCTTAACAATTCTTGAGCCTTGGGGTGGATAATGTAAGTTAAATCTTTTCTCTTCCCCCAACACTCTGAAACCAGCTGCACCCCTTCCCCTGGAAGATCTCTTCTGATGTTTGACATTACACATATGCTTCCAATGGCCTCGCTCACTGGCTTCACTGAATTCACTGTCAAATAAAAATTTCTATTTTTATTTTACAAATAGAAATATTCTTCCTTTAAGGTAAGTAGGAAGAATGACAAGGCTTCAATTTGTGAAAAATTTTTTATGTAGTTCAATTTCACTATGTAATTTTCAACTTTATAGTTTTCACTCTATGAACTTCAGAAGTAATCTAATTTGTTGAGCCTAATTGAAGTTTCCCTACATACAGTAAGTTCAGAGAAACACTCTCACGCTTCCATTGTATTCAGTTGATGATTTTGCTATAATGACCAGGAAAATAATTAAAATTTAATAACCAAAACTCATGTGAAGAGTGAGAGTTGACGTAAGTCTTGATATTGATTGTTTCTACTGAGCAAAATCACCAAATTCCTGCATAAACCTCTACAGCAGTTCACCCAGGTTAGCATAAAATTTATAATCTTGGAGGCAGAAATTACTAGAAGCTTGGAGAAAAATATATACATATAATCTAGGTTTATACAAAACCAAAACTTTGATTAAATATCTTCCTATTTATATCTTACAATGAAGAAACCAGAAATTACATCTAAGCAGTCTTGGGAGAAATATGATATATTTATCAGATGAATAGCATATACTCAAGTGTGATGTTCTGTCTTACAAATTTTAATATATCTTTATTTTAGGAGAAAAAATAATAATGCTTTACTGCAAGCAACACTTTAGGTGCAGTAGGTTCAAGCATTCTAGTTGTTCCCTTTGTGAATATCTTATAGTTTTTCAGTTAATTGATAACTTTTTTTGCATTTATACAGTTTATCAAGGAGATACTTATGAGACCAAAACTAATTTTATGGCTTTGCATTTCCTTTACCGTTTCACATTTTTAAAAATGTGGAATTACACATTTTCTTACTTAACCAGAGTGTGTTAGTTAATCTCACTCATATATTCATGATATGCCATTCTGCATTTTCATGGGGGAAGGATGAGGCAGTGCCAAGCATTCCATTTGATCCATATTCACTTTTTGCTGAAAGCTATAAATCCACATGTTGACCACTGCCTAGGGGAGCAAAAGAGAGGGTTCTGATACCCCAATGCAATATTCAGATGCATTGGTGATGGTAATTTTTCTAGATGGGAAAATCATAAGGAGTATGAGCATATACAAAGTATTTACTGTGTACATTGTGAGTCATTTTACATATATTGTGTCCTTTAGAATTAAACTCCAAAATCTTACCCCATTCTACACATCAATCAGGGTACTAGTAAGAAAGAGATGGCACATTCATTCTGGATCAGTTGAGGAAACTTTAGTACAGGGACTAAACCCTGTAGGCAGAAGTTAGGAAAAACAATTGGTACTGTACCCACGGTACAAAACCCTGGGGCTAGCAAAGGTGGTAGGCCATTCCCACCCTAAGGCTGTGGCTTTCGTAGAAGAGTAGAGCTAAATATTAGTGACTTAAGCTAAACATTAGAGTAAACATCGTCACTTTATTTTAGGCTTCTGAGCTCCTGCTTGTAACCTATTGCTATGGTTTGGATATGTGTCCCCACCCAAATCTCATGTTGAATTGTAATTACCAGTATTGGAGGTGGGGCTTGGTTGGATCATGGGGGAGGATTTCTCCTTAATGGTTTAGCACCATCCCCTTGATGCTTTCCTCGTGATAGTAATTGAGTTCTCATGAGATCTAGTTGTTTAAAAGTGTGTTGCATTGGCTGGGCTCAGTTGCTTATGCCTGTAATCCTAGCACTTTGGGAGGCCAAGGCAGGCAGGCCACTTGAGGCCAGGAGTTCAAGATTAGACTGACCAACATAGTGAAAGCTTGTCTCTACTAAAAATATTAAAATTAGTCAGGCGTGGTGGTGGGCACCTATGATCCCAGCTACTCAGGAGGCTGAGGCAGGAGAATCACTTAAACCCAGGAGTCGGAGGTTGCAGTAAGCCGAGATCCCGCCACTACACTCCAGCCTGGGGGACAGAGAAAGACTCCATCTCAATTAAGAAAAAAAAGTGTGTGGCGCCTCTCCTCTTGCTCGCTCCTGCTTTCACCATGTGATGTGCCTGTTCTCCCTGTTTGCCTTCTGCCGTGATTGGAAGCTTCCTGAAGCCTCCTCAGAAGGAGTTGCCGCTATACTTCCTGTACAGCCTGCAGAACTGTGAGCCAATTAAACCTCTTTTCTTTATAAATTACCCAGTCTCAGGTATTTCTTTATAGCAATGCAAGAATAGCCTAGTATACCTATACTGGCTGAACCCAAGTGAAAAGGATCCTTTCATTGGAGTGGAAGTCAGCCTCCTGGTCACAAAGTAGGAAGGAGAAGCATGGAGAGAGGGAAATAGAGGACATCCACATAAGTCCCTAAGCTTTTCAAGCACAGTCTACCTCCAGCCCAGTCTCCACTGCCCAGGCTGAGGGCTTGGGCCATCTTACCCACTATTTGTTCCATCGCTTATTTTGCTCTGGCCTTTTGTATTTTTCTAAAAGTCAAGTTCCTACAACCCCTGGGACCTTTGTACCTTATGATCCACCTGCCTAAAATACTCTCTTCTAGGTTCTAGGCTTGGCTGGCTTCCACAAACCATTTGTCAGGTATCAAGTGTCACTTCCTTTTAGATGTCATCTCTGACCATGCCATCTACAACGCCTTCCTCACTCAGTCACTTTTTTACACATCATTCCTTTGATTTTACTCATAGCACATATCTCATCATGAAAATTATCTTGTTTCCTTCTTTGTTAATTAGAATCTAAGTTTACAGGTCAAGGACTTGCGTTCTTTTTGATCACAGTATTTCCAGTGCTTAGAGCAGCTTTTGGCATATCGAAGCTATTCACTAATTTTTAAATTATCTTATGGATAATTAAGTCTGTATATGGGGACAAGAGTGATTCAGTTTAAGATGAGAATCCATCATGTGACTCCTAACAAACCCCAAGTTCAGGAATGCCTCCGAAATGTCTAGTTAATATATTACTCTTTGTGTAGAAATACCTATTCACTGTAAGTTTTGGCTTTCCTCCGAAACAAACTTTGATGTTGCATACATTGTAGGCTGTGATGCCCACAGCAGTTACTTACACATTCCTTCCAGAGAACATATGCTGTTTCCTTGAGATATAAGTCCTGGGTCTGAGGTCTTTCAGTACAGAAATCAACCTGTCTTGCGGCCACCCAAGACCACTTCTGTCTGTAAGTTTACCTAATAAATCAGCATTTACTAACAAACTAGATTTGTTTGCTTCATTCTTTGGTTTCTTGGCTCCTTATGCATCTGGGGGTAACTTTGCTTATATGACCCTTACATGTAACATCATATAATAATGTTTTTGATTCTACAGATGAATACATGAGGGATAGGTGTGTCTAAGACTATACAGCTAATAAGTGATTGGAATAAATAGAAGCATTGACATCCTGAGCTGTAAGGTAAGAGACCTGAACCACTAAGTTATACTGCCTCTTATAAAGGAAGCAGAAAAGACATTGTCTTTGTTCATGGCCTGTCAGAATCAATGGAACTTTAAAGGATGACTAGCTTGTAAACTAGGAGACTAGTTTAGCAATATAGAAGAATCTGAGTCAATGATAGCAGCAGAGTAGAGAGGGGAATGTAGGATCCTTAACTCCAGGTTATGTGACTCTATATCATGGTAGTTTCAGAATATGCCTTTGGATTGTAAACATTTTTCAATCTACCATATTTTATACAGAAAGCAACTTCTGCTCTGCATTGCTTTTCATGATAGTTGAGCAAAAACAGAAACAGCTTGTTTGCCAAAATGTTAGCTGTTTTGACTTTTAAAAAATGTAAATTCAGCCCTTGTTGAAAAGAAAAGGTACAATTTATATCCTCTCTCAATTTTATATTTCAATTAAGCTCCTTTCTCCCCTTCTTCTCTTGCTTTTTGAATCAGATCCAGTTGGAATTTGGAGGGTAATGTCACCTCTAATTGAAAATGAACATTTTTTTGCATTTACATAACAATTTCCACTATTCTTCCCTGGCTTTTGTTACACAAAATGAAAACAAAAGCTGATGAAGATGTTGGTATGAGAGGTGGAAGTGGGAGGTAGCAGGAATGAGAAAAGAAGAGGCAGAAAGCAAAATATTTTTTAAGCATTTACCATGGTATTGTTTCTACAATTTTTTTTTCTTTTGGGAGCAGCCCTTCTGCTGGATGCCCGTTCTTTCTGTGCAGCATGCATTTTCCATTCACATCCGCTGCTCATTGTTGTATAAAAAACTATGTGCAGAGTGGGAGATAGACACTACCTTAATTGACATTTCCTCCTACAATTTATAAATTTGTTTTTGGTTGGCAGTGGGAGATAAAGCATTTGTCCCTATAATTACTCCATTTTATTTATTTTGCCTCCTAAGCTTTCAAGCCTATCCAACTTACCGGGGTCGTATATTTGTGTGAACTCTTGTATTTCCAAGTTAGGCTATAGGTCAATAGATGTTTTCATACTCAATGGTTGATGTAAAGACACAAAGTTGTCCAAAATCCTGTCCTAAAAGTTCATTCTGTTGAGGGTTCTAAACATCTGCCTGGAGAACCACACTTTTCACCCAGTGATTGACATTTTTGTAATGAACATGATCCTAGTTCAAGATTTCAGCATTTCTTTACTTGTTTCTTAGTGTCATTAAATGTAAAATGGTTTGAGATAATATGCTTATTGTTTTCAAACATCACAGTGATGTAGAAAATAATATTTGGCCAAAATATGGGACAGCTTGAAATAAACCCATTAAGTTTTCAGATGCAAATAAATAAAACTTCATCTCTGAAAGGAATATGCAGAGAAGATCCTTTTTATGCCACTGAAGCATCACTTATTATCATAACTATATATATATATATATATTTAGAGATGGAGCCTCACTCTGTTGCCCAGGCTGGAGTGCAGTGGAGTGATCTTGGCTTACTGCAAGCTCTCCCTCCCGGGTTCACGCCATTCTCCCACCTCAGCCTCGTGAGTAGCTGGGACTACAGGCACCCGCCACCATGCCTGGCTAATTTTTTGTTTTTTTGTATTTTTAGTAGAGACGGAGTTTCACCGTGTTAGCCAGGATGGTCTCGATCTCCTGACCTCGTGATCCGCCTGCCTCAGCCTCCCAAAGTGCTGGGATTACAGGCGTGAGCCACCGTGCCCAGCCATCATAACTATAATTTTTTAAAGGTTGCAATGACTTTAAATTTTTCTGGTCATATAGTAAATATAGCTCTTTGTAGTCCTGCTTTAGTGAAGTGAAATCTGACATGAAGCAAATTATTGTCAATCGTAACTTGAGGCATAGGCTAATGCTAGCTACCTTGGATTGAGATGACCATATGGTTTTGTAAAACTCCAAGTTGGAATGAAAATTAAATAAGGAAATAATGAATTTAGAAGTTTAAGAAAAGCTTCACTGCTTACATGTCATCTCAAGAATGAGAATCAAAGGAGATTTGGGAAAATGAGTTACCATGAAGAGCTTTACAAATTTAAGGCATTGTTGTTACCATGCTGACGGAATCATTCATTGCTGGATTGTGTGACTAGAGTCAGTCTATTGAATTTGCAGAGATAGCAGTTGAGATTTGTGATAGTTTGTTATTGGCATAACTGGTTGGATGCATTTTTGAGGTTGTGTTTGCCACATACCCTTTGTTGCTTCTGCACTTGAAATAGCCCATGTGGCTAATGGGATATAGAACATTCTGTGCCTCCCTCATGATTCAGTGGGGCCCAAAGATAGGACTTCAGTTGGCTACTAGCTCATGACTTTGCTGGCAGGTATTGTTCACAAGCCTGAATTCAGTGCTGTTGTTCAAAAGGGAAAGTGCACAGTCCAAATCAGGACTCATCTCTACTTCCTAGTGGGTTTTAAAGTTCATCTGCTAAAGGTGTTTGAGGCTATGTAGAGGCTGCTGGCCCATTTGAAGTGTTGAAACATCCATAGTTCAACATTGGCATATGACATGTAGTCATTATACTCTTTAATTGAACTTATTTGATTTGTAAATACATATTCATTTTTTAATATCAGGTAGTAGTAAGTTTATGAATAAAGGCAATGAATCAGTGGTGAAAATTAAAGAAAGTATAACATAGAAGACATTATCATGGGAGCAGTAGGAGCAGATAAATTTAGCAGAAGTTGTATCAGCCTACTTTTTGATTGTTGGAGTCTGAGTCTAAGGAAGAGTTAGTTGGTAGTGTTGAGTAGATAGGTCACACTTTCTTTGTTTTTTGAAGCCCCTCAGAATGACAGCTACTTGCAAGGCTGAGGCAAGTGGATCGCTTGAGCCCAGAAGTTTGAGGCATTTATTATACTTCGTGGGAAAAAAATACTCTCCCCTTTCTGATGCAACCTGCTTGTCTTCAATTCTTCAAACAACAGAATACCAGGGGGGACACTGTGATCTTTTGCCCTGTCCCTCTGACCTTGTTTGCTTATTTGTTTTTGTTTTCACTCTCTTCAACTTCTTTAAAATTTTATTTATTTATTTTTGTACTGTTACTCTTTTTTTCTACTCAGGGTTTTCATTTGGCCAGAAGGTCTTGTCAATCCATGCCTACTCTTCCATGGTTCTTATTCCTCTGAATGTAATTCACAAGAGGCAGTGCTCTACTTTAGATTCTAATCCCTCTAGCTCATTCTTTTGATGGCCTTAAACAAGATGAAGTGGCTGTGTGCTGAATAACTGAGTGGATCGACTATCCGAAGAGTTGGTTGGTATGTTTTGGCCTCAGAGTGGAAATCTAAGAACTGTAACTGAAATTTTTGAGTTGGAATATTTTTAGCCATGTAACCTATGACCTTTCTTACAGTTTTTCTTTCTTTTTTCTTTGTTTCTGTCCCCATTATTGTTGTATTTCTTTTTCTCAGTCATCTCCTTGACACATTGACTTTTTCTTGAAGACTTTTAACCTCAGTTTCCTACCTAGTAATATTGATATTCATATATTAGCCTTTGACTATCATTATCATAATAATTAATAATAATGATAATAATGACTAACATTTATTGAACATTTAGTGTGTGCAAACATTCTTTTTAGAATTTTACTAACATTCTCATTTAACTCTCAACACTTTAAATTAGGTACCCTCATTATCCTCATTTTGCAAGTTAAGAAACTGAGCACAGAGCAGTTAATGTACTTGCTTCAAATATAGTTGGTAAGTGACAGAGAAGATTCTAAGATCTGTGTAAATTCAGAGCATATATTCTTCACTGTGACATTGCATTGCCTGGCCTACTAATGGAGTATTTATAACCATACCATGATCACTGTCCTAAGGTTACAGAGATAGAGGTAAAAAGTATGAACTACTTATTTCTCTTTTTATTTTATTATCTTTTTATATGCCAAATTGAAAAATATGTCTGATAGAGATGAGCTAACAAAATGGGAGATGAGAATCCCCACACATGGCTTCAGCCTCACCAGGGTGGGATTGGGAAGAGACTAGGCAGGACCACAAGCCAGGGAAATACTTGAGCAGCCATGGCTGTGGGAGTGAATTAATTTTGCCTCTGGGACCCACAATCTGGCAGTCTCTCCAAGTCTTCAGAGCAGCACACAGCCCGATGTGTGATCTGCTGCCTGCTCAGAACTCTTTACTTTTTCAGAGAGAAAATGGGACTGAAATCATTCTTGCTTGAAGTCACATTTGTAACCCAGCTGAATAAAATGATGATTCAGATATAGGTGTAATCTGATAAATTCCAATGGGAAAAGTCACCCAGATTGAGTATATGATTCATTGAGAGCTCTTAAATTTCCCAGATGTTATTTCTCAACAATTATCATACCATTATATAATGAGGAAGATAAACTTCTCCATGGCCAGGATATCATGATGTTATGGTTATGGGAAAGTTAAATGTATAATCACTTTGGCACGTGATTTCTTCATATTTCTACAAGTTGTCTTTCAATTCTACATTAATTATAGTCAAATATATTTTTTGGGGGAATATACAGCAGATGCGATTTTTTTTTTAGTCTTTGATTTCTGTCTTGAGAGCCCACAGCTTTGATGCATTCTTGAAACAACTCTAATAAAGCAATGTGTTTTATTCCTTGTTTAATAAAATAAAGCCAGCAGGATGTCTTACTTTCAGAAATGTTTGATAAAGTATCCCCCTCACTGAGCTGAGAGAAAAAGCAATGGAGTTTTTTTTCATTTTATGAGCTCTAGGATGCAAAGTTCCTAAGTATAATTCATTGTTCTTTATGTGACCTTCTCACAACATCGAGTTTTCTCTCTTCTAGTTCTTTTGAATAATTCTCACAGTTCCTGGTGAGCTGCTAATCAGTTTAGCCTGTGAAATCTAGGATGGAACAAAGTACATTACTGGTGCAGGGAGATGAGTCTTTTACTTTAAAGTAATTCAGCATGGCTATTTGACATCCTTTCTCATTTAAGGAGAACTAAGATTTAATAAAATTCTTAGTAAATGGTAACTTTTCTTTGCCTTCTTAAATTAACATATTAATAATTAACATAAATTAATATTAATATATACTACACACTGAAATAAAATATAAATCCCTTTCAGTTTACAAGTGTAGGTTTTACTCTTAGGCTTTTTATTAACATATGTGAGCCACTATTAGAGATAGCTTAGTCTTGACTTGGCAAGTACCCATTGCAATATTTGGGTAACACCTAGCGGGATGTTTTAATAGCTAATCATGAGTAAATGACAGCAGAAGCATTTTATCTTCACTTACGTAGTTTCTGTAATTACCTACAGCATTTGAAGCTATGTTCATGTTCATCTACATTTCACAGTTTTCTTTCATTATTATAATTGATTGTGGAATAATTGCTATGGATTTAGATGGCAGTACAAATCAAATCGTAAACAGTTTTGAAATTATTTAAAAAGACAAATCTATGTGGCATTTTGCATAGACACCAAACTCTGCCATTGTAAGTGAAGCTGAACCTTCATCTTCAACACAACCATTTCCCTGAAAGCTAATACATGACATGTTTGATGTTGAAATACGAGTTTTTTTTTTTTTTTTTTGAGACGGAGTCTCGCTCCGTTGCCCGGGCTGCAGTGCAGCGGCGCGGCAGCTCACTGCAACCTCCGCCCCCAGGTTCAAGTGATTCTCCTGGTTCAGCCTCCTGAGTAGATGGGATTACAGGCGCCCACCACTATGCCCAGCTAATTTTTTGTATTTTTAATAGAGACGGGGTTTCACCATATTGGCCAGGCTGGTCTTGAACTCCTAATTTCATGATTCACTGCCTCGGCCTCGCAAAGTGCTGGGATTACAGGCGTGAGTCACCGTGCCCAGCCAGGAGTATTTTTAAAGTAATTTTAAGAAAAAAGTATGTTACATTTTTACATATCATAGGAAGCTCTCTTACTCTGTTATTATTTTAATGATACCTGATTTTTAGATCTCAGTTTCCTTCATTTTTGGCTTTATGGTGGGAGTTCACCAGTTATGATGAGAAAATGCTCTTTGTCCTTGGTAAGCATTGTTTCAGTATGAACACTCATGCTTTATGAAATGGACATGCAAATTAAATCAATCAAACATCATGATTGAGAAAATAAACAATAAAATGAGTTTGTTAAACAAGTTTATTTGAAATGAGAAACAAGTATTTGTATAGTTCGTCTTTTTCATATGGCTTAAAGGTAATTTTAAGAGGCTTCTTGACACACATAAAGATTGATCATATTTGTTTAAGCTTTTTTTTCCTCTGAAAGTTTAAGTTGAATATTTCTCTTTCATGAGTGCATTACAATAAGAAAACACTAGAAAAGAAAAATGTTAACAAAACGTATCTTATTCAAGAAGACTTTTTGAATTAGTATCAAAGGAAATAATTGTACCTAAACTTTTGTATTCTAACTTTTGTACTCTAACTTTTGTACTCTAAGTCTAAATAATTGTACCTAACTCTAACTCTAAATAATTCTACCTAAACTCTTATACTCTAACGTTTGTCAATTTTGGAAAACATAATGAAAAATATCAAAGATTTTGGATAAGTTATTTTAAAACTGGATATTACTTGATTGAAAGTCTACTCAAAGAAAAAATCCACTTTAAACTTCAGTTCTGTCAGGAGGCAGGTGGTCTTAACTTGTGTCACCTTTTTACACCCTCTTCCTGGCTATAGATAATTTCTTTTATTTAATGCCTAAAAAAACAAGCAGCTTAAATGAAATTTAAATCAGACAGTATCAACAAGAACCTCTCTGACCTCTCTGGAGAGAATTCTGTTATGACCAAAATCAATATTCTTTGTCAACCTGGAGAAGGAAATGAAAAACATTTGGGTGCAATTGAGGGGAAACTGTACGAATTTCAAAAAGAAACAAATTGAAAACTCTACTTAAGCATATGTATTTTCAGGCAAAGACTCCTGAACCATATGGGGTTCAGCTTTGGTGTAAAGATTTGAACTTTTCAGATTTAATCTAAATAGCTTTGCAGGATAAACCTCCAGTGGTTTCAACAGTGTTAAGAGGCTCCTTGTGATCATCTCAAGTTTGATTTATTTGCACTTTTCAAACGAAAATTCATTTATTTACTGAGATGCAAAGCAAATTTGGCTTCCATTTTTGATAATGACACAGTGACCACGATAACAGTTTGATTTTAATATTCTTGCTTAACTCTGTGAGATAGAGGCTATCATTATCTCCATTTTCAGAAGAGAAAGTGAAGAATCATGGGAGATTAAGTGATACACCCAAGCTGTGTAACTAAGAAGGGCCAGAGATGGGACTTAACTTAAGTACACTTGGCCTCAGAGCGCACATTCCAAACTGCTCTCTGTAATATGTGGAATGACAGTTATGGTATCATCTATGCTTCATTTGTTAGAATGGACAATTTCTAATTCTTGAAAATGCTTTGGATGCTTTTGAAATACTAGAGTAGAAATATATAATCTATTGATATACTTAGAAATAAACAATTACAAATTAATATGACCACCATTAAGACCTGATTCTGATATATCATCCTTTATCCTGAAAATGTAAATTTAGCCACAAATATTCTGGTCAATATGCTTGAGAGTGTTAGTCATATCTTCGGTATCTTTGCTGATTTCTAGCTGATCTATCAATTGCTAACAGAGAAATTTAACAAATCGCCAACTCTGTGGATTTGTCTATGTCTCCCTTTAATTTGTTAAATTTCACTTTTGTATGTTCCTGCTGTGATATTAAAAACATACACTTTTTAATCATGTCTTTTTAATGAATTGATCCTTTTACTTCTATGAAATAGCTTCTTTGTCACTAGTAATAACTTTTGACTTGAAATCTCTGTTATATGGCATTAATACAGCTACTTTATTTTTTTTATTTATCTACTTTGTTTTTCCTTCTATTTTTTCCTGCCTTTTTATTATTTAGAAATGTCAGAAATCCATTTTGATTTTTCTGTTGACCTTCCAGCTATGTGTCTTCTGTCACTTTTTAAGTGGTGGAAATAGAGGTTACAATATATATCCTTAACAATCTACTTACAGTTAATGTTACTTTACATAATGTGGAAACCTTGAAATCATATAGGTCCATATCAGACTCCCTCCCCAGTTTTTATTCTGTAGTTGTTATATATATTGCATTTTAACATGTTATAAATCCTTTAAGAAAATATTATAATGTTTGGTTTAAGCAATTATATGTATTATAAAGAAATTAAGAGAAATAAAGCAAAACAAACTTTTTTCGTTAACCCAGATACCATTTCCCATGTTCTATATTCCTTTCTCAGCGTTTGAGTTTCCATATGGTTTCATTTCCTTTCATTCTGAACCTTCCTTTGTCATTTCTTAACAGATCTGCTGGCAATAATCTTTTATTTTCTATAAAATGTTTTTATTCTGCCTTTATTCTTTTTTAAAAATGACTTACTGAGGTACGATTGCCATATGAAAAGCTATAGATATTTAATATATAAAACTTGATTGTTTGGAGATAAGGACACACTTGTAAAACCATCAAATATCATCACCAACAATGCCATAAACTTATACATCAACTCCAAAGTTTCCATCTGCCCACTTTGTTTTCTTTTTCCCCTTTTGTAATAAGGTTACATAAGATCTATCCTCTTAGCACATTTTAAGAATATAATACAATACCGTTTGTTAATCATAGACCCTGCGTTTTATGGTAGATCTCCAGAACTTTTTTCTTTCGCGTGAATGGAACTTTTTACCTTTGGATCAACACTGCCTCATTTCCTCCTTCCCCGAGCCCCTGGCAACCACAATTCTACTCTCTGCTTCTCTGTGTTAGACTGTTGTAGATTCCATGTATAAATGAGATCATGCGGTATTTGTCTTTCTATGTCTGGTTTATTTCACTTAGCATAATGCCCTCCAGGCCCATCCATGTTGTTACAAATGGCAGGATTTCATTCTTTGTTAAGTTCTGCCTTTATTTTTGAACTATATTTTCATTGGATGTAGAATTCTAGTTGACAGGCTTTTTTTCTGTGAACACTTTGAAGACTTCATTCTATTTGCTTTTGGCTTCCACAATTCCATAACATTGAATTACTCTCCTTCTCTGTAATGTGTTTTTCCTTTTCTGCTTTCTCATTGCTTTTCTCATTCCATTTTCAAAATTACTTCTACCCAACTGGTTAATTATAATACGTCTCAGTATGGCTTTGTGTTTAATGTACTCAGGGCTCATTAAATATCTTGAATATGTAAATTTGTTTTACTTTAAATTTGAGAAATTTTTGGCCATTATTTCTTTACATATTTTTTCATATTCCTTCTCCTTTTTTCTTCTAGATTTCCTGTTAGACATATGTTTGAGCATTTGATATTATCCCATAGGTCAGTAAGAAAGTGTCCATTATTTTTCATCCTGTTTTCTCTTTTTCGCATTGTGTAATTTCTATTGATCTGTCTGTAAGTTTAATTATTCTTTCTTCTGTCATCCCCATTTGAATACTATGTCCCTGCAGTAAAATTTTTATTTCAGATATTGTATATTTTGTTTATGGAATTTCTTTTGCTCTTTTTTATTGTTTTTATTTCTCTGCTACAATTTTCTATCCTTCATTTATTGCAAACATATTTTATTTTACTTCATTAAGGGAATTATAACAGCTACTTTAAAATTCTTGTCCACTAGTTCTAACATGAGTTATTTTGAGATTGAAAACATTAGATTTTGTTTTGAGAATGTGTTCCATTTTCTTAGTTCTTCATAATTCTGAAAGATTATATACTGGACATTTTGAGTGTAAGAACAGAAACACTGGATTCTGTTACGTTTCTCGGATGAGTGTCCTTCCCATTGCTTCTGAAGATATTACATTGATTGGATTTGAACTGCAAACACTTGAGCGGCAGCCCTGGTCTCAGATAAGATCTTCTGTCTGTAGCTGAGCTGCTTTGAGTCTGTTTTGCACGTTTTGGGTCACGAGTTGCCAGAGACTGACATGGCAGACAAATATGAGTATTCTCTTTCTGACTCTGTACCTTCTAAGATTCTTCCACTCCTTCCAGCAGCTGTGCTTTCCTTAGATTGTGTTCTGCTTCTCCACATTAGAACATACTGTTTTTTTCCGTAGTTTCCTCTGTTGTCCTGTGTTCCACAGGGACTGCATCTGGCCCCAGGCCAAAAGCTGCTAAAGGTTTAATCACATTGTATGTCTTCCTTTCTCTGAGTGTTACTTCTCACCAGAATCTACCTGCTCTATCCTGATAGTTTTCTTCTGGAAGTCAGCCGACTAGAATTTCACTCAGTACTCAAAGAGAAAGACCAATGGGATATATTCTTGACAAAAATTTTGATGAAGAAAATTCCTTGATTGTCAGTTTTAGGAAGGAGACTCTTTTTTTTATTATTTATTTATGGAGATAGGGCCTCACTCTGTCACCCAGGCTGGAGTGCAGTGGGGCCATCTTGGCTCACTGCAAGCTCCACCCTCCGGGTTCAAGTGATTCTTCTGCCTCAGCCTCCTGAGTAGCTGGGATTACAGGTCTGTGCCACCACTCCTGGCTAATTTTTGTATTTTTAGTAGAGATGGGGTTTCACCATGTTGGCCAGGTTGATCTCGAACTCCTGAGCTCAAGTTATCCACCCGCCTCGGCCTCCCGAAATGCTGGGATTACAGGTGTTAGCCACTGTGTCGGCCAGGAAGGAGATTCTTGATAAGTCATTGAAATTTATTTTATTTTGTACTAAAGAAATATTTAGTACTGGCCAGGTCCGGTGGCTCAGCACTTTGGGAGGTTGACGTGTGCAGATAACCTGAGGTCAGGAGTTCAAGACCAGCCTGGCCAACATGGTGAAACCCTGTCTCTACTAAAAATACAAATGTTAGCCAGGTGTGGTGGCAGGCACCTGTAATCCCACCTACTTGGGAGGCTGGGGCAGGAGAATTGCTTGAACCTGGGAGGGGGAGCCTGCAGTAAGCCGAGATTGCGCTGCTGCACTCCTGCCTGGGCGGCAGAGTGAGATTTCGTCTCAAAAAAAAAAAAGAAAGAAAAGAAACATTTAGTACTGTGAAAGTGTTGGAGTCTGCATTAAATGATAAGCTAATGTATTTTATTGGAGTTAGGAACAGAACAACAGCCTATATTTACTACTATACTTATGCTAGTTCACTGTTTTAAAGCGATACAAATTGAGGTAGCATCTGCAAAATATATTCTCTTGCTCTGTCGCCCAGGCTGGAGGGCAGTGGTGTGATCTCCACTTACTGCAACCTTCACCTCCCGGGTTCAAGCGATTCTCCTGCCTCAGCCTCTCGAGCAGTGGGACCACAGGCACCTGCCACCACACCCAGTCAATTTTTGTGTTGGCCAGGCTGGTCTTGAACTCCTGGCCTCAAGTGATCTGCCAGTCTTGGCCTCCCAAAGTGCTGGGATTACAGGCATGTGCTACCACACCCAGGTTGCACAGGGCACAGGTTTTTTTAAAATTTAGATTTGTCTGTGTTATTACGTGATGATTCAATTCTCCCAATTAACTACTGTGAAACTTTTTTTTTTAATAATATGACATGACATAATGTGACGTTAATGTAGACTTCTACAATTGTAAATATGAACACAAAGTGCAACATTAAAAGGGAGCAGTAGAAATTTTTAAAAAAGATACCCATTCCGGATCATCTAGAAGATGTTTGTATTGTATGTATGTATGTATTGTATTGTATGTTTTATGTATTCTAGATTTTTATTTAAAAGAAAACACAATTTCAAAATGTTGTGACCTCGGAGTACCTTGAGATTACAAATCTGTCGGTCCTACTGGTCTCATGTTTCAAGTTTGGAAATTTCAGATATATTGCTTTTGATTAATTAAACACCATTTGCATAGTATAGAAAGGGAAAAATGGGAGAAGAAAATGCATTAGGAGACTAAAGAATAAAAAAGATTTGAAAGGTCAAGGAGATAAATGGAAAAGAGAAGGGGAAAAGATAGTCTTCAAGGATTAGAAAAGGGAAAGAAACAATAGAAAAAGAAACAAAACATGACAAAAAGTCTTTGCTGTAGGAAAAGAAAAGAGGAGGACAAAGAAGTTAATAGAGAGTGCAGAGGAAACAGTGAAACAGGGATAGCTTGACAGATGTGGGTGGTGGAGGGGGAGGGGCAAGAACAATTCTTACAACAACACTTGCTCCTCGTTTCTGTTTTCACAAACATAAGAAATGGTGAGTGACTAAGAATTATTTTCCCCAGTAATTTTTTTATGCCCTTTTTGATTTTCTGCTTATCCTTTCTTCTCCTTTCTTCTCTTCTACCATCCAAGATAACTTCTCTGACCTTGTTCTCCAGTTTGCATTGTTTCTCAGAGAAAGTGGGGGTAAAATGTGGGTAAGCTGTAGAAACATGGCCCAGTCTCAAGGCTGTGGTGGATCCCAACTACATTGCCCTTTTTGTAGATTTCTCTTTCTGCTCTGAAGAGTGTAGCAGGAAAGTAAGTCAGTATTTACTGCTTAGCAAGCACTAAAATGTCATAACATGGTCTTTGGAAAGCATCTCTAGAAACCTGTGATTCAATTTGTTCCTGTAAGTGTCTTTCTCCCAATAGTGAATCATTTTTCCAATAGAGAGAAGCTGGTTAGTTGAGCAGAGACTCATTGGAATAGTTTATGGAGAAGAGATGCCTGAGTTGATCAATGCTAATGGAAAGACTTTTATTTTTAAAATCTAAATGCACAAGGGGAAGGAATATATGTCTTGGGTACTTGCCTAAGCGAATAGGAAGGAAATTGTTTTAGTTGTGCAACTAATGCTCTAAAAACTTCTCACAATTCCTTTGCTGATAGAAAATTCCACATTGCTCTAAAGCAGAAGGTTTCAAATTTCTGTTCTCAGGACATCGTTACCATCTTAAAAATTAGGCCGGCACAGTAGCTCACGTCTGTAATCCCAGCACTTTGGGAGGCCAAGGCAGGCGGATCACTTGAGGTCAGGAGTTCGAGACCAGTCTGGCCAGCATGGTGAAACCCCATCTCTATTAAAAATGTATATATATAAAAATTAGCTGGCCTTGGTTGTGCACGCCTGTAGTCCCAGCTACCTGGGAGGCTGAGGCAGGAGAACCGCTTGAACCCAGGAGGCAGAGGTTGCAGTGAGCCGAGATTGAGCCACTGCACTCCAGCCTGGGTGACAGAGCAAGACTCCGTCTCAAAAACAAAAAAAAATTATTGTGTTCTGAAACAAGCTTTCTTGCTGTGATATGGGTTATATCTGTAAGTACTTAACAAATGAGAAGTTAAAACTGATGAATTAAAATATTTATTAATAATTTTAAATAATAAATCCATCACATGTTAATAAAAATGAAATATTTTTATTTAAAATCATTATTCAAAATTAATATAATTTTTGCAAAAAGGATGTCTTAGTTTCACATTTTTGTCAATCTCTTTAATGTTTGGCTAATTAGAAGGCAGTAGAATAATTATAGTCACATCTGTTTCTGCAGTCAGTCACTTGTAATACCTTTTGGTTGAAGTATATGAAAAATCTAGTCTTACACAGATGAGTTTTAGAAAAGGGAGAATTATTTTATTAGTCTTCTCAGATAATTGTTGATGTTTTCTTGATACACCATCAAAACATAATGTCTTTAGTGTTTTAAAGGTTAGTTGTAGCAGAATCTGAAATCAAGTCAATAAACTTTGTATACTCCTGGCTTAAAATGTATTGGTTTCTATTGCCCTTTGAATGTGTCTTATACCCCTACATGATTTTGTAAGATTATGCATTGATTATTGGAAAATATTGGTTCCTGAGTTATGCAGAGCTTCCGAATTTTGCTGTATCTTATTATACAATATAAAAATCATATTTATTCATGTATAATAAATCTCATCACAAAAGTAAGTATTGTGAGATAGCCAAGCTCATTGCCATATGGATATAAGTTTTCCACAATTCTAATTTTTGCTTAAAAGTGGAATTTCATCATTGGTAACAAATACTGTAAGTTGTTTTCCATGAAATGACAGTCTCACCTTGTTCATGTTCAAGAAAATGTCACCAAATCTCCAGTTATTAGTAAATGTAGGTTGTCATTGTTCTTTTAAGCAAACATGGTATTCGATTCAAAAGGCAGCTGGTTTAGTTTGCACCCTAAACAACTGCCACCTGCTTTTCTTGGTGACACCATCACACTTTAGTATGAGTAGGAATGCTTTCTGTGTACTTCTCAGTTATTACACAAAATTTCTCAAAGGACCTCAACTCAAGGTTGAGACAGTATTTTCTACTACATCATCAACAACGTTATTAAGTAAAACTGGCTTTTAAAATTTCTATGAACTTAACTAATATATTTTCAATGACATATACAATGAATGTTATTACACTTACTGCTACTTCCTGGATTCACGGTAAGACAACAGCAGTTTTACCCACCCCCTCCGCCATTGCTTTTGCATCATTAGTGCAAATGTCCACACAGTAAAAAAGGCAAATGATATGTTAGTATTATTGTGAAAACAGTTTTAACTTCATGGACCCTCTGAAGGGATCTCAGGGAACCCCAGGGCGCCATAGAACACAGCTTAAAAACTGCTATTCTAAACCATGTAAACAACTATCAATATAAAGTTTAAGTTTTGTTTTATTTGCTTATAAGGCAGAGAGAAACTAGATGTTTCATAGAGTTCTGAGACTTCTGTGTACACACACGAAGAGGAAGAAGAGTAAGGGTGTCTTTGTTGATTAATTTCCCAACAATGACATCTATATCCAGGGAAATGAGATCATAAACACTTGGATAATAATGTCAGACATCAAATCATTATAATAGCACAGCCTTATTTGACTTATGTTTTTGTAAAATTATTCACATTAATAAGAACTGGGCACTTAAATACTCTAAGAAACAAAATATTGGGTGAAAATACGTATAAAGAAAATACAAATAATAGTGGGAGAAACACAGTTTGAGTTTTTCCACATTCAAGCTGCTTTGTCAGGTTGGCTCCCACAGTGAAAATGACATGGAGAAGAATCCTCAATTGACCGAACGTGTCCCAGGTGTGATTATATGGCATGGAGTCCCAAACAACGTGTAACGAATATCTACATGAGGAAGAAATAAATCTTTGTTATATTAAGCCCCTCAAAAAAAAAAAAAGAAGAAAGAAAATGCAAGCAAATAATTTAAAAAGATATCAGCTATAAAAAGCATTTCCTCAAAAATGTAAATAATTTTTCTGTCATTTCCTCATGCATCCTGAAATGTATGATGAGAGTTTTCTGATAATCAGAGAATCATGGAACCGAAAGGCAGGAAGTAGCTATCAAGGTTATCTTGTCCAAACAATGCTAAGTTGCTTGAGTCCCAGTATGTTACCCCTTCCAAATGGTATTCTTATTCATGTTCATTACTTTCTGCTGTGATCACTTCACTACCAGTTTATTTTCACAGTGAATGCATTGCTAATACTGCCATCACTATCTTGTTCTAATGCTCATCTTATATATGGAAATATCTTGAACTATGATTATCTTGGATGGGGGTGCTAAATCAGATTTTAAAAAGTCATTTATAAGAAGCTGTTTTTCTTGAACTCTCTTTAAGTGTCTTCATTGCCTCAACAAGTTTGGAGTTTGTAATCAGGCATTCCAACTATATGGCTGACCCAGAAAAACTGACTTTGATTTAAATTGCTTTAATAATAACAGTTCTTGCACAAAAGAGAGCATGTAATATTGTTCTTCCACTTAAGTCACAGGAAATTTCACAGTCAGCATTGATGGTATTTTCTGAGACCAGCTTTAAATTCATGACATTTTGGCAAGTGGAACAATATGATATTCACTGTTCTAGAAATATATACTAAGATGGATGTCACCAAACCACCAATATTCCCTCAAGTTGAAACCCTTTTTGACACTTTGTGTGAGACTGTCATTGTTATTTTCATCTTTCAGTCAAAGCTTTCACCCTTACTGAAACAAGTTATGAGTTTTCAAAGTTAAAAAAAAAAACCCAAACCTCATAAAATATTTGCAGGTAATGTGCAGCAATAGCAGTCTGAATTTTGATAAATAAATTATATTTTTCTTTAAAAATGAATTATTCTCACAGGAAACAACATTGACAAAAGAAATGCCTCCCCATCTTGTGGGTCCAGGAAATCATAACATACCATGGGGCTAAAACCACCACAAGAAGAATTTAGAAATATTATAGTGAATTAAATATAAGTCTCTTCCAAACAGTCTGAAATAGGAACAGCACTTTCTCCAAAATAATCATGCTCTGAACTGTTTATTATTAGAAAATGCGAATTAAAATCAAAGCAATACATATAATAAAACCTATTCTGATATATTAAAGATGGCATTATATGCAACTTGTTTCTAGGTTTATTTAATAACAATTATCTTTCTCTTCTGTCTTTCTTATGTCCCCACATCCATCTATTACGAAAACATCAGGCCGGGGGCGGTGGCTCATGCCTGTAATCCCAGCACTTTGGGAGGCTGAGGCAGGTGGATCACCTAAGGTCAGGAGTTCGAGACCAGCCTGGCCAACGTGATGAAACCTTGTCTCTACTAAAAATACAAAAATTAGCCAGGCATGGCGGCGGGCGCCTGTAATCCCAGCTACTCGGGAGGCTGAGGCAGGAGAATTGCTTGAACCCAGGAGGCAAAGGTTGCAGTGAGCCGAGATCGTGCCATTGCACTCCACCCTGGGAGAAAAGAATGAAACTCCATCTCAAAAAAAAAAAAAAAAAAAAAAAAAAAAGACATCAAATGCCAGGTCTGAGATTCTGTATGTCTTACTTGGATAAAGAATGAGTTAGTGAAGTAAATAACCATGCCATCTTGCTTCTTCTACCCTGGAAGCTTATCTGGTTCTAGATTATCTCTGTGATTTCCTTTTCAAATTAGGATGGGTCATGGGAGTGAAATTACCTACAGATGTGGCCTAGAGGAGCCTCATAGCATTTTTATATTTCAAGAAATGTGTGGGAACTGGGTTCTGGATTTAGCTTTCTTCTCAGCACAGAGCCACCTCTGGATGAAACCACAGAACGAATTCAGGTTTTCTAGAAGACTTTGGACTAGGGTTGCCAGGTAAAATACAGGACCCCTGGTTATATTTGTATTATGGATAAATAGGGAATACTTTTTTTCCTGTAGAAAGTATGTCCTAAATATTTCATGGGACTTACTTGTCCTAAGCATTATTTGCTGTTTATCTGCAATTCAAATTTCACTGTGTATCCCCCCTTCCTCACCTCACCCCTTGAATCTGGCTAGGCCATTCTGGGCTGAAGGCGTCTTCGTGCTGAACTGGATCTTGGTACTGAAATAGACTACCTGAGAAGGGTCATACAATCTAACAAGTGTAGACACTGCCTTAGTGTTATGTAGGGATACGGGAAAAACACTACATCGGTGATACCCGAGGCTGGCTGTGGCCCACTGGCGTTAAGCTTGAGATTAGTTGAAAACTAAATTTGAGTTTTATGCTGGAAACCACCTGAAACTTCACCCAACTTTAATTGTTTATAATAAAAAAAACAGATTATAGATAATACCAAATACTTATTTGAAATGCCAGAATTACCTTATACTATACAACAGCTTTGGCTAAAGAGTTTGAGACATTTGTGAATATGCTGGGACTTGGTGGGAAGAACATGATGCATAAAGTGAGAATAAGGTTTTGAAATTTAACAGGCAAGCATCTTAGTATTCCTGAGTCTTGTATTTCACATCTATGAAGTGAGGATAGTTTAACTCTACCTTATAGTATGATGTTGAGAATTAAATTAAACAATATAGTTGAGAAGCTTGTTTGGTGCCTTCTTCTTCCTTATGAATGGAAATTTTGATGTTAGATATCAAAGTCTTGTTGATTCAAGTTAGCCACACAGAAATTTGGACTGTTAAGGGTCTACCCTCTTCTATCTTTTTCCTGCAACTCCTCAGACAGACTGACTCAAAGTTATCTTTTACCTTAAACACCATTTAGTATTGTTAAAGTCTGACTGCTTTGTTGGAGTGGGCTGGTTGCTGTTATCACGGCTCAGGAATTGTGTAGAAGTTGATGGTTTGGAAAAATGACTTTTTGACAATCAAGAATGTCAAAGAAGCCATTTATTGATGCAAAATAACTGACAGTGATTTTTATTTAATGTGAAAGGGTTATCCTACTTATAAAAATGCTTTGTGTGTCACTGACCCCATAATTCAGCATTTCTAAGATTAGGACATACTTATTATTTTATAAGAATTTTATCTTCTCATGAATATGTGATGGAGGGAGACTGTGTGTAGTTGCTGTAGGGTAGTGCTTTGTGTTAATAGGATTTATTGTTATTCATATATAGTAATGTTAACAGATCAGTAGACAACTGCCATTGAAAAGGTAGTTTGTTATACCTGCAGATTCCCAGACCAGGGGGCACACTCTGCCATGAAGGACCACACAAGGAGGTACCAGGGTGGGCACAGGTGATATAAGTCTTTATTATGGTTTCTGTGGGAAGGAATAGGTGAGGCAGAACAATCAGGTCTATGATTGTTTAGGTTGGATATTTTCAGAGGGGCTCTGGGTCATAGGAGTTTGCCATAGTTGTCTGGTACCTGGCCATGGAGTGATTTGGTTTTCATTTAAAAATTGTGCTCACTTTTGAAAGATGAGTTGTTTACCATCTCCAGGAATTGGCTAATCCTGGAAGGAAGGAGTCGTCCTTGTAGGGTCAGCAAGGCAAGCAGATATCAAAGCATCAGAAAATAAAAGAAATGGTTAATTGATGAAGAGAGTGTGGACATTGAAATCATAGCTAAATATCTCGGTTTTGCTAGATTTTTGAAAATGCTTTTTAAAAGAGACCTTATATTTAGAGACACATACTGAAATATTTATAAATGTCTGTGATTTGCTCTGAAATAATCTGGAGTGGAGTGAGGAGTGGGCATGGAAAATGCTTTTATATTCCCTTGTGTTCTAAAAATAATCTAAGATGATGATCTGCCATCAATGGTTCACAACCTTTCGATAATTATATAAGTTTTATGAGTCTCATTTTTCCCACTCCTCAGATGAGAATAATAGTATTTCTCTCACAGATAGTGTATGAGAGGAGACTAAAATGTGAAAAAATTGATATTACTAATGGGTGGTCTTTGGCAATGTGTTGTGTCTTGATGTCTGATGTGTCTGTGTCTAGTTATAAACTGAAGCAAGTCATAAACAAGGAACTGATTCAACAAGCATCCAACTCAGAAACAGTACTCCAGTCTGGGTCATTGATAATGTCACCATGTATTTTCGCTTTTATTTTCTTTCTTTGTGGTGATGATTTCTTTCTTTTTAATTAAAAGTTCAACCATTTCAGTTATAATACAAGTAGTAATTTCAAACTCTTTGCACTCTTTTAAAGTTTATGGATATGCATTTTTGATGAATCACTTTTTTTTTCTATGAGGAGCTACAGATACTAATGTGTGATAGTATTACTGAGATAGCGAGTCACATAGGAAAAATATTTCCTGAAAAGGAAGTATCGTAATAGGAAAATACCCATGTGGGAAGAAATCAGAAACCAATGTAAATGTAAAACATTTTTTGAGGATCAGCAGGGGGCACTAAGATTCCACAGGAAAAACATCCCTGTACCCTTCATAAACGATTTTTCTTTTGCTTTAACTCCAAATTGATAACACCATAAACTCTATGCTTTTTTATCTTTATTATAGCTGATAGTGTATCTTTTCTTTTTAACCCTCAAAATGTAGGTGCACTTAACACATCTTTTTATCTACCAATTTAAAAAACTTCTGATTCCCTTATCTGCATTCTGGTTTGCTTCTCATTCAGCATTCACATCCAATGCTATTTTCCTCCCTTTGACAAACATAGAGTAATTAGAATTTTTCACAGACAAGTGATTACCTAATAAATGACCTTCTGCAGGCAGCTCTATTAAAATGGAGCAAAAACGATGTTTACTACAAGCGGTGGCCAAGAAGTAAGGTGCAGGGACAAGACAAGCTCTGCATAACCAAAAGCTTCTTCAGCTCTAAGAATAATGAAAGCATTTACTGAACTAGCAGATCTGTACTAAAAATAATTATAAGCCAGACAGAATGCTAAACCATAAACACAAATTATGATTGGCTATTGCAACAGTTCATTAATTCCATGGAAGTCCAAGGATAAGTTAAGGTAATAATGCTGATGTTCACACAGGACATCAACAAGTAAGAAAAAAAATCAAAATATATAAACTAGGAGAGGATGAAAAGAATACTGATCGATTTTCATATGTCTTTGCTGATTCTAGTACATTTAAAGGGTGAGAAAAAGTATGAACTCTCAGTGGAATATCTTTGAAGATATTTTTGTGAAGATGTAATTTTTTATAAAACAAATTGCTGCAGGGATCTTGAATAGAATATTGGATATAGCCATGTATTTTTGCCTGTACTCTTATTTATATTTATAAACTACTGTTATAAAAATATAACTTAAAAATGTAGGCTTTGCTTTAGTTTATACAGACCATGGCTTTAGGCAATTTGTAGATTCCTGGTAAACAACTTTAGATCACAAAACTTTAGACCTGTGAGGGGCTTTGTCAGTAATCTCAGCCAATCCTGTGACTTCTTACAAGTGAAAACTGTAGGTATAGAAAGATCACTCAGAAAGCTTATAACCTGAGCTAGTCAACAGGTAGCTGAACAAAATTATAGGTTTCCTGACTGTAGTCCAGTCTTCGCCATGCTTTCTTTCTTTTTTTTCCTCTTACATATTTTATTTATTTTTAAAATGGACAAATAAAAATACTTTTGTACAGAATGATGTTTTGAAATATGTATACACTGTGGAATGGCTAAATTGAGCTAATAACATATGTATTACCTCACATATGTTTTTTGTTGAGAACACTTAAAATCCACTCTCTTTGTGCTTTTCAAGAATACAATACATTATTAACTATAGTCACCGTGTTGTTCAATAGATCTTGAACTTATTCTTCTTACCTAACTGACATTTTGTATCCTTTGGCCAATATGATCCCCTAACCTCTGCTTCTATGAGTTCAACTTTTTTAGATTCTACATAAGTGAGATCATGCCGTATTTGTCTTTCTGTGCCTGGCTTATTTCACTTAACATAATATCCTTTAGGTTTATCCATGTTATTGCAAATGACAGGATTTCCTTTTTTTAAAAACAACTAAAGAGTATTTCATTATGTATATATACCATATATTCTTTATCTATTTATTGGACCCTTATGTTGATTCTGTATTTGGGCTATTGTGAACAGCACTGAAATAAACATGGGAGTGCAGATATCTCTTTGGCATACTAACTTCACTTCTTTTGGATATACATTCAGTAGCGGGGTTGCTGAATCATATGGTGGTTCTATTTTTAAGTTTTTGAGGAGCTTTGTATTGTTTTCTGTAATAGCTCTATTTATTTACAGTCTCACCAACAGTGTGCAGTGATTTCTGTTTCTCCACATCTTTGTCAACACTTGTCTTTCATCTTTTTGATAATAGCCATTCTAAGTAGGTTGACGCGATATTTCACTGTGATTTTGATTTGCATTTCTCTGATGAATAGTGATGTTGAACACTTTTTCATCTATCTGTTGGCCATTTGCATGCTCTCTTTTGAAAAATGTCTATTCAGGTTCTTTGCCCATTTTAAAATCAGATTGTTTTCTCGCTATTGAGTTGTTTGAGTTCCTTATATACATTGGATGTAATTATCAGATACACAGTTTGCAGTTATTTTCTCCCATTCCATAGGTTGTCTCTTCACTCTGTTGTTTATTTCCTTAGCTGTATAAGTTTTTAGTTTGATATTTTCCCATTTGTCTATTTTCACTTTTGTTGCCTGTGCTTTTAAAAGGGGATGTATTAAAAAAATATCAGCACTCAGACCAAAGTCATGGAGCTTTTCCTCTATGGTTTCTTCTAGTAGTTTTATAGTTTCCAGTTTTAAGTCTTTAATCCATTTTGAGTAGATTTTTAAAAATATGTTGAGTTGATTTTTGCATAAGGATCTAATTTCATCCTTCTACGTATAGATAACCAGTTTTCCCAGCACCAATTACTGAAGAGAAGCTATTCTTTACTTATTGTGTGTTCTTGGTAACTTTGTCAAAAATCAGTTGACTATAAATGTAAGGACATATTTCCAGGCTCTCCATTCTGTTTTATTAACAGATGTTTCTGTTTTTATACCAGTACCCTGTTGTTTTGATAAATATGGCTTTGTAGTATATTTTGAAATCAGGCAGTGTGATGCATTAAACTTTGTTCTTTTTGCTTAAGATTGCTTTGGGTATTCTGGGTCATTTCTGGTTACATATGAATTTTAGAAGTTTTTTTGTACTTCTGTGAAAAATGTCATTGGAATTTTGATAGGAATTGTGTTAAATCTGTAGATTGTTTTGAGTAGTATGAACATTTAACAATATTAATTATTCCAATCTGTAAATATGCAATATTTTTCCATTTATTTGCATCTTCTTCAATTTCTTTCATCAACAGTTTTTAGTTTTATAGTTTATTAGTTTATAATTTAATAGTTTCATAGTTTTCCTTCAGAGGTCTTTCACCTCTTTAAATTTATTCCTGAGTATTTTATTTTTTATTTCTTCCTATCTATTGTAAATGAGTTTGTTTTCTTGTTTTTGGATAGTTCATTGTGAATATATAGAAACACTACTGATTTTTGTAAGTTGATTTTGTATCCTGCAACTTTATTGAATGCATATTTTAGTTCTCACAGTTATTTGGTGCAATCTTTAGGGCTTTCCACATATAAGATTATGGTCATTTGCGAACAGGGACAATTTAACTTCTCCCTTTCCAATTTGGATGCCCTTTATTTCTGTCACTTGTCTAATTGCTCTGGCTAGGACTTCCAGTACTATGTTGAATAGAAATGATAAGTGGGCATTCTTGCCTTGTTCCCAATCTTAAAGAAAAAACGTTTAGCTTTTCACCATTGAGTATGATGTTAGCTGTGAGTTTGCCAAATACGGCCTTTAATATTTCATTTGTGGTTATCATGAAACTTACATAAAACATAGTTATAACAGGCTATTTTAAGCTGATAATCTTAACATCTGAATGTTGATTGTATAAAATAATATTACATTTTTACTCAATCTCCCTGCATTAAATGTTTTGATTCAAAATTTACCTCTTTTTGCATTGTGTATTCCTTAACAAATTATTGTAGTTATTTTTATTTTAAATAGTTTTGTCTTTTGACCTTCACAATAAAGACATGTAATTTATACCCTACCATCACAGTATTTGAATATTCTTAATTTGACCATGTACTTATTTTTAGTAGTGATTTTTATACTTTAATATATTTTCATGTTTCTAAGTGTCCTTTCCTTTCAGCCTGAAGAAATCTCTTTAGTATTTCTTATAAGACAGGTCTGGTGGTGATGAACTCTTTGTTTTTGTTCATTTGGGAAAATGTGTGTCACTGCATTTCTCAAGAACAGCTTTGCCAGGTGCCTTACAGTTGGTGTTGGTTGGCGTTTTTCTTCCTTCAGCTATATATATATATATATATACACACATATATATATATCACTGGCCTTATTGGAACTCCTTATATGTCATTTGCTTTTTTTCTCTTACTGTATTCAGGTTCCTCTCCTTGTCTTTGATATTTGACAGTTTGATTATAATATATGTTTGTGTATTCCTGTTTGGAATTAATCTGATAGAAGACTTTTGAATTTTCTATAGTTGGATATGTATATGCTTCCCATATTTGGAAAGTTTATGCTATTATTTCTTTAAATAAGCTTTCTTCTATTTATCTCTGCTTTGTCTTCTTCACAAACTTCTATCTCTCAAATATTTCCGCTTTTGATGCTGTTTCATAAATCCAAGAAGTTTTCTTCATTCCTTTTTTCTTTTTTTGACTATATTTTAAATATACTGTCTTCTAGTTTAGAGTTTATTTCTCCTGCTTGACCAGTTCTGCTATTGATGATCTCTATTGTAATTTTCATTTCACTCATTGTATTTTTCACCTCCAGAATTTCTGTTTGATTTTTAAAATAATTTTAATTTCTTTTGAAAGTTCCTCACTTTGGTCATTTATTTTATTGCTAAGTTTATTAAATTATTTCTCTGTATTTTCTTAAAGGTCACTGAAATTCTTTAAAACATTATTTTAAGTTCTTTGTCAGGCAGTATTTATATCCCCATTTCTTTGGGGATCAGCTACTGGAAGATTATGATGTTATTTTGGCAGTGTTTGTTGTTGTTGTTGTTGTGTTTTTTATGTTTCTTATTGTCTTATGAAGTCTGTACATTTGAAGAAGTAGAGACTTATTTCAATCTTTGCAGACTGGCTTTGTTAGGGGAAGCCCTTCACAAGGCATGTTGTAGGCAGGCTTGAGTCTGCTAGTCCTTGGGCAGGCTGGACTGATACCTGGGTTAGCAGATAGACAGGCCTGCCACCTGTGTTCATTGGGGTGGATCTGGAGTTTGATTTCACTAGGTTGGACTTGTTGACTGGGTTCCCAGGGCTGGTGGTGGAGTCTGTATCCATGGGGGCTGGCCTGAAACCTGGGTCCACATTGCTTGAACTGGCACTAGGGTAGTCCTTGAGCCTGAGTCTGCAAGGGCCAGCCAGACACTGAGATGAGCATGGCACCTGGGTTCACTAGAATAGGTTTAGAGGCTGAGTCCATGGGAACTGTCCCAGTGCTAGGTGGCCGGGAACCTGAGTCCATGGGGATAGATTTGGGTCCTGAATCCATGGGGGCTATTCTGGAGCCTAGGTCTGCAGAGGTGATTCTGGAGCCTCATTTCATGGGAGCCAACTTGGCACTGTGGTCTACAGGGACGAGCCTGGACCCTGGGTCCTCTGCAGCCATAGTGCATGGGGACTAGCCTCAAGCCTGGATCCACTGGGGCCAGCCAGGAGGTTAGATGTGTGGGCTCTTGCCTAGAGGCTAAGTCCATGAGGGCTATCTTAGGTCCTGGGGCTGGACATGCTGCCTTTCTGCTTGAAGTAAAGCTTATTTATTCACAGATATATCTATATCTCGATATATCTGTATGTATATGTGTATGTATATATACCTATATATAAATATATAATATGTCTATATATTTATATATGGGTAATTGTTTTTTTACAATTTGATAATGACATGATCCCTAGTGAAAACAGATCAGAGTAGACTCCATGTGTATTTGGGCAATGTTCCTGGAGATTACAAGTGAAGGGTGTTTTAGATTAATTCACAAGAATGATGCTTTAGTCCATTTGGACTGCTATAGAAAAATACCATAAACTGGATAACTCATGAACAACAGAAATTTATTTCTCACAGTTTTGTAGGCTGGGAAGTCCAAAATCAAGGTGCTTGTAGGTTCAGTGTCTGGAAGGGCCCATCTCCTGATTCATACATGGCGTCTTCTTAGTGTGTTCTCACATGGTAGAAGGGGCAAATAAGCTTCACTGGGTCTCTTTCATAAGGGAACTAATTTAATTCATGAGGGCTCTATTCTCATGATATATATCATGATATCTCATGAATACCTCATGATATTCACCTCCAAAGGCCCCACATCTTAATACAGTCACCTTGGGAATTAGGGTTTCAACATATGAATTTTGGGCGCACAAAAACATTCGGATCATAGCAAATGGGTTTTTAGAGTCATTAGGAAGTGACCCAAAGGAGTGAACACACCACTTAATTGGCTTAATTGGCTTATTTGTTGGTAAATTATGGCTCTGCTGCAGAGAAATCATTGGAAAAATGGGTCAGATATCTCGCAAGGGAGAGCTGCTTTTCAGTACAACTGGAATTGCTACCTATTAGAATGGAACAGTCAGAGATGTTCCTAAGAATGGAACAGTCAGAGATGAACACTTCAGCTCCACACTTAAAGCATATTGCATTCCCCACAGCAATTTTGAGTTGTGTGCCTTGTTTGCATTTGGCTGACTGTGCTGATTCAGTCTATCCCCATCCCTTTCTCTTCAATATAATTAAATCAATTTTTTTATGCTGAGTCTGTGATGACTCAGTGTGGCTGTGTTAGCAGCCAGTGGAAATGGTTTGTTCACTACATTTCATGCTGGTTCTCTATTAACAAAAATGAAATTTTCAGGTTTCATTACAAGATTAAACTTGTGATAGAATTAAAGATTGTTGATCCTTTCTAGTCAATTTTCCTCTTGGGGGCTGCCACCCTGAAAACTAGCTCTAAACCACAATTTCTCCAGAAATGCATTTTTTCCTCTGCCCACCAAGAAAAGGCATCACAGTGTATCACTGAACTTGGCAAAGAAGGTAAACAATGTACAAATAAATTCTTTGAAATAAATAAAAGAATCTTATGAATAAAGTATATAACCACCTCAAAATACATATGAACTACATGACATTACCTGGGACTCTAGGGATGTGAATGTTTGAGATTTCTGTGAAATGGTAAAAGATGCCTTTCAACTTTGTAAAACAATGATTTGTTTCTTTCCTTTTGAGTTTTGAAGATGCAAGCAGACTTTCTTTTAAGTGGTGTAGGGATTCATTTTCTTCTCCCATGTAACAAAACAATCTTCTAGAAAAACTAAAGCATTGCTTATTTATTTATTTTGACCACATATGTTGAGTTGTCAGTACACTTTTTTCATGGCTTATCAAAGGTTTCAGGAGTCTATGACTAGCAGATATCCTAACAAATGCAAATATACAAACTATTTATTTATCAGACAGGTTTGATTGAAGCAGTATTTTTGTTGTACATATTCTTGTGGTATATTAAAGAATGTAGTTGAATCAAAGAAAATGCTTCAAGAGTTCATGCATGCAAACATGTTCGGAGAAGTGATATTACTTAATGGAACTTTTTAAATGTATTTGATAATTTTGAAGAAGAATGTTAACTTCAAAATTCTATTTTTAGTAAGTGAGTTATTTTTCTTAAAAAGCATAAAGTATAGTTCTAAGACTCCCTGTTAGGTGGAAGAGCTCTGGGCTAAGTTTTCCTGGGTTTGCCCTGTCCCCTTCATCTGTCATTTCTGTGAGAGTGTAAAGTAATGCATTAAATAAATAAAAATATGATTAACATTTGCCATGTGTATTGACTTTCATGTAATACAACATGTTTTTTTCTCATAATGAGTCCGTAAGGCAGGTGAGAAGTAAGGCTGGAGTGGCCAATTAGGTCAAAGTCACATGGTATTAAATTTTGCAGAAGTGAAATTTGAATTTAGTTTTGTGTCATGTCAAAATCCATGCTGTATTTTCCTCTCCACATGAAACTTCCATTTATGTTCAATTCCATGAGCCAATGAATCCTTTAAAAACTAGAAGGATTTTTTAAAAAAGAAATTGCTTTTATTTAAAAATGTCTGTGTATGGTTATTCTAAAAACTTCCCATCATTTCCCAAAGAATCAAAGTATGATTTTTTTTCAAGTCTACATTTTTTTCAAGTCTACTTTACAAATTACAGGTAAGACATCTTAAATTGCCAACATTTGACCATATTTTACCAAAAAAATGGCAATTTCATGTAGTTCAATCTAATAGAAGTATAGACAAGCAAACATAAAGGGAACAGAATTCTCATTTCAAAGCTGGTAGCGTGGAGAAGCTTTATTTTGGTCTTGTTGACACTGAAGACACAAATAATAAACTGGGAATTATGACAATCTCTCTCTTTTGTCTTGCTTCTTGACTTTGGATTCTAACCTGGCTTTCTCTGCTGGTTGTAAGTTGTAAGTAAGTTGGTCAACAAACTTCATTTGGCTTCATCAGGGTATGGACATTGAAAAGAAGTGTAGAGCAAATATTTTTGGAATAATGGTGGAGGAATGTGATTGAGTGATTACAGAAGTTTCTAGTTCAGTTCTTATTTATCATGCACTTTGCAGTGTGACATTGCAGCTTCTTCTGTCAAGAGGTGAAGTCTATTTTCCTTCTTGGATTTAGGCTAGCCTTGTAACTTGCTTTGTTTAAAAGAATGTGGCAGAATTGCACTGGTCCAATTCTAGGTCTAGGCCTCAGGCAGCCTTTCAAGCTTCTGTTCCCTCTCTTCCTAGCTGCTATGAGAAAGAGCCCACACCAGCCTTCTGGATGCCAAGAGTCATGAGGTCCTGTCACTCCTGTTGCCTCAATCATTCACCTGACATAAGAGTGAAGATATATTAGAACAGCCAGGCCCCAGCTGACCTGTACAAACATAAGCAGAACCACCCAGCCGACCTATAGATTCTTAAACAACAGTGGCTATTATTTTAAACCACTTATTGCTGAGATTGTTTGTTACACAGCAGTAGTTAATTGGTAACCAGGATTAAGGAGCAGAAGAGCTTAGCATTGCATAAGGTAGCAGAAAAGAGTGGAGCCAGCCTTTGGGAAGTGTAATGGGAAAGTAGAGAGAAGAGACAAAATTTATGACTGGAAACTAAGGAGCAGGTGAACTGGAGATAGAGCTCAACTAATTACTGTGTGTGTGCATCACTAATTCTGAAGACTAAGTCAAAAATAAGTATGCATATTTAAAATGACAAAAAGTAACCTCTAAGATTCAGTAAAAATTGCCAAAGAATATTAGTATTGGACAAAAATGTTTGGCTTTCTCCTTAATTGAAAAAAAAAGCACTCCTTGCCTCTTACGGGAATTTAAGTGGCCTGGCCTTAAGTTTCCTGCTATTTCCTGCCATCAGTTGTTTGAAATGGCTGAATAAAATAAGTCGTTTTGTTTTGGCATATGAGCATTATGTTACTACTCTTTTTAGCTGAAATGAGCCGTGGAAAATAGCATTTCTGTGAAGTTGGTCTTTAAAATATGCATGACTGTTCCAAACAGCAAGCTAATTTTCGAGTTCATCAGATGTGTATTTATATGGTGAATGTATCTGTCACATAAACATTTTGTCAATCACCGCCTTCCTTCTGTTCTGACACAGTATGCTGGAGCACCATCTAAAATGTGATGAATGTTGTACTTGCTCCAAGTAAGAATTAATTATGGCAATGACAAGAGTGCTACAAAAGCTGCCCATACTCTAGGACAATGTTGCATTAACAGAAGCAATCATTGAAGCTTCAAATTTAGAAAAATGAGTTAGCAATTAATTTAGCAAACCCTTTGTTTGGCTCTTAAATTAGTTTATCCTTTGAATGAAAATTTGCCTAAATCAACTCCCAACATAAATACTGGTCTTGAACTTAAGGCCTGAAACTGATCATAATGGGAGAAATGATCATGAGTCCAGTGACAAAACCAGTTATTCTGCTCCTTCTCTGTATTTTTCTTTGAGACTTATTTTTCTTAAAAAAATCGTAATGACATTGAGATAGGTTAAGAACATGGGGATAGTTCAAAAGGGATTTGAAGAGGATTTAGCCTTTGGATTTGATCCACACAATTTGAACAGAAATAATGATAAACTAAAATATTTGATACGTTTGCAGCATGATATTTTAAAACACTTAACATGTCTAGATCTTTACATTTTCTTCTATCTTTTGCTCTTAAGGACTTATATGCTCCTGCAGGATGTTATTGTAAAGAGGATAACGGTTTGTGAATACAGCTATGTATAGATAAAATAGAACAAGTAGGCCAAAGTTGAAAAACAGCCAAACCTGGCAATTTAAAAATGAATTTAAAATGACTATGGAATGTTAAAATTGCATCCCCAGAGGTCTCACTATAAAGTGGCTACTTGAGCATTGCACAAACACACTTGAGAATAGCTGTCATACATCAGATTCTTTTTATAGATAGCACTGAATTGTTTTATATAATAGTGATAATACATAGCATGTAAAAAGCCCTTATGTGTTAAGCATTTTGCCGACATTTGTCTCACAAAGTTCTCCAATTTTTTTTCAAGTCTACATAACAAATTATAGGTGAGCCATCTTAAATTGCCAACATTTGACCATATTTTACCAAAAAATGGCAATTTCCTGTAGTTCAATCTAATAGAAATGTAGACAAGCAAACATAAAAGTGAACAGAATTCTCTACAACTCCTGAACAAAAAGTAATTAATGCTTTAATAATACCAGAATCCTAAAGGATGCTAGGTCTACTAGGTTAAAAGGAAGAGAAGAAAGACTGAGCATGGTGGCTCTCGCCTGTAATCCTAGCACTTTGGGAGGCCAAGATGGGAGGATTGCTTGATCCTGGGAGTTCGAGACCAGCATGGGCAACCTAGTGAGACCCTGTCTCTACCGAAAAAAAATTAGCTGGCTGTGGTGCTGCATGACTGTAGTCTCTGCTACTCAGGAGGCTGAGATGAGGGGTTCCCTTGAGCCCAGGAGGTCGAGGCTGCAGTGAGCCAAGATCATGCCACACTGCAAGCCAGCCCGAGTGACAGAATGAGACGCTGTCTTAACAAAAAAAAAAAAAAAGGAAGAAAAGCAAATCAAATTTTAAAAGATAACAAGCCCGACTCAGTAAAAATGTGAAATGGAAGGAGTATATATAGCTTTCTGACCCTGTGAAAGAAAGAATGGCTACAGAATTAGCAGGCAAACAGATGGTCAGATGTAGACACAAATGATAAAATACACTCCAGTATAAATCAATACACAAATCTACAAATAAGATACTGTGATGGGAAATATGGAGGCAGAGAAACCCAGCATAATGCCCTCTAAAAAGCATTTACAAATAACCTACCAATCTGTCTCATTGCCCTATACACCATGATCATCACCAAGGCTTGTGTTGTTCTATTTAAGAGAAATATATATTTTATTATTACTTCATTGAATTATATGAAGCATCTGAGAGCTATTATTTTATCCATTTGGAAATAACACACCATATGTACATATTACTGTTTTTTTAATAAAGAGTAAAATGAAGGATAAGGATGACAATAAGGTATTTCCCAAACTTGAAATTATGCCTACTCTGTGTGAAATTAAGAAAAGTAGCAGCTATTGTGAAGACCTTAGAATATCTCCTAGGACTGAAACCACCATTTTCTGGGAAGAAAATGGGATGTAACTATTGCTTATTTTTCCTAAACAAAGTGAATCAAGTTTTTTGTGTTCTTTCCAAAAACAGGCTGTATTACTACAACAGGGAAAGAGAACATATACTGTCTACTGACTGTCTTTAATAGGAACTCTGTTTGGAGATTACATCTGTTTGCTTCTATTTTTATATAAAATTGAGTGAAATCTGCCCTTCCTGGTCCATAGATCCCTAAGGTACATGAGTTATCAAGACCAAAACTTATGCTTTATTCAGAGGATTAAGACCAATTGCAGATAAAATCCTCTGTTGCTTGCTCACCCCCATCCTCAAAGCCAGCTCTGCAGCTTAGGCCTGGCACCTTCTCTGACCGAATCTGCTGCCTTCAGATGACATCCAGGCATTGGCCTGGCACTGCATTTGGCAAATTATGTAAAAGTTGAGTTGCATGTTTGCCTTTTTGTGTCTCTAAAATTTTGTCTCATTCTGAAAATAGGAAGTATAAGTATGATATGGTCTGGACAGATAAAGTAGCTCAAGTTCGACAAATGTGCAGTACATGAATTAACTTTTGTATCCCTATCAAACACTTAAGGAGTATGCAAAATTTTGTATGCATTTACTATATTTGTTTTTCTGGGAAAATGATCTGTAATTTTATTATATCTTCAAGGGTATCTGAGATATAAAATCAATTAAGAACTACTGATACAATACAAAAATTCAACCATCTATAGAAAAATTCCAAAATAATTACTAATAAAAAGATACAGTGTTTCAAGGTACATCAAGAATGTATTTAGTCTGAGAAGATCTATAAAAATTAAACCTCAACCAAACCAACAAATTAAAAATACCCAAAATTTAATACATTGCATTATTCTCTATTTGAAAGAAAATCGAGAACTGATTTTGAAAGTAAAACACAATAATAACTTTTCAGTATGCCTCTAATATTTGAGTCAGAAAGAAGACTCTGACTCAAAAACCCAAGAATCTGCCTATGAAAAGTTACATTTGGTGGTCAATGCCTGAGGAAATCAACATAAAGATCACACAGCTCATTCTAATTTCTCTGTGTCCATACTCACCAAGCAATCTTTTGATAACAGTTTGTCTTTCAGGGTAGATATTTATGCACACAGGTAAACAATATACTACATAGTGGATATGAGAATTTGCTTTCCTTAGTAGTTGAAATTCTCAATGCAAATGATCAAGTTGGCATCTGGCTTACATATCCTTCCATGAATTTGGTTAGTATCAGTCTTATTTCGAAGGTGATATTTTTCTGTTTCAGCCCACTCTTCTTGAAGCACAAATTCCTCAAAGACACAGTAAGTCCAGAATACCATATAAATGGTACAAATAAAATGTTCAGGGTCTAATACTTAGTATTAAAAATGCTAACCTAAACATGTTTCTGCTTTGGAAAGAATGATGCAGTCATGGAAAAATTATCCACCAAGAAAATCTTGTCAATAGCTTTTTTAAAGTTTAGAATATGCATGCAATTCACAATTCTCAGTCAGCTCCTCATATTTTAAAGGGGCCTCAGAAGTCGAAGGTGTTTTAATGGATTAATGCATGGATTAAAATCTGGAAACCGTTCTTCATGCACACTAAATTTTCTTGTAATTCAGCAACAAACATTTAAGGCTATTTGTCAGTTATCTTAAGCTTTACAAAGCCCTGAAGATGTAGAAAATGCCGGCTCATTCGGGTGCCCCGATCTTCCAGGAAGTGCTCTTTATCGGAAAAAAAATTTTCTAGGAAATTAGATGTTAATGAAGAATGTGGTTCTACACAGGACAGTGTGTGAAGTAACAAGGACAGATTAGCCTCAGGGTAGAGCAAATCTGACCTGGGAGCAGGAAGCCAATCACTGTGACATCTGCATGACAGCAGGGGACTCCAGACAACATCATATAGGCCTTAGCATTTGCATATTGTTCATGGTCAATATACCATTTTAAAGATACTTTCTTAGATTTGAAAGGGAGGTTAATAACATAACGAGGTTCAAGTAAGATTAAAAAATAGACCCAGGAGGCGGAGGTTGCAGGGAGCCAAGACTATGCCATTGCACTCCAGCCTAGGGAACAGAGCAAGACTCTGTCTCAAAACAAAAAACAAAAAACAAAAAAAGATTAAAAAATAGTATTTCACAGTTACAAAAAGATAAAATTTATTATCGTACTTGTGTGTGTGTTTTTAACAACATGGTCTGATTCTTGATACATATCATCAGTCACTTACAGTAATATGAGAGAGGAGTAAGAGCATCTAAGAGGAATGCCAACTTGATACCACTACAGTTAAAGTGAATCATAAAAGTGTTGACATTTTTTAAACAGGGAGATTCATGGCAAATTTGATTCACTTATTCAGTATTTTAATACTTATACGTTAGTTTCTTAATATCTGTCTCATAATACATCTGAGACTTAGCTACTTGGGGGCGATTATTTTGTCTATGTGAACTCTGTCTAAAAAAAGAAAAAAACTGGTTATCTAAAACCTTGACTTGAGAACAGACTTACATAAAGTTTTTGAAGGTAAATGATCCATCAGATCCAATTGCAGGAAGCAATAAGGAGAGAACACTTTTTGCACTTTGTGTATATTAATGGTGTGGTGCAGCTATACTGAAGTGGGAGAATGAATGTTATTTATGGTCATAACCTGGTACTTTCCTAATTGCCTGCTTCATTTTGAAATTGTGTTCTATTTCATACTTTAGAGTCAATGTTGCCGAGGGCATCGTGCTTCATTTTGAAATTGTGTTCTATTTCATACTTTAGAGTCAATGTTGCCGAGGGCATCGTGAGTGGTTATTTCCTGTTTCAAAAATGAACATATGAGAAGTACTGGGGAAATGGACAGGCAATTAGCATCTCCTGGAATAAAGTGAAAAACAAAATGAATGATTGATATATAATTAGACAGTAGAGATGATTCACTAATCATTCATTTATTTACTCAGGTAGTACATACATATGAACTTGATACCTGTACCTTTATTATTAATACATACATTAGTCCAGGTCATTCACTCAACTACTTCACGAATACATATTGAGTTTTTACTGTGTGATGTGGTTGCATATTTTGTATTGTAAACTTCCAGAGAATATCCTCATACTGCAACACCTGTAAAATCAGCACATATGGTTTTGTGTTTTCAGATGATAACGATGATGATTATCATGATAGAAAATAGTGAAAAAATCCTCTTAAAGTATAATGTTGAAGAATGACACAGAAAAGAGAGTGAAAAATAAAGCTCTTATTATTTTTCAGGAGAGGGAATGATTACCACTGAGGTAAGATCATGCAGAAGTATAGAAATACTTTGTGTTATCTTTAGAAACTTGCTAGTGTAATCTTAAATGTTGCGAAATAATCCATTATATGTCGATGCCACAATTTACTTAGTCATTCTTATTGATCACAATATAACATATATCTTGGGGTATAAATATTTGCCAGTTTCAGCTTTAAGTCAGCATACATTCTCAGAAGTGGAACTTTGGCTCAAAGGGCATGGTTAATTTTATGGCTCTTTAGATATAACATCTCACTGATTTCTAGATATTTGCACCTCTTGGTACTCAAACCAGCAGTGTATGGTGAAGATTAACATAGACTTGAGTGACTAAGAAGGAAAAAGAAAAGTCACACCTAGTATATACCTACTGCCCCAGACACAATGCTTTCACACATATTACATTATTTAAATATCACAGCTGCTTTGTGGAACATTTTGTGGTTGAAGTTAAGACTTGAAAAATAGCTTGAATGGTGCATACATTTGGAAAAGGTGAAAAGAATGAGGAAGTACCTTCCAGATGGCAGAAACTCCTGGAACAAGAAGTTGTGAACAAATATAGTCCTGTGGTCTTTGAGGTGACCTCAAAATAGCATCCCTACTTCTTCTGTGTGTTCTGACCCAACTGAAAAGTAAGACAGCAGTAAGGCACAGAGGAACAAAATGTCCCTTGTGTGGTCAAGGGTTTTCTAAAACTAAAATCCCCAAATGAGTCAGCAAAGATAAGTGTTCCCACTCCATCCCAGTCCACTCCACTACCACTTCACATAGGGGCAGGGCCCTTTGAAATTTAAGGTATGGGATAAAAGAGGAAAAAGTATGTGTTCTGCAGGTAGCAGAAAGGAGCTGGACTGTGGCTCACTGATTACTCCTTCTAATCTCAGCAATCAATACATTATTCCTTATTGTAAGGAAACGGAATGAGTAAAAGGGTGAGGAAAGGCTAGGCTTCTTGTAGCTAGAAAAGTTCCCTTCATGTGGAAGGCAAAATCAGGAGTGGGGAATAAGTAGTTGCCATCCTACCACAGGGGAACTTGAGGAATTGTGCAAAGACTGGTCTGGCTAATGTTCATGTCAGGAGTGACTAGAGGGTTGAGTTGTGGACCATTTTAAGCGTCATAGTGAGGGATCAGCTTCTGTCTTTGGGTGCCTCTGGTGATTACTGAACAGTAGAGATACAACATAGCTTTTCCATCTCTTTTGTATTATAATTGTCTCTTGAAAATCCTCAGCTTGTTGAATTCCATGCTAATGGAGTGTTTTATTTTATTTTACTTTACTTTTTTAAAGTTCGGGGGTACATGTACAAGATGTGCAGGTTTGTTACGCAGGTAAACATGTGGCATGGTGGTTTGCTGCACCTATCAACTCATCACCTAGGTATTAAGCCCAGCATGCATTTCATTCTTTTCTCTAATGCTTTTATCCCTGCTTCCCTGATAGGCCCCAGTGTGTGGTGTTCCCCTCCTTGTGTCCATATGTTCTCATTGTTCAGCTCCCACTTATAAGTGAGAACATGTGGTGTTCGGCTTTCTGTTCCTGTGTTAGTTTGCTGAGGATAGTGGCTTCTAGCTTCATCCATGTCCCTGCAAAAGACATGATCTTGGTCCTTTTTATGGCTGCATAGTATTCCATTGTGTATATGTACCATATTTTCTTTATCCAGTCTATCACTGATGGGCATTTGGATTGATTCCATGTCTTTGCTATTGTGAGTAGTGCTGCAATGAACATATGCGTGCATGTGTCTTTATAATGGAATGATTTATATTCCTTTGGATATATACCCAATAATGGGATTGCTGGGTCAAGTGGTATTTCTGGTTCTAAATCTTTGAGGAATCACCACATTGTCTTCCACAATGGTTGAACTAATTTACACTCCCACCAACAGTGTAAAAGCTTTCCTATTTCTCCTCAACCTTGCCAGCATCTGTCGTTTCTTGACAGGGTGAGACTCAATCTCAAAAACAAACAAAAAACAAACAAAAAATAATGGAGTGTTTTAAGTAAACATTCTAGTTTATGCCAGGTCTTAAGTAAACATTCTAGTTTGTCTTGGACTGGGTCCTGCCTCAGGTGGCATTCTCTCTTCCACTATGATCTGCTTCTGTGGGCCAAAATCAACAAAACAACAACTGGCAATAAAATAATTCCACTATAGAAATTATTCTAAAAATATGGTTCAGAATTATGAATAGTTAGTGGCCACAGACAAGGAAAAATTACAAATTTAATCATTAGGGTGAGGTAGCAGGGTGCTTCTTGCAACAAACCGGTACTCATTTGGTCATTACTGATCTTCCCGTCTGAAAAGAGATAATTCTAAAGAGAATTCAGTTTGCCTGTCACGTACAGTTCACAGATCACAAGTTACAGATGATGTCTTCTGGGAAGAGCATCTGAGTAGGAGAACGATGTTGGCTCCAGAAATCAAAAGGAAATGATGAATTTTCTTTGACTTTTTGGTTAAAGTATAAAGCTGCCCTCAGCAGCAAATGACTTCACATAGGTGCCCCTTAAAGGGTCAGATATAGATTCTCTTCCAATTTATGTCTGTAACAGCTGTAAAATGTTAAGACATAGTCTTTATTGCCATGGACAATCACCTGTGCTTTGTGGCTTTGTTACAACCTAAACATCACCCCCAAGCCTTGGACTCTTCGCATTCTGTGAAGCAGGTCCACTGTGCACTGGCTAACAACTTGTTCGAGTCCAGTGAGACAAAACGTTCTTATATGCAACAAGATGCATGAAGCCAGTTTATTACTTACAGATGGGCAGCAAGGGATAACAGAAACCAAGGACTCATTGAGAGTCAGTCGCTCAAGGCTCAGGAAAGCTGCCTGGGATGGGTGGAGTCTTGAGTACATATGCCCTGCTTGCATTGCACATGAGGAAGCCTGAAAAGCTCCCTTTGCAGGATTATACACTTCAGGGTCACGTGACTTGCTGTGATAAGGCATCGAAGGACATCCTGTTCAAGGGTAGGGGACTGGAACAGAGCCCAGGATGTTCTGGCCAGTTCCTTTCTACCTCAAGATGTTGCATTCCTTGCACATTCTATGGTTATTCTTGAGAACTGCAAGTGAGAAAATGGGGAGAACTGGGTCTGTCCAAGGCTACCTGAAGAACAGTCTTACAAGTTCCTGTAGATAATCAGGACAATGCATTCATTAGCCATATGTTTTACAACATTATTGTTGAGTATGTTTGAGAATAGTATTTTCTCCATTACATTAAAGAATGCTGCTCTGAATCCTTGGGATTTATGAATGTGGACCATGAAAGCCCAGGGGCTCCTGCATGGAGTTAGTCTTCCTGCTATTCATTTGGGTGGATGCAGATGGTTCAGTGGAGTTCAGTCTTGAGTTTTTCTCAGTAAGGCCAGCTGGAAGGAGAAGTGGCTATGAGTGCTTATAGCTGCCTCACTGTGCTCAAATGAAGCTCCCTGTCTTCTCCCCAGGCAGATGCTCTTCAGTAGAGGATATGTCTGTCTACATCTGGCATTTTCACAGTGTCATTTACATTCTCCTCACAGTAGTAATTTTCATCTGCTGTCTTCCCAGTATTTTCCAGAGCCACTCTTGGGATTTAGCCCATATTTCCAGAAATCCCTCAGCGACAACTGCTCTCTATCCCGGAATATAAAGTGATATGTGGTTTGTAAATATAACATTTACAATTTGCTACAAAATGCAGCATTTTCCTACTCCTCCTCATTTTCATCCTCCTCCTCTTTCTTCTCCTTTTTCTTCTGGTGAAAGAAGTAACAAAAATAACCACACTTCTTTTCATCTTGGCACATTGTTAAAGATTATTTTCCCAGCCTTGCTAAGGAAATGGCAGACTTTGGATGCACTGTTTTAATATGAGAAAGGGAGGATATTACTGATGACGTAAGCCAGGGCTCTTAAAATATTTTTAAAAGCATTTTGTCAACCAGGACTCTTAAAGTATTTTTTTCTATATTTGTGAAAAAACAGGTATATAGTTACAGAAACTATGCCTGAGAAAGAAGCCCAACATGTACTCTTATTCTGGTTTAGGACAGTTAAACTCCAAAATGTTTTTAGTTGTGTTTCACTTAATGGCAGGGAGACAATGCTGGCACTTGATTTTTATATCCATCACATGAGAAAATCTGAAGGCAATTAAGCACTGAATTTTCCCATTGTACTGCAATTACAGGAAGACCTGTGTTACCTAGCTGTGCACTGAACCCCATGAAATGCAATGTTCCAGAGCTGTCAAAATGTCTTATTTCTTGCCTTTAATTCAGGGACCTAATTGTGGTCAATCTAGCTATTATGTTGTGCTATGCTTCATTTATAAGCATACAGCAGAAAGGCTAATAATTTTGGATTTAACTCAAAGGGCTCTTGTAAACATCCACCTAGCTCTATGTACCTTTCTTTAAACATGACTTATGGTATGTTTGCTAAAGAAAAATGGGGTCTTTTGTAATATAAAAATAATCCTTAAATCATGAGGATGCTTGAGCAGAACATGTTAATCTGGACTGAAATCTATGGTCTTTGGTATATCTCAGCTCTGAGGTCTCAGTTATGTAGTTTGAGCTCTGTCCAAATACAAGAAGCATGGAATGTGAACTTTGTTCACTGGCTGCCATGATATAGTTGCAATATCTGACATTGTTTTTTCGAATCCCAAATCAGATCATGTGACCTAGAAAGACTATTGTCTGTTAGATGAAGTTATTTATATGGCCAATTTAGAAAAGTAGCTATTTTTAGATTATATATTCAATATATAGATATTAGTTCAGATATTTTAAAATTACCTATTTAATAAATTAGTTTTACTGAAATACATAAAGTGCCTAAGAATCAACACTCTCCTGGGCAAACTCCTAAGAAATAGGATGTTGTAATGTATTAGTCTGTTCTCATGCCGCTAATAAAGACATACCTGAGACTCAGTAATTTATAAAGGAAAGAGGTCTAATTGACTCACAGTTCAGCATGGTTGGGAAGGCCTCAGGAAACTTATAATCGTGGTGGAAGGGGAGGCAAACATGCCCTTCCTCACATGGTGGCAGCAAGGGGAAGTGCCGAGCAAAAGGGGGAAAAGCCTCTTATAAAACTATCAGATCTCATGAGAACTCTTTGACTATCAGGAGAACAGCATGGGGGTAACCACCCCCATGATTCTATTACCTCCCACTGGGTCTCTCTTATGACATGTGGGGATTATGGGAACTATAATTCAAGATGAGATTTGGGTGGGGACACAGCCAAACCATATCATTTTATTGCCACATTTAATAGCTCTCTTGAAGAGGGTTAAGAAGAAAATGATATCAATTGGTAAATTAGCAATAAAGCCAGATGCCATAAAGATAAATATTTATGGACAAGAACAATTTACTCCTACAATATAAGGGTGATATAACAAAAATTTCCAATATATTTAAATGTGAAGGTAAAGGAGAAAACTAATTTTATCCTATAAATAGGGGCTGCAAGAGTATTTCAGGAAACTTAACAGAATAGAAGCAAGGAGACTATTACTAATAATACTCTAAATGAATTAAATAGGAATAAAACAAAACCCAGCAAGGGAAATTGTATGGGAGTTAACTAAAGACAGAAATAGTAGTGGTATTATCAATTTTTGTATTACCAATTTTATTCAACTTAGTTTTAAACACTTTCTCATCACTGAACACTCATTTATTGATTGACTACTATCTGCCATTTAGTGTTCTTGGTGATAAGAATATGATGGTGACCAAGACGGGAAATTTGTGTTTTCAGGGAACCTGTATTCTAATAAAGAGAGAGATGATAATAAGATAATAATGAGTGCCTTATGGAAGTGATAAGGGCCATGATGAAAAGTAACACAGAATGATAGTGAGGGGAATGTACTTTAGAAAGCATGGCCAGAAGGGCCTCCTCTTTGATGTGACAATTAAGTATATAGACCCAACCAAAGCGAGGGAGTGAGCCATGAATATAATTGGGGGAAGTATTTTCAAGACAGAGAGATGGTGAGCACAGAGGCCCAGAACTTGGAGTGATCTTTATTTGTCTAGAAATAGCAACAAAGCCAGTGTAGTCTTCACTGTGAGCAAGAGAGGTAGGGAATGAGCTTAATGAGGTACAGGGTGGGAGAAAGGTACATGTGGATCATTACGGGCCATAAGAAGGCTTTGGATTTTATTTTATGTTTAACGGGAAGGGCAGTCTGGGGACATAATATAATTTTATTTGTATTTTTAAAAGATCACACTGGCTGCTATAGAAAGGGAAGAGTAGAAGCAAGGAGATCCACTGGGGGTTATTGTGGAAAAGTAGAGATGGTTGTGGTAAGAGTGGTCAGACTTTGTGTGCGTTGCGTATTTATCTATCTATCTTTACAACACAGACATATATCTGTGATTGGGAAGAGGGTCAAATCTGGAATCCTGTTTTGGACAGCTTATAGTTAGTTATCAATTAGGTATCCATCTTAAATGCAGAGCAGGCAATTGTACATATGATTCGGCATCTCAGAGGCAAATTTGGGATTGAAGATATAAATGTAGGTATTTTAAAGCCAAGGACTACATGAGACTATCTGGAAAATGAGAGTGTGTAGGGAAGAGGAGAGAGAGGGATGTAGACTGAGCTCTGGGATACACCAATATTTAGAGGACAGGGAGAAGACAAAGGGCTAGCAAAGAAGACTGAGAAGGAAAAGACAGGCAAGTAGAAGGAAAGAGTGCTGAGAGTGGCGTGTCTGACACCAAGCGGAGACAATGGGCCAAGAGGAGGGAGCATTCAACTGCATACGATGCTGCTGAGGGTCAAGAAAGGTGAGGATTAAGAAGTATTTAAAGTAAACCAGGGAGGTTTGGATATTCTTGATGAGAGCGGTTTCATGCAGCAGTAGGGATGAAATCCTGATTAGAGTAGTTTTAAGAGAGAATGGGGGCCGAGCACGGTGGTTCACATCTGTAATCCTAGCACTTTAGGAGGCTGAGGTGGGCAGAGATCGAGACCATCCTGGCCAACATGGTGAAACCCCATCTCTACTAAAAATACAAAAACAAAACAAAACAAAACAAAAAACAAACATTATCTGGGCTTGGTGGCACACGCCTGTAGTCCCAGCTACTCGGGAGGCTGAGGCAGGAGAATAGCTTGAACCTGAGAGGCAAAGGTTGCAAGGTTGCAGTGAGCCAAGATCGTGCCACTGCGCTCCAGCCTGGCAACAGAGCGAGACTCTGTCTCAAAAAAAGAAAAAAAAAAGGTGATGGGAAGAAAAGTGGACACAGTAATGTTTGGGGATAGCTGGAAGAGCTTTGGTGGATATTTTATAAATGTTCAGATTTTTATAAATATTCGATATTTTGTAGATATTTTATAAATATCTTATGAAATATTCCTATTTTCTTATTAAAATATGACTCAAAGTTATCACTTAAAAATTAGAAAGGTGAGATGTTGGAGAATAGATATGTCTGCATGCAATAATCATCTGAAAGACTGGGGAGAGACGAACTGAAGAAATGAAATGGGATTGCCAGGCAGTATTGAAAATCCATGTCATATGTTTAAAGAAATTGCGTAGATTTTTTCATTTACGTTTAGTTACCAATGGATCAGATAAGCTACCAAATTCATTAAGTGAAAATCAAAGCAACATTAACTATTAGGAAAAAGAAAGAAATTTACTTTTAAAAACATGTATATATTCCTAGAAAATTAAAAAAAATTAAAACTATTAAAATTAGTGAGTGAGGTTACAATACTGCTGTCTATGTGATAAATACATAAAAATATTAGTCCTTTCTTTATACCAGTAATAAGCTTTAAAATATGAAAAGGAAATTAAGTTATATTTGAAGAACCAACAAGAACTATGAAATCCCCAGGAAAATGTTAAAGTTCCTAACATAAGGAAACCTCTAAAATTCTCAGAAAGGACAGAGAACATGACCTGAATTAGACCATGTATCTTAGATGGGAAGACTTGCATGATCAAGATAGCAATATTTTAAAATCAAAATACACATTTAATGAAATTTAAATTAATATTCTAATTTGTCAAATTCCACTCAATAAATGGTTCCACAATTTTCAGTAAGCACTTCCAGATATCTTTGAATATAAGTAATAGAAGCTATTTTTGACCATAAATTCCCATTATCTATATCTATACATCTATATCTATATTTGTATCTATATCATCTACCTATATTGATATAGATATGTATGTATAGATAATATAAATATACATATTTGTTTTTATGTAAATGTAGAAAAACATCTAGGAAGATAAAAAATTATAGATTAATTATTCCTGGAAGATGGCAACAGAGGACTGAAATAAGCATTTTGTATTTGTATATTTCCAAATAGGTTAGAGTTCATTATTTTGTGATGTTCTGTTTTTAATAAATTAAAATTGTTCTATGAACAATGTTTTAAAAAGAAAACAAATTTCATGAAAGATTAAATAAAAGGGGAGGAGCTGGGAGATTTCTTGTCCAGCAATCTTCTGCTTAGGTTGTCCTTGTCATGAAAAATATTTCCCTATCTTTTGGCTATTTTGTACTTTACTTATGGGGGTAATTACCTTTCCATTCCTAGTAGGAGAACCAGCAGAAGAACAAGACCTGAAAATGGGACCAGGGAGGCAAGTTTTGACCTTTCATGTTTGTTTCCAGGATGAGCTGCTGGTTATACAGCAACACAACATGTCATTTTTTCTATATTTGAGTTTATCCAAAGGGGCAAGATAGACAAATGCCCTTTATCACTGCTGGTGTGGGGCCAATGAGCAGTAAATATTTATAAATTTTCCATTCTCTTACTGTTTGTTAAATCTTGAATTTAATTCTTATCATTTAAGGAAGGAGGCATATTTATTTATTTATTTATTCAAATTTTAAAATGTAGAAAATGAGATATTTCAAAGATGCAAAACTGTGTATTATAAATGTCTATCTGCCTACTCATATGATTACTTATTTTATTGGCAAGTGATGATGATGGAGTAGAGAAGTAACTTTTCATTCGGAAAGCAATGTATTTAAATAAAAAGCAAGTAATTTAAATATTTTAAAATATTAGGTAAATTATAGTATAAATGTTATGTAGCTTAACATAAATGGAGACAGTGGTACAAAAATTACCCTCACACATTGCTCTCACATTGCCTATGCATACCTCTTGTGAGGGCACATTGTTCTGTAACTGTGCTTATGTGTTTGTCACTTCAGCTATCTGAAGGGCAGAGACTGAGTCTTCTTTATTTTTTGAGTTTTTTTGTTTTTGTTTTTTGTTTTTTGTTTTTTTTAACCTGGAACAGAGTTTGCAAATAGTGGGATTTTTAAGACTTAATTAATTAATGTTTAATATTTTGATGACTATAAGTACAGTCATTGGAAGAAAAATGTTTATTCTGTTCACTGACATAGATATTAGGGAAATTTGATGCTTAGAAGATTAATAATAGCAATGCATATATTGAATTTTAACATATTTCAACCCTTTTGTGTATGGTTTGCCAATGTTCTAGAAATGCTGTAGGATTATTAGAAAAGTTAGTCTATAAGTTTGATAAATTATTTTACAAAATCACTGCTATATTAGAAAGAGAGATAATTTCTCATCCTTATTATATTTTTTAAAGGTGTTTCTATTCTTAGGTTTAGCTCCAAATCCACTTAAAAATGTCTCAGTTAAAATAAAGCCAACTGGGGCCCTGTGCTTACATGATGCACTGTTTCTGTTGCCCTCTCATCAGGGAGAGCTAATGTCCCATTAGAAATATAAGTTAAATTAAGGCATCAATTTTCTCCAGTTTTTTTTTTTTATGAAGTTATGGTGCAGTTATAACACTGAATCCGAAATTTTGTAATTCGGAGAAACTGATTCATATCGAGATTGAAGCTATGTTATTGGCTTTATTTGCACCATTTATTGATTAATAAGTTGAACTCTCTAAATGAATAAATTGGAAAATTGAGTAAATTGAAATACTTTGTGAGAACATTATGTATTTACCTTAAATTTCCTAATACCATGGAAAATTTCAGCTGCATGTTCTTTGCAAAGATGAATTTTGAAAGTAGCACCTAAACATCACGTTATTATGCTGATTATGGGATTAAAGGCTCCTATGCTGTAATGAAAGAAACACTCAAATATCTTTTAACTATAGGACATGATTCAGCCAGAAATAAAGTTAAATCCATGGAATAGAGAGATGATAGAAATGATTATACAAAATGCTTATATAACTAAATAAAGTATTAACAAAATGTTCTAAGTCCAACTAAAAAGATGCTTACTGTGTCAATGGACTTACTTTATGTTGGATCAGTCTTCCCTATTAAGCTTGTCATTTTCTTTTTTTTCTTCAAATGTGTTCATTTATGCCTCTTTCCATTTGCTAGTATACAGTAAGAGACAAGATAGGTCTAGAGTCATTCTTAAAAACCATGTGTTGGGTTAAAACAAATAGTTAGTGGGTCTGTAAAGTGGCTATTTGAGTTAAAAAAAAAAAAGGACTAACTCACTGTCATTTAAATCTTCAGGGGGGTCCCCATGGCGCTCTGGATGAGCATCAAGCATCACAAGGAGCCCTGCCCCCTTCTGCCCACCTCTTTTTCCTCTCTCTACCAACCCCCTTCCACTTGGACTTCAGCTGATTAGTGTTTTCCGATTACCCAAATACTTCCCACTCTCTTTTGCCAAAAGCATTTGTCCATATTTTTCCTGCACGGAGTGCTTCTGTCATATTTTTGCCTGGTCAATTCCTTTTTAACCTAGAAGACACTTTCTCTAGGAGTCTCCTCTCATTTGTATAGTCCTAGTTAGATTCCCCTGCACTGGACACTCCTAGATCCACTGTGTTTCTACAGTTGCAGCACTCACTGCTTAAAGGAATACTGATTGTTTCTTTACTCCTCTGACTTTCTCTCGTGACTTCTTGTTCTTAGAGAGCAAGAATAATGCCATTTGTTTTTCTATTGATCTATGGATTGAATAATCAATACATATTGATTATTCAATATGTGTTGAATAAATGAATGAATGAATGCATTTAACTCATGATAACAACTTCTGAAACGGTTTCAGTCATAGTTACAAGTGCATTAGTTTAGCTTGATAATGTACTTAATACTTGCTATAATTATGCATAGTAGTAAAGGGTTTAGAGACAGTTGTGTATCTCTTTTGTAGACTTTAGTTTTTATTTAATGGCTCACTAATACTGTTTTTTGAAGTGGAAAGAAAGAAAAGAACCTCAAACACTAGCATTTGCCTCGTATTAGTAGTCAATATTAAATTGGTAAAATGAGGCCATACCTCATCACAATTCACACACTTTTGTAGTTTTACATGTAGGGTCTAGTTACCTGAATATATCTAACAGATCTCATTCCCAAAAGCTTTCCCTCATATAGGTAATCCCCTAGCTTGGCTCCCCAAGCACTTTGATAGAGCAAAGCTTGAAGACAGTTAATTTTCAAACTTAAAATGGATGAGATGAATTCTATTTTTAAAATAAGGCTTTTATATCAATTTTTATTGTATGAATTTCTCTTTATAATAAAGAGAAGGGACATTTTTATGGAGATTTTTAAAAGAGGGAAGGGGACTGAGAGGCCTACTATCACTCTGCGGCACAGTAGGAAACGGTGTGAAAGACCACTTGGGTACCCATAATCTAATTTTATATTTAATGGAGTTGTTTTGACATGACCTTCTTCATATTAATTTCTTCTAACATAAAAAATTAATTTCCCAAATACTTTGATTTTATGGAAAACAAACTTAGACTGAAAAGTCCCAGTGCTTACTTGCCCTTATCTTTTGGGCAAAACAGGAACAAAAAGTGTAAGCCCCATTTAAAAAATTAACTAGTTTGAATAATTTCTTTGTCTTTATTGTTGGAAACCTCTCCCCTGGAAGCAGCATTAACTTAGACCCCAGGGCCTCTGTTCGTTTAAATCTGCTCCACATTGCATAGCGTTAGTGCCCTCAGCATATACTGATTACCTCACCTCTCTCAGCATTCCTGTCCATTTATATCTCCTCTACACTACATCCTTGGCTTATACTGGGACTCTCTTGCCTCCTAAATGTACTCTGTCTTGATGGAACACACAACACATTGGCAGAAAATTTTGGTTGCATATGGGGAGGTCAGTTTGAATTCCTGCATCTCTTGCAAGTTTCCTTTAAAACTTGTGATCTTCATCTTGCATGGTGATACATTATGGTGGAACATAATTAATAGGAATAAGTAGTATAAATTAATTGAGCTTTTCATAGGTACTATTTTTACAGTATACAACAAAAAATGTATTATAAAACTATAATAATTATGAGACTTTAATTTTGTTGACCTTAATTTTGTATTCTCCTATTAAATCATAGTCTCATTGTTCCTATTGAAAAGGATTATTCTATTTTAATGATCAAGAAAGCAATGGATAGTGCCAGAAAACCAGTCATTGCAACTTTATTTCCAATGGACGGCAATGACTACCTGTTAAGAACTGGAATATTCTCAGTTGAAGTAAAACCTTATACTGGCAAGCCTGAAGTGTTTAAAATGGTTCGTACTGAGTGTTTAGTAAATTAAGTCCTTGTTATTAGATAATTGCTATTTTGATGCTATATATATATATTTTTAAAGGACCCAGGATACTAATTTTCTACACTGATGTATTAAACAGAGGAGCATTCCTTGAGCTGTACTTCAGGGAACACTAGTGTCCTGAGAACTACTAAAAGCTGACTTGGGAAAAAAGTGTTCCTTGGCCAAATTAGATTGTTAAATGTTGCAAGCTAATTCACTGCCTTAACAATTTGCAATATGCAATAGCATTTTCGAGGCCCCAAGAGCAACTAAATTAAAGAATCCTATTTAACAGTGTTTAACCTATTATTTCCTAAACCTATTTTAGAAAATTTTAATATTCTTAATAGTCAAATATTATATAAAGTCAGAAAACCACACAAAACAAATGCACAGCTTAATGAACTGTAAGACGTACATCCTTGTAACCACCATCCAGGTCAAGAGATTAAACATCCCCAGCCATTTCACATACTTTCCATGGGCCCTCCAGCATGGTGAAACCTCACCACTGACACTCCCAACAAAAGTAACCACTATTTGGGCTTCTTGGTAATGTATTGCTTACGTTTATTTTCCACACAAATGCCACTGTAATTTAGTTTTTTAAAAATATGTATATCTAAGCATTTTAAAACCTAGTTTATTTTCTCTCTCACAATTTCTTTCTCTCCATCTGTCCCTATATATATATGTTTGTTGATTTCTTCTTCCTATTGTAGTGTTACATGTACCTCTGTCCTCTGGTTTTTCTACGTATTGACCTAGAAGTTTAATGAGATTCAGGCTTAGTTATTTGGCAAACTGGCTTCATAGATGGCAACATTTGCTTCCATCAGGAGAAACTTAATGATTGATTGCCTTCCTTTTTGTGACGCTAGCAGTCACTGATAGACTCAATGGCTAGATCCATTAATTCATCAGGGTTACAAGATGATGACTGGATTCTCTAAGTTCTCCTTGATTTATTAGTTGGAATACTTCTGTAAAGAAAAAATTCACTTCATTAACTCTCTGGTTATCTAATGTTGTGTAGTTACAATAGGAAAGGCAAAGTTAATGCCAGATTCCTTTCCCCTCACTAGTTTTCAAAACAAAGGGTTGTTTTCTTAGCAAGTGTTTTTCCACAAGTGACCTTTTTAACATATTTTGTGTGTTTTGACTCACTGAAGGTGGGTTCACTGAAACCTCCACCTCCTAGGTTCAAGCAATTCTAATGCCTCATCCTCCCAAGTAGCCGGGCTTACAGGCACACACCACCATGCCTGGCTAATTTTATATTTTTAGTAGAGACAGGGTTTCACCATGTTGGGCAGGCTGGTCTCGAACTCCTGACCTCAAGTGATCTGCCCGCCTTGGCCTTCCAAAGTATTGGGATTACAGGTGTGAGCCACTGCACCCGGCCTCTCTGTGGCTTCTTAATAAAATCTTAATAATTTTTGCAGTGTCCTTGCTATCTGGTATGACAAAATGTTTCAAGTTTATCTTTTACAGTGTTGGTGTCTTTATTGGGAAATAGTATTTTAAGAACACAATGTAAAAATTAGGGATGCTTGTTGCTACTGAATCAATCATTATTTCTGAGTCTTTTCAGTTTGTAAATATGAAATAGTTTATGAATTCACATAGATACCTCAAATTCTTTATTCATGGATCATTTACTTGATTTAAAGTTTTTAGTATTTGTGCTGTTTTCCTGCTTGCTCTTTTCCCCCTTTTGGTAAATCCTGTTATATGGTTAATCTTTTTTGTCTTGACTTTGTCTCTTTCTATTAAAACCTTTCATCTCTTCATTTCTTTTTTATTTTAAATGTTTTTCTCCATTTAATCTTTTATTTTTCTTAAAATATTATGTTTTGTGCTTATTCTTACATTTTTGTTTTCCTTTATTGTTTTTGTTTCAGAAAATTTTTTCTTTTGTTAAAAGAAAACTTAAGACAAATTAAATTTGATGGAGTTTAACTGAGCACAAAAAGGAGAAATGATTTGCGAATCAGGCAGCCTCCAGAATCACAGCAGATTCAGAGACTCCAGGGGTGCCTGTGGTCAGAACAAATTTACAGACAAAAGAAATCAACCTAAGTTAGGTTTTCAATCTGGTCTGCCTGTTAAGCTACATTATGATTCGTCCACAAGGACTCAAATGTAGAAGTATAAAGTCCTTCTTAAACCATATTTAGTTCGCTTTAACACATTTATTTATATTTTTTTCCCCGGAGATTTATCACCTCACCTCTGCATTTCTCTATTCTGATGTATGTTATTCCTACACCTCTTGACTCATTTCTTAAGGTCCCTGATGTCTTTGCCTCATTTTAAAATTCCTGTTCATGTTTATCTCTTTTGAAGGCTTATCTTTCTGGTGTAGTTTCAATACGTGAAGAGACATAATTCTCTGTTTTATTATAATAACTTAATATATAATTTTATCTTTATCCTTTTCTATTGCACAATTTTATGTGGAAGGAATTTCCTGTATTTTTAGAATGGGATTGTGGGCAGGGCGCAGTGGCTTATGCCTGTAATCCCGGCACTTTGAGAGGCTGAGGCAGGCGGATCACGAGGTCAGGAGATGGAGACCATCCTGGCCAACATGATGAAACCCTGTCTCTACTAAAATACAAAAAATTAGCTGGGCATGGTGGTGCATGCCTGAAGTCCCAGCTACTTGGGAGGCCGAGGCAGAGGAATCGGTTGAACCCGGGAGACGGAGGTTGTAGTGAGCCGAGATCACACCACTGCACTCCAGCCTGGTGACTGAGCAAGACTCCGTCTCAAAAAAAAAAAGAATGGTGGTTCAGAAGAGCTTTTAACTTTACTGCACTGAGGCTCCCCCTTCTGGTGTTCCTATAAACTCTTTAAAAAACAGACATGGGACTTCATGAGAACTCCTGAATCTATCTCCTCCTTCAGTTTCATCTGGACATTCTTTGTTCTTTGTGTCTACTGTTTCTGTTCTCAATTTGTCATTCATTCCTTGGATTGACTCTCAGTTGGAGCTTTGTCTTGGGCAGGAACTGTAGGGTGCTAGTTTTGAGAGTCTGTGAGCCCCAGATCATTTCTGTCCCTTCAGATTTCATTTTGGACTTCTTGTTCCCATCCACCACAAGTACTTTGTAAGCTGAACAGAACTAAACAAATATAATGAACTTATTTATCATTATTATTGTCTTTCTTGTCTTCCATCTAAATTATTAGCTATTGGGGAACAGGAGATAAAATTGGCTTAAGTTTTGCACATTGACAGTGACCAAGACAGCTTTCACGTTGCTCTGCCCGCAGCTTGACTAAACCTTAGACACGTTTCTTCCTAGCTCTAGTCCTCACCATTCACTTTAGAAAACTTGTAATTAAATTTTTTTCTATTTCCCTTTGAGATGTAAATCTTTTAAAAAGCCTCTTGCCAGTTTTTCAATCCAGGACAGTCTTTCTAAAGCTCCTGGGAACCATCCCTTTGAAATGTAATCATCAGGGAAGATAGAATCCCATCTCCCCTCCTCTTTGCAAATGTAGGAGCTTAACTTCCATGGGCATCTTATTTCAAGTTGTAAAATTACCTCCTGTCATAAAGACAGGAGAAAGTTTCTTTTCCATTGGGTAAAGCCAATTAGCAAACAGAGAAAGTCTAACATCCCCCTACCCCAGCTCTTTTTTAAATTTAACTTTTATTTTAGGTTCAGGGATACATGTGCAAGTTTGTTATACATGTAAACTTGTGTCATGGGGGTTTGATGTACAGATTATTCTGTCACCTAGGTACTAAGCCTGGTACCCAATAATTATTTTTTCTTTCTGATCCTTTCCCTCCTTCCACCCTCCATCCTCAAGTAAGTCCCAGTGTCTGTTGCTCCTCTTTTTGTGTCCATGTGTTCTCATCATTTAGCTCCCCCTTATAAGTGAGGACACATAGTATTTGGTTTTCTGTTTCTGCGTTAGTTTTCTTAGGATAATGGCCTCTAGCTCAATCCATGTCCCTGCAAAGGACGTGATCTCATTCTTTTTTATGGCTGCATAGTATCCCATGCTGAATATTACCATAGTTTCTTTTCCAGTCTGCCATTGATGGGCATTTAGGTTGTCTCCATGTCCTTACTATAGTGAATAGTGCCATAGTAAACATACAGGTGCCTGTTGTCTTTATGATAAGACAGTTTATATTTCTTTGGGTACAAACCTAGTAATGAGATTGCTGGGTTGAATGGTAGTTCTGTTTTTAACTTCTTGAGGAATCACCACACTGCTTTCTACAATGGTTAAACTAATTTACACTCCCACCAACAGTGTAAACGTATTCCCGTTTCTCCACAACCTCACCAGCATCTGTTTCTTGACTTTTTAATAATAGCCATTCTGACTAGTGTGAAATGGTATCTCATTGTGATTTTGATTTGCATTTCTCTAGTGGTTAGTGATGTTGAACATATTTCCATATGCCTATTGGCAGCATGTATGTCTTCTTTTGAAAAGCATCTGTTCATGTCCTTTCTGGCCCTTTGTTTTATCAGAGCTGAGTATTAGGAGTTGGTCTGTGTTCTTTCCCTTGTTGCTGGAAATGGTGTTGGAATAACAATTTCTGTTTGCTCATCTTGATGGGTGCAATTTTTCTTTAACAATAGTATTTTGTAATTATAATGAACAACACTAATGCAGTCTGCAGCACTGAAAATTTGCTTCTTGATAAACCTAGTTGAATTTATTTCTGAAACTTGAATTTTAGAGTCTGAATGTTTACTGGCAGTGATATTGTGGAATAATAGATTTGGATATGGAAAACAGACTTAGATCAAATGGTATATTAGCCCATAGGTTAAAGTAAGAAGTATATTTGATATTAGACTTGAAAAAAATGAAAAGCTCTCAATTCAAACTCATGGGTATAAAAACACAATGACGAGGAAACAACTTCATTACTACCTGCAGGAAAGTATTTGACCTGCTTTCTTGAGAATAGTAACTGTATATTGCTTTCACATAACACCATTCATTTGGGAATTCCATAGCCCTCTTAGGTAGCAAGCATTATTATTGCCATCTGGCAGGTGAGGAAAGAGAACAGTTAAACCATCCAGGAACACATAATTAATGGTGGTCTTATTCCATTTTCCATCATTTCTAAACTGACTCAATGACAAAGTTCATTTTGAAAACTATGGTTCAATGTAATATTTTGGAGAAAATAATTAGAAACATTAAGAAAATAATTTTTTGGTCAAAGGTGTAGAAAAAATCAATGGTAAGGACTTCAAATATATGTATGAAAAAAATTGCCTACCCTGTTGTATTAGAAGTCAATTTTCTAGCTTATCATTCCCTCTCATTTTAAAACTGCTTTTCTTGATTGTTATTTTCTTGTTTCTGCCTCATAGCACCTCTCTTTTAAGCTGATTACTTAATGGATGTTTATCCTTGTGTACACAACTTGAGAATGTTTGTATTGTTGAATGGTGCTTCTGTAGTCTTGCTTTTAATTGAGCTACAGATGTTACACTTGTGGAAGTAATAATAATCTCATTAGATTCCATGAATGCCTTTATAAAATAAAAACCTAAGAATTGAGGATATAAAGCTTTTTATAGAAAATAAGATATTATTTGTAAAAACAGATTTTCAGGCATTTTACAATAACTATAAACATTTTGTTACAGCCAGTGTTGCTCAGAATTTAAATCAGAATTTTCTTTACAACTTTATTTGCTTTCAAATTCTAGGAAGACTCATTATTACTAATCCAGGTTTGTTTTGCTTCAGAATGTGAGTCCTTTACCTTTTAGGTCATACTTAGAATTACTTGAAAAATAAATTTAAAAATTCTGAAAAAATGCAGGTATTGGTTACACTACACACACACACACACACACACACACACACACACATATAAATTCAGTCTCTCTATATTTACAAATAATACAAATAAATAAACATATTTAATGTGTCCTATTCAATGAGTTTGGACATATGCAAATATCCCTGATACCTTCATGACAATAAAAAAATTGGCATATTCAACACCTCCCCAAATTTCCATGTATCCCTTTGGTGTGTGTGTGTGTGCATGTGGGTGTTAAGAACACTTAACGTAAGATCTATCCTCTTAACAAAATTTTAAAGTATCTTTTTATATTTAAGAACATTTGTTAGCCATATACTGTACTTCGTTATGTCTTAAACTTGTATGGTAGCTTTTTTCCTCTACTTTTATAGTAGAGGAAACTTTCATTAGATTTTTCCAAAGTAATTTTGTAGAATGCTTTCTGAAAAGAGAAGCCTGGCATTTTATTAAAAACCATTGTATACCACTGCAAATCATTCTGGTCCCAACTTTTTTCCCAGAAGCTGCTGCAGCAACTGGTTTTGAGCATGCTCTGAAAGGCTGAGGACAGGTGTAACCAGGCAGCACCCCTTCCTCAAGCCAGGTCCACATGTCTCTCACCGTATCCTCTGGGCTCCCTTGATAATGCAGGGTGGAAGGTCTAAGACAACACACTCTGTGCTCACATACACAAATGCTGGGAATGTGGGGAAGACAATACCTGTGAGGCTACCCTAGGCCTGGAGGGAATTGATAAGTGCTTGCCCCTTGCTTGCCAAGTTGTAGATTTCTTAGTCTCATTCCATTAAGCCTTCTCAGAAGATCCTAGATAAATCTAGCACTAGTTACTCATAACAACACATTTGTAATACAAATCTTATCATTATTTTTTTGCTTATCTCTTTTTTCTACTCTTCTGGTTCCTCATACCTGCTCCCTGAGATCGTTTCCCAAATACACAATCTCTGCTTTTGGGAATGACATAGGCTAAGATGTCCACATATATACTTTAGCAAGTACTATATCTTCCTCAATTAATTCACAAAGTGCTTTAAATAAATCATATTGGAGGCTCTGAGAAGCTCTGCAGTAAATAGACCTCTTTAGCTTTGTGAATCCCAGAATTTCTTGAAGTTAGTTGACCACAGGCCCTTACTTTGCCATATAACACCTATTCATATCTTAGCACTTTGGGAAACATTGACCTAAAGATGAGAAATGAAATTCTAGGTTTAAAGCAGAGTTACCATTAGACAAGCCCTAGTTCTGCTAGTATTTCAGCTTATTATCAATCACACCAAAATATGGGAGAGACTTACTCTGTTTCTCACCCTCTGCTGTGAACAATCTGCTTACATAGCCTAGACATTCATCTTCAAGGCTGTAATTCAAAGGACTGATTATTCTGATTTCAGCTGTTATTGCCTGCCTCTTATAACTCAGTAAAGATGGTAATTTTTTAGATTAAATAAAAATTAATCAGTAAAATGAATGCTTAGGTGATTATGCTGTGTAAGGCATTGTGGAGAATTATTTAAAAGAGTAAGACCATTTCTGCCCACAAGAAGCTTAAAATTTTCCACTGAATATATACCCAGCAGTGAAATTGCTGGATGATAAAAATTGTTCTACTTTTAACTTTTTGAAATCAGTATCTCAGATAGATATCTACACTGCTGTGTTCACTGCAGCATTATTCACAATACCCAAGACATGGAAACAACCTAAGTGTCCATTGATGAGTGAATGAATAAAGAAAATGTGATGCATTCACACAATAGAATATTGTTCCACCTCAAGAAAGAGAGAAATCCTGTATTTTCTGGCAACATGGTTGAACCTGGAGGACATCATGCTAAGTGAAATAAAGCAGGCACAAAAAGACAAATATTGCACCATCTAGCTTTTATTTAGAATCTAAAAAAGTCAAACTCATAGAAGCAGAGGATAGAATGTTGGTTGCCAGGAACTTGGTGGGTGATGGTGGGAGAAATGATGAGATGTTGACCAAAGGGAACAGAGTTTCAGATATGCAGGATAAATACATTATGGAGATCTAATGTATAACATAATGACTACAGTTAATAATACTGTATTATAGACTTGAAATTTACTAAAAGAATAGATCTTAAGTGTTCTCATCACACACACTGTTGTAACTACATGAGGTGATGGTGGATACGTTAATTAGCTTTATTATGGTAATCATTTCACAATGTATATATATATCAAAACAGCACATTGTACATGTGAAATATATACAATTTGTATTTATCAGTCATATCTTAATAAAGCAAGAAACCCTAAAAATTGATTAAAATAAATTTAAAGAGCTTAAAATTGTAAAATAAAAAATAATGTAAGAGTCCTAGTAACCATTTTTACTATTTATAAATATTCTTCTCCATTGAATATGAAATATTCATATGTTAATCTCATTCCTCTACCTTCAGGCACATGGGGAGATGGCACTCGCATACTCCTTAATACTAGGTGTGCCTGGGTAACTTCCTTTGACCAATGACCATGAGAGGGAGTGACATATGACGCTCATGGGGGAAAGCATTTGGTTTTCGAAGCTCAACTTCCCAGCCAGCTATTTCTCATAAATTGGCAGCAACAGTTTATAAGGAGAAAACATCAGAATGAAGCAGCCAGAGGCAGAGTCTACATGTGGAGGACAGATGCTCTGGAGATTCACCTAGAACCACTGCAGAATTTGGCTGGATGAGATGCTGCATTAAAATATTCTTTGGTACTACAGCTTAATCTAGCCCATGCTAACTAATGTAATAGAGAATTACAGAAAGAAGTAACTAGTTAGTACCTGTGAAGAACTGGGAAGGCCCTGAGATTTTACCTTACAGTCAAGCTAACAATTAGTCAACTACGGCTTAATGGATGTGGACATGAGAGACGAGACTCCTGGGTCAGGCAAGGGACTCTTCATTCACAGGAATGGCAATGGCCAGAGTATCGGCAATTGCACCAGCTCCCTGAACCCCAATTCCCGTAGGGTAGCACAATGAGCAGCAGTTGAAATCTGCACATGTCGTGGGGTGTGTTACGGGAGAGGGATCTGGGTCTCCTTACCTAGGAGAGCTGACAGTAGAGCTCCAGTCTGAGTCCTAAGAACCAGTCGAGCTGATGGTGTAAATTTCCATCTGAGTTGGAAAGCAGAAGAAGACTGATGTCCCAGCTTGAAGACAGTCAGGTCGATAGAGCAAATTTTCTCCTTCTCTGGCTTTTTGTTCTATTTTGGTCTTCAAAAGATGGGTTGAGGCACAATCATGGTGGGGAGGGCTATGTGTTTTAAATATTTAGTCTCCTGATTCGTTCATATGCTGTATGCTAATCTCATCCCAAAATACCTTCACAGACACACCCAGAACAGAATTTAAGTGGATGTCTAGGAAGCTTATGGCCCGTTGGCATGTAAAATTAACCTTGGTGCTTTTTATGGACTCTTCCCAGAATCTTACTTCTGTGAACTCCCACAACTGGAGCACATCTCCTTTTAACTTTGTGCACAGCTAATGTATTCATGGGTAGGTATGAATATGACTTCCCTTATGTTCTTGGTGGTAAATACACTTGATCCTCGAGCAACATGAATATGAACTGCATAGACCCACTTATATGTAGATTTTTTTCAGTAAATACATAGATTGTATTTTTTTTTAGATTAACAAAGATTTGAAAAAACTTGCAAACTGCATAGCATAGAAATATCACCAAATTAAGAAAAGTATATGTCATGAATGCATAAAATAGACGTAGGTACTAGTCTATTTTATCACTTACTACCATAAGATATACACAAACCTATTATAAAAAGTTAAAATTTATCAAAACGTATGCACACAAATACTTAGAGAATATACATGCTGTCTTTCATAAAGGAGAATATGTAAATAAATATAAAGATGCCATATTAAATCATAACTTCATACAATTTTCTGTAGTACATTCTGTACTAGTATAATAATTTGATAGCCACCTTTGTTGCTATTGTGGTGAGCTCAGTGTTGCAAATATCCAAGGCGAGGCTAATCATCTCCAAGTGAGCAGTTTGCCTCTCCAGTAAATTGCCTATTATAGAAAAAAGGGATTTCTGGAAGCTCTCATGTATTTCCCATTGTGTTTAGTGCAATATCATAAACGCTGAAAAACGCCATGGGACTCATATGAAGTGCTACCAGTGATGCTAGAAGTGCTCCCCCAAACAGAGAAAAGTCATGACATTACAAGAAAAAGTTGAATTATTTTATACGTACTTTAGTTTGAGGTCTGCAGCTGTGGTTGTCTACTATTTCAGACAGATGATTGATCTTACAAAAAGATGGTGTAAATTTACGGTATTGATAAACACAGTATGGCACTGTAAACGTATCTTTTCTTTCTTATGATTTTCTTAATAACATTTTCTTTTCTCTAGCTTACTTTATTGTGAGAATACAGTGTATAATATATATTACATATAAAACATATGTTAATTTGGTGGCAAGGCTTCCTTCCAGTCAACAGTAGGCTATTAGTTAAGTTTTTGAGAAGTCAAAAGTTTTACATGCATTTTCAAGTGTGTTGGATGGTTGATTCTCCTAACCCTCACGTTGTTCAATAATTAAATATACTTAATAATGGTTATTACTATCTCTAGGCTTAAATGTAATATAAAATTCCAGGCTCTCTCTGCCCCTCTGCTCAGAATGCTGTGAAAGTTTAGCTACATACATAAGTAAAAACAGACCCTTTTTGAACAGTAGCTTAGGTGTGGGTACACAAATACACAGTTTCTAGACCCATTGTTCAGAGAGTGGAGTTTTACTGCAGGGAGGAGACATACTACTTTGTCTCTAGCCTATGCATAAACATTTGCTACTTTCACATCCACACAGTTTTTTTTAAATTAAATTTTTTGGTATCTTTAGCTCTGTTTTAATCAGTGTGAAATAACAGATAGAAAATGGTTAATAAACTAAAGGAAAAAGAATATACGATTATTTGCTGTGAAATTTTAAAAAACGTCAGCTGTCTTATTCTTACATGAGATGCTGTTTTAATGCAGGAGTACAATTAAAAGAACTTTTAGGTAGCAAAGAATAAACCTTTTATGAAAAAGGTGTCTAAAATTTTTTGTTAAATGTGGGCTACTGAAGTAAAAAACATTGAATCTTTGAATCACATTGACCAAAGGGTAGTTTTATGTATGAGAAGTTTCTAAATTAGGTTTCTGGACTGTTGGGAGGCAACTCAAACTTGTGGGCATCACCAATGTCCTATAAGCATATTTTTCATCTATTTAGGTTTTGAGTTTTGATAAATAAGCATAAGCAAGTATGATCAGTTTTAAGGAACCATATGGGAACTGACTATCATGAAACAGATTAAATAAGAGTTCCGTGGTACAACAACCATCTACATGAGCCTGACTGTTTTGCCATTTTTGTAATGAAGATGGTTTTTAACTCTCTTTGACTCTGTGATATGTTTAGAAACTTGCTTTTTGCAAATATTTAAGCTCTCATAAGCATAATTAGACAATAGATAATGTAGTTTTACTCTGAGTTTCTCTCTTCTCAGTTCTCCAAAATTTGGGAAAATCTTACATGATTTTGTTTCTTTTTATATTGCATGTAATCTTTTATTAGAAAGTAAGGAATTCTGAGTTCTCTTAATAAAATTAGATTCAGCACCAACAAAAGTCTTTTAAATAGAAATAAAACTGAAAATAGCTCTGAAAATGAGGGAGACTGGTAATTCTAGGTTCTTTTTTGATGTATTCACATACAGAGAAACGTTGAGGAATATCACCAGTTTTACAGCATTGTAAATACACACTCCTCTTCAAATATAAATGCGGGAATATAATGAAAATACCTTTTTTGATTGTTTTCTCTTTTGAAGGCTTACATTACTGATCGCATCTGCTGGAATAAATGTTGAATTGCTGACCTTTGAAGTAAAAAATATCTGATAAAATAAGACAACAAAGGATTCAATATTTATCTTACTTATTAAATTAACATGCAGTTTCCCCATTGATTTATAGGTACTTTGTTATGTTTTTATAAGATTATTGGGAAAAATAAAAAGTTGAGATTTCAAAGCACATTTACAAAATCATTTTCTATGCTGGTTTTATAAAATAAGAGACTTTCATATAGACTAGCATTTATATGTGAATACATCATTGCTGTAGGGATTTTTTTTAAAAAACATTTGTTTAAGGAAAACATTTTAAAGGTTTTTCTTGAAATTTTGAAGTTTAGTTTTTTAAGAACCTTCAGAGTCTTTAAGAACTCAGATATCTGGATAACTAGAATGTACATTTTGATGACTTGTTTTACTGGCTCTCAACTAGATTCGATTTTTAATCTTAGATACATTAATTGAAAAGCCTTTTGAGAACTGGAATTCAAATAATTTTGTATTAGCAAAAATAATGAAAAGCAAATATAGTGTTCATATTTCCATAATATTTATATACTTATTCGGTATGAACTAAAGTGTCCTTCTTCTACAAAATATCCTCCTTTGAATATGAGGCAACATGTTTAAAGTTAGTGCAGCCACCTAACTTAAAGTAGAAAACTAAAGAATTCACTGCACAATATTTTATTCTTGACATGGGACTGTTATAGTTCAATTCACTATAACCCCAGGGGGGCAGGCACAGTACAGTGTGAATTGTAAGCTTCCTACTTCTAAAGCCAGAAATATTCAGCTGCTGCACTGCAGGTGGCATAAAAATTATACTTTCAGATAACACATCTGCCAGAGATGAATAAGAAGTTAGATCCTGAAGACTTATAATTATCTGATACCTTTATGTGCCCACTCATTATGATCCATTCACAGCAGGTGAGAGACAGCATAGCAGACTGTATTGCACCTGCATTTTTTTTTCAGGAGCATGCTCAAACACGGTCCTTGACTCAAAAATTTATTCATATGGTCTCTTGTATTAGCCCATTCAGTCAAATACTTGCTGACCTCCTTTAAAACTTTTTAAAAAAATTCACACGTGAAGGTTTCTATTTTTAGTTCTTTTGCTGTAACATTTTAAATGTTCAAATTGGAAAATGTAAAATATAATATTGCTTGTATTTTTTCTCTAGCTTGGATAAGAGCATTATCACATCTGAATATAAATCTTGTTCTTGTCTTTATCGAATTCATAACCAGTAATTATACCTGTAGTCATGACTAGAGAAATTTACTGATCATTTTCTATGTGGCAGGCACTGCTTACAGTTTCATATACATTATCTCACTTAAATGTCATAGCTACTCTATGCCTAAAGATATATATTTTACAAAAGAGAAAATTAAGGCGCAGAAAGTTTAAAAACAGTATTAAAAAAGCATTTGGCCAAAGTTGTAAAGCCAGTAAGGGGTGGAACTGAAATCTGAACTCAAGTTTTTTTCCCAGCTTTATTGATGTATGATTGACAAACAAAAATTATATGTATTTAAGGGTATAAAATGTGATGTTTTGATATACATACTAATTGTGAAATGATTACCACAATCAAGCTAATTAATACATTCATCATCTCACAGTTACCATTTTATTTTTTGTGGTGAGATCACTTGAGATCTATTCCCTTGGTAAATTTCAAGTATGTAATACATTATTACTAACTATAGACACCATGCTTTACATTAGGTCTGTAGTACTTATCTATCTTATCTATCTTCATGCACTTTGATCAATATCTACCCTTTTCTTTCTTCTGTCCTGTAACCTCCTTCCTACTCTCTATTACTATAAATTTGACTTGCAAATTATTGCAAATGGTAGGATTTACTTTTTTCTAAAGACTTAATAATATTTCATTATATGTAAGACATGTATATGTGCAACATTTCATTATTCATTTATATGTTGACAAATTTTTATGTAGTTTCCATATCTTGGCTATTATAAATAATACTGCAAAAGAACATTGGAGTTCATACATTTCTTTGAGATAATGATTTTATTTTCTTTGGCAGTCAACCCAGAAGTGAGACTGCTCAATCATGTGGTATTTCTATTTTTAAATTTTGGATGAATGTTCATACTTAAAAAAAATGGTTATAGTAACTTAAATCCCCAACAACAGTGTACAAGGTGTACCTTTTCTCCATGCCATTGCCAATACTTGTTATCTTTTGGCTTTTTGACAGTAGCCTCCCTGACAGTGTGAAGTGACACCTTATTGTGATTTTGATTTGTATTTCTCTGATGATTAGTGATGTCGATCACCTTTTCATACACTTGTGGGCCATATTTTAAATGTCTTCTTTGTAAAAATGTCTTTTTAGGTCCTTTACCTGTTTTTTAATAGGGTTATTTACCCTTTTGTTATTGAGTCATGTCAGTTTCTCATATATTGAATTTTAAGCCCTTGTCAGATACGTGGCTTACAAATATTTTCTACCAAGTTTATGTCAAAGCTCATGCTTTTAAACTCTCTTTTATTTATTTATTAAGAGATCCTTAGTTAAAATTATATTAATAAAAAACCTAGAAGGTGAAAGTAGGAAAGAATGAGAGAACATTTATTTACAAGTGTGACTTCAGGCACATTGGTAAAAGGAATATTGATTGATAATAGGAAGAAAGAAAGCAAACACTTATTGACACCTTTTGATGTATTGGTGAAGGAGCTTCAGTTCTGGAGGTACTGATTCAGTACTTTCCATATTGAAATAACATAACATATAGAGTTATTGGAGAACAATATTTGATTATATTTAGCAAAAATACAGATGTAAAAGCATAATGTAAAACAAAATAGGAATATGAAATTACAGTATTTTTGGTCAAAGAGTTTGTTTAAATAGATGAAAAACACTGTAAATGTCCTATGTTTTGTATATAATCCTTGTTAAAATTATTGCTAGGCTTATCTAATTTTTCTGTAGGAATTTAGAAGCACAATTTCAACCTAAAATGTATACATTATCTTTTTTTCATCATGATTGCATCAAAAACTAAAGAATATATTTTTTTCACAAGCAGGTAAAACTATTGCAGTTTCTTGCAAGAAATAAGAAAAAGTAGAAAGAATCACTTTCTACTTTTGGAAAGTAGATTGGAAAAAGCAATGCCATGATGTCATGGTACTGACAATACTAATGTAGTGACAGAATGAATGACATCTAGGGTTCTGTTGGCAGGTGAAGTTATCTCAAATTGCCAGGCTAACAAACTGAATTACTGCCTGGACTGCGAACATGTTACTTAAGCCCTAAAACCACACAGTAATTATGAATTGTTATGTATTAGAAAAGGGAACCCTTACAATTTGTTATAATGTGAGTAATCTTGCACACACACACACACACCTCACTTCATAATGTAGACGTGGGTTCACTTTTATGTTAAAAAATTAGAAGAGGGAATTTACATTCAGTGAAACAACTGTACATTTTGTTTAAAGAAAAAAATCACATTTTTGTGATACTTCCATGTTTCGGGTCTAAATACATGATATTGGTATCATGGGTCAAAATATTACACCATGTAGGGATCAGTGTTTGCTCAAGGAAGGGAGCAAGTAATGGGAAGAGGAAACGATTATAGAGAAGCAAGAGAAAATTTGAGGGGATAAAGGATATACTCAAGTTTGTGTTGATGGTTTCATGGGTGTTTGCATATGCCCAGTCTTCTCAAATTTTACATTTTAAGTATCTATAGTTTGTTGTCAATTATGCCTCAATAAAACTTTTTAAAGTTTCTTTTTAATTTGATTTTTATGCCAATAGGTTTTTGAGGAACAGGTAGTGTTAGGTTACATGAATAATTCCTATAGTGGTGGTTTCTGAGATTTTGGCGCACCCATCACTCAAGCAGTGTACACTATACCCAGTGTGTAGTCTTTTATCCCTCACCCTCATTCCACCCATTCCCCCAAGTCCCCAGAGTCCATCATATCATTCTAATCCTGTTGCATCCTCATAGCTTATCTCCCACTTACGAGTAACAACATACGATGTTTGGTTTTCCACTCCTGAGTTCCTTCACTTAGAATAATGGTCTCCAATTCCAACCAGGTTGCTGCAAATGCCATTTTTTAAAATTCCTTTTTATGGCTGAGTAGAATTCCATGGTATGTATGTATACCACATTTTCTTTATCCACTCATTGATTGATGAGCATTTGGGCTGGTTCCATATTTTTGCAATTACAAATTATGCTGCTATAAACGTGTGTGCAAGTATCTTTTTCGTATAATGACTTCTTTTTCTCTGGGTAGATACTCAGAAATGGGACTGTTGGATCAAATGGTAGATCCAATTTTAGTTCTTTAAGGAATCTGCAAATTGTTTTTCATGGTGGTTTTACTAGTTTACATTCCCGCCAACAGTGTAGAAGTGTTTCCTTTTCACCACATCCATGCCAACATCTATTATTTTTTGATTTATTGATTATGGCCATTATTGCTGGAATGAGGTGGTATGGCATTGTGGTTTTGATTTGCATTTTCCTGATAATTAGTGATGTTGAGCATTTTTTTCATATGTTTGTTGTCCATTTGTGTATCTTCTTTTAAGAATTGTCAATTCATGTCCTTAGCCCACTTTTCGATGGGATTGTTTGTTTTTTCTTGCTGATTTGTTTGAGTTCCTTGTAGATTCTGGATATTAGTCTTTTGTCAGACATATAGATTGTGAAGATTTTCTCCTGCTCAGTGAGTTGTCTGTTTACCCTGCTGATTATTTCTTTTGCTGTGCAGAAACATTTCAGTTTAATTAAATCCCATCTATTTATCTTTGTTTTTGTTGCATTTGCTTTTGGGTTCTTGGTCATGAAGTTTTTGCCTAAGCCAATGTCTAGAAGGGTTTTTCTAATGTTATTGTCTAGAATTTTTATGTTTTTGGGTCTTAGATTTAAGGCCTTGATCCATCTTGAGTTCATTTTTGTACAGGGTGAGAGATGAGGATCCAGTTTCATACTTCTACTTGTGGCTTGTCAATTATCCCAGCACCATTTGTTGAACTGGGTGTCCTTTCTCCACTTCATGTTTTTTTTTTTTTTTTCTTTTTCAATGATCAGTTGACTATAAGTAATTGGCTTTCTTTCTGGCTTCTCTATTCTGTTCCATTGGTCTATATACCTATTTTTATACCAGAATCATGCTGTTTTGGTGACTATGGCCTTACAGTATAGTTTGAAGTGGGGTAATGTATTGCCTCCAGATTTGTTCTTTTGCTTAGTCTTGGTTTGGCTATGTGGGTTTTTTTTGGTTGCATATGAATTTTAAGATTCTTTTTTTCTTGTTCTGTGAAGAATGATGATGATATATTGATGGGAATTGCATTTAATTTGTAGATTGCTTTTGGCAGTATGGTTATTTTCACAATATTGATTCTACCCATTCATGAGCATGGGATGTATTTGCATTAATTTGTGTTATCATGATTTCTTTCAGCAGTGTTTTGTAGTTTTCCTAAGGTTTTTTTTTTCTTTTTATGCAGCTACTGTAAAAGGGGTTGAGTTCTTGATTTGATTCTCAGCTTGGTTGCTGTTTGTGTATAGCAGAGCTACTTATTTGTGTACATTAATTTTGTATCCTGAAATTTTGCTGAATTCAATTTACCAGTTCTAGGGGTTTTTTTTGAAGGAGTCTAGGGTTTTCTACATATACAATCATATCATCAGCAAACAGCAACAGTATGACTTCCTCATTACCAATTTGAATGCCCATGGTTTCTTTCTCTTGTCTGATTGCTTTGGCTAGGACTTCCAGTACTATATCGAATAGAAACGATGAAAGTGGGCATCCTTGTCTTGTTCCAGTTCTCAGGAGCAATGCTTTCAACTTTTCCCAGTTCAGTATAATGTTGGCTGTTGATTTGTCAAAGATGGCTTTTATTACCTTGAAGTATGTCCCCTCTGTGCCAGTTTTGCTGAGGGTTTTAATCATAAAGGGATGCTGGGTTTTGTCAAATGCTTTTTCTGTGTCTATTGAGATAATCATGTGATTTTTGTTTTTGGTTCTATTTATGTGGTGTATCACATTTATTGACTTGCATATTTAAAACCATCCCTGCATCCCTGGTATGAAACCCACTTCATCATGGTGGATTATCTTTTTTGATATGCTGTTGGATTCTGTTAGCTAGTATTCTGTTGAGGATTTTGGCCATCTATGTTCATCAAGGATATAAGTCTGTAGTTTTCTTTTTTTGTTATGTCCTTCCCTGGTTTTGGTATTAGGATGATACTGGCTTCATAAAATAATTTAGGGAGGATTCCCTCTTTATCTTGTGGAATAGTGTCACTAGGATTGGTACCAATTATTCTTTGAATGTCTGGTAGAATTCAGCTGTGAATCCCACTGGTGCTGAATTTTTTTTTGTTGTTGGTATCTTTTTAATTGTCATTTTAATCACACTGCTTGTTATTGGTCTGTTCAAAGTTTCTATTTCTTCCTGGTTTAACCTAGGAAGGTTGTATATTTCCAGGAATTTTTCCATCTCCTCTAGGTTTTCTAGTTTACGCATGTAAAGATGTTCACAGTAGCCTTGAATGATCTTTTGTATCTCTGTGTTATTGGTTGTTATATCTCCAGTTTCATTTCTAAGTGAGCTTGTTTGGATCTTCTCTCTTCTTTTCTTGGTTAATCTCACTAATGATCTATCAATTTTGTTTATCTTTTCAAAGAAACATTTTTATGTTCCATTTATCTTTTGTGTTTTTTTGTTTCAATTTCATTTAGTTCTGCTCTGATTTTGATATTTATTTTCTTCTGCTGAGTTTGGGTTTGGTTTGTTTCTGTTTCTCTAGTTCCTTGAGGCATGACTTTAGATTGGCTATTTGTGCTCTTTCAGACTTTTTGATGTAGGCATTTAATGCTATGAACTTTCCTCTTAGCATTGGTTTGCTGTATCCCAAAGGTTTTGATAAGTTGTGTCACTATTATTTATTATTCAGTTCAAAGAATTTTAAAATTTCCAACTTGATTTCATTGTTGACCCAACGATTGTTCAGGAGCAGGTTGTTTAATTTCCATATATTTGCATGGTTTCGAGGGTTTCTTATGGAGTTCATTTCCAATTTTACTCCACTGAGGTCTGAGAGAGAACTTGCTGTAATTTCGATTTTCTTAAATTTGTTGAGACTTGTTTTGTGGCCTAGCATATGTTCTATCTTGGAGAATGTTCCATGTGCTGATGAATAGAATGTATATTCTGCAGTTGTTTGGTAGAATGTTCTATAAATATCTGTTAAGTACATTTGTTCTAGGCTATAGTTTAAGTCCATTTTTTTTGTTGTTGTTGACTTTCTGTCTTGATGGCCCATCTAGTGCTGTCAGTGAAGTTTGCAGTCCCCCACTATTATTGCATTGCTACCTATATCATTTCTTAGGTCTATTTGTAATTGTTTTAAAATTTGGGAGCTCCAGTGTTAGGTGCATAAATATTTACAATTGTGATGTTTTCCTGTTGGACAAGACCTTTTGTCATTATATAATGTCCCTCTTTGTCATTTTTAACTGCTGTTACTTTAATGTTTGTTTTGTCTGATATAAGGATAGCTACTCCTGCTTGATTTTGGTGTCCATTCACATGTAATATCTTTTTCCCCACCTTTACCTTAAGTTTATGTGAGTCCTTGTGTGTCAATTTAGACTCTTGAAGACAGCAAATACTTGGTTGGTGAGTTCTTATCCATTCTGTTATTCTATATCTTCTAATTGGAGCATTTAGGCCATTTACATTCAATGTTAGTATTGAGATGTGACATACTATTCTATTCATCATGCTATTTATTGCCTGAATACCTTATTTTTATTGTGTTATTGTTTTATGAACATAGATTGCGTATAAGTTATATGCAGTTTTAAAACTTTTTCTGCCAACCATATACAAAACGGTACTAAATATAGTATAGTCCTGTTTCTCTTTCCCCCTCCCCCCGACCATGTATTCAACACCTGACATTAATGATCCATTCATGGCCACTCTTATTTCATCTATTATTCCCCTCCCCCACTGGATTATTTTGCAGTGAATCTCAGATATCCTGAAAGGATCAGGTGTTTTTTTTTTTTTTTTTGTAAACCTAAAAAAATATGATATTGTAATTTTTACAGATATAAGGGCTACCTGGTGTTCACTTTATTTCATTAAATGGGAATACAATTTAAAAGCTATGCTTATGTTTTAAAGATAAGTAATATGTTGTTTGACAATAGCATTATTAAGTATACTGTGAACTATTTTTAAAAACCAGAATATAATAAACAACTTTGAAAACAATTTACAGATAAAATACTGGTTTAGAAATCAGCATATCATTTTTTAAAATGATTTCCTGGTGACAATTTAAAGACTTTATTATGAAATATTTACTTTCACATAATATGGTGTTATATAAATATATCTGAGCTGTTATAGTTTAAAAGCTATAAATATTAAATTGTATCAGAAATATACAGAAACCAATTCAAATGTGATTATCTTTTTGTTTTTAGATATAATACATTTGTTTTTTCTTAAAAGCTCATAGCTGTTTAGAAGATCAAATGATTTGATCCTTTTCAGTTTTCCATGATCATATTTTCTTGGTTATAAATTATATTTGGAAATCACTATTTTGGCAATAACTAGATTTTTTTTTGGAATTCAATAAAATGAATGTAATATTAGTTATATAAGGAGATTTTAGAATTCAGAAATGCATAAAGCTTTGGAGTTAAATGTTTGGCCAGGATAAACTATGGCCTTTGTGTTTTAGACTATTATATGTTATCATAGAAAGACAATGTATGTTGTCCAAATTGAAATTATTCCACATAGTTGGGATTTAATCAAGCAAATAATTACCTTAGAGGGCATCGAGATTTACTTTGCTTTGATATGATAAAGAGTGAGAACATTATAAACTAGTTTATTTAAAGGACATATTTCAAGAAATATTAAATCATCTTTCCTAAATACAGAACATTCAAGGAGATTTTCAAAAGCAAAAGTTTCATATTTGAATTAGCATTTATATTCATTTTCTTTATAACCCATTTCTCATTTTTGAGGAAAAAAGATTTCCATACATATTTCCAATTCTAAGTTTCTTCTGAGTTGTAAAATACCTATTTTTTAAAAAATCCTAAATAATACCTTAGTGTAGAAATATATTCTAACATTACCCTAAACCCTTGATATCTTTTTACATGTAATTTTGATGATAAAGCATTCGATACATTTTCATTTTGGTGGTAGAGAAAATCAAAATGATGATTTTTAAAATTAGAGTAAGAGTTTATGAATGCCCTAATGAATACAATTATTTAAAAAATTTAGCCACATTATTGTTGAATCAGTTCTTAAGAGTTAGTGTTTATTGAAAACAGAAAAGATAATACAGTAACATTAGTTTTTAAGAGTTTGTGTTTATCAAAAACAGAAAATATAAGAGAGTAATGTTAGTTTTTTTGTCTTTGGATTAGCTTTTTCAGATAATATGTAGATCACTACAATAAACTATTATCAAAATCCTACTTATTGTTAAAAATGATGCTTTTATAAATTAGATCAGCTAGATAAAACCATCTGACTTGATTAAATAAATACTTGCAAGATCTGCAAATGAGAAATTGCCTAATTAAAAATTATTGATACTGATCAATAGAATTGAAGGGAGAATTAGAGATTCATTTTGTGATCTCATTATTTAGATAGGTTAAGATAAGAAATGAAAGGTTAAATTTCCAGTACCATTTATGTAAATCTGCCTTATAGATAATTAAAATAAATAATTCTTTATTGTGTTTGTATTACTTCAAATGATAGCAGTAACTATTATGAGGTCCCAAGATGAAGATGACAGGGTACCGTCATCAGAATTTATGTTATTCCAACTTACTGCTCACTATCTAGTAACTTGTACTAAGCAAAAGCAAGTTGCCTAAAATCAACAATCTTTATGTATTAGTTTGTTTTCATGCTGCCGATGAAGACATACCAGAGCCTGGGCAATTTACAAAAGAAAGAGGTTTAATTGTACTTACAGTTCCACATGGCTGGGGAGGCCTCACAATCATGGCAGAAGGCAAAGAGGGGCAAGTCACATCTTACGTGGATGGCAGCAGGCAAAAAGAGAGAGCTTGTGTAGGGCAACTCCTGTTTCTTAAAACCATCAGATCTCATAAGATCCATTTACTACCATGAGAACAGCATGGGAAAGACCCGCCCTCATAATTCAGTCATCTCCCACTGGGTCCCTACCACAATATGTGGGAACTATGGGAGCTACAAGATGAGATTTGGATGGGGACACAGAGCCAAACCATATCACTTTGTTAAATGAATGGGGTCTGGATCCAGGCCCCAAGAGAGGGTTCTTGGATTTCACACAAGAAAGAATTCAGGGCAAGTATGCAGTACAAAGCAAAAGCACGTTTATTAAGAAAGTAAAGTGATGAAAAGACAGCTACTCCATAGACAGAGTAGGGCGTGCCTAAAAGTAAGAGGAGGAATGCATTCACTGTACATAGCAATGCTTGTATATATGGGGAGGTGTATTTTGCTATAAGGGTTTGTGATAAAGGATTAATTTTCTTAAATACTGTATTTTTAAGGAATTGATATTATTATCTTTAAAGCAAAATTAGGAATGCCTTTGTTCTCTAGATATTGAGATATCTGGACACTCCCAAGATGGGTCTGTTTAATAAATATTACTAGTTTTTCCTTTAACAGTAAACATCTAGAGGCTAGGAATGCCTAATTTTCTGGGAATACAGCCCAGCAGGTCTCGGCCTCATTTTCCTAGCCCTCACTCAAAATGGAGTCACTTTGGTTCAAATGCCTCTGATAACTTTACTCTTGTCCTTTTGTAGACAGGTTAGTTTTTAGGTTGCTTTACCTAAAAAACTGTTGATCTGCTTTATTTGGGGTTTATTTGGTTACTGTTTTCTATATTTTACAAAGGATTTAAAATCTCCATGGTACATTGTGACCGTCCTGTTCTACACCCTTATGCAGTTTGATATAGGAGGGTCATGGGGGATTCAATTGGGTCAGTGGATGGTTGCTCAAAAGGACCAGAGGAGAAAATTTCAGAGGATGAGGACAGGCATGTTGTAAGGAACACTATGTGTCCGGAAGTCAAGAAATCAATATCTCTTGTGATGTCTTAGGGATGAGCTCAGAACAAGATACATGAGATAAACAGAAAAGGATCTGAAACTCGCCAGGCACTGAGACAGATTGGTATTACAGAGAGCCCTGAGCAAAATCAAAGGTCCAAAATTGTGCTGAATGAATGTAGAAGGCCTCATGCTCATTTCAGATGCATACTTTTTCCACAATATTTCTTTTCTATTGAGTAGAAATAACTCATTTTCTAAGTCGTCAGCTGCCTCTTAAGATAGCAAACTTCAAAGGCTAACCTTTGAAGATTCACCATCATCTATCCTCTTTCTGCCCCATTTGTTCTTTACTTGCTCACATTTTTCAGGCCATGACTCCAAATTCCAACTTTATAAACCATTTCTGAGCCTCGTTACTTTGGGGAATACCAGAGCCTGGCTCCAGAGGTGCATCAGAACTGCTCTGTCCTTGCTTTTATTCTGTGGTTTTTGCCACCTCCAGCTGCTGTGAGCCTTACAGAATCTCATCTCCAGCCATCCTGCCACTCATGATCTTCCATGTCCATGGAGATATGGGCAGAAGTCAGGTGGAGACACAAGAGTGGCAAATAAGTGGCCAGGCACGGTGGCTCACACCTGTAATCCCAGCACTTTGGGAGGCAGAGGTGGACGGATCACCTGAGGTCAGGAGTTCGAGACCAGCCTGGCCAATGTGGTGAAACCCTGTCTCTACTAAAGATGCAAAATTAGCTGGGCGTGGTCACATGCACCTGTATTCCCAGCTACTTGGGAGGCTGAAGCAAGAGAATCCCTTGAACCTGAGAGGTGGAGGTTGCAGTGAGCCGAGATTGCACCACTGCACTCCAGCATGGGCAACCGAAACTCCGTCTTGAGAAAAAAAAAGTGGCAAATGAGCAACATGGAGAAATGGACTGTGTTTGAATTTTCCTATAAGAGATTGTCAATCGAGAAAAATGACAAGTATCAATCATTTTAGGAAGTTTCTTTGCCAAAGTTAAGGATGTGAGCCTGACTGGGAGGCAGGTCTATGCCTTTCTCTAAAGATAATTTTAAGGCTCCAAATTTAAAGGAGAAAGGGGAGAATATTGAGAAGTACACACTTTTCATGAAAGGGGGAGTAGCAAAAAATGGTCATTCATGCGTTTGTCTGGCTCGTGAATCTGCATTTTTACTTAAGATGAGATAGACAAATGGGGCATAGGAAAAATGCAGAGAATCTGCATTTTTATATAAGATAACATGACAAAATAGGGCAGGGAAATAACCAGATGTGCAGTTGTGTCTGGTGGGCAGGATGGTGACTGCACCTGTAAAACTAAGCTATCAATTCACATTGCCATGGTGAAATCTTAACAGAAACACCTTAGGGTAAAGATCTTGGAGCTAACTAGGAATTTCCTTGTGAGCAAAATATGGGGTAGGCCTGTACCTTTTCATCTTGTACCCATCTTATTTAGGAACCCAAAGAGGGAGGTAGGTTTGTGTGACTCAGTTACCAGCTTAAATTTTTCCTTTGGTTTCATGAGTTTGGGTCCCAAGATTTGATTTCCTTTCACAAGTTTCTGCTAATTTTTAAGATATTTAGATTTTAAAATTATATATGCTATATTTGGATAAAATGATATATGTTGTATGTATGTGTGTATAAACACATACACATGAACACATGTTTACAGAAAGAATGTAAGTAAGTAGTCTATATTCCCATTGCCCAAAGGTAATCACTACGCACATTCTGGTAAAGATTCCATTAGGTAGGATTTGTTGTGTACATATACAGGTAGATCAGTGGTTCTTAGCTAGGTCAATTCCCCCCAGCCCCATCCCAGGAAATATTTGGCAATGTCTGAAGAAAATTTGGTTGTCATAACCTGGGGATGTTACTGGCATCTAGTGGGTAGCGACCAGGGATACTGCTAAATATGTTGCGATGCAAAGGACAGCCCTCTCCACCCACTCTGAGAGAAAAACATCGGGTCCAAAACTCCAGTAGTGCCAAGGTTAAGAAACACTGATATAAACAGACAGGTATACCTGTATTATCAATATGCATGAAAGTATTCAGAGAACCGAGTACATGTTCTTGCAGAGATGCCTTTTATTTATTTATTTTTATTGAGGAAAAAAGCACAAAAAATACAAAAGCGTGAATCTTAAAGGTTCAATTGGATTACCTTCGACAATTATATACATCCACATAACCGCCACTCCAATAAACATATTTTTATCACAAAATCTCTTATGTGCTCTTCGAGTCAATTTTCTCTATCCACGGAAGTACTATTTTTCTGACTTCCATTATCATAAATTGATTATTCTTGTAGGTCATATGAATGCAATCATGCAGTATGAATGTGTATGTGTGTGTGTGTGTGTGTGTGTATGTTTTCTTCCAGCAAATGCCTTTTGAAGGTGTTTCATGAAGTGTTTCTGAAATATATCTATGTCCTTGTGTCAATTAATAATTCATTTCTTTTTTTATCATTGAGTGGTATTCTGTTATATGAATATAACAATGTATTTATTCTCTTGTTATGCACATAAAGAGTGTAGCACAAAGCCTCCAAACAAGCAGAAAGTACAATTCAAAGGAAAATATTAACAATTATTGTGATAAACTGTTTTAACATAAAATAATATTATAATTTTGACTACATTATTAGTACAAATACTGATCATATATGACAATATCTATCTAAAACAGATGCAATTGTGCTAATACCCTTAGCATGGTAAAAATAAAACACCTTCTTTGACATAGAAAACTTTGTTTTTTTGAAAGAAAATAGTGAGCGATAGTAACAAATAAGGAAATTAGATATTAGTGAAATATTCTTCTTATCTACATGTGCATATTACAAAAATTTATTTGAAAGCATTTGAATATCATTCCTCCTGATGGACTATTAAAAGCCAAGTAAGATTAAACAGAGATACACAGAAATTAAAAAATTCTATTAAATCAGACAGCAACTTTTGCATAGGGATTTTTTTCTTACTACTCATTGAACTTGTATATGCTGAGCTATCCCTTAAGCCAGAATTGGCTCAGTGATATGAATAGGAACAATCTTAGATCATTTCCTTTGAAAAGTATTTATTTACAACTAGCCAAGCTTAGAAGTGGCCCATGCTTTCAATGTAACTTCTGGGGTAAATATTTGATCTAAAATAGAGTAACATGCATTAACAAAGATGCTGTTGGTGCTAGGGCACTATAGTAAGATGGTTTCAAGTATAGACTCTTCAATCTGACCATCTGGGGTTGAATTTAAACTTCACCATCTATTAGCTCTGGGATCTTGGGCATTCTACTTTACCTTTCAGTGGCTCAATTTCCTCTAGGGAGTAGTAGAAATTCAAGAGGTTTTGTGAGTTTTAAGTGAGAAAATGCTTGTGAAGTACCTAAAATAATGCATGACACGTAGAAAACACTCATGAATATGAGTTATAATTAAAATTCAATAGACGTTTGATGGAAAATGATGTTCAGTTTTTAAAAGGAGCTGAACATGATTCAGGTTAGGAATAAGATTTAGGTCAGCATCAGTATATATTTACTGAACTATCATTAATTTTACGTAGCCCACAGATTTCTTAAGTGCCAGATGACAGTTAATTAAGAGTTAAATTAGATTAGTCTGGCCCAAATCCTTGCTTCTGAGCAATGCGCTGCACAGAAACTGGCTTCCCAGGCTCCTGTACTCTTTGTACACCTTACAACCCCAGGTCTACTGTTCCCAGCCTGACCAAAAGACTGAAAATGGAAACTCCCTATTCAATCAGCCTAGACATTTCACATATACAGATTTGAGTGCAGTTCTGAATGATATTTTGTAAGAGCAACATATAGACGCTTGATTTTTTTCCCCTCTTTTCTGCCCCTACTTTTCCCTTTTTGGCGTTGGCTTACTTCTGTTATGTTTGCTGTGCAGTTTATAGCAATTTATTTTCTTCTCTGTCCCCGCTTGTTGACTGTGAACTCTTAAGGACAGAATCAGCCTCTTGGACATCTCTGTATCTGTGGCTCCTAGCACAATAAATTGAAGATAGTTTTGAATGGAAAAAATACAAATTCCAAGAGTGATGTGAAACTTGAACTGTGGACCAGCTTGAATTACAGCCTTGGAAACAGGGATGTGATCAATCTTTTATCTTTTATTTTTCATCCATCTCTCTGTTCATTTGTTTGTCCACCCATCTGTCCATCCATCCACATCAGTTTCTCATCATCATCATCATCATCATTTTCTCTCTCCATCCGTCCATTCTCTAAGTATCTATCTATTATCTATCCATCTATCTATCTATCTATCTATCTATCTATCTATCTATCTATCTATCATCTATATATGTATGTTTGTATCTAGCTAGCTAGCTAGCTATCTACCAATCACCTGTATGTCCATTTTCTGCCTCTTTATCTTATTGTTCTTATTGATGCATCAGTTGAAGGCCTTGACTTGTTCTATATTAGAGGCACTCTAGTTAAATATAGTCTGTGGAACAAGATGGTAAGGATTTGAATCCAGGCTCTCTCTCTTCCTAACTGTAAGAAAAGTTTACCTAACTTCTTTGTTTCTCAGTCTCCTTATCAGCAAAATGAGGAAATAACAGTGCCTAACTATAGGTTTATTATGAAGATTAAATGAGGTAATACATTTTTACCTTTAGGAAGAATGCTTAATAAATGTTAATTATTATTATTTGTTGCTCTTTAGAGTCCATCTTCAGCTACCCAGATGGTTCTAGGGCAACTGAATTTATATTTCTGATTCTACTTTATCAAAATATTCATTGAAAATCTATGTTATACAATAAATGTTTATTTATTCCTACATTTAAGATAGAAAATCTCTCATCTTTAAGACCTACCATGTATCCTGTTAATTCCTGCTACCATATTAAAAAATAGAACACTAATTTAGAAATAATATAGAAGTTTCTAAATTTAGGTATTTAAAACTTCAATTGAGTAAATAAAAAGTATTCAAGATTTTTTTAAAAAAATTGGTCAGAAAGGAACATTCACCATTTTTACTTGCCATGCTTTAAAGAGAGTTTGAGAGAGCAGTGGACAAAGGGAGCCTGAGAGAATGAACACCCACCCTGGGCTGATCTTAGCACATGACTTCGCTCCACTCCATACCTTACAGCAGAAGGATATTGGCATGATGAGGGCACATGTTCTGCACCTGGGCTCAATGTGGAGACTCTGAAAGGAGGAAATGAACACACTTTTTTGTAAACTGGCCCTGTCATTACCTAGAAGAAAGGATAGAATGTGAAAATCGATTGCATGTTATATACACTTTTCCAAAAATGGGTAGGAGTGGGGTGTCTGAGGAAGTAAACAAAGAAATCTGTAGAATGATCCAGACTTTCTGTGGATAAATAAAAATATTTTACGCCCACTTTGAGCATAATGGATTACTTGATGAATTTGCTTCAGGGACACAGGGATTGATGATATGGTATTGGACCACATCAATGAATGAGAAATTCTATGAAGGGGGCACCTGGAAAACAGAAAAAAAATAAAGGAAGTAGAGCTTGTGAGTTGTTGGACAGTTGCATTTGTTAATGCTGTGTTGCCTGCCGGTGTGACATGTAGAATCTTTCTGAGTTCTGTTTTTCATAACCCAGAACAAACTCATTTCTTCTTAAATTTTAATAATGCTTAGTAAATTATTATTACTTCTATCACAAATAAACAAAAAATTATGTTTAACAGTAACATACGTTTCCTCCCTGTTTATGTTTAACAGACAACTTTATGTTTCTGTTTAACAGACAGCTCAAGTCACATATACATTTTTTTCCCCTATTAGGCAGAATGACCTTTCCTAAGATGGTTACATTAAATTTTTTTTCCTTTGGAAATTTGCATAAACTATTGAAAATTTTCAAAACAAAATCTATGTGCTCATTCTTCACTTTTGTTATAATCTTTGTTATGGAGGTAAAGCATGCCTAAAAAGCATTGCCCAGTCTTAACTCTACTTTTTCTTATATTTTGCCCTTTTTGAGTAACTGTCCAGTACCTGCAGTTCAGGAAAAAGTTGATAAATAAAGGACAGGATGGTAGTTATTTGCATGAAAGCTTATAACATTTGTTATGAATGAGATCAGTTGGATCTGATGTTGTTCCTTTACATCGGAGAATGAATGAGAGAAGAGAGAGCCCATTCTTTACCCATAGGTCTACTCTTATTAAAAAAAAAAAAAAGGAAAGGAAAGATTGTGAAATCATTGTGAAAATTCTTGTGAAATAAAACTATAGGTTGGTGATTGTCAAGGATGAGTGTTGAGGTCAGACAAGGGGTGCAGATGGCATTTCCTGTCCTCTGTCATCACCTGTCCTTTGAATTATGAACTGATTACAAATTTTGGTCTGTTAAGATTACTACTGTGTTCTTTTGCTTTTCTATCTGTAAGGTGTTTCTGGACTTATTTTTTTTTTTTTTTTTTGAGACGGAGTCTTGCTCTGTCACCCAGGCTGGAGTATAGTGGCGCTACCTCGGCTCACTGCAAGCTCCGCCCCACGGGTTCACCCCATTCTCTTGCCTCAGCCTCCCGAATAGCTGGGACTACAGGCACCCGCCACCACGCCTGGCTAAGTTTTTGTATTTTTAGTAGAGACAGGGTTTCACCCTGTTAGCCAGGATGGTCTCGATCTCCTAACCTCGTGATCTTGCCTGCCTCGGCCTCCCAAAGTACTGGGATTACAGGCGTGAGCCACCATGCCCAGCCTGGAACTTCTTGACAGTTTGAGATCATTCTACTACTCCCTTGCCCTACACTGGACTTCAGGACCCTCTGTGACATTATCTGATGTCCTTTCCCATTTCATGCTACACTCAGGGACAGGGGAAACCCATTGATTTTGCAGCTCCTGCTGAGGCACCGGGAATTATTTGATGCTGCTCAGTCTGTCTGCCTTGATACATCCCACAGGCATTTGTCCTCTGGGGTTTCATTGCTTCCTGGAAATTCTACCCAGGAAAAAGGGCAAATCGAGAAAAATACTGCTATGGTCTGAGTGTTTGTATCTCCCCCAAATTCATTTGTTGAAACCTGATCACCAATGTGATGATATTAGGAGAGGGGTCTTTGGGAGGTTTCCATTAGAGAAAGAAGAAAAAATTTCTTTCACTAGAGAATGAAGACAAAACCCTCATAGATGGGATTCATGTCCTTATAAAAGAGGCACCAGAGAGATGCCTTGTCCCTTTCATCATATGAGGACACAGTGAGAAGGCACCAGGAAATGGTGGCATTTATGGTGTTTAGTTGCCACTCAAACAGTCTACGACAAGTAGTTTTGTTTCTTTTCTTTTCTTTATTTTTCTTTTCTGTTGTTGTTGTTGAGACGGAGTCTCACTGTGTCATCCAGGCTGGAGTGCAGTGGCACAATCTCAGCTCACTGCAACCTCCACCTCCCAGGTTCAAGTGACTCTCCCGCCTCAGCCTCTCTAGTAGCTGGGATTACAGGCAGATGCCACCATGCCTGGCTAATTTTTTTGTAGTTTTCGTAGAAATGGGGTTTCACCCTGTTGGATAGGCTCCTGACCTCAGGCGATCAGCTTGCCTCGGCCTCTCAAAGTGTTGGTATTACAGGCGTGAGCCACCGTGCCCAGCCTTATGACAGGTAGTTTCTGTCAGACACCTTAAGCCCTTTCTGCCTCCCCTCTTCCCTAAGCTCACATTAAAAGATCGGGTGGGCAAGTGTCCTTACTCGGGGACCCACAGCATCTACTCAGCTTTTGTTTCTCCTCTAAATTTCTTCTGCTCCTATCCTGGGAATTTTATCACATCTTTTGAATTCAGAATCTCTCCCTCACATTCTCACATATTTTCCCACTTGCATGTATTTTCCTACACAGGAGTCCCTTTGATTTATTCCAGAAGAGGGACTTTGTACATTTTAAAGCAAGGGCAGGCATGTTTCTTTCTCTTGCTATGTCATGCTTTCCCTGAGACAAGAGCAGCCTGGACAAGGAGGAAGGGATGTGGGATAAAAGCCATTTTAGGGGGAAAAACAACACCACCAAAAACATGTTGGTTAATATTCTGGAAATCTTATACTATCCCTAACACAGAGTGTGTATTTGAACCTGCTTGCTTCTCTGCCAGTAGACTGTAAGGGAGGGAAAACTAAGTAATCGATGTTAGTAAACTGGGCCTTACTGTGAATAGGGGACAGTGAGTTGTACATTCTTGCATAAGGCTACAATTCTGAAAAACTTAGCATTGATTTTCACTTTTCTTTCTTAAATCCCCACACTTTTATTTAGTCACAGAACAAGAATTCTTATTTAAAATTTTTTTTAAAAAGTACTGATTTCTTAGCTTTTCAACCGGAAGACGTGATTTCAAAGGAAAGGGTAAACTGTTTAACACAGATCAATTTAATGAGAATGATTTAATCAGTCAAAAATATTTACCGATCATTAACAATATGCCATACAAAGTGTAAAAGTTCATTGGATGTTTGACACTGCCTGGGAATTGCTTTAATAGATTAGTGTTTTTTTTAAATTTTTTAAGTCGATTATAGATTTAAAAAGGAAACATGTTCATTCTCATAAACCTGCACATTCATTGTGTACGTTTTGCCTCTGGCTCCTATAAATTGGATCTAAGTGTTCTCCCTCATTGTTTAGCTGAAGTTCACACACATTTTTAGATTCCAGAGAGCAAATACTGATGTTCTGCTTTTTACATATAATAATTCACAATAGGTATTCAGTAGTGTTGATGTTTTATGATGGAGATTGCTGCACAAATCTTCCATACACTGAATGTTGAACAGCCATTACCATTATCTTGTCAAATTTTCTAAGGTATTTGGCACTAGTTTTGACAAATGGTCATGATGAAGCTGATTCAAATGGATGACAGACAGCTGTAATGCAGTTCTACCAATTGATTTTTTGTCAGGGAATGATTCAAAAAGGCCAAGGAAAGCGCTAATCCGATTTGACAGTGGGAGATCCATTTGCGCTGCAAACTGTAGGTGATTGTTAATGGGCTGGAAATCCTCAGCTGAGGTTAACTTTGTTGGAGCAAATCAGATAATTACCATTGTCAACTCCCTACATAGCAAGAAAGGCATCTGCAAAGCCTGGCCCATATGATTGTGTTTCAAATTAAATGATTAAATACAAATAAGGATAAACTTTATATTGGCTTGCTCATCATGTAAAGTGGATTAGCCATATCATTAGGGTTCATCTAAATAAGCTGTATGTATAGTGCGTGTGTATGTGTATGTATAAAAGCTTAGCAAATTTTGAGTGGTCGAGGAAAACAAAAGACAAAATAAAACACAAGGAAATATCTTCATATAAAATAGCTTCTGAATTATCTTTGTTTTCAGAGAAGACATGTTTGTAAATTTTTTCTCTTTTTTCTTTTAATTGCTGAAGAGATGATGGCATAAAGGAAATGACATCTAGCTCAATCAGAAAAATCTGTGTTCGAGTCCTACCTCCTGAATTTACATGGTTCATTTAATACAGTATTTTTCAACTTTTTTCATTGTTGCTCTTCTAAGAAGTAGTCTTTCTAGATGTTTTTCCTAATTAGCTAAATGTCATTAAAATTTTGATCGTACTGTATACCTACTTATGGACTGTAAGACATTCATAGTTGTATATTGTGTATGTTGTGTTTTTTTGTTTTGGTTTGTTTGTTTTGTTTTTTTGAGATGGAGTCTTGCTCTGTCACCCAGGCTGGAGTGCAGTGGTGAGATCTTGGCTCACTGCAACCTCCTCCTCCTGGGTTCAAGCAATTCTCCTGCCTCAGCCTCCTGAGTAGCTGGGATTACAGGTGCCTGCCACCACGCCCGGCTAATTTTGTGTGTTTTTATAGAGACAAGGTTTCACTGTGTTAGCCAGAATGGTCTCAATAACCTGATCTCGTGGTCCGCCCGCCCACCTTGGCCTCCCAAAGCATTGGGATTACAGGCGTGAGCCACCGCACCCGGCCATATGTAAGTTTTTAAAGACCTTCTCCCCAAGAATCAATTCTTGTCCCCTTGGAAGCAATACCACTCCATTAAAAATGCCAAATTTAATGCTTTATTCAATAATGTAAGACTCATTTACTAAGCACTTGCTATCTCAGGTATTGTAATGTATTGAGGGTATGAAAAAGAATATTGCGTAGCTCCTGCCTAAGAGAAGCTTTCAGCCAGTAAAGAAGTTTCCACCATGGAAGAGGAATTGTGAGACTGTGAAAGCTGAAGAAAAATATGTACATGCAAATGATGGGAGACATGAACTCTGCAGGGCGTCAGTTTGGGCTGTTATAACAAAATACTATAAATTGTGTAGCTCATAACAACAGAAATTTATTTCTCAGGGTTTTGGAGGCTGGAAGTTCAAGACCAGAATGCCAGCATGGTCCTTTTCTGGTGAGGGCTCTCTTCCCAGTTGTAGATGGCTGACTTCTCATTGTATCCTCACATGGAGGAGAGTAGAAAGAGGCAAGCTCTCTAAGGACTCTCATAAGGGCACTAATCCCATTCATGAAAGGTTCATCCTCTTTAGCTCATCTAATCCTAATCACTTTCCAGGGGCCCTACCTCCTAATACCACCATATTGCAGGTTAGGGTTTCAACATATGAATTTTAGGGTGCCATGAACATTCTTTTTATAGCAATGGGAGTCAGGAGATGAATTAAGAGGAAGATAGAGTAAAACTGGATTTTGAAGCATGAGGAAGAGTTTGTTGGATAAAGACAGGGCTTAAGGTGTTCTAAGGGAAAAATGTGTGAATTGTGTATGCATGAGATCACAATTTTTGAGTTTTATTTTCACCTGTAAATAAAATTAATATCTGCATTACAAGGCTATAAAAGGTTTAGAGAAATACTACATGTGAATGACCTTTAGAGACTATAGAGCACTAGGTATGTATAAGGATTTAATATTTCGAATCCTCTCCTGATTAAACAATTTGTTATATAAAATACTCATTTAACAAGGTGTTCTGTTTATAGCAAGTTTCCCTTGGACTGAAAATTAGATATAAAATCCTTTCGGTTTGATCACTTATTTAAAAATACAAATCAATAAATTAGGAAGGAAATGTATATGTTTTACTATCTAAGCAAAACGCATGCATCATTATTTATGTATTTCTGCGTGTTTATTATTTTTTACTGCTACATAGCAAACTAACTCCAAATGTTACAGCTTAAAACAGCATCTACTGGGTCACATTTTCTGTGGGTCAGGGATCAAGCTGTGGCTTAGCTTAGTAACTCTCAGTCAGGGTCTCTTGCTCACTCTTAGCTCAGGCCACCCTTAATTTCCTAACAAGTGGGCCTCTCCATAGAGCAGCTCACTAAGTGGAAGGTGGCTTCCCTAAGAGTGGACCAGAAGGAGAGTGAGAAATAGAACCCAAGATGGAAGCCCCATACTTTTTGTAATCTAATATTAGAAGTGACAGCCCTTTACTTTGTCAAAACCGATTCTTTGGAGGGTCACTGGGTCCACCCACATTACACAGGGAAAGGCATGAATATCAGGAAGCAAGGATTACTGGAGACCTTCTGTGAGGCTACCAACTACATGATGTGTTAGCTCATTTCTTAATCTAGTTAAGAAGCCTATTGAAAAGAAGTAATATTTTTAATGTCTTATAGTATCATTCAGTTCTAAAGTATGACTGGTGAGTCCTACTTGAGGATAGCTCATAATAGATAACTTGGTAATGAAGGCATCATTTCCAATCCTGCAAAGCTGTGCTTGGGTAGAAATCTTTTCCTCCATAATTTCTAAAGAGGGTCTTAGAAGACTGAGCCTATTAATGCATTTTTGACCTCTCCAACCAGATGTTTGAGACCATCAATCAGAATGTAGGAGACATGAGTCAGAGGTTAGAACAAGATTAACTAAAAGACAATTGAGTGAAGCCCCCTTCTTTTCTTTGAGGAAGTCAATTTATATTCAGTCACTGTGAGTATAGTAAGTGTTGGTCCAGATACAAGGAATACATCAGAACTAAAAAGAAAAAAAATCCTACCTTTGTGCTCTCTATTCCAAGTGAAGGAAAGGGCATGGGAGCAGAGATGTCAGAACCTAGAGTTGTATAGCAAACTAACAAGCAGAGAGGGTTGCTGGAAAGAACTAGGTTGTGGTACACATTATATTGTTAAAATGAGATTCTTAGTGTCTCAGTGCCTCTAGAACCCAAAGACATGAACAATACAGTAAATGCAGAGCACTCACTTTTCATAAAGCGAGACCAGTATACTTGGCTGGAATATGGTAAGAAATGGTAAAACTGTTTCTGCTAGTGTTAGGGTTATAAGTCATTAGCATTACAAGGTGTCTTTAATAATAGAATTATTCATAGTTATTGAAATGCTCTTTGCCCCCTGCCTACTGTGGCCTCTCTCCTTTCCCTACAACATGGGTAACGAGAAGAGATATTTAACATAGCCCAAGGAGAGGTGAAGAAGAAGAAAATCACTAGGAAAGTCAGGGAGTTTGTCTCACCCAGGTTTGGACAGTCTGAGGGCTGCAATGGAAGGTGAGTCCAGATCTGCCAGAGACAGAGGAAAGAGAAAGAGACAGGTTGCTTTCTATCAGAGATGAGTTCAACTCATGGTGAAACAAACATCTGTCTTTTCGGTGTTCACACAGAGGGATTCTCCAAGCAGATTGCATGGAAGAGAAGGTAGCAAACTGAAGCAGAAAGAAGCCAGTGGAGGGAGCAGTAGATCTCTCAAATTGCTCCTAGTGGGAGAATTTTTCCCAGAGGGAGAATCTGAAAAATTCACCCAGCACTTCAGAAAGAAAGATTCAAAGCTGGGTGCCTGCCTTACCCAGAAGACACCCTCACAGATCATGACAGCATTTGTTTCCCCAAATCAAATCCAATCTCTTTTGATCTCTCACTTCTTGGCCTGACCCTGCATGGGGTAGAACCTAAGCTGGTGAATGGAGGAGGAAGTTGAGAAGAAAAGCAAAGTAGGGAAGGAGAGGATGCTCACCTGCACCTGCTCCAACAGAATCTTTCAAGCCAGAGAAAACCTCAGGATGAAGGAAGGGAGAAGCTTTTGCTATAAATTAAATGAAGATGTTCAGTGATGGTGATTACCTGGAGGAGTAAGTGACTGGGTGCTCTTTGAGGGCACATTGTAAGCATGCTTGTTATTGTATGAAGGACCAGATTGTATTCGTTCATTCTCACACTGCTATAAAGAACTACCTGAGCCTGGGTAATTTGGGAAGAAAAGAGGTTCAGCTGACTCACTAATTGTTCTGCAGTCTGAACAGGAAGCATGACTGGGAGATCTCAGGAAACTTACAATCCTGGCGGAAGGCATAGGGTAAGCACTGACCCCCTTCACGTGGTGGCAGGAGGGAGAGAAAGAGTGATGGGGAAGTGCCACACACTTTTAGACCATCAGTTCTCGTGAGAACTCACTTGCTATCGTGAGAACAGCGTGGGGGAAATCTGCCCCCATGATCCAGTCACCTCCCACCAGGCCCCTCCTCCAAAATGCCATGAGATTTGGGCAGGGACACAAATCCAAACCATATTATAGATGAAGCGCATCATATGTAGACAGAGAAGTGATAAGGAAAGTGTAACAAGAGGGAGGGAGATCTAGGTGAAGGCTTCAGTTCCAGGGTCCCGCTGGCTTGCAATTGATCTCTTTCACTCACTCCTCCTTGCATGTTCCTGGAGAAATGACCAAATCTCTCAGGGACTAAGTTTCTTTATATATAAAATAGGAATAATAATAACCTTACCTCATAGGGCTGGGATATGAATTAAACTTGAGACTGGCGATAAGGTGCCAGGCACAGAAGCGGCCTTAATAAATTTTTGATGTTGTTCTTGTTGCCACTGTTGCTGTTAAATAACCTAAGTGTCTAAAACTGTGGTCTAATGAAGGTTTCAAAACACAGCAGCTAACATCTACTGCAAGCTCAATATTAGCAAGTCGATGTTTTGAATCAGTAGTTTCTGTACTAACTTTTGCCTACTCCAGAACATCACAATGTTTGCTTTTTCTAAAAAGCTACATAAACCTTTTACTTTCCTGAAAAATATGCTGTCTAAATATAGAAACCTCAACAAGAAAAAATTCATATTGCATGTTTCACAAGTCCAAAACGTGGCATAATAATATATATAAAATTAAAAATAAATCAGTTCTTGCGTGGTCAAATAATTCTAGCACACAAAAGCTGCATCTGTGATAGAATTTGGATGACTATTACAAAACATATATTTGCCAACAAATCATAGAGAATCTTAGCTTCTGGGAAACATGTATTGATCATTCAACTTCTTGTTTAAAAGATGTCACCACAAAAAGAAAGGCAATGAAAAATAATTTAAAAATCCTTATTTTTAAAATTTTAACAACACTACATTTCTGTTTTTTACAATATCTTACCTCCTTTTTTCATATTTTAGAAACTCCAAGTTACACCAGAATATATTTTTAGTCAATGCTATATAATAAATATCTTCATGTTTCAAAAGTGTCTTTATAATCATCATTTAAAATTATAAAAACATTAAAACCAATGCATAGAAGTAGAACAGAGAAAAGCCTGTTAATTTCACCATCCTAAAACAACTGGAATAATCACTGGATATTTTTTCTTTCATCAAAACTAGTCTTTTCTGTCATGTATATGTTGGTATTTTAAAACCTGTAGTTATTTTCCATAGAATACAATATAGCGTGCTTCCATTTCCACTTGCTGTAATGCAAATTGTTGTCTGTAAAATAAGTATACCAATTTATTTCTCAGAAGTGTAGTGGTTTTATCTTATCTTCACTGGCATTGACTTTTCAGCTCAGAGTTTTGACTATTCTGAATTATGTTACGTTATATTGCTCTCATTTCCATTTATAGGGTTATTAGTGACACAGTATATCACAGAAATTTGTTTTAGCCTATATTTCTTACTTTGTATCAATGTTATTGCCCATCTATATATGGGGAGTTTAGATATTTCTTGTTGAGTTTTGTGAATATTTTAGAGCATAAAATATTGGCTATCAGTAATTTTAAAAATATAAGTATTTCTTCTATAGTTAATTTTTTGGTTATTTCAAGAATAACAATTTTCTGAAATATTTATAATAGAAAGATTTTTGAACTTATATGTTATAGATATGAAACATATAAGTTACATATATATAAATTTGTAAATAGCCTATAGTAGATGTTAGCTGCTATAATTTATATGTTTACATATATATTTATATATAAAAATATTATATACATATATAATGCTCTTCAATTACTGTCATTTCCCAAAAATGAAGACTCATTAAATTATCTTCTGCAATGGGGCCAATGATTTTCTATAATAATGCTTAATTTAATTTATAATTTTTATTATTTTAAAGTGTGCTATTTTAAATTACAGATTTATAAAAATCATTTGTGATAATTTCTGTAGATGAATCTTGCATAGGACATGGTGGCACAGTAATTGCTGAGCTAGACAGTTGTTTCTATCTAGGTTTAAAATTCTTATGACATTTCAAGTCCATTTTTGACTTAAAGAGAATGAGAAATTGCAAGGACTTCAAATTCACAATGTGCCTGAGGCGGAGATCGTACTGAATTCAGCTGGTACTATTATTATTCATGGGAGACAAAGTTAAAAATTGAGGTTGTATTCTTTAAATAGTATATTAAGTGTGTCTTGAGAAAAAGTTCACTTAGTTGGGGGAGAAGTTTTCCTATTTTAAGCTTTCTACTAAAGTCATTATAAAATGCAGATAATTTAAATTAAAATTACATTATTTTGTCTTCAGGTTTGAGGGAAAACTTTGTATCTGTTTTATTTTTGACATGTGATTATGAGTGTAGATAGTAAAATCCAGTCTGTAAATTCCCATAATTTTAATTTAAAGAGAATTATATATTTATTACACACACACACACACACACACACACACACACACAGACATTAAAGCAAAATAACATGGCCTGAGAAGGACTCTGTACTTCTACATTTGAGTCCTTGTGGATGAACTCTAACCTAGATTAATAGTCCAACAAAATTGAAAACCTAACTTAATAGTATGCACCTGTAACGATGGCTGAGTATTGGCCAATCCCAGATGCCATACTTCAACCACTCATAGACTGCTGAATATTCAAACTGCATTCAAATAAGGCAAATGACAAGCTGTAACCAATCTCACTGTTTCTGTACCTCACTTCTGATTCCTCTATGTCACTTTACCTTTTTTTGTCTATAAATTTGTTCTGACCACGAGGCATCCCTGGAGTCTCTGTGAATCTGCTGTGATTTTGGGGGCTGCCTGATTCATGAATCATTCATTGCTCAATTAAACTTCTTTAAATTTAACTCGGCTGAAGTTTTTCTTTTATTAGATAGATAGATAGATAGATAGATAGATGGATAGATAGATAGACAGAGTCTTGCTCTTGTGCTGAAGCCCAGGCTGGAGTACAGTGGCATGATCATGGCTCAGTGCAGCCTGGAACTCGAACTCTTGAGCTCAAGCGATTCTCCCACCTCAGTCTCCCAAGTAGTTGAGACTACATGAGACTACAGGCATGTGCCACCACTCCTGGCTAATTATTTTTTAATTTTTGTAGAGATGGGGTCCTGCTTTGTTGCCCAGGATGGTCTTGGATTCCTGTCTTCAAGCTACGCTCCCATTTTAACCTGCTGAAGTGCTAGTATTGCAGGCATGAACCACCACGCCCAGTTGAATTATCAATATTTTAAAACAAATGAATTTCTTAAATGTGGATTTAAATTACACCACAATCAACCAAGTAGGACAATTATAATATTTTATTACAAACCCAAAGTCTTGGAACATGTGGATCATCATGAAAATGACATTTTATAAGTCAAGGGTTGGTTAAGTATGTAAAGAACTGTTTTCAGGTGATTGTAACATGACAATACATTTATTCACATGCATTCCCAGTTTTCTTTAGTAAACATAAGGCAGAAACACAGCATATTTTAGAGGTGATTGGTTGGCTTCTTTCTTATGGTGATGAGTTTACTGTTACAGACCTTGCAGTTTTAGACTTGTCAGCTCTGTACCATCTGTGCCCAAGTGATCACAATATGTTTCACCACACATTGCTCTGTACAGCAGAACTCTGAAGTGTGCAACCTACAAAAATACAATTCAGTTTCAGGTCTACTCTTAATCCGTATCTTATTTATTAAGCTCAGTGTACTATTTATCAGTGAATTCCCAGCCCTCCCCATGGGCTTCTTACTGATATATTTTTTCCTTCCTAAGAAACCTAGTTTAATTGAACACAGTTGGCCCAAAGATATGAGACGTTGAATCCCATCAGCAATTTTTCTTTGCCATGTAATCCACATACAGCATGATTTAAGCCACTTCATAAGTTTTGTCTATTTAAGTACATTATCCCCAAGAGATTTTATTTCCCTCTAAGAGGGAAGCTGCTCCTTTGCCCCTCAATTGCATGTGTAGATAAGATGTGATTTAGCTTCCTGAGGTAATATTACCTTTCTTTTGGAGAGACAGCTTACACAATCGATTCACTGTATAACTGAAACTGTGAATTCAATTATGGCATTACTCATAAAAAGAGATATGTTACAAAAGTAAAAGCATTCAGTTATGACTTTACTTGCATCTTCAAAAAAGAAATATTTTCATTGTGATTTTAAAATATCATTTATTAATTTACATAGTTGTCGCCATTTATTGAGTTTGTATCAAGCAATGTGCAAGGCAGTGGAAATACAAAAACAATGGTTGGATACCTGTCCTAAGGAAACTCAGAATCTTATTGATTGTTGCTCTTTCAACATTTATTTTATCTACTGGACTCATTTTTTTAATTCATTCACTCATTGACTTAACACACATTTTTTGAGCACTAGTTCAAACCATTGTTTGAACTCACAGTTCGGCCTGCCTTGGGGGGCCTCAGGAAGCTTACAGTCATGTCAGAAGGGGAAGCAAATACATCCTTCTTCACATAGCAGCAGCAAGGAGAAGTGCCGAGGAGAAGGGGAAAAGCCCCTTAAAAAAACCATCAGATCTTGTGAGAACTCACTTACTATCACAAGAACAGTATGTAGGTAACTGCCGTCATGATTCAATGGTCCCTCTCACTACACCTGGGGATTATGGCAACTACAATTCAACATAAGATTTGGGTGGGGACACAGCCAAACCATATCACCACCAAAACAAGTCAGACCTGCATTGTGGTCTGAAGGCTTCGCCTACAAACTCCTGCAGCCACACTCCTTTGTCTTTCATAGGCAATACCCTCTATCAATTTGTTGTGTTTCTAACTCTGTATTGGTGCCTGCTTCTGGAAAACCTGAACTGATACAGATGGTGATAGGTACAATTTAAAAAAAATTGGCAGCATGGAAGAGGGGACGTGGTTTATATGTGAGAAAGGGAAAAGTTAGCAATTTTAAAGCATGATAAGAGAGGTCTCCCTGAGAAGCTGGCTTTTGAACAAAGCCTTAAAGGAAAAAGGACTGTTCTATGTGGATATTGAGGCAGAGGGAACTGCCAGTGAAATGGCCCTTAGATGAGAATACTGTCCTGCAAAGGTATGACAGATTCACATGCAGGTTGTGGATGATGGAGAAAAACAGAAAGTTTTTCACTTATTATTGAAAAAAGTTTGGTGGAAGAGGAATAATTTTTTGAGTCCCTGCAATGATGTGAAAGCCACAGATCTCAAGTCTGGAGTCAGGGACAATATTTCCATCCACCAATCATGATTGTAGGAAAGAAACAAGCCAGGGAAAATTACTCTGCATAAATTTTTAAAAGATGAACAATTGTCCTAAGATGAGTCAAAGTTGGTATAAAATTCTCCATTGATTCTCAAGCACTTCCAAATGCTAAAAAATATGATGCAATAGTTGTAAAAAATTAGAATTAAACTTATTATTAAAATTGCACGTATATAATTTCATATAAAAATACTCTAAATTTTTGTTCATATTTTATAGTATTAATTTTTATTTCTTTAGGAATAATGTTTTGAAGATTTTCTATTTTATCTCATTATTTAAAAAATAATAAAAATGCAAAACCAAACCATTAGATTACTTTGTGGCTGAGGATTAATATACTCTGTTGCAAAATATTCTCAAATCCCTGGGAAATCAGTTAAAATGCCCCCTTGAGAAGGAGCTAAGAAATAAAAGCATCATGTTTTCTTCTAGTTTTAGATTGAAAATCAAATGATATGGAGGAAATACACAGGGAGAAAATGGAAAGGCTAATAAGATAAATCATGTGAAATAATTCCCAGAGGTTAGGTTTGCCATCTATCTATAGAGTAGTCGAAAAAGATTGGGTTGGGCTGGCTCTATGAAGCATGAGGAGACAATGCTGAGGTTACACACACACACACACACCATCCACCAGGCAGAGTGGATGGTGCACATATTTGAATAAGGTGTGTGCGTAATGAAGAATTGGTTATGATATCATTAACTCTCCAAAAGCTAAAATAAAATCCAAAACTAGTGCTGATGGAGAAAGTCTGATAAATCTTAAGCCCTGAACTACTTAAGATGAACTGAAGTGCAAATATCCTTAGCAAACTTTTCAATTCTGAAATGTTTTCCTTAAAGTAGGAGCTTGTCAAAATAGGTTCCAGACGTTGAACAATGCGTTTCCTTCCCCAACATCTCGTTGAATCAGAAAATATTAATTTTGCCCTCTGGATGTCTGATCCCAGTCAATGCATTGTCCTGTAACTCACGATTTTTCAGGGTCTCTAGCAATAAAACACAGCAAGAGCAATGGATTCGTACCAGATGGAGGCATTGCCAAACCCTCAAGGCTTTATTTGTGTCTACATTAAGTGAGGAAGGCAGAGAAACAGATGCCAGAAACAATCAAACAGTTGTCAGGGCAGGAAAATAAAAACGCTGAAGGAAAGCTGTGTCTTGTGAAACAGACAGTTAAGAAATTAAAACATCTGATCACAAAATGCTACGCCCAGAGGCATTAATCTTTGGTTTCTTAAAGAAAAGAAAAATGATAGACAGAAGAAATAGAGTCCCAGAGGTAACTTAATTCCCTATGAAACATTGGAATATACAGAAGGTAGAAAAAAATAAGGATTTTTTTTTATTTTGGAAGGAAAATAGTAATTACAGATGTTGACTGAGCAAATATTGAAAATAATATTGCATATATTTAGTAATTATTGTTATTATATTAGGGTAATGATGAAAATTTTGGTGACTAGTTTTTTAACTTGTGGAAAATTAATAATTAGTATTATGGTCATTTGTTAGTGCTTTTCACCAAAAATTTCTCCTTTTGGCATCCCTCAAAGTTGGATTTTGCTGTATGACTTATTTTGATCACTAATATGGGTGTGGAAGTATTGGTGTCACTTGCAGGTAGAAGATTTAACATCTACTGCATAATTCTACACATCCCTTTTTTTCCAGTCTTGGTAACTGTGGAAGCACTGAAGTGCAGTGTGGGATCTTGAATAAGGGTGATGGACAACAGAACAAGGAGTAGCAAGTCTTATTGTTCTAAGCCATTGATTATAGGGTTACCTATTTCAAAGCATAACCTAACCTCTCCCTTTGGATATCAATATTTGGTGATAAATTCCAGTCATTCCTAGGATAGCAACTGATTTCTCTATTCATGGGCTTTTAGAAAATAGTCATCAGTTATGTAGATTATACAAAAAGGGCTTTGGCCAATTTGAATACATAAAATTAGCAGATCCCTTGAAAAAGATTAGGTCACCTTTTTTTTTTTTTTTTTTTTTTTGAGACGGAGTCTCTCTCTGTCACCCAGTCTGGAGTGCAGTGATACGATCTCGGCTTACTGAAACCTCCACCTCCCGGGCTCAAGTGATTCTCGTGCCTCAGCCTCCTGAGTAGGTGGGATTACAGGTACCTGCCACCATGCCTGGCTAATTTTTGTATTTTTTGTAGGATGGGTTTTCACCATGTTGACCAGGTTGGTCTCGAACTCCTGACTTCAGGGGATCTGCCTGCCTCGGCCTCCCAAAGTGCTGGGATTACAGGCATGAGCCGCCGCACCCGGCCTGAATATTATGTCATCTAATAAGGATTTGAGAATGTGATTTTTTTTTTTTTCCAGCAACCTCAGCATGTAGCTATGATATTCTTTCGGGGTTAAATAATTCTCTGGAAACCTGTGCATCTCATGCACTAACTGAGATTCAAAAAGCAGTTATACTAAGAAGTGGCTGAATTTAGACGTGTGAGCCAAGACTTGAGCCCATACTGTGAGAAAATCTGAGATCTGGGTCAAGAAAATTGATCCAAAGACAGGAGACAAATCTAGTAGGCAGACAGTGAAGGGACAGAGAGTATATGTATAATGCAAGTCACATTTTTCAAAATTAGTGAAAGATGAGAAGCTACAGGTCTAAAAAGACTAGATACCCCTAAAAAAAATCAAAACAAAACAAAAGAAACAACAACAGTGACAATAAAAGCAACCTCATACACTACACTTAGATGCGTCACTGTCAACCAGCTAAAAACTAAAGATTAAGGGAAAAGAAAACATCTTAAAGGCAGCCTGAAGTGGGATGGTTGAAGCATTGCACAGAGAGGAACAAAGGTAAGAAATACACCAGACTAATCCAAAATTATACAAGACAAGACAATTGAATGGGCATCTTAAAAATGCTGTGACAAACAATGAGAACTGTCAACCCAGACTTCTATACCTAGTGAAAATATCTTTCAAAAACAAAGGTGTAATAAGCAGTTTTTCAAACCAACAAAGGCTGAGAGAATTTCTTGCCTGAGACCCGCAGTACAAGGTCTATTAAAAGAAATTCTTCAGGCAGAAGGAGTATGAAATCTAATGGAAAAAGATGAAAGCCATTTTTTTTCACTGTTAAACTCTTTAAAAATCATTGACTGTCAAAGACAAAAATAATTGACTTTCAAAGCACTGAGTTATAACAAATGTAGAGTAAAATGTATGAAGATATAGTTCAAAGGATGGGAAGAAAGAAATTGAAGTATACATGAATAGTGTAAAAATATTTGATGGTAGAAAATGCTAACATTTTGTTTATTATAAACCCTAGAGCAATCATTAAAAATTTTAAAAGCAATGTGGCTAATAAGCCAACAGTTGAGATGAAAAATAATAAAATATAATAATTAGTACAAAAGAAGGTAGAAACAGAGGAATAATGAGAACCAACAACAGATGGAGCAAATAGAAAACAAAAATCAACACACTCAACTATATCAATAATTACATTAAATATAAATTATTTAAATACCCTAACAAAAGGCAAGTCTATCAACTTAGATAAAAAAGACACACAACGTGGTATCTATAAGAAACCCACCTTATGTATAAATACATCAACGTAAAGCAAAATTATGTGAAAGCATATAGCATTTTAAAGAAAAATGGAAGGATTATATTAATATCAGCAAAGTCAGCTTAAAAACAAAGACTATTATCATATGAAAAAGTTTTTCTATATAATAACAAAAGAAGACATCACAACTCTATTTGTCATCTTAACCATTTTTAAGTGTACAATTTCAGAGTAATTATATTTACAACATTGTGAAACAGATTTCCAGAACCTTTTCATTTTGCAGAACTGAAACTATACCCATTAAAATAACAATTCCCCTTTGCCCCTTTCCCCCAGCTCAGGGTAACCACTATTCTACATTCTATATTTATAAATTTGACAACATTAAATACTTAAGTAGAATCGTATAGTGTTTATTTGTCCTTTAAAAAAAACTGGCTTATTTTACTTACTATAATGCCCTAAAGTTCCATTCATGTTGTAGCATAGTATAAGATTTCCTTTCTCTTTAAAGCTGCACAGTATTTTACTCTATGTACATAATATATTTTGTTTATTCATTGCTTCATGAACCTTTGGGTTACTTTCATCTCTTGGCTATTGTGAACAGTGCTGCTATAAAGAGTGTGCAAATATATCTTCAACACCCTGCTTTCAATTCTTTTGAATATGTACCCAGAGGTGGGATTGTGGATCATATGGTAGTTCTATTTTTAATTTTTTGAGGACCTCCATATCATTTTTTATAGTGGTTGCACCATTTTGAATTTCTGCCAAAATTATATAAAGGTCTCAATTTCTCTACACACTCATCAACACTTGTTATTTTCTGTTGTTCATGACAGAAGCCATTCTAATGAATGTGAAGTGATATTGCACTGTGGTTTTGATTTGCATTTCTCTGATGATTAGTGACATTGAACATCTTTTCATATGCTTCCTGGCCATTTGTATAACATCTTTGGAGAAATGTATCTTCACTCCCTTGGCCCATTTTTTGATTGGATTAGATTTTTTGTTGTTGAGATATAGGAGTTCTTTATTTATTCTGGATATGAATCCCCTATCAGATATCTGTGATTTGCACATATTTTCTGTTTTTCCCCCATTTTATAGATTGCCTTTTCACTCTGTTGACTGTTCTTTAATGACCAAAAGTTATAAACTATGATGGATTTCCATCTGTCTAATTTTTGCTTTTATTGACTCTGCTTTTGGTGTCACATCACAAAATGTTGCCAAATTAGCATGAAATTTTTCCTCTGTTTTCTCCTAGGAGTTTTATAGTTTTAGATCTTTCATTTAGATCTTTAATCCATTTTGAATTAATTTTGTCTATAGTGTAATATAAGGGTCCAGATTTATTCTTTTGCACATGGATGTTTAGTTTTCTTTGCTCTATTTGTTGAACAAATTGTCCCATTCCCATTGAGTGGTACCAGCACTTTGTCAAATGTCATTTGATGATATACCTAAGGGTTTATTTCTGGACTCTCAATACTATTCCACTGGTCTATATATCTGCCTTTATGCAAATCCCACGTTGTTTTGATTATTGTGGCTTTGTAATTTTTTTTGTAAATATGTAATTTGTAAATATTCTTGTAATCTGGAAGTGTGAGTCCTCCAATTTTGTTCTTTTTTTTTTCTCAAAATTGTTTGGCCCTCAGGGTACCTAGAGATTCTATATGAATTTTAGGATAAATTTTTACATTCCTGCAGAAAAATGCCATTATAACTTTGATAGGGATTTCATTGAATCTGAAGATCACTTTGGGTGGACATATTAAAAACATATCACTTATTTGTGTCTCCTTTATTTTCTTTTGGCAATATTTGTAGTTTTCAGTATACAGGAATTCCAACCCCTTGGTTAAGTTTGTTCCTAAGTATTTATTTTTTTTCCTGATGCTATTGTAAATGAAATTGTTTTCTTAATCTCCTTTTCAGATTGTTCATTGTTAGTGTATGAGACACACAGACACACAACTGAGCTTTCTGTGTTGATTTTGTATCAGTCAACTTGCTGAATTTACTTATTAATTTTAACACGCTTTTTCTTGGTATGTGAAATTTTTAGGATTTTCTAATTCTAAGGTTATATCATCTGTAAAAAGAGATTATTTTACTTCCTTTCCACTTTGGATGCCTTTTATTTATTTTTCTTGCCTAATTTGCTCTGATTAGAACTTCCAATACTACGTATAATAGAAGTGGTAACAATGCAGATTATTGTCTTGTTCCTGATCTTTTATAAAGAACTTGTAGATTTTCATCAGTGAGCATATGATGTGTTAAAGTTGTTTCCTTCTTTTCCTAGTTTGTTGAGTGTTTTTATCACAAAAGGTGTTGAACTGTGTCAGATTTTTTTCTGCATCAGTTGATATAATTATGTGGTTTTTGTCTCTCATTCTGTTAATGTGGTGTATTACATTGATTGAATTTTATGTGTTGAATTACACTTGCATTCAAAGAATAAATGCATCTTGATTACAGCATATAATCATTTAAGTATGCTGTTGAATTGTTTGATAGTATTTTGCTGAGGATTCTTGCATCGAAATTCATCAGGGATATTGGTCTAAGTTTTTTTAATAGTGTCTTTGTCTGGTTTTGGTATAAGGATAATGCTGACCTTATGAATGAGATTGAAAGAGTTTCCTCCTCTTTAACATTTGTTTTAAAAGTTTGAGGAAGATTGGTCTTAATTATCCTTTTAATGGTTGGTAGAATTCTCCAGTAAAGCCATTTGGTCCTAAGCTTTTCTTTGTTGGGAGGTTTCTGATTACTAGTTTATTCTCCTTACTAATTATTGGTCTGTTGATATTTTCTATTTCTTTATGATTTAGTCTTGATTTATAAGGGTCATGTATTCATGATTCAGTATATTGTGCATTTTTTGGAATTTATCAAGGTATCCTAGGTTACTCAATTTGTTGTCATACAATTTGTAGTAGTCCCTTATGATCCTTTTGTATTTCTGTGGCATCAGTTATAATACCCCCTTTCACCACTGATTTGTGTTATTTGAGTCTTGTATTTTTCTTAATGTAGCTAAGAAATTGTCAATTCTGTTGATCTTTTCAAAGAACCAACTTTTAGTTCTGCTATTTTTTAAATTGTTTTTGTTTTTAATCTTTATTCTTTTCTTTCTGTGTTAGCTTTTGGTATAGTTTGTTCTTTTTTCTCTACCTTCTTGACTTGTAAAGTTGTTAATTTGAGTATTTTTGTTTTCTTTCTTCTTTTTTAAGGTTTGCATTTATAACTATAAACATTTCTCTTACCATCACTTTTGCTGCATCCCATGCATTTTCATATGCTGTATTTTTGTTTTTATTTGTTTCACGGTGTTTTCTTTTTTCTTCTTCTTCTTTGGCCCTTTGCTTAATTGCATGTAGTTTAATTTCCACATATGTGTGGATTTTCTATTTTCTTTTTGCTATTGGCTTCTAGGTTCTTTCCATCGTCATCAGAAACAATACTTTGTGTAATATCAGACTTTTAAACATTGTTGAGACTTGTTTGTTGCATAACATGTAGTTAATCCCAGAGAATGTCAAATGTGTACTTGAAAAGAATGTATATTCTGTTTCTGCTTTGGTTGGATGGATTATTCTGAGTATATTTATTAGGTCCAATTGGTCTACAGTGTTGCTCAAATTCTCTACATTTTTATTTACATTCTGTCTTGTTATTTTATACATTATTGTAAGTGGGGGTATTAAAGTCTTCTACCATTTTAGCTATTTATTTCTTTCTTCAATTATGTCTGTTTGCTGCATATATTTAGGAGCTCTTATTTTTATGTATTGATATTTATAATTGTTGTGTCTGCCTGGCGAATTTACTTTTTTAACTGTATAATGCCCTTCTTTTACTCTTGTAACAGTTTTTGACTTAAATTTTATTTTGTCTGACAGTAATACAGCCACCCTCCTCTATTTTGGTCACTGCATGGAAGTTTTTTTTCTCCCTTCACCGTCAGCTGTGTGTCTTTAATTGTAAAGTTAGTTCTTGCAAACCAATCTATGATTTGATTAGGGAGTTTAATCCATTTATATTTAATGTAATTACTGATATGGCAGGACTATTACTATTTTCATTTTTTTTATGTCTTATAACTTTTTATTCCTCCTTTTCACTCTTTCTGCCTTTCTTTTGCTTTCATTGACTTTTTTACAAGGACATGCTTTGATTCCCTTCCTATTTTCTTTTTCTTTTTAATATATTCTATAGAATATAGTTACCATTGCAATTACATAAAACATCTTAATGTTATAACAGTTCAGTTTAAACTGATGGTAATTTCAATTGCATACAAAAGCTCTACCCCTATACAGCTCTACCTCCCCCATTTTATGTTATTGTGATCACAAATTTTTTTATATATTGTATATTCATTATATAGATTTATAGTTAGTTTTAGATGTTTTCATCCTTTAAATTCTTATTTATAAAATTTGAAAGTGAATTTGTGCACCAGTATTAATACAGGTTACCATATTTGTCGATGTATTATTTTTACTGAAGAAGTTATTTATGAGTGGTTTTGTGTTACTGTCTAGCATCTTTTTGTTTCACCTGAAGGTTTCTCTTTAGCATTTTGCAGAGCAGGTCTGGTAGTAATGAACTCCCTCAGCTTTTGTTTATTTGGGAAAGTCTAAATTTCTCCTTCATTCTTCTAGGAAAGTTTTTCTGGATGCCATATTCTTGGTTGGCAGGGTGTTTTCTTCTTTCAGCACCTGGAATATGTCACCCTACTTCCCTCTGACCTGCAAAGTGTCTGTTCAGAAATCCTGTGACAATCTTATGTTATATCTCTTATGTGTGATGAGTCACTTTTCCTTGGCAGATTTCACAATTCTTTGTCTTTGATTTTGACAGTTTGATGATAATATGTCTTAGTGTGAGTCTCTTTAGATTTATTATGGCTAGAGTCTTTTGAACTTCTTGAATTTGTATATCAATTTCTCTCTTTGAAATTGAGAATTCTTCAGCTATTATTTTTTCAAATATGCTTTCTTTTCATTTTTCTCCCTTTTTCTTCTGATACATCTATAACGTATATATTGATTTCCTTGGTACTGACTCCTAAGTCCCTTAGGCTGTCTTCACTTTTTTCATTCTTTTTTGTTGCTGTTGTTCCTCTGACTTGATGATCTGTCTTCAAGTTCATTGATATTTTCTTCTGCCTGATCTAGTCTGCTATTGAATATTTTTAGTGAATTATTCACTTTACTTACTGTATTTTTAAGCTCCAAAATTTCTGTTTGTTTATCTTTGTCATTTCCATCTCTGTTGATATGCCCATTTTGTTCATGCATCATTTTCCTGATTCATTTAGTTGTCTGTGTTTTCTTATATCTCACTGGGCATTTTTATGATAGTTATTTTATAATTATTGTCAGGCAGCTCATAGATCAGTTTTCTCTAGGACTGATTTCTGTGGCTTTTTTTTCTTTGATTGTGTTATATTTTCTTGCTTCTGTGCATGTCTTGTCATTTTTGTTGTTGCTGAGACTTGACATTTAAAAAAAATCATCTCACCCAGTCTTTGCAGACTGGCTTTGTTCAGGGGGACACTTTCATTGAGCAGTATATCTAGAGATCTAGAACCTATCAAACATCTTTGGAGTATCTTATTTGGGCTTGTGTATATACTTTTAGTCATCACAAATTTCCTAATCAGCTTGTTCCTGCTTTTTCTCTTTTGTTTTACCTGGCATCTTCCTGTGGAATTATATCTCTAACATGCTGCCTTCATTGTGCCTGTTTTCATAGACTTCCAAAAAGATCTACAGCCTTATCATTGTTCTGAGTCAGGTGAGACAGATACCAGTTCTTTGGGGAGCCCCAGACTAGTCAGAACAATGGCCCACTCTTTTATTTCTGTTCAAAGGGAGAATCCCTGGTGTGGAAGGTTTCCTCTAGATTGGAGTGTGTTAGGCTGAAGAAAGGTAGGGCATATATGGTTTTGCGAAATGCTGCACATTTTCCTGCCTCTTTCACGGGAATCCTTTCTTGGTTATACATTGAACTGGGTCTAACAACTTCTTAACTGGTCTCTCTAGAGTTTTTGCAAAGTTGTTATTCTCTGTATTTATTTGCTAACTTGGTATCCCTGTGAGAAAATGAGAGCCTGGAGCTTCCTAGTTCACCATCTTGCTGAGGTTACTGTGCTCTACAACTCTAAAATTTTAAGGTCTCAGTAATAAAGCTTCAAAATAAATAAAGTAACATTTATAGAACTGAAAGGAGCTCTTGTTATAGACTGAATTTGTCTCCCAAAATTTTATATTTTGAAACATTAACTCTCAGTGTGGCTGTGCTAGGAAATGAGGCCTCTATGGAAGTAAGGTTGAGGTCAGAACAGGATCCTGATCTGATATGATTCGTTTCCTTTTAAGAAGAGACACAGAGAGCTTTCTCTTTCACTCTCTCTGCACACGTGCACTGAGGAAAAGCAGTGTGAGGACACAGTGAAAAAGTGACTGTCTTTAATCTGAGATAGAAGACTTCATCAGAAACTAACCATGCTGGCACCTTGATCCTGGACTTCTAGTCATCTGAACTTTTGAGAAAATATGTCTCTGTTGTTTAATTCACTTAGTCTATGGTATTTTGTTATGGCAGCCTGACCAGACTGATACAGAACGAGAAAAATTTATCACTAGGTAGTTGGCAACTTCAAAACTCTTTTATCAATGATTAATAGGACAAATAGATAAAAATATCAGGAAGAATATAGAAGACTTGAACAACACTATCATCCAACTTCATACAATTGATATTTATAGAACAATCTATGCAACGATTACTACACTCACATGATTTTCAATGCACATGAAACATTAAAGTTGACAATGTACTGAATCTTAATTTTCAAAATTACAATAAATTGAAAGCATACAAAATATATTAGTTTTTTTATTGCTGTGTAACAGGTTACCACAAGCTTAACACCTTAAAATTCTACGTAATTCCACACAAATTCTACACAAATGCTTCAAAAGAATAGAAGAGGCAGAAATACTTGTTTTTTTTTAACTCTTATTTTAAGTTTAGGGGTATATGGGCATGAGGTGTAGATTTGTTACATAGGTAAACATGTTTCATGGGGGTTTGTTGTACAGATTATTTCATCACTCAGGTATTAAGGCTAGTATCCATTGATTATTTTTTTCCTGATCCTCTTCCTCCTCCCACTCTCCACCCTCCAATAGGCCCCAGTGTGCCTTATTCCCCTCTATGTGTCCATGTGTTTTCATCATTTAGCTCTTATAAGAGAGAACATGCAGTATTTGGTTTCCTGTTCCTGATTAGTTTGCTAAGGATAATGGCCTCCACTCCATTCATGTCCCTGCAAAGGACATGATCTCATTCCTTTTTATGGATGCATAGTATTTCTTCGTGTATATGTGCCACATTTTCTTTATCCAGTCTATCATTGATGGGCACTTAGGTGGATTTCATGTCTTTGCTATTGTGACCAGTGCTGCAATGAATATATGCATGCATGTATCTTTATAATAGAACAATGTATATTCCTTTGGGTATATGCTCATTAATGGAATTGATGGGTTGAATGATGTTTGAGACAGGAACACTTTAAAACTCTTTTTCCGAGACTGGTATCACTCTGACTTTTTTAAAAAACAAAGATAGAAGAAATGAAAATTACAGTCATTATCCTTCATAAATGTAGATAAAAATTTCTTAAGAAATGTAAACATATTGAATCCAGAAATGTATTTTAAAATATGTATCCTTGCCAAATAGGGCTTATGCCAGGAATGCAAGATAGTTTCCTCATCAAAATCAATGCCTTTAATATACCATATCAGCAGTCTTAAAAAGAAAATAAAACATGTTCATCCCTATAGATGTAGAAAAAGTATTATATAAAACTCAACATTCATTCATGATAAAATCTCTCAGCCTACAAGGAATGGAAAGAAACGTCCTCATCCTGATGAAAGGTCTACAAAGTCCTATATGATCTGTGCTCTTTTATCTTCCCAGCTTCATCTCTCTGTACTCTCTCACTTGCTCACCTGCCAGCATGTCCCCACCTTCTAGACTTTACATTAGTTGTTTCCTCTGCCTAGAATGCTTTTCCATCAGATAGCTACATGGCTTATTTCATCTCCTCTTTTCTTGTCCAATTGTCCTGTTATTGGGGAACATTACCATAGTAATTCCTTTTTAAAATTCTAACCCCTCCCTTGGACTTGTTTTTGTACTTAAAAAAAGGCACACTTACCTACTTTTAACATATTATGTAATTTACTTATGGTGATGATTATTATTTTTGGTGTATTTTACTCTGTATTTTTTAACTACTGTATTTCTAGTGTAGGGCAGATTTCAGCATATTGCAGGCACTTTATAGATACTTATTAAATTAATAAATAAAGAAATCATGAATTTTAGAAGTTGTGGAATAGAGTACAATAATAATAACTCCTTGGACTTTAACAGCTTCAGTCCTCTGGAGAATATAGTTGTGACAGAGTATTTCTTTTTTCTTAACAAAAATATAAAGTTGTAGATTCTATAGGTCTTTAGTTTTCAGATCCTGTGATAGAGTTGGTAAGAGTCTAATTCTTGTTTTTAAGAGGACATGAAATGAGAATAGGAGTTCAGCAGAGATAAGAGATGAATGCTGTAGTCACACAATGGTAACTGGGCTCCATTTCTTATTTTTTTTCTTCTGTGTTATTGAACTTTGCCAAGGAATAGAGAATTTTGAAATGGGTCATTCCTCTTCTTCAAAGAATTGTGATTCTCATTCTTTTATCTTGGAAATCCCTGTGGGAAATATAAAATTTATAGACACCAAAAATGCTCTATTCTGCACTGTAGTGACTAAACTAGTTTCTGGTTTAAGATCTGTTTTTTTCTTATGCTTTTCTCTTGATGAAGACATCAACATCTAAGTTTTCTGGAATAACTTGGAGCATTTTGTGCTTTTGTTATTACATGAAACTTCTTGGTTTAAATGGTATTTCTGGAGACATCATGTTGTGCCTACAGCTGAGAGAGATTGTTTTCACAATGATGTCAGATACTGTATGAAGAGCAGCTAGTGAAATAATTCAGAAATACGTAGGTCAACTTCCATTAGCTTACCTTTTCCACATGAATTCTATTTATGTTTTCTATTGTTCTTGGAGACAGCATTTGAAATCATAGACCTAATGCATAAATTTAGCAGTCTCATGCTTTAGAAAATGTGTTACAATGAACAAAATATTATTGTAAAAAATACTGACTGAGTAGAAATCCTTAAAATATAAATTAATTTTACTGAATGTATACTTGGTATTATAATAATATTATACTGCTTATGTTGTTTCATTTGAACGATAAGGGTGAGTTCTGTTTTTTTTTCTTTTTTCTAAACCAGTCAGAAAAAATCTGTGTGAGTTTGTTTATGTATTGCTTTTAAAAGGTTATTTCATTACATGATGTTGGCTTAAGAAGAATTTATTACTTTCATATTTAAAGATAGATGGCCATGGGTTAGATTTTTCAAATTACTATCTAAGGTTATACAAATATGAACAGACTAGAATAGTTATTTTTAGTAAGGGCAAGTGAAGAGACAAACCTGTACCTGATTTCAGTATAGTCAAAAGGGTTTCGTTCATACTCGACTGAGATGTACTCTTTTCACTAGATATCATTTTTGAAATTGAATTAGGCCAAGATGAGGTGCATTTCTTTTATATTTTGGAAGGATAAAATTTAAATAAGTAAAAATTGGAGTCCCATAGTATTTCATTTTTTTCCCCACTAGAGAAGAAGGGTGTTTTATGATATGGTGATTTACTTTGTAAGAAGTAAACTAAACTTAACGCAGAATTTCAGGAGAGGAAAACTGAGAGTTCATTTTTTTCCTGATTGATCAATAGAATATGTTAACCCATATGACGTTAATTTAACATCTTCTATGAGTTGAGCACTGGCTCAGGTACTTAGAAAGCAAATATAAATAAAATGAAAATCCAGCTCTCATGGAGCACAATTTCAATTATAAAATATTATATATATTTTCAGATGGTATATTTCATATGCAATTTGGTTTGTACTGAAGATAACTGATTTTTTTCATACATTTCTGATTATAGAAATAATTTATGAACTTCTCATAATTTTCTTTATAATAATTCCCAAGTGATTTTAGTGCAAATCACTATTAACACTATTGTTTTGCCTTTCTTATTACATGAATATAGATATATCAATAGGTTGCTTATCATTTTACATATGAGTGTACATTTTAAATAATGGTTTCAATGATAATATGATAATACAGAAATAATCTCCTATTGCTGAGCATTCATGATGCTTTTGATTTTCTGCTATTAGGAAGAAGAGATCTTTGGGTGAAACTGATTGTATTTTTAGGGTAAATTCCTATCAGTGGTGTTATGTGGTAGTATTAAGGATACTTTAAAAACTTTGCTAATATTTCCAAGTTGACTTCTAGAAGTGTTGAATGCTTTGAAAGAACAATCTATCTATTATATTATTTTTAACTATTTAAATTGACAAATGAAAAATTGCATTTATCTATGGTATACAACATGATGTTTTGATGCATGTATACATGGTAAAATGATTAAGTTGGTCTAATTAACATATCCATCACCTCATATCTTTTTTATGTGATGAAAACATTTAAATTCTACTCTCTTAGCAATTTCCAAGTATACGATATATTGTTATTAACTGCAGTCAGCATGATGTACAATAGATCTCTTGAACTTATTCCTCCTGTCTAAATGAAACTTTGTACTGTCTAACCAATGTCTCCCATTTCATTACTCATGCCACTCTCCCCTAGCTTCTGATAACCACCATGCTATTCTCTGCTTCTATAAGATCTATTTTTTAATGATTCCACATATGAAAGAGATCATGTAATATTTGTCTTTCTGCCTCTGGCTTATTTTATGAACCACAATGTCCTCCAAGTCCATCCATTTTACTGAAAATGGCACAATTTCCTTCTTTTCTTAAGGCTGAATAGTGTTTCATTATGTATATGAATATGTCTTAGCCTAGACATTTTGATATTTGTATATACCACATTTTAAAATTCATTCATCTGTTGATAGACACTTTGATCCATGTTCTGACTATTGTAAATAATGCTACAATAAACATGGGAGCACAGGTATCTCTTCTAGATACTGATTTCAATTCATTTGAATGTGTACTCAGAAAGGAAATTGCTGGATCTTATGGTAGTTCTATTTTTAATTTTTTGGAGAACCTCTATAGTGCTTTTTGTAATGGTTATACTAATTTACATTCCTACCAAGAGTGTTGAGGGGTTTCTTTTTCTCCAGTCCTCTCCAGCACTTGTTATCTTGTCTATTTGATAAAAGCCATTCTTAGAGGTGCGAGGTAGTATTTCATTGTAGTTTTATTTTGCATTTCCCTGATAGTGATGCTGAACATCTTTATATATGCCTGTTGGTCTTCCGTATGTCTTCTACTGAGATATGTCTATTACCCATTTTTTTAATCAGGTTGTTTTATTGCTGATAAATTGAGATCTCTATATAGTTTGGATATTAGCCTCATATTAGATATATCATTTATATATATTTTTTCTCATTCCATAGGTTGTCTCTCACTTTGTAGATTGTTTTCTTTGCTGTGTTGAAGCTTTTTAGTTTGATGTAATTTCATTTGTCTATTTCTCCTTTTGTTGCCTGTGCTTTTGGGTCATATTAAAAAATCTTAGCCAAGACTACTGTCAAGAGGTTTTTCCCTTATGTTTTCTTCTAGTGGTTTTACAGTTTCAGGTCTTATGTTTAAGTCTTTATAACCTGTTTTCAGCTGATTTTTTATGCGGGGTGAGATAAGAGTCTAGTGTTATTTCTTCTGCATGTAGATATCTAGTTTTCCCAACATCATTTATTGAAGAGACCATCCTTCAATCTCAACAACCTTTTTTAAAAGCTATTCCGTTCTTTCTTTGATTAATGACCATTTCCATTTTCCCTTTTACCCTGATATTTGTTATTGTGCTAGATATTGTTTAGTGCTCACTCTATGCAAAAAACAACATTGTATCAAACATTCTTCACTTACCTTTTTCCTTTAGGTAAAGGACTTGTGTTGGTAGATAAGTAAAATTGTAGACTACAAATTGTTGGAATGATAAATCCTCTGCATGTTTTCAAATTTAGCTTCTCCATTTCTCTCATTATTGCATTTTCAGAATAAGTTTTTATAGGGTAGTATTTAAACTGTGTTCCTGAAAAACAGAAATGTTTGTTTAGCACAACTGTCTGAGGACAGCCTATACACCACTTTCTATCCATGTTTTGGCACTCTACATATTATTTTTCAGCAGAGAGAAACATAAGATCTAAAAGAAAAAGTAACCCTGAGCTACTTCAGCTCAATTAACAAACATTTTTGTTGTTGTTCGGTATATATCTGACTCCGTAAGAGATACAGGTCAATAACACTGAGATGAGCCCTGTTCATCAAGGAGCTTTGCACTCAGTGATGAAATTTTTTCTCATATCTAGGAGAAAATTCCCAATACTTGGGGTTATATTCCAAGTGATGCCCTGTGCTACCCTTGCTGTGATGATGAATTTATGTTTTTCTTACAAAACATTTCTGGTAGCATTAAATTCAGAAAAGTAAGGAAAAGGTAAATGTTCATAATTTCTAGATACGAATCAACTAAAAGTTGATTAATTTTTTTTTTTTTGACACAGGGTCATGCTCACAGCTCACTGCAGCCTCAACCTCCTGGGCTCAAGCCATCCTCCCACCTCAGCTTCCCAAGTAGCTGGGACTACAGGCATGAACCACCATGTCCAGGATTTTGTATTTTTCATAGAGATGAGGTTTCTTGAATATGTCCTTAATATTGGTTAAAAGAGTGCATACATCTGAGGCTTTTGCTAGAGTCACTTTGAATCACCATGGAAGACTGTGGGGGTAGTTCTATGAGAATTTAATGAATTTTCAGTGCAGGGCAAATGTAGGAAAGAAACTCAATACTTGATTTAAGACGTAGGAATAAAATGTTATTTCAGGAACATAAATCAAAATTTATTGTTTCCTGAAATGTATGTTCTAAGTGAATTAGGTGTTCTGCAACTTATTTAATAGCATTGAAAGTATAAAAAATAAATTTTGAGATACATTTGTAGTCTAATCAGATATTGGGATGCTCAACTCCCATTTACTGCAGCGATAGCTAGTCATAGTGAAATATAATACACACACACACACACACACACACACACACACACACATATATATATATATATATATATATATATATATTAAAAATAGTAGTGAGGGAGGCTTATCATATCAGAGTTCTCTCCAGGAAGCTTGTGACAAGGGACTCTGCCAAATATAGAGCGAATATGTTAGATCGAAATCTCCATGTGATTTTTGTCTGGCAACATAAAAAGTTGACAGCTAAAAAGAAGCCCACAAAGACTGCCTTTTCTTCCTTCTGTTTGCAATTTTTCCTTAGGATAATATTCTCCACCTTTAGACAGTACTGAATTCTAAATATTTGCTTCCTCAAATACCATTTTGATAAAATTCTATTTGCCTTACCAGGCTGATGACCTCTGATTTATGTGCTCTGGCCTCAAACTACATGCTAACACTTTATTTAGAGATACACATAATAACATGAATATAAATATGTTACTTAAAATCATTCTTTTAATAGAAAAAAACGTGTTTCTTTCCCAAATGATTTGCAGCACTATCTTCTGTCTGAAAGTATTGTGTCTGAATACAAGACCATTGTCAAATAAAAAGATGTGTGCGTGGGTGTGCATATGTATACGTGTGTTTTAACAATTCCCAGAAATTGCCATAATGCTAAGATTAACTCTGGCTTTGAACTAGAAAAGATAAAACCGGTTAAAGGACACACCATTGAAAGCCAACTTGTTTTTGTAGTAAATATATATATTTTTCTTCATTTCACCCACAAATGTATATCATTGCACATTTGGAGCAGAAAGAACTGAAGCAGCAGATTGAAAAAAATGAATATTTATATTGTAACAGTAGTAAAAGTAAAAGCTATATCTTAAAGAAGTTGTGGTTTAGTGGAAAAATTTCAGGTCTCTTGAGAGAACAATAGCAAAAGGAACAAATTATCTTTAAGTTATTCGGTTCAGTAGAAAGAATCATCTCATTTTGTTTTCATTGAAAGCATTTTAGTCAAGTCTAATATCACAATTTCAAACTGGTTTATGTTTTTCTTGAAATCCAAGAGGCTTGGGGTCAAATACTGCTGTTGTTACAGTGTTTATGATTTTGGGAAAGTTACACAAAATTTCTGAGATTTGGCTTGTTTGTTAAGTAAGGATAACGAGACACTTCAAACACAGTGTAAGATTTCACATATGTGAAAAATCTCAATTGTGTTAGGTTTGAAATATATTGGTTCCCTTATTCTGTTATTTCAACTGGAGAGTTACCAGCTGGACTCTTGTCCTTCATAATATATTTACCTTTATTAAGAATTAATGAACTTCCTCAACCTGCCAAAGGGCATCCACAAAAATCCCACAAATAATATTATACATCATTATGGAAGACTGAATATCTTCCCCTAAGATCCAGAACAAAACAGATATGTTCACCTAATCACTTTTACTCAACCCCATGTTGGAAGTTCTAGGTAGGACAATCAGGAAATAAAATGTGAAAAGGAAAGGCAGCCCAAATTGGATAGGAAGAAGTAAAACTATCTCCATTTGCAGATGACATGATCTTGTAGATAGAAAATTGAAAGGAATTCACTAAAAAACAAATTAAAACTAATGAAGGAGTTCAGTAAGTTTGCAGTAAGTTTGCATTATAAGAGATCAATTACAAAAATAATTGTATTTCTGCACAATTGCAACGAACCTCCTAAAAATGAAATTAGGAAAACAATTTACAATTTTTCAAAAAGATTAGAGCACATATATGAATTTAACAAAAGAAATGCAAAACTTGTACTCTGAAAACTACATAGCATAATAGAAATAAAGATCTAAATAAGTAGAAAAACATCCTGTGTTCATGGATTAGGAGATTTAATATTGTGAAGCTGTCAATATTCCCAAATTGATCTACAGAGTGAAGGTAATTCTCATCAAAAATCATAACTGGCTTTGTAAAAAATAATAAGCTTATCCTAAAATCTATATGGAAATTTAAGGGACCTTGAATAGCCCAAACTATCTTGAAACAAAAAGAAAAAATTTAAGGACTCGTGGTTTCAGACTTTAAAACTTATTACAAAGGTACAGTAATCAAGGTAGCATGATATTACATAAGTATAGACACACAGATTAATGGAATAGAATTGAGAGTCCAGAAGCAAACCTTCACACTTCTGGCCAACTGCTGTGTGGCAGTGATGACAAGACTACTCTATGGGGAAAGAACAGTCTTTTCAACGGATCCTCCTGGCACAAGTACAGATCCACATGCAAAAGAATTAAGCTGGACCCATGTTTTGGAAACATATATAAAAATTAAATAAAAATGTATCAAAGATCTAAATAAAAGAGTTAAAACTATAAAATTCTTAGATGAACATGAATAAATCTTCATGATTTTGAAATAGGCAATGGTTTCCTGGCTATGACATCAAAAGCACAAACAACAAAAGAAAAAATCAATTCAAAATTTTTGTGCTTTAAAGGATACTATCAAGAAAGTAAAAACATAAGCCACAGGATAAGAGAAAATATTTGTAAGCCATATATTAGATAGGAAATTTGGGTCTAGAATATATTATGTAAACAACTCTTACAATAAACTCTTGTAATGAAAACAACAATAAAAAGAAATAACCCAATTTAAAGCTGCACAAAATATCTGAACATATACTTTGTTAAAGAAGATATACAATGGCTAACAAACACATAAAAAGATGCTCAACATCTTTAGACAGGGAAATGCAAATCAAAAACCCAATAAAATAATACTTCACATCAAATAGGATGGCCATAGTCAAAAAGATAGATAACATGTGTGAAGAAGTCACAACTGTCATGCACTACTGGTAGGAATGTGAAATTGTGCAGCCTCTTATATAGCAGTTTGGAATTTCATATATATATATGAAAAGAAGTAAAAACATATGCACGTGAATATCTTATACATGAATGTCTATAGCAGCATTATTCATAATAGCCCCAAAGTGGAAACACCCCAAATGTTTATAATAAATTCATAAACTAAATGTGCATTCAAATAGTGAAATATTATTTGGCAATAAATAGAAATAAACTAATGACACATGATGGACCTTCAAAACATTATGCTAAGTGAAAAAAATCACAAAATATCACATAGTGTATGATTCAATTTATATGAAATATCCATTATAGACAAATTTATAGAATGACACAAAGATTACTGCTTGCCTAGGGCTATCAGCAGGTGGGTAGGGGGGAAGCTGGGGAAATAGAGAACAAATTGACTATGGTGATGGTTGTACAACTATCTGAATACACTAAAAACCATTTACTTTAAATGAGTGAATTAATTTTAAATGGGTGAATTGTAAGGCATGTCAATTACACCTCGGAAAACTATTAACAATGAGTTAATGAAAGTAAATGACCTTCAATTTGTGTGTCATGAAAACATTTTAAATCAGAGCATACTTCCCATAAGATGAAATCATATTTAGACAAGATATACGTAGGTGGAGAAGATGGTTGGATTCATGTGGGCAGGCACCAAGAGCCGCTTAGCTTGGAGCATTTTCTGTTTAGCTGGAATAGCCATTTGATCTAAAAGAAATAATGGACCAGAGAGCTAAGCCAAGTTTTAATTGATTTACTAACAAACTTTTTCCTAGACTGCTAGATACATAACAGAATGAATATATTTGTGAGTGTACATATGTATGCATATAGGTATAGTACTATTTGTATATGTATGCTATATATATGCATATATACTGTACATGTAATGCATACAGTACATTTTTATATACGTATATGTTTATATTATTATTTTTAATCTAGAGAAGTTTACATTTCAGTTTTGACATTTTCAGTTACTTAAAAAAATCTTTATCTATTTTTATATACTATAGTGATCCATGGAGAAAAAGTGAAATTAACTATATGTGTATTTGCATGTCTCTCTCTCCATATATCCGTAGATATACATATATATACACACATACACAAATATATGTGTATATATATATATCAGTACTGATCTATATAGCCATCTGTAAAGTTTACTTCACATAGTAAATGAGTTAACGATATTTAATTTCCCATATTTCTTAACCATATCTTTTTCTTTCATATTTTAATGCTCTCAACAGAGCATCTAAATAAAGCAGCAGAGTGAACACAGGGACTTTCAGGCATATACTAATGGTGTTCCTAAAATGATTCAATTTGATCTTACGCTTCAGTATTTCTTTTCAAGGTAAATTAAGTTTGTGCTGTTGAAAAAATGTTAAATTGTTGTTTGCATCTTCTAATGAGTATAGTAGCTGAGAGAAGATAGCTATTTGCATTCAGAGGCATGTCCAAGTAGGGAGTTCCTTCTTCTAACTCTTATAGTTCAGGAACATAACCAAGTAATAAAGTGAGTAATAAACAAATAGTGAACAGTGGCCAGGCATGGTGGCTCATGCCTGTAATCTCAGCACTTTGGGAGTCCAAGGTGGGCAGATTACTTAAGACCAGGACTTCGAGACTAGCCTGGCCAACATAGCAAAACCCCATCTCTACTAAAAATACAAAAAATTAGCCGGGCATGGTGGCCCATGCCTGTAATTCCAGCTACTCGGGAGGTTGAGGCACAAGAATTGCTTGAACCTGGGAGGCAGAGGTTGCAGTGAGCCAAGATCATGCCACTGCACTCCAGCCTGGGCAGCAGAGTGAGACTTTGTCTCAGAAAAAAAAAAAAAAAAAAAAAGAAATAGTAAATAGTATATGGCTAAGTAGTTGCCAATATAAAAATGAGAAAGTGTGCAAAATAGATAACTGGCTTGAAAATTATCCTTAACTAGAGTCACTGCTGAATGGCTAAAGGGCTAAGTTATAGATGTGTCTAAGCATTCAACTCAGTCTATTTCCAAATAACACAAATACTTCTACTATTATGGAAATGCGGGTCTATGTTTCTACCTGTCTGGAGCACCAAACTCTTTTAGATGCTCAAATAAGAAACTGTGTCATGCTGGTTTCTTTCTTTCTGATTTTTCTCACCATGTCTGAAAACAGAATACTGGCATGAATGTATATTAGCACACAACTTATAAGAACACAGAGCATAAAAAAAGGCACAATGGAAGGAACCTACTCATATCCTCATACAACAAGAGTTCTGCACACCTTCAGAGTCAAAAGTCTATCTGCAAGAAACTCAAGATTCAGGTAGAAGTTTGTGAAACCCCAGTGGAGCCCAAGACATTGGAGCATCATTTTGAGAGTGCAGACTGACACACAGGTGGCTGATTCACCAAGCTTGCTCCTGATTTGAAAAGAATAGAAAGGAATTTCTATTGTTGAAAAGGATAGAATGGAATAAAGAAAACTTACAGGATCTATGGGACAGCTTCAAAAGAGCAAATGCTTGGACTACTGAAATTAAGGAAGAAACTTAGAAAAGAGTAGAAAATATATTCAAAAAAATAATAAACCTAGAGTAAAACATAAGTATCCAGGTACAGGAAGGTCAAAATAAAATGATTGAAGTGATTTAAAAACATCAAACTTGGAAATAGCTCAGTCCTCTAAGGGGCTTGGGTACAGCCCCATTTGGCCTTGAGCATGCAATCAAAATCATCTGCCAAGGGGTCCAAAAGGAATCATATGCACTAGGGTCTTGGTGGAAAGGTTTGTCTGTCCACTGACAGTGGACTTGGCAGTGAACCTAAGAGTTGCCCTGTGGCTCAGCTACAGGAGTCCCCAACCCCAGCTGAGGTCCCAGCTCAGAGAAGCTCACACAGGGACTTAGAGGGAGACCCACTCATATATTGCAGCCCAAGAGTCTGAGCCTCTCTGCAGGCTTACCAACCTCTGTCCCACAGCAGATCCCAAGGGGACCTAGTTTCAGCTCCAGCCTCTCCTGTTGCAATTGAGGAACTACCTCACTTGGCAGGGGCCTGCTAGGTGATTCATAACCATTGAGCCAAGAAGGTGAGTTCACTAGCCTCTTTCCCATAGCAGATCCCAAGAGAGCACAGTCTCAACTCCAACTTCTATGCTGCAGTTGAGGATCAATTCCATCTGTGCAGAGACCTGACTGGAGATATGCCCATCTGAGCCACTGGGATAGTTTTCTAGACCCAGGTGCCTGGCCAGTGTTCCCACACAGCCCCAGAACCCTCCTTGGGTCTTCCCAAGGTCCACTTGGCCAGAAAGCTGCATCAACCTTGGAGTCTTCATGAGATTGATGACAAGCCTAGTCTTAGAGAGTCTTTTACTGCTGACACAGCTGCAGTGGTCACAGGGTCAGGGAACACAACAATCTGCTTAGAATCCCTGGAAGGCCTGGGCCTCTGAAGAAGGACAGGCACAAACAAGGGCAGATGGCAAAGACTAAAATAAATACTCAGTCCCTGAGTGCACAGACATTATCACATGTTCCCAAGCACCAAGAACATTCAGGGAAATTTCATGTCATCAAACAGAAAAAATTATGTGCCAGAGACCAACCCTAAAATGATGAAGGTGTGGGATCTCTCAGACACAGAATTCAAAATAGCTGTTTTAAGGAAGCCCAGTGAACTTTAAGAAAACACAGATAATCAATTCAGAAATTTATCACAGAAATGTAATACAGACATTGAAATGATTTGAAAACACGAGACAAATACTAGCACTGAAAAATACAAAGGATGAAATGAAAATGCAATACATAGCATTAAGAGCAGAATTGATCAAATAGAATCAATGAGTTCAAAGACAGACTATTTTAAAGTACAGGCAGAGGAGAAAAAATGAAAAAAAAAAGAATAAAAGGTAATGAAGAAACCTGAAAGGATCTATGGGACAACTTCAAAAAAGCAAATATTTGGTCTATTGAAATTAAAGAAAGAATTTTTTGAAAGGAATAGAAAACGTATTCAAAGAAATAGTAGAAAATGTCCTAAACCTAGAATAAAACATAAGTGTCCAGGTTCAGGAAGGTCAAAATTTACCAATGAGCTTTATTATGAATAAGAATACCCCAAGACATACAATCAAACTCTAAAAGGTCAAAGACAAAGAGAGAATTCTAAAAAAAGCAATAGAAAAGAAGCAAATAATGTATAAGAGAGACCCAATTGTATGACAGCAGACTTCTCAGCAGAAATCTTACAGGCCAGGAGAGAGTGGAATGATACATTCAGAGTGCTGAAGAAAAACAAAACAAACAAAAAAACTTCAATCAAGAATACTATAATCAGCAAAGTTATCCTTTAGAAGTTAAGGAGAGATGTTTCCCCAAACAAAAGCTGAGAGAGTTTATTGCTACAGACCTGTTGCATAGGAAATGTTAATGGAAGTTTTTCAAACTGAAAAAAAAAAAATGCTAATGTGTTTGTTACACTAATACTGTGATTGTGGCATGTAAACCATGTATATCCTTACTAAGAAGACTAAAAGACAAAACTATTAGAAATAATAACTCCCCAAATTTGTTAAAAGATAGGCACTATAAAAATGTAAGTTATGACATTAAAAATTCTAAATGTGGGGATATTTAATGTGTACAATCCTTTTTTGTTGACTTTTTTGTTTCTTCTTAGTGTTTTGCAATCAAGGTTAAGTTGGTATCAGTTTTAAATAACTTTTTATACCTAGGGAACGTTTCTTGTAAGTCTCATGGTAGCCAAAAAGTAAAAACAGACAATAGAAAATATTAAAAATAAAAAGCAGTGTATTAAAACATACTACCGGAAAAAAAGTCACTGGACTACAAAAAAATAAAAACAGTAAGAAAGGAGGGAAAGAAGAGAGGAGTTATGAAACACCTAGAAAACAAGAAAATATCAGTGGTATGTTTCTAACTACCAATAGTAACATTAAATGTAAATGAACTAAATTCTCCAATTGAAAGACATAGAGTGGCTGAGCTATATGCTGCCTACAAGAGACTCACCTCACCTGTGAATATGTATATAGACTGAAAGTGAAGGAATCATTTCAGTGTTAGGGAAGTTTAGAGTCAGATAATACTTTAAATTAGAAAAAGTAAATTTTGTTTGTTTAAATTTTTTGGCTTTTTGAAAAAATATGTAAACTCATATAATATGTAGTAGTTTGAAGCAATCATATTGTCTTCTCATCTTAATTAACTGTTGCTATTTAGTGGGAACTTCTGAATTGTATCAATATTAATGGTGAGGAAAATCAAGTCAATAGTAACCATTCTTATGGAACACATATTATGCAACAAATATTAACAACACCATCACTTTAGAAGTAAATTATTGTGATGGCTGCCTTTCACATTTCATGTGTTAGCTTGATCTTTAAGAAAATAATACTTTCTTTGGGTTTGAAAACAAAATTTACATTCCTCCCATTGACTTTCCTGAACTTACAAAATTGGTTTTCACTTTTGACCTGTTCCCTCTTTTTCTCATTAAATGGTGATAGAGTTTGATAAAAATGTCAAAAATTCAAAGTGGTACATGGAAGCCTTCCACGCTTTTATCATCTGGAAGAGTTATTAGGCAAGAACAGGGGGAGTAGGCTAAGGAATAGGAATAATAATAAATATAGTCACTTGGGATGTATGGAAATACTGCATTGATGGAGGGTAGAAGGAAAAGTGATGTGAGGCATGAATAAAACCAAACAGATAAACCAAAAAACTGGGGATGTGTGTTAGGGCACTGAATGAAGTTAGAGAAACTGAGGCCCTAAATAGAACTTTATTACCACAGGTCACATTGAAAGAGTCTAATTCCTGCTTCCCTCTCTGCCTTCCTTTTTCCTTCAACCTTTGTGTGTGTGTGTGTGTGTGTGTGTGTGTGTCTGTGTATGTGAAAAGAGAAACTTTCTGTTTTCTATTACCACTACATATACTATTTTATTATACATTCAAGGTGCTTGAATCAACTTAGGTTAATTTTAAAGTCTAATTGAGTACAAACATGCAGAAAATATTGGTTATGTGCCTCATGGCAACTTAGAAGTATAACTACAATTTGACCCCTGGTTATGGGATGATTCTGTATCTTGATTGATAAACCAGAAGAAAGAGTAAACTCAGATAAAAACCAAATGATTTTACAATAATAATAACTTTTTTTGAAATATTTCAACTTTTTAAAGATCAAAAAATGATTCTTATCTTTTGACACAACCAGAATTAATGCAGATGAATGGGAAGAATTGCAAGATTAGAAAGTGTTATCCGTTAATTGTGAAAGAAAAACTGTATTCATTTGTTTGCTCAGGAATCACAAAGTCACTTTTCATATGAATAATTAATGGAATACATTATACATTTTAATTTGAAATCAAAATGAAATTTTTTTTTACTTGACTGTAGTCATCTTGAGAGTAGTCATCTTTTTCAGTAGGAATACACTGAGTAACAAGACTAGAAATGGAATTCTGTATTACGTAGTAAGTTGTAAATTGGCTTTTTTCCCTATGCACAGATTAGTTCAGCAATTGAAAAAATTTTACTACTTATTTCGTGTATGAAGGCATAGGTTAGGCAAAAGTTCATTAAAGCTGTTACTTCATCTGCATATAAAATGTCAAGTGCTATCCTGCTATCCAGAAGAGAGTGCCAAATGCTCCACCACTTTGCAAATTTGCCTAATAAAGGAGAGAGTGCATTCATGTACCATTAACTTGTTAAACCTCGTTGCAATACTTTCACTTTTTATATAATTTAAAGTCAAATGAAATAAAAACTGTAGGAGTTTTATGCAAAAGAAAAATGTGAACTAGATTTTGCCTGTTGAATATTATTGTCGAATGCTAGAATGTTATAGTTAGTAGATAGTGAAATGTTATTCACTGAAGACGGATATGGAATTCCAGATGATAAGTAAAACACTCTATAATCAATTTTTTATTTATACATATTTAAAAATGGTACTTTAGTAAGCAAAGTGTACAATGCATTATTGAGTGGCATCTAACATTTTGTGTTGTGCCTATAATAACTAAAAGTTCTGAAAAGAAACTGTACAAAATAGACAAATTGAAAGTAAACATGTTGGTACTGGCTTGCCATCCTTAGAATTTCGATCAGACTGTGGTTGAAAATATTAAGAAAGGATTCTTGCAATAAGTATAGAAATGACTTAAAAAACCAGAATGGCAAGAGTTTACACACGAGGATGTTTTGACATAATTCTCAAAATTTTCATCAAACCCATCCCTGTGAGTGGGGCAGGGTTTTATTGTTTTCTCACATTCTGTACATAATGTTAAACATTATTTTAAATAAACACTTCCTTTCAGAAAATATGTTTAAAGAGCCAACTATTGGCAGTGTCTCCATTTTTTTGTGTTGGAGAACAAATGTAAATATTTTACAACTGAATTATATGAATTTCAAATTCACATTTCCCCAAACTTAGATGAAGAATTATAGGAAGAAAAAAAACTAGTTTGACCTTATTCATCCCTAAAACTTTTCCTTCACATTTTATATCCAATCTAATAAATGCTATGTTCTTATTGAGTATTTGCAGACATTGTCTGGAAAATGTAAATGTTTAAACTGTGCCATCGAATGTATGAATTTCTGTATGTTAAGCTAGCCAACATTAAGAAACATTTTGAACACTGTAGGTAGAATTTTTAAAGACATTTATTCTTTATTTCCAAAGTGGATCATTTTGATGCAAACACAGTGTTTAAAATACTTTCTAAGGCTTTGCATACTTGTATGATTTTTGGTGCCCTTATTTCTTCTAGACTTTTGCTGATAGTCTTCCACTCCTATTCTCTTCATTTTGGGGCTTCCTCCACCTATCTCATAGACTGTGGTTCTGCCTGTTAAACACATAGGTTAGTCTTGACTGGGTAGTTGGCAAATAACTCAAAAATACATTTTCTTCTCAATTTTCTACCTTTAGTCATAAACCTAGCACCAGAGCCAGAGGCCAAATGACTTGAAAATCACCATGGATATTCACTTTCATCTGTAATCCCCATCACCCCTGAATTAGAAATTCTACTCCCCAAAAGGGCTTCTGTATTACAGAAGTTGTTCTATATAAATTGCTCAGAAATAAAAATACCACTCCACATAGAAAATTTATTTGTTAAGACTGCTGTTAGCACATGATGCTTCTTAATGGAAATTTTAAAGAGCATTCTTTTATCTCCCATGCTTTTTTTTGAGTAGATGCCCCTCTGCAGTTGCACAGTTTTTTTAAGCAGAGCACACATTAAATTTCTGCTACAATGTGCTCCTGAGCTGGGCACCCTTCTGCAGTGACCCAGCATGTTCAGAGTTACATAAATTGCAATCTCCACATTAAAAGATGGAGGAACCCTTTCTAGAAGGAAAGATGTGATGTGGTTTGGAAGCTGGCATGATCCTGCATTTACAAAATACAAATTATTAAATTTTTACATTAGATTGATAGATTTTATTTTGATGATATTGATAATAGCTACTCATTTTAGTAGATTTAGAACATATAGATCAGACAAGAGAAATCATCATTTTTAAACGTAGAGTTAGCCATTATTACTATAAAGTTTGTATCTTGTTTTTTGTTTTTACTTAAAAAGAAAGAATAAACATTGCTCAAGTCAATTAACACTTGAGTATATTGTAACAACTGTTTTTAATAATTTCATGTTGCACAATGGACATACCATAATTTACTAATCCTTAGTTGTTGGACAAATGGATAGTTTAGGTAAAATATCTTTCTCAAATTTGAATTTCTGAGATTATTCATCTGCACAATAAATCTGCCTTTTATGGGCATTAAAAACTTCCATCCAACCTAAATAGAGGCCACCACTAGGGAGCAATATTTTTCTGATGGCGATGCCTTATGATTCCTATTTTAATTATAGCCACATTGCTACTGGAGAACATTATTTTATTATGAATTTCAGTGTCTGATCTTCTGGATTTGTATTTGTTCTTCTTTTTTTTTATTATACTTTCAGTTCTAGGGTGTATGTGCACAACGTGCAGGTTTGTTACATATGTATACATGTGTCATGTTGGTTTGCTGCACCCATTAACTTCATCTTCTTACTACGTATGAAAGGTTTATTTACTGTTCTAGGTAAAGCCACAGATTGGTTTATTTACAGACTCTCAGTCAACCAAATGTAGAACTGAGAATAACATGCAAATCTGATTCATTTCCTAATCTGAGCAGGGCCCAACTTTAAGAACATAAACACCCCTGCACAAAGCATTATTTCTGTTGCAAATATTCTACCTTAAAAAAGTGGACAAGAAAAATATTGTTGTCAATTGTAGTTCTCATTTTATTTCTTTGTTTGAAGAGACTTCTTAGCTAGAAAAATTATTTATACTGTTGATTAATGTTTGTATTATTGCACAGGAAGACACTGAGACACTTCATCAAAGAAAAGGTTACCTAATCTACTTCCTGCTGACTGACAAACACTGGCTGCAAGAGAAAGTTTTTAGTCCATTTGGATGAAGATTCCTTTAATAACAATTGGTTTCCTCTTACCTTCCATTTATTCCCCTCTCAGCATCTAGGTTCAGTGACTATTTTCCATAAAGATTCTATTAGATGTAACTTATTGGTATCATTGATCAGATAGCATGTTTCTGCTAGCTAACCAAGATTTCTCAGAGTAAGCCAGTATAATTTTCAAGGATATAGGGAAGTATAAAGTGACTGATATTCTGAGAATAACTCCAGATTACCTATCACATAAGAAAATTACAAATAACTTCTCATATTATATAATCATAAGAAATAATAAATGATTGTTGTTTCATGCTACTAAATTGTAATGTGATATGGCATATGTCATTAGATAACAGAAACAACTTAGAATATCTTCAGTGACACTTTCTAATCTTACAAGATTCTGGGAAGAAACTGGGTCTTTATGAAAATGAACGAATGAGACTAATCCTCACCCAAGCTAACATGAGGCAGAAAGTGTAACATGGATATGTGGATTCACAAAGGAACACGAATGAGCATAACTACCTTGCAGAAAACATGGGTCCTGCTCCGGATGATGAAAAGTGTATGGTCTGATTTATCTAGGTATTCGAGATGTAATTAACACAAGAGACAGTCTGGACTTAACATGGCTGCCACACGTGATACAGATGACCAGGAAGCCAAAGCAATGGGCTTTGACTATGATGTGTCCAGTTTCATTTAAATAAGCAAACATCTGCTACTGACTTTTGGGCTTCCACCGCAGAGCCCCCGAGACACATTCATTCCTCTTTCGAATGACATTAGTCATGTGAACATAAAAAGAACTTTCTTACATGCTCCATGGCAGTGGCATTTTATTTTTGCTCTTGAGAAGCAGACCAGTGGGTGAGCACATCCATACCTGCTTACTGAGAAAAGCCTTTCCTATCGTCCTATCACGTATCTCTCTGTGGGAACCGGGGCGGGTCCTGCCCACCCATCTGGCAATCTGGATCCAAGTTGAGTGTGACTCACATCTCTTAAAGAGTCAACTGAGAATGTTTTGTCTGATAGAAATCTTCTAAGTATGATGCTTCCTCCTTCTTAATTCGTAACTCCATAAAACTTGTGTGTGATTTCAGAAAGTAGGAAAATAATGAAATATTTAAGGAAACGTGAAGGATAAAGGTTAATCTATTCATTTTCTTATTATGCAGTAGTTCCAGAGGGCATTGTGAACAGGAAAATTATAGAGAATGGCTTGGAAAAGTGGTGAATATATTTAATGATGAATAGAATGCAGTCATATGGAGGTTTGAATTTGGGAAGAAACAAAATGGGGCCAGGCATGGTGGCTCACACCTGTAATCCCAACACTTTGGGAGGCCAAGGCGGGCAGATCACTTGAGGTTGGGAGTTCAAGACCAGCCTGGCTAACGTGGTAAAAATCCATCTTTACTAAAAATACAAAACTTAGCTAGGCGTGGTGGCTCATGCTTGTAGTCCCAGCTACTCGGGAGGCTGAGGCATGAGAATCACTTGAACCTGGGAGGATGAGGCTGCAGTGAGCCGAGATCATGACACTGCACTTCAGCCTGGGCAACAGAGCAAGACCCTATCTCAAAAAAAAAAAAAAAAAAAAAAAGGAAGACAGGATACATGCTTATATGGATGTATTTATCTCAGTAGGTTTGAAAACCAAGGACAAAAAAGGCAGGAGGCTGGGAGATAGATAAAAACACATGCTAAATACATGACACTGCTGAGTAGAGAATATCAAGGATCATGGGTCTTTAACAAGTTTCAAGTTCTAGCGGGACTGTTGTTACGATGCTATAAGGCTGAGTCAAGTTGCTAAAGGGTGAAGCAGACAGGTGGTAGAATGGCTGCGGCGAAATCTGCATTAATATTAATAGCCAACACTTCTTGAGCATTACTAAGCAGTAGCACCCTTCCAAGCATACTGCATGACTTAACTTATTATTCATATGGAATAGGAGCTATTAATATTTCCATTTTTTATAGACACAGAGAATTTAAGCAATTTGGCCAAGATTTCACAGCTTGTAAATAATGAAGCCAGGCATAGAACCTGGACTTTGGACTCCAGAGATTATGCTTTCAACCACATCACTATACTCTCTCCCATATTAGTGAGTTAAATGAGTTTCTAAGTGGTAGAGAGTTTTATTTTTTTCTTAAGCAACTCTTTAAGGGAAACTTTAGGCCTTCAAGAGAGCAGATACTTCTCTGAGATCTAGATAAACTTGGACATACCCTTGTCATGATCCAGAGCAGGCTCTATGCATTCTAGAAGGTAGTGATACTTACCCATGTTCCTTTCGCCTCCACATGCCCATGTTTACATTTTCTGTCTCATATTAGCCTGGGTGGGGATTAGTCTCATTTATTCATTTTCATAAACATCCGATTTCTTCCCAGAATGTTACAAGATTAGAGCAGGTCATTGAAGGCATTAGGGGTTGTTTCTGTTATTTATTGCTATATAACATGCTACATTAAAACTGAATGGTGTAAAACAATAATTGTTTATTATTTCTTATGATTATGCAATCTGGGAAGTGGTTGGTTTTTCTCATGTGATAGGTAATAATAGTTACTAATATTCATCATCAGTATCATAATATATACAATCCACAACGAGGTATTAAAGAAACTGTAGCTCTTGTCTTCCTGCCACCCCAACACCCTAGAATGAAGAGTGTTAACCTGGGGAATCCCACCGAGGGGTCTTCCTAGGTAACTCCATGAATGTTTCATTTAACTCAGCCAAGATGGTTTTATAGGAGAGCATTGGATCAAATATAAAATGACTTGGGACTCAGTCTTGTTTTCACCATTTGGTAGTGATACTAACTTGAAGAAATGATAGTCATTTAATTCCCTGAGCATCAGTTTCTTCTTATGGTCAGTGTGGTGGATACTCACTTCACTAGCTTTTTACAGTGTGACTATGATAATCAAATTAATGACATGAGCATGATGCTTTGAAAAAGGAAAGCACCAAGCCAACAATACCTAATATATATTGAAATACTTTGTACTATGGTCCTGTTTAAATGCTTGAATCATGTACGTATATGTGTGTTTGAAATTTATTAAATCATTTATGAGGTTGGTACTATTATTTTCTCCACTTAACCACTGGGGCCTCTTAAGTACGGAGAGGATAAGTAACCCGAAAAGTCAGGCAGCTTGTAAGTGACAGAATGGGAAATCAATGACAGATATGCTCATTCCTGACAGGTAGGGCTCTAGAAAATCCCATGTAACCCCAGAACATGCCACTGTGAAGGCATCAAATCATGGAATTGTGTCTGGGGAGGGTGTAGGTGGGGTATTTGCACCAGGCTGACGGTGGAGTAGCTGAGTGCAGCCTTGCTTAATTACAAGCTCCTTTTCTCTCTGAGGCATTGGATGTGACAGAGCAAAGCTATTTTGCCTCTTGCTTTCTCCCAAGAGGTCCCTCACCAGTCCTTCATTAACTCCACCCCAAGGCTCAAACTCAACTTCATTTTTAGGGAGCTCAGGCCTCTTGGTAAGGTTGTTTTAGTCTCTTTTACTTTTAGACAAAGAAACTGGCTTGGTCTTCAGTGGCTTTGTTTACTTTATTAGAATTTTTGTCATATTTTTCTCTTTTACCCTATTCTTCATTCTGTGTAACAGGAAAGAAGATAGAATGTAAGAGTGATGGCCTTGAGGATACCATAGATCCTAGATGTTCATCCTCTATGTCATGGATCAGAGGCCTCAGCTAGGCATTCAGTCAGTTCTTCTCCTCTGTGTACAGTGTCATGGTCCCTAGAACTCTGGAGAATGCAAACAACTCCATGCATAAAATTAGTGTTGTAAGAAAATCAGATGGTAAAAGAAAAGGGGATGAAGAAAAAAATTCATCTGTAAAGTATATGGACCCAGCTCCACATGTGGCTTGACTTAAAGAAAAAAACTATTGCTTTCTTAATGCTTGTACCTTTATTTTCTGTCTACAAGATGCCTATAAATTAAAGACTGGGATCTCGATGCATCCTAACTTTGCCAAGTGCTTATCATCTGGGCTGAAAATAAAACCACAGGTGAAGGATGAGATACTAATCTGTTATTCATTTAGCAAACATTGTGCTACATGAAAGGAGTCAAAGAGGTGATCTAAATCCTCAAGGAATTACCAAAAGCGAGACTCTAGGATGAACAAGAAACACCAAAACCAAAGGAGGCACTGGCTTACAGGAGTCTGTACCTTTAGTAGCAAGCCAGGAAAGCTGGAGAGCTGCCAGCTGGGACTAAGTTGCCAAAAGAGCCCCAAGAGGGAGTGTCTGATTTCAAGCCAAAGTGGAGAAAGAGCTGGGCCACTTTCCCATATGCCTGGCTAAAGGAGTCCATCATGAAGGACCACAGGATATACAAGCCAGAATTTAGCTGTGAAAGAAGGTTCCAGTAAGCAGAGAAGATGTTCCAGGTCACAAAAGTGAAAATCAATGAGAGCAAAGCCAAAATCAAGGATGAATGGGTCAAGATAAGTGTTTGCTGGATACTTAGGACAGAAACCAAATCAGAATCTGTTATAGAACCTTTGTTCTTGCCTCTCTTTTTAGAGTTCCCTATACCTTGCCTCTTTTATCATCTATTTTAGGATGGCTCCATTATCGCCAAGGACTCCTAATGCTATCCCTTCATAAATTTGGTTTATAGACAAATCAGTGGCCTGAACCAATCTAGAGAACTTTGACAAGAATTAAGGAGGAATAATAGTCTGGGAGTTTCAAGGAGAAGGAAGGCTCATATCAACTTTTCTATCTGGTGCCATGACCTTGGATGCACAAGAGTGTTCTCTGTTGGATAGTAAGTGCAGGGAAGTGTCTACCAAAATAAGTTGGGGAAGGACAAGGTTTAGTAGAAGGTCTAAGTTTTCAGGATGCATTCTGTACTTGTTCATTTCTAGCAGAGCCATTATTCCTCATTGATCCTTTAACAGTGAGAAAAGGCAGCCATTGATACTGAGAAGACCCTTGTGTTTAAGGACACCCATGGTATCCACATGGTTATTTTGGGGGGTTCTCAGTAGCAGTTTACAAGATCTCTCAACCTCTAGAATACCAGGAGCAGCATGAAATTCACTAGATCTAACAATAGGCTGAGGAAACAGCAAAGGATCATGTTAACCTTTACTGTGTACCACCCACCATTTTCAGGATAGAAGTGCTTTTTATAAAGGAACATGTAAAATCCCAGCACTTTGGGAGGTCAAGGCAGGCGAATCACAAGGTCAGGAGTTCGAGACCAGTCTTGCGAATATGGTGAAACCCCATCTCTACTAAAAATACGAAAATTAGCCAGGCATGGTGGCGGGCACCTGTAGTCCCAGCTACTCAGGAGGCTGAGGCAGGAGAATTGATTGAACCTGGGAGGCGGAGGTTGCAGTGAGCCAGGATCGCACCACTGCACTTGAGCCTGGGTGACAGAGCAAGACTCTCTCTCAAAAAAAAAAAAAAAAGAAAAAAAAAGAAAAAAAGGAAAAAAGAAACATGTAAAAAAGGTGATAATACTTTTTTGGTGAGGTTCTGTGATTGGATTTCCACAAAACGCAGTGGTGGTAGAGTGAACTTAAACTGTGGCATAGATTTAATAATGTAACTCAACTCATCTTCCTTAAGAAGAGTGTGGGGTGACAAGATGTACTCTTGAACAGCCAAAATTTCGGTTACTTTTTTTTTTCTACTTCATTTCTTTTTGGGGTCGTTTCTTGAGGCAGTTTTGCAAGATTACTTTGTGAAATAGATTGTAATGCATTACAGGTTAATGCAGTTAAGCTACAAATATTGTTATTCAAACTTTTTAAAAAGTGGAATTGAATTGCTTAGCAATGGATATATTTTGTTTCCATATTAATTACCTTTTAAAATTTTTATACAATCCTTGCCTCTAATTTTTAAGTATCCTTCTTAGTTCAGGGACACTTATTCAGTTGATTTTAGGAATGTAAATTATCCCTATTAGGTGTGATGTGCCATGGAGTTGAGAGCCTATTTGGACAGATCTTTATAAATGTCCATCAGTCTTATTGACTAATTGTAAGCAAAAGTTTCTTATTAAAAAATTTTTATAATAGCATACAAGCTTGTGAGAGGTGATGAGGTTGCAGGATTTTGCATGTGTGTGTGTGTGCATATATGTGTGTGTGTGTGTGTGCATGTATGTGTGTGTGTGCAGCTGTAAAGCTTATGGTCAAGCTTTGATGATTGCTTTAGAAAAGAGACATGGAAATTTGAGACTTCACATAATAGCAAACATTTTGCTACTCAAATTTGCATTAAGTGAGAGGGGAAGAAATAACTTTGGATGGTACAATTTTACCTCATCTCATTTCTTCCTTGATGTATAATTGTTCTTTAGTGGTCTAGAGTCATTTAAAGCTCTTGTTTTTTTATGTGTAACATGTTTCTGCAGAAATTAAAAAGAACTCAATGAACACTATTATCGCACTGTTATCTCTTTTCTATCCTTGGCTATCTGTAACCATTTAGAAAGAATTGCATTTCAGAAAGTTGATTGATTGGCTGACCCCATTTTGAATAATGTGGGACAATTTATTTCATAGAAAAAAGGATAACTCCAGCCTCTATTTGGAAGCAACCCAACTCTTAAAACCTAGGCATTCTTAGTGTTCAAATAATCGAAGTTAAATTCCTTTTAGAATCCTGACTTGTAGACCTTTCAGTGTGTGTTTTGATTAACTGTCTGGCTGATTGATTGATGGGCCTCTTCTCATTGAGCTGAATTGATTGTGAAGGTGTCTGCAATAGAGACCATGAGGCGTCTTTTGTGAATGGTGTGTTTTCTGTTAATCTTTTATATGTAGTTTATAAGAGACTGTAGATCAGTAAGCATCAGGACTCTGAGAATGTGCTTCGGCCTCTTTATTGTTTTAAGGATATGTTTTATATACAAAATACATAGTATATCAAATTGAAATATAAGATTTAGATTCCTGGAAGAGCACATTAATATTGTAAAAGACATGACATAATATTCAACTATAGCCTCAATAATTGATTAATGAAGAATTAATATTCAATGGTTTAAATAGTTATTCAACTATACAGTAACAATCATACTGCAGTTCTGGTTTGTCCAAAAACCCTTCTGGAACAATGGAGGAAGAGACTGTTTATCTTTGACTCCTATATGTTTGGGAGAATTATTTTAAAATTCCCAATCAGACTTCGCCTGGACTCTGAAACCAGCGTCCTGAGTTCAAATTCTAACTTCACATTTCATCATTATAGGACCTTGAGCAAGTTGACATAACTGCCTTGTGCTCCATTTATGCTTCTCTATAGTTGACATCATATTACCTCTTATAGGTATCATGATAATGGCATAAGTTATCAGATACCTAGCATAAGTTTTTATTATTACTTTTTATTTTCTCAGTAACCCTAATCTAGAGAATTGTGGTTCACAACCATAAATTTCTAGGAGAGTGGGAATGTTGGCAATATATTATTATAGAATTCCAGAAGCCCCATTATTTCTTCTGAATCTTACTAAACCATAAATAGCCCAATGTAATGAGATCATAAAAGTTGTGGTATTTTATCAGTTTCCATTAAATAGGCAGTTACTGAGTATCTACCAAGTGTCACACTTTGCATTACCCATTAAAGATGCAAAGACAAGATGAAATCTTTTTCTTAAATCTCATTCAAGTAGGAAGGTTCTTAGGCATTTGAGTGTCTGTGACCTGCACTGTGCCTAGAGGTGTATTTGGAAGACTAGGTGTATTAGTCTATTCTCGCACTGCTTTAAAAAACTACCTGAGGCTGGGTAATTTATACAGAAAAGAGGTTTAATTGGGTTCCACAGACTTTACAGGAAGCATGATGCTGGCCATCTGTTCAGCTTTGGGGAGGCCTCAGGAAACTTACAGTCAGGGCAGAAGGCAAAGGGTAAGCCGGCACTTCTCACATGACCAGAGCAGGAGGAAGTGGGAAAGGGAGAGGTGCCACATCCTTTTAAACAACCAGATCTCCCGATAACTCACTCACTATCATGAGAACAGCACCAAAGGGGAAATCCACCCCATGATCAAATCACCTCCCACCAGGCGTAATCTCCAACACTGGAGATTACAATTTGACATGAGATTTGGGTGGGGACAGAGACCCAAACCATATCATGAGGTAACTGAACCAGTGTAGGACACTGTCAAGATAACCAACATGAAGGAAGTGCATGTAGTCACATCTTTCAAAGGTCTCTTCAAATAACTTTAAAGACAGAAATTTCACAATTGAATTTTAGTGATATTTAGGGAGCAGGTACAAGTGCCCTTTGCCTCAACACCCTGCTGGCTTGGGGCCCAGGGTGATCTTCTGGAGGGTCACGGACTTGCCTTACCTCTACCCAAGAGATGAGCGTGTACGTAAATGACATGAATTTACAAATTGGCCTAAACATAAAGATACCTAACTCCATCAGGAAATGGTAAATTATAGAATAAGTTGTCTTAATAGAATCACAGAGAATTAAAACCAGAGACATTTCTAGTTTAAAGATTAATTGTAATTAATTTTTTGGTTTTGAAGTCAGTTCTCCTAGTTTTATAATTTCACCTGCATAGGGTGTTTGAGCATTCTTGATGGTCAGAAGAAAACTGGAGAAGACTTTAAGGAAAGACAAACAGATAGATGAAAAATGACAGAGACCTAACTTAACACTTAGACACGTGGCCAAATGTTTTATCTATGTTAGATCTGACTTTATAGCTTTTGTTGGTTGAAACAAACCAGATCAACAATGGGAGGTACTGTGATTTAGAGGAGAGAGGATAGCTTTGAAGCCGAGCAAACATCCTTGAGAATGTGGGGTGATGGGGTGAATCCTAACTTGCCATTCTAAATATGTAATGTTGGGCAAGATGTTAATTTTTTTATTTCTCTAGGATTCCTTTGATATCCATAAACCAAAAGCTGTTTTAAGGATTGATACTAATGTGCAGAACACCAGGCAAGGTAGTTGTATGCCTGGTATTTTAATGGGATCTCAAGAAACAAGATTTGTTTCTGTTTACTTAAGCCATTGAGACAAATGTATCTAATTGTGGACTCTGGAGACTCTGCTCCAAACCTATCATCTTTGGGAAGTGTCGTGAGACCTTCCCTTCTGTGTTAGGTGACCATGCTTGCTTGGTTGCTTTCTCTATTGGAATGTAAATTCTTTCAGGGCAGAAATTGAGCTTTTGTCTCTAATTACTCAACACTTAGTACAGAGTGTTTCTCTTAGTAATCATTCAATCAATGTGGATTGCTGAGTTCCACTCTACTTATCAATTTGGTGATCACAGATAATTCTAGATAATGATAAATACTGTTCTCTACAGAATAGAGAATCTCCAGCCAACACAACTTCTTTCCTGTAATGGGCAAAAAAAGAAAAAGAAAAAAAGAACCCAGATGGAATTTATCTTGATTTAAGCAACATTTTAAAATGTTACTTAATAACAATATACCTTTGATTTTTCTGGGTAGTTTCTTAATGAATGGTTTTGCAAAAGATCATTTTTAAACTAATCTGATTTTGGGAGTATAATCCTATGATTGATAGGTTCTGAGTAAAACACATTGAAGGGAAGTGTTTTTTCAGAAATAATTTTTAGTATAGTAGACTGTTAAATATTTTTAGTGGACTGTCAAATATTACATACTTCATTTTAGCTATAGTAAAGCAACTATGAAAGCTGGCTGTCATTCCTCCATTAAATATTTATAAACTATAGATACTATTTAATGCAGTTATAATGCCAACATGACAAGCAAGTAAAAAAGTATGATTAGTAATTTAAATAATCTTGAAAGTTGAATGAATTTTTATAACTAAATTGGGCAAAGCACAGCAAATTAACATGTTTTTCCTCCATAAAAATCAATCAAAATTGCAATGAGAAAGAAATCTTATATATATATTTTTTACTTAGCTACAAAATACAGAGTTGCTAAAGCCTTCAACTTTCATGGGGTTATGAATTATTTGTTTTACTGTCCCTCAGCTCCTTACATGACAGCAGAACATTTGGCCTAAACCCCTCAGAAGTCATAGTGACATACACTGAGGTTATTGACTTCTAGAGGCTGCAAATAGGAGTGGGAGTTTTGCACAGGGCTTTCATGCCATTCTTGTAGTTGCTTCTTTATTTTTCCTATTCTTGGCAAAGTATCAATAAAAAAGTATTGGATATGTAATGGGTACGTGTGTAGGATACTGAACTTGCACAGCAAATTGAATTATTTTTTCCTTATTTTCTAAATAATGTCATTTAATTAAAAGTAGATTTGATTATTGAGTGGAACATAGACATGCTCTATTTTTTTTTTGTTTGGATAGAGGTAGTTTAAATGCAATTAATGAATCTTCTGAACTCTTAGAATGTTATTTTCTGGCCTTGCTAATAGTTTTGTACTCAATAAAATATAATATTTTTAAAGTTGTAGAGTCTTCCTTCTTAGGAAGAGGAAAAACAGATCACATGAAGAAAAAAACAATAATTAATAAGAAGATAATGTTTTGAAGTTTAAGAACTATCACCTATTTTCCAAACCACATTTGATATTTCTGCCTCTTTGAACGAGAGGTTTTCTTCTCTTGGGTGGATTCTGCTGGTTTCCTTTCCACTTCACTGGCCACTCAGGTTTGCTCTTGACCATTAGAACTCTAAATGTTGGAGCATCTTTTGTGCTCAGTGCTTTGCTGTCTTATCTCTTTTATCCACGCAGCACATCTTCAAGTCATCCCACTCAACCCTATGTCTTTTGTTCCATCTATAGAGTGATGATTCCCAAACATATGTTTGTATTCCCGACCTCTTCATTGAGTTTCAGATGTTCATGTTCTGTAGACTAATTAGCATTACCTGGTGGAGGTTTAATAGGCATGCCAAATTTATTATGTCCCAAACAGTGTTCTTGATTCTTTTTTCAAATCAGCAATGCTGCAGTCTTCTTCATCTTGGTAAAAATTTCTAAAGACTGTCCCACTGAAAAGGCCAGACACTTGGGAGTCCTCACTACTTTCTTTCTTTCTGTACTATGTCACTTCTAGTCCACCAGCAAATTCTGTTTATTCTAAATGGACACTTCTCCCAATTCCTCTGCTGCTGCCCTAGTTTAGGATATCATCAGATTTTGTCTTCATAATGCAATACTCCAAGGCTTCTCTCTCTCTGCCCTCACTCTTACTCTTTCCCCAGCACCCCAGCCCGAAACAAAACATTCAAGAAGATCTTTTAACAATTTAAGTCAAATCTCCTGTTCAAAACCTTCCACAGGCTCTTCTTTCAATTTGTTAAATCCAAACCACTTTACCATAGTTTGCAAAGCCCCACCTGAACTGACCTATGTGTAGCCCACCCACTTCATCTCCTATCCCTTTCTTCTCTCCTTATGCAATCATCTTCACTCTCACTGGGCCTCTTCATTAGAAGTCAAGCAATGTTTTCTATAAGGGATAGACAGTAAGTATCTTAGGATTTTTTTGTCATTATGGTTTTTGCCACAGCTGCTCCATTCTGCCACTGTTGCATGTCAGCAGTCATAGACAATATGCAAACAAATAAGCGTGGCTGTGTTCCAATAAAACTTCATTTATGGCCATTGAACTTGAGTTTTTTATAATTTTCATGTCACAAAATATGTGTTTACATTTTTTCAACCATTTAAGCTGTAAAAACCATTCTTCACTCACAGAGTGTATAAAAACAAGCAATAAGACAGATTTGGCCCACAGAACAGAGTTTGCCAATTCCTGTTGTTGGTAATCCTTAGATATTTTTATCTTCTGGACTTCTAGGTGCCTCTACCAGATCTTTGCAGAGATTGCTCCTTAAAATCATCCATGTCTCTGCTCCTATGCCATTTTCTCAGAGAGGACTTTCTTGAAAGCTGTTCCCTTCCATCTCTATGCATGCACCCTGCTTTGTGGATTTTGCAGAAGTTATTATATTTTGAACTAAATTTTTTACTGGTTTGCTTGTTTTGTATTGTCTTTTCTATAAGAATGTTGGCTCTAAATGGCCAGGAACCTTGTCTTTTCTTCACTCTTTTCCTAGCTCCCATTATAATGCCTGGTACTTAGCCAGTGCTCAATTAACATTTGCTGCGTAGACGACTGAATAATCAGTCATTGCTTTTGATTAAAAACATACGTTTTATGGTACAGTGGGCTAGAACTCAAGCTTTAATGCTACAATTTGTTAGCTTGGCAAATCCGTCTACATTATCTAAGCATTGTAAGCATCAGTTTTTTCATTTGTGATATATGCTTAATAATACCATACAGATTGGTCGAAAGAATAAAGAAGAATACATGTATAAAGAACTTAAATGGGTAAGTGTTATAAACCAGTAGTGGAATTTACATAGTGTGAATTATTATTATTCTCACTGGACGCTAAACTTTGAGGGTAGAGACCATATCTTTTTTTTTTTTTTGTCTGTTACCATACTCTTGGTTCTCAGAACATGAGAAATCCAATAAATATTATTGATTTAATGAGTGAGTGAATGAATTAACAAATAATACAGAAAAGTGAACACTGTGTGATAAGATTTTGATATACTCTAGAAGTATTAATCAAGTAAATATGTCACATTTTGTCAGGTAAACATAGGAATTTGACTGTTGCATACATCTATATTCTAAATACTGGGTTCTTTATGACCATTACCTGGTCTCTGAAGGCTATGTGGTACCTGAGATCTGGGAACTTCAGTAGCTAGTGAAGCAAAGCTACTTAAGTTCATTTTAGTAAACAAAATCAGTTGGTTTTATAGGAAGTTAGGAGACCCATATCATCTATTTATAAATACAAAAAAAAAGAAACAGCGTGGCATACCTGATATATATGATCGTTCCTGGTTGTTAGAGGAGATTTAGATTTAGTCTCTGAAAAAACTGCACAGCTCTCTACCCAAAATCAAGGATTGGCAGAGCTGCAGTTTATGGGCTGGCTCTCCAAAGAAAGCTAGGTATCATTTGAATGTGTCCCCCAAATGGCATGTGTTGGAAACTTAATCTCCAATGCAACAGCATTTAAAGGTGGGAACTTTAAGAGATGATTAGGCCATGAAGGCTCGATTTCTGGAATGAATTATTGCCATTTTTATGGGAGTGAGTTTCTTATAAAAAGACAACTTCAATCACCATCTCTTTTTCTTTCTTACTCTTTTTTTTTGCCCTTCTGCCATGGGATGAGGCAGCAAGAAGGCCCTGACAAGATGCTAATCCCTCACTTTGGACTTAGCCTCCAGAACCATGAGATATAAATTTCTGTTCATTATAAATTATCCAATCAGCTCAGAATATCCAGAATATTCAGTGATATTCTGTTATAGCAGCACAAAATAAACTAAGACTGAGCTCATTTGGGTCAGGCCATATCTACAGGTACAATGGTACAATGACTTCTGGAATTAAATTCCAAGGATGTTACACCTAAGAGTCCTCTTTGGAAATCCTGACTCTATTTGTATATTTACATCAACTTTTTTTCTCCCATCCAAGTACTAACCAGGCCTGACCTTGCTTAGCTTCTGAGAACAGACAGTATCAGGTGCATTCAGGGTGGTATGGCCATAGACCATCAACTTTTTTTCTCCTGAAATTACTGTGAATTTGCTCTTGATTGTCAGTAGTTTGGTCCACAATCCATGTGATTGTAATGTGATGTGAAAAGATCAATAACCTGCAGTGTTCATTTCAGTCTAAAATAACTTCATTTTTTATCTATTATCATTTTTGGCAAGAAAAAAAAATACAGTGCTAAGCAATTAAACCGTAAAATATGTATTTGAGTCTAGCAAATATGATTATAAATTAATCACTTAAGGTTTGTCTTTAGGACAATTTTGAATTAGATATATTTTTCTTCCTGCATTGATTTTTCAGTAGAAACATGAAACTATAGCGATCATACTCCAGAAAGAAGAGGATAATTTTGAAACCTGTTGTACTTACTACAATAACAGAAACAAAAAGCCATTACAAATTATATAGGAGTTAGATTATAGGTACTTTGGTGTAGTCAAATTTTTACTTTTGAGCTGAGTACAATCTGAGCTGTACTCCCTAAAGTTCAATGGGGTCTGCAGAATAATCCATTTCACTAAAAGATATTTTGTACAATACATGGTTTATTTTCTTCCTTTCTTTTTTTAAAATGGAGTCTCGCTCTGTAACCAGACTGGAGTGCAGTGGCTCGATCTCGGCTCACTGCAGCATCTGCCTCTCGGGTTCAAGTGATTCTCCTGCCTCAGCCTCCCGAGTAGCTGGGATTACAGGCACACACCATCACGCCAAACTAATTTTCTTTTTGTAGTAAAATACATGTTTTTGAGGAAACCTTAAGTTAGAAAGCAAATGTATCTGTAGATAAAAGTTTGCTTCCTTTGCTTTGAACATTGGTAAATTGCTCTAAATGCAATTTGAAGTAGAGCAATACAATTCCTAACCAGATATTATTTCTTTGAAAGTATGAGAAATAAACATAATATGTATGTAATTTATATATAAATACTACATACTTTTCACATTAATTTTTTCTCATCTATGTATACAAGCACATAGGCATATGTTTCTATAAGGATGCTTTCACTTAAAATAACAGAAAAATGTCTAAAATGGCTTAGCTGGAATTTCTTATCTTATAGAACATGCGGAGTAATTGCAGGGTTGACTAGTTCAACTGTGTAGCAATATTACCAAGGGCTCAGCAGTCCACAGAATGTTGGCTTTAACCTCAGGCTTTTTCCTCCATGGTTGTAATTTGGCTGCCACAGCTCTAGCCTTTACTTTCCTTCAGAGCCTTATTCAAGGGGCAGGAAAAGGAATTATTCTCAACAAATTTATGTTTTTAATCAAAGGGCTGCTTGGTTTTAGTTCTTTAAATAGCAAAAAAAGTCACACGTCTATTAGTAGGTTAATTATTCTCAAGAGCAATGCAATTGCCAAGATGAGCTTTATCACGACTGAGGATAGGGTAACCTCCCTTGGCATGGCCAAGTAGAAGGTTGAAGGTGGTCACTTTACCTACACTGCACCTCCGCCAGCTAGGGAGACATGGGGGAAAGCCTTTCAGAGATAGCAAATCATGTCTGTTACAAATATCAGCTTTCTGTTGCCTACACATACTAACCTTTTTAGTTCTTTTATATTTGCTTTGAATTTCTTAAATCAATATTAAGCAACAAGGTGTAGAGTCTATTGATGTAAAATTATGTAGTTTCTATTCTAATCCTGAAAGAATTAACATGTTAGCATCCTAAAGTAAAAGGAAATCTGACTTCAAATTGCTTTTAAAAATTCAGATTTTTAAATGAGTTTCTTCTGGCATTCTCTTGGAGTGTAAGAAAAGGTATTACAGTCATGTGCCACATAACATTTTGGCTGATGAAGGACCACATTTAGAAGGTGATCTCATAAGATTATAATATCGTACTTTTACTGTACATTTTCTATGTTCAGATGTTTCAATACAAAAATATTTACCTTGTGTTACAATTGTCTCCAGTATTCACTACAGTACCGTGCTGCACAGATTTGTACTCTAAGAGCAGTAGGCTGTAGTATAAGCATAGGTGTGTAGTAGGCTATACCCTCTAGGTTTGTGTAAGTACACTCTATGATGTTTGCACAATGAGGAAGTTGCCTCCAGATGCATTACCTGGAATGTATCCTTGTTGTTGAGTAATGCATGAATGTATACCCTGCACACACAAAGAGGAGAGGGAGAACATAACTGATACAGAAATGACTTTCAAATTTCAACTTGGCCAGGCTATTAAGCATTAAACATTTTCGAAGTGTTCAGCAAAAGCATATTAAAATATAATATTATGTAATGTATACATACATATCATGATTGTCCTCTCAATTAGCAAGTCATATTGAAAATTTTTACGTATTATTTAGCATCTAACCAATGATTAATTGAGGGGAGGAAATTCATAAACTAAAAAAAGTATTCATTGTATTTTTTGTTTTTCTAATTTGTTAAAAATAAGTTCCTCTTTTGGGTGACTTAACATTCTTTGAGTCTGAATAGAAATAACCACCTACCTCCTGGAAGCATACTTCTTTATATTGTTGCATTGCTATATAAGAACCTGATCTTGTAACAATGACTTATTATCAGGTTCCTATTGTTCTCACACTCTTCGTTTCAATTATATGCCTTGCTGGTGACAGGGAATCACAAGCCACTGAAAATGTCAAGAAAACAGGGATTTGGAAACAGAAGCTAGACTGCCAGGCAGGATCACAGAGTAAAATAAGAAATTTAAAAAGAAAACAATAAAATATACTGAAGGGAATACAGTCTTATACAGAGTCCTGTATAAGACAAAGGAAATTTCTTATCTCTAGTTGATGACATTTTCTGAGCTTCCAGCAACTTTCAAAGGGAGTTCAAATCAAGCCATTTGTTGACCTTGATACTGTGTTACAGAAAAGGAAAAAAAGAAATAAAAAAGTATAACATGGTAGAAAAAAACTCAAAAACAAGTACGACCCAAAAGCTTTCATTTGTAGTTTACTTTAAAAGTTTTTCTCTATTCACAATCTTTCTAATTCAAATGAAAAATGGTATTTTAGATTAGCATGTTGCTTAGTAAACAAAATTAATTGAGGCATTAAGTGAATGGTCTTTACATTTCTTCAGGAAAGTAATCCGTGCAAGAAAAGGTGCTCTCTGGTGCTTGTATTTCCGAGAAATACTAGAAAGTGGTAGGAAGGCTCCAAGGGCAAATGCCTAAATTTCACTCTTTCTGTCTAACATTTACAACATTCTGCAGTGAACCTGAATGCCCCCAAATTCCCATGTCTTCAGAGATCACCCTTCTCGTTATTATGTAGGTAACACATAACACAACCTCGGCCATCTTCCCATTGATGGCAGTAAATTCTTGCTTTTTATGGGGTTCTGTCCTTGTTAAGTTTAAATACTACTGGGATCCTTAAATGTTTGACAGATCCATTCTATGTGGCTGCTTGTCATCTCTTGCTAGAGATTTCTGTTCAGAGCGCTCTGTTGCTTTTGGCCCTCTCATTATCTTCTCTCTGCACACTGTTAGGCTACATTCAGGGTCACACCCTCTACCCGCCCTGGTAACATAATCATACATTCAAATTGTTCTCCAAAGCAAAAGGCTAAGAAATCTAAAACTGTAGCCGAGTGCAGTAGCTCACGTCTGTAATCCCAGCACTTTGGGAAGCCAAGGCAGGTGAATCACTTAAGGTCAGGAGTTAGAGACCAGCCTGGCCAACATTGTGAAACCTCGTCTCTACGAAAAATTCAAAAATTAGCCAGGCATCGTGATGGGTGCCTGTAATTCCAGTACTTGGGAGGCTGAGCCGGGAGAATTGTTTGAACCTAGGAGGCTGAGGTTGCAGTGTGCCAAGATTGTGCCACTGCACTCCAGCCTGGGTGACAGAGTAAGACTCTGTCCAAAAAGAGAAAAAAAAAAACACCTCAAAGTGCCATAAAGAATTGCAAAGACCAACCTTAAAGAGACGGATGAAATTACAATGTGTGAAGGTTAATTTTATGTGTCAACTTGACTGGGCCAAGTGATGCCCACATAGCTGATAAAACATTTTTTTCTGAATGTGTCTGTGAGAGTGTTCCCAGAGGAGGTTAGCATCTGAATCAGTAAACTGAATAAGGAAGATCTACCCTCGCCAACATACACAAGCACTGTCCTATCAAAGGCCTGGATAGAACAAAATAGCAGAAGAAGGGACAATTCACATTCTCTTGTAGGGATGTCCATCTTCTCCTGTCCTCAACATCAGCGCTTGTAGTTCTTAGGCTTTCAAACTCTGATTGAGAGTTACAACCTTGATTCTCCTGCAACTCAGGCCTTTGGACCGGACTGAAGTACACAACCTGCTTCCCTGGTTCTCCAGCTTGAGATCATTTTAGTAAACAAAATTAGTTGGTTCTACAGGAAGTTAGGAGACCCATATCATCTATTTATAAATACAAAAAAAGAAACAGTGTGGTGTATCTGAGCCAATTCCCATAATAAATCTCCTCTTATATCTATCTATATCCTATTGATTCACTTTCTCTGGAGAACCCTGACTAATACCCAATGCAAAATACTCAAAACATAAGCAAAAAAAGTAAAATCCTCTTCATCAGTTATCATCACTCCTTTGAGTGCACCCAGTCTCCTCTATAGGGTTTCTTATTTGGTTTGAGTTCCTCTTTTCCCCTTCTTTTTCTCTCTACCGCAGCAGGCTGCTGCCATGCTTATTTTTCCTCAAGGGCCCTTTCAATCATTTTGCCACTCCTTAGAGTTCAGGAAATAAATGAAACTTTCCTATCCGCAACAGGTCCCACTTCCTTAATCCTCTTTCTGAATTAGTGATTGTGGAAGCATCTATTACTTCAGTCACTACGCATGCTACCCACACAGGAGCATTCTGTTGCCTGGGGCTTAGACAATCTCAAGAGTTGATGATATTTTTATCTGGCATTGGTTTGAGACTTCTTTACGAACAACGGCTACATCTATTACAACCATCTGACTCATTGTGTTTACCCAAGTGGTCTCTGCTGGTATTAAGGGGGAGGCTGTCCCCAGAACAACTTCTGATTTCTATCCAAGAAGACAGAACTGGCTTCTAATCCAAAATATTGTCTTTTTTTTCCAACTGCCAAATTTTAAGATGCAAAATCAGCTTTTGCAACAAAAAAAAATTGCTAGAAACTTTAAAATAATGATCGTTGCTTCTACACACCCTGTTGGAAACTAGTAAGGGTGTTTTGCTAAGTAGCAGCCCCTTAGTATATAGTCTTGGAGCATCATCCTTTTCTGTGGAGTCACATCAATCTTATCATCAAGCTATTGGCAGCTCTCTTATGTTTGTCATTTCTTGTTTAATGTTATTGAAATTTATATTTTAGGGTTAGTCTGTTAAAAGAAGCAGCTAGCAGCTGATTTTGTGATAGAAATATCTAAGAGTGAATGGGACATAAGAAGAATATAATTTATATATATCCTATATATATAAATACAATGTATATAAACATTCAAGTTTATGAGTAATAAACTTGAATAAAATGGCTATGTCATATGTTTGAAGTGTCATGTTTGATAAAGTATGTTTATATATTTCTTGTGCATAGAATTAATCTTAATTCATTAAAATCATCACACGCTGGCAGCATATGCATTTTAGTAGAATATCCCTCATTTGAAACAAGTATGTTTTTCTTGTTTGCACTAACATTGAGTCATTGTAAACTACTTCCTCCTACCCTGGGTTTCCTACCGTTACACAAAATTCTTCCTTACCGTGTTCTGCCTGGAGGAATAACTGTTCTTTATCTTCATGAGAGAATCTATGGAAAGAGCTGTGTGTCATGGCCTGTCCAGTGACAGTGTTTCAAGAAAAATAGCTTATTGAAATATACATGGTAGATATACCATAATTATGTGTGCCAATATGTTAAATATTTTCCATGACAAAGGAATTTATGGTATTACAGCATATATTGAAGACAGTTCAATTACATTTTTGCCGTTTTTGCAGGATGTTTTACCCTTTCCTATTTCTCTTGCTTTTCATCTATAAAAAGAAGAAAAGCTTCTTTATTTTATAAGCTTACATGTATAATCATGAAAAAAACAAACACAGAAATGATGGAGAAAGAAGGAAGCAATAAAGGAAGGAGGAAAAGAAGGAAGGGAGAAAAGAAAGAAGAAAGGAAAAACCACACTAAAGACATAAGCACCTCCATACTTATTTTCATAACCATTTTGGTGTTATTTTGTAGTAATTGAGTGCATTAAATTTTGAGGGTTTTTTTTTGCCCCAACTGTGAAGAAATAAACAAGAAGAATTGTAAAAAAAAAAAAAAAAAAGAAAAAAAAGAAAATAAGGTGCCAACATACTACTTGGCATTGCTCAGGTAAATCTCTCCTTTTAATGGCTAAGGGTCACTTCCTTTCAGAGTAACTGTACACAAATCCACAGAAATGTAGTTTGGAAGATGGTTTTCACCAAATGTTGCCTCTGAGACCCCCACAAGATGTTTTGAAAATACTTTTTAAGAGATCATAAAAATGAGATAGTAAATATATTCATGATCATGCCCAAAGACTGAATAACTCATAGAATATTCCATGGTGCTTCACCAGGGTCTTTTAAAAGTTATTCAAAATCATTCTCAGCTGAACTTGGAAAAATGTGACTTGATCTTGACAACACTCAATTATAGAGAAGAGGCCCTTGGTTTTATAATACATCCACGGGTGATTTGACCAGAATTGTTTTTATAGTTGTGGCCTCTTAGTACCAAAAGTTTTATGCATCCGAACAAATATTTCATTTATTTTAAAAGTTGTAAGTACTTTAATATTAATATACACATTTAAATACATTTTGTATATTTCAAGTTTTATGGCGTAGTGTTTAGGAATTTGAATATTATCTTACTTGAGTTTTATGATGGACTATTAGTCATAAAACACTTTTTTGGTTTTGACTTTATCTGGAAAATCTCTAGAGTATTTCAGTTCATTTTTTTAACATAGTAGATATAGTATGTACCCATATTTGTTTTTTAGAAATTTTATGATTGGCCAGGCGTGGTGGCTCACGCCGGTAATCCCAGTACTTTGGCAGGCGGAGGCAGGTGCATCACCTGAGGTCAGGAGTTAGAGACCAACCTGGCCAACATGGTGAAACCCCATCTCTACTAAAAATACAAAAATTAGCCTGGCGTGGTGGCATGCACCTGTAATCCCAGCTACTCAGGAGGCTGAGGCAGGAAAATCGCTTGAACCCAGGAGGCGGAGGTTGCGGTGAGCCGAGATGGTGCCACTGCACTCCTACCTGGGCGACAGGGCGAGACTCTATCTCAAAAAAAAAAAAATATGATTAAGGATCTTCTGTGGCCTTGTATGTTTCCACCACAAGCACTGGTATATTTATGAGAATAATGAGCTGAAATTAAATGTGTGCTGACTCGTAAAATTTTGTGGAATTGTTTCGTTTTTCTTTGTTTTTTGAGAGAGAGTCTTGCTCTGTCGCCCAGGCTGAAGTGCAGTGGTGTGACCTTGGCTCACTGCAACCTCTGCCTCCCAGGTTAAAGCGATTCACCTGCCTCAGCCTCCCAAGTAGCTGGGGTTACAGGCGTGTACCACCACGCCCAGCTAAGTTTTGTATTTTTAGTAGAGATGGGGGGTTTTGCCATATTGGCCAGGCTGCTCTCGAACTCCTGAACACAGGTGATCCACCCGCCTCAGCCTCCCAAAGTGCTGGGATTACAGGCGTGAACCACCATGCCCGGCCAGAATTGTTTTTAATCAGCCTTTGATATGTGCATTTATGTGTGTGTGTGTGTGTGTGTGTGTGTGTGTGTCTGTATGTGTTTTCGCTCTCATAAATTGAGTGAAATAATATGGTACTTTGTGGTTCTTAATTGAGGATCCATTCTACAAAAAAAATGAGAGCATCTTTTATAATTTGTAAGGCAAAATATGGAGAAAGTTTAAGCTATGTCAAATGAAAAAATTATTATGTTGCTCTTTAACTAATGTTATCTAAGATATTATACTACTTAAGAGATTAAACCACATACAGTCTATACATACATGTATAATTTCAGAATGTAAATATAATTGGGTATGCCTGTATGTGTGTGTGGTAACAGTACTTTGAGAACAGTAGTTTTCAAAGGGATTTTAGTCTCCATGTGTCTTAGAGGAGAAAGTAAGATACTGAATTAATGCAACAATACACACATTATTAAACATATTCCATACAGGAATAGAATTAAGAGATTCTAGACTTACATATATGAATGTTTAATTTCAATAGAATCATAGAACATTAGCACTGGAAAGAAATCTAAAGATTATCAAATGCAAATTTCTCAATCAATATATATTTAAAGAGAGGCCCAAAGAAGTGAAATGTCTTTTCCAAAGGCATTTAGGAAGCCCAGGTTGTTTTCTTGCAGCTGTACATCACTGTATTATCTACAGCTAGACTTTTTCATATCATTACTCTTAGCCAAGAAGCTGCAGGTTGCAGTTCACTGGACCTAAGCTGTGATAGCCCTACTGGTTCCTTTCCTCATCCATGGTGATGGCACTGTGGAGCAATGCATTTATGGACATGGAATTAATTGTTTAGTAGCAAAATCAGAGACATTTGCTTACAGGGCATTGAAGGAAATCATCACTGAAATTTATAGTAACGGGTAAGGACATTTTGAAAAAGTATTTCATGTGGAAATTTTTTGTGTCCCCAGTCAACAGAGTCATGAAATATCACCTCTGTAATGCTTTTTTCATCTCCCTTCCCTCACTTTCCACCAATCACACCCCCTCTCTTTCCATCAGAGAAAGAGAAAGGAGCCCTTCTTTGGTTTTGGTCGGTGATTCCAGTAGATACATTTACTAGACTTACATTGAAGGAATATTTATCCCTTTACATGTTTGCTCAGATCCACTAGAATTAAGCTTCGAAAGGCAGGAATTTTGGACAGTTTTGTACATTGAAGAGAGGATGGCATACAGCAGGCACTCTATAAATGTTTGTTAAATTAAATAATGGTTGATAAAAAAACAGGACAAATATAGTTGTTCATAGAAGAGAACTTAGGTTTAAAATTCAGAATCTTGAACAAAATTCAGACAGGCAGAATTATCTATGGATTGACATCCATCCAAATTCAAGATCAAAATTCAAGAGGACTGGGGATTATGCAGAAGCAAGTAATAAAATAAAGCAGATGCCACTCCACTCATAGAGCACATCAATATTTCCCTTAGCCATACACAACTAATGATTTCATAAATTGCCCAGTGAGAAAGGCATGGAAATTGGATAGTAAAATATAATCAGCTTATCTATAATTTAAATGTTACTGTATTTACCCAGTAAACATTTCTTCTAAAATTCACTGTTTGAATAATTCTCAACTAGTCCCAATTGCTTCATGAAATTCTTATGAAGGAACTTCTAAGGTACCTTAAGAAATCTCTAGTTGGGCTATAAAGAGATTACCTGAACTGAAGCAGATTGTGTTATGTAGGTATGAAGAACCAGTAAAGAGCAGTGTTTACCCAATGGAGGCTGCTTGGGGTCTGCCCCTGCTTATGTATCACCTTTTTACACCTGCATGGACTACATACACAAATATGAATAAAAATACAGTAAATTTGAAATAACTTAGCGCATTCATTTCCTATGGCTGCTGTGACAAATTGCCATAACTCAAATTGCCATAAACTCATTATTCATAAACTCAAATGAAAACAACACAAATTTATACTCTAGAAATCAGAAGTTCAAAATGGTCTTGCTGAGCAAACACCCCATTTTTGGCAGAGCGCATTCCTTCTGGAAGTTCTAGCGGAAAATTAGTTTCCTTGCCCTTGGTAGCTTAGAGGCCACCTGCATTCCGTGGCTTGTGGTCCCACTTTTGGTCTTCAAAGCCAGTGGTTTAGCATCTTCTAATTTCTCTCTCTGCTGTTATCACTTAGCCTTTTTTGAATCTAACTCTACTGCCTCCCTTTTAAATGGACCCTTGCGATTATATTGGGCACATCCATTTAATACAAGATAAACTTCTCATGTCCAGATCCTTAATTTAGTCATATTCGTAAAATCCTTTTTGCCATGCAATGTAACATTCACAGATTCTGGGTATTATGATATGAACATCTTTGTGGAGACATTTTGCAGTCTACCAGACTTAGGGAATTTTTCTATGATTAGAGAAACTCCTGCTTATTACAAATATCTGTGAAATTCCTGTCATACCAATTTATTCTCAACCATGTGAGTGGCGATGGGGGAGTCACTCTTCATAGCATAAAATTTAGGCCAGGTATGGCGGCTCAAGCCTGTGTAATCCAAACACTTTGGGAGGCTGAGGTAGAAGGATTGCTCAAGGACAGGGGTTTGAGACAAGCCTGGGCAACATAGCAAGACTCCATCTCTCTAGAAACAAACGAACAAACAAACAAAACTTAGCCAGGATGGCGGCATGGACCTGTACTCCCAGCTACTTGGAAGCGAAGATGAGAGGATCATTTGAGACTAACAGTTCGAAGCTATGCAAGTTATGATCTTGCCACTACACTCCAGGTTTCTGTTTCTTCTCTCTATGACTCTTCTCTTCATATTTATTCTCAGGATTCCTCCAGTTATGAACATCTTGATTATTTTCTATATTCTATTTTCAAACTCTCAGAGACATACCTATGGCATGCCGTGACATCAGGGAAAAATCTTATCTCTAAAAAAAAAACAGTAACTTAATATATAATAGACAATAAAACACATCACCTGAATAATTGATATTTTCAGTGGAAGCCCTGATTTTTTACTCTGACTCAAATGGGGGAACATTAAGGCAAGATTTCTTACTGCTCTGATCTCAGTTATGATGACTGATATATGGAAAAAGGCAATGACCAATGCAGCCAGGTAGAACATGAGTCATTTTATTTTCATCTGTGGGATCTCAGACATTCTGAAAATCACTGCTGACTGGATTAGATGAAGACAGAACTCAGAATCTGTGGCCCTTTGTTAAGGAGATTTTGAAATATAAGCTTAACTTTGTAGGCTAAAAAATAATTACTCTTCATATTTGTAAACTTAAAAGTAATGTTAATAATCTCTTTGCATCAATCAATGCAATGAGTCCTGAGTAAAGATTTTGATAGGACAACAGAAGAGAGTTCTTGACAGATAGAGCTGATTGAAAGTACATCTCATACTCGAATAATTACCTAGCAATTAAAAGATCTGCATATGCCTGTGGCTTCTGGATTTATTTTTTATTGAGCTAGAAGTCAGGCCGAGGCAGGTGGACCACGAGGTCAGGAGTTCGAGACCAGCCTGGCCAGGTTGGTGAAACCCCGTCTCTACTAAAAATACAAAAATTAGACAGGTGTGGTGGTGGGCACCTGTAATCCCAGATACTCAGGAGGCTGAGGCAGGAGAATCGCTTGAACCTGGGAGGTGATCGTTGCAGTGAGCTGAGATCATACCACTGCACTCTAGCCTGGGTGAAAGAGCAAGATTCTGTCTCAAAAAAAAAAAAAAAAAAAAAAGAAATAGTGTTGGGATTTGTAGCTCTTGACACTATGGTGAATTAAATAAATTAATGACAGAGCTCTAAATGAAGCTTTAGAAGTTTCCCAAACCTTTTTCCAGTTGTAATATGATTTTATTTAGGTTTGCATTTTAGAATAGAAGACAGTTCTCATGCCACAAATATTTTTATTGATCGCCTCCTAATTTCATTTTGCAAAGTCTTTCTTTTTCTAGTCCACAAGTATTCAGGCACAACTGTATATTGGCTAATCCTTGATTCAAAACATATCATTTAGATTTACTCAGGCTTGATGCCTGACTGAATCTTCTTTAGATATTCTTCTCCACATCTCTCTAATTTTGCTTTATCTTTTGAATGAGTGCTTCCCTCATTTTGAGTAGCTATCCTATCATTCTAAAAATGGGATTTATGTTGGAGCAAAAAGAATTGGACCAGTACTTTGGGGCACATTGAAAATAACACTCCTGTGACAGACTAATAAGATTAATTTCCATCTCTACCAATAAGGGGAAATTGCCAGTTTTCACCTTTGTGACCAAGCATCACTTTATGATGTCCCAAATGCCACATTTTTTTCTGCCTTTGTTCTAACTTATCTAACCACTAATAAATATATCTTAAAGGAGGAATAAAAAGAAAGCTCAGAAATTCAGTGCAGACTTTTAAAGTCAGCAGTTGCATTTATTAATCTGTTTCTCTAAGCCGTTCGGGTTCTTTTTAAATTTAGTATTCCTTTCCTATGTCTTGTGTTTATATTCGTATTTTACCTGTTTATAAAAAAAGTTGTTTAGAATAAAGGTATCAAAGCAGAAATACAGATATAACTGTATTATGTTGATACTAGAGTCAAGCCAGTTTCTAAGTGTTTTATATGCATTATCTAATTTGTTCTTTACAAGAACGCGCAGAAGTAAGTGCTATTTTTATCTCCACTTCATAGATAGGAAAACTGGAGTCCAGAGAGATTAAATGTTTTGCCCAATGTCATGTAACTGTCTGTTGGCAGAGTCAGGATTTAAGTATAGCTATGTCAGAGTCCAAAATTGAGCTTAACCACTATGACAGATAGGCCTCTTGAAACACACTAAAATAATACATGTAATTAAGCATTAGGTTGAACTCTAGGCTTCTTAAAATCAAGATAAGATGAGAAAACATGACAAAAATTTCTCTTATTTATTAAAAGTAATCATGACATTTCTTTAAGAAACGAACAAGTTATTTTGCTACTAAATTCTATTAGATACTAATTATGTAAGACTTTATGGGGAAAATAATATTCAATAATTTTAATATATCTTGAGGCATTCTTTATATAACTTTTTCTTCTTCACTAACTTTCTTTTTGGAAAACTGCATAAAGACATAAGAATTTATAATATATGTATAATATAAACAATATACAATAAAATATAAAATATAATTTAGTAAAGTAGTTATGAGTATAGTCTACTAATCAATCAATTTGAAATAAAAATGATCTTGAAAAATCTAAAGGGTTGAATAAATAGTACTTGATCATCTTCTAAAATATCATTTCATTGGCAAAGCTGATGAAATTTTCATTTTTTGAGGCGACATGACTTTAGACTAGTCGATACTCTTTGAATTCTATAACCTGTAGGAGCTACTGTTAATGAGCTCTCATGGAAGCTGAGATAACACACTGGTGTTCTCACTAGGAGAGCGGACCAGCCACCTTGGCACAAATGAATGTGTAGGAAATTCTGAGGGGTTTTCCAAATAGCCGCTTTGCATATGCTTTTGAGTCTAGAAAATGCTTGTTTGAAGCATCAGAGCTGTGATCTAGGGAGATGAGCAGGGCTGATTATGACTGGATATGTAGAAGTGCACTTAGCTCCATGGATAAACTTTGACCACAGCAAAACCCCATACTGCTATTTTAGAATGATTGTGTTAATAAGAAGACTTTGGTTACAAAGGCCAGAGGTTACTGTACTCATCAGAGGTTGCATTTAGAAATGAGAATTATGCCAACTAAAGATTTTCATCACAGTAGCTGGGGAGGGGTGTCGAGCTCTGGCTGGCTGATTTGTCTTCAGCCTACCCATCCATTTATGTTTCTTCAGGAACCTGACTCAGCTCCTCTCTCTGATTGTTCTCTTTATATTTATTCTTAGTATTCTTCCAGTTATGAACATCTTCATTATTTTCTGTATTTTATTTTCAAACTCTCAGAGACATACTTATTGGGATAATTTAGTCACCAACTTCCCTGACAAGCTGAGTGTTTATTGAAGGCTCTTTTTTTAAGGCAGTTTTGATTGCTTATTTGTATTAGTGTCCTAGGCCTGCTGTAACAGAATTACCACAAAATTAAATTGTTTCTGGCTTAAGACAACAGAAATTTATTCTTTTACAGTTCTGGAGGCCAGAAATGCAAAATCAAGGTGGTTGGTGGAGTTATATCCCTTGGAAGATTCTAGTGAAGAATGTTTCTTTGCTTCTTTCAGCTTCTGGTGACTCCGGATGTTTCTTGCCTTATAACTCTAGTCTTTGCCTCTGTCTTTACATGACCTTCTCTGTGTCTGTGTCTTCCTCTCTTTTGTCTCTTCTAGGGATTCATTATAATACTTAACACTTACCTAGATCATCTCAGATGATCTCATCTCAAGATCCCAAACTGAGTTATATCTGTAAAGATACATTTTTCTTTTCCTAAATAAGATTACATTCACAGGTTCCAGGGGTTAGGATGTGGACATATTTTTTTTGCAAGGGCCACCGTTCATCCCATTGCAACCTTGTATGTCCTTGGGCTGGGTGCTCTCCAATGGCCCCCTCACTGGGTGGGTAGGACAGGTGTAACCCATGGCCTGAGCTGCCAAGGGAAAAGCCAAGTACTGTTCCTCTTATGCAGAAATTGTGGTCAACCATCTTTTAGGACAGGTGACTAAGGACTTATTTGCAAAAGTAAAAAAATATCCTATTGAATTACTGGAATTGGGTGGAGGGGTATCTCACTTGCTATTACCATAATGACTATACCCACTATTATTTCCTCATCTCTGAAGTTCCCTTTTTCCTTTTTCAACTCCCTTCAATCAATCTCTGAGAGAGGTGGGGGGAAATACAAGGATGGAGTCCTATTATTCTTGACTTAATCTCTCACTTTTAAAACAAGGTATAAAACGTTAAACAAACAAAAAAAAAAACACCTAACATTTTCTTTGAGACATTGATGCTAAGGAAAGCCACAAATACCTATTTTTTGAGGCAGGGTCTCACTCTGTCACCCAGGTTGGAGTGCAGTGGGACAACCATAGCTCACTGTGGCCTCAAACCCCTGGGCTCAAGTGATCCCTGCCAAACCCCCGCCTCAGCCTCCCCAGTAGCTGGGACTACAGGTGTGCACCACCATACCCAGTTAATTTTTAAAAATTTTTTGTAGAGACAAAAATTTGGGTCTCACTATATTGCACAAGCTAGCTAGAATTCCAGGCCTCAAGCAATCCTCTGGCCTCAGCCTCCCGAAATGCTGAGATTACATGTGTGAGCCACTGTACCAAGACATCAAAAATATTTAAAATAGGCAAATACTTGTAGGGATACAGAAAATTATTCTACATAAAGTATATTGTATGAGCATGTTCTTTTGATACTCACAAAAAAAGACAGAGATAATACTATAACCTGTAATATAAACTAGAATTTTAAGTAAATGTTTTTAATTGTTATACAGATATAGGTAGCTCTCATGAGGTCCACCCAAAATAAAATGATAAATACATTGTTTGTGGAATTATAAATGGCTTTTAACAAGGTTCACAGGACAAATGTAGATGAACATAAAATCTTGATTTTATGAAAAGAATAGTTTACTAGTTTTAAATATTGATGTCACAGTTAATCCTAGAATCATTATCACTTAATTGACATACTTCCTGCTCAGGATGTCAATGTTTTTACATTTGCAAATTTAGGTTAATACAAAAATTTAATGTTCTCTTTGCTTAATTATATTAGGTTCTCAAACTTGATGTGAAGTTTGTGTACTATAAAAAGACATGTAAGTAGCAGAAAAATCATGCAAATGAAGAGTAAGGCTCCACATTGAACCTATTATTAGATAGGTAATCTAACCCCTGAGGAGATTCACTTGGTAGCTTTCTAGTTTTATTGTATAGTCTATACTAATAATGTGTATTTCTTCAGGAAGCAGATTTGAATGTTCTCATTATCTCAAATACACTGCTAACCATGTTGCACAAAAAAAAAAAAAAAAAAAAATTCTGGTCAAGGACCAGCAGCTATGATCTTGGCAGGCACAAGGTTTGGCTTGTGTAACACATTGAACATGATCAATGGTGCATGCAGTGGGCTTGCCAAAATCAGTTTGCTGCAAGTTTTACACATAAGTTGGTTCTTTAAGTGGTGTAGGATTATTTGGTATTAATTCTTCAAATTTGAAAAACAACCCACCAAGAAAAGTCCAATTTTACCAAAACTAACAATGCCTTACTCAAGTGGAAACACTGATGTCGTATTCAGATAGACACAATAGAAAATGAATGAAGTTTCTTTTCTTTGTTTCTTTTTTTTTCTTTTTTTTGAGATAGAGTCTTGCTTGTTGCCCAGGCTGGAGGGCAGTGGTACGATCTCCACTCACTGCAACCACTGTCTCCTGTGTTCAAGCAATTTCATCTCAGCCTCCGAGTAGCTGGGATTACAGGCATCTGCCATCATGCCCGGCTAATTTTTGTATTTTAGTAGAGACAGAGTTTCACCATGTTGGCCAGGCTGGTCTTGAACTCCTGATCTCAGGTAATCCACCCGCCTCGGCCTCCCAAAGTGCTAGGATTACAGGTGTGAGCCACTGCACCCGGCCAAGAAAATGAAGGAAGTTTCTTTATGAGACCATCCCTCTTTCAGACAGCAGTCATGTAATTGTCATGAAGAGAAGCACATGCTCCTCTCTGCCATGACAAAAGGCCGAGACTCTCATTAATAAAAAATTTGCACCAACTTATTTAGGTGAAATTTAGGTGGAGTGGAGGTTGAGACAAAATTTGCCTTTATGTTACCTAAGTCAAAACTGTAGTCTTCCTGCTCTTGCCTTCCTTCTCTGATCCTGTCTAGGAAATATAGTTTTCTAGAAAAGACATCAGCGCATGGGACATTGAACTCATATAACTGGGCCCAGAGCTGATTTCTACCTACAGCCGTGGGTTGGTTGAAGAACACTGTAAATCTCTGAACTTTAAGTGAGCAGATACCTGCAAAGGATATCAACTTAGTACAGTGCTTCTTAGTATGTACAAATGCAATGCTTAGAACAATGTATCTCCTTTTGGATTTGGCAGGAAATGCTTTGCTAACATTGCCATGGTATTTTGCTTGGCTGTTATTTGTTTTATTAAAATGTTTGAACAGTCTTTATAAAGTAAAGCTTTTATTCATCTAAACATGGCACAAAAGAACCTGGTGATATCTGCTTTTGGGAACAAAAGATTTTAAAAAGTCAGTTGGAAGAAAAAGAAATACTAAATCTTCGAATATTACGTATAGAATTTTCCTTTATTTTTCTGAACCTTTGAATTCACCATTTTAGTTATAAGTACAAAGAGAAACAGAACAGAAAAACTGAACGCCCAAATAGCAGGGTAGGGTGAGGGTCTGAGGACAGTTAATGTCAGTGAAGTCAAAATTCTATTTTCCTCCCTCCAAGGTTTTTCATTGAACTTTAAATAGCAGCGATGCAAAAATCAGCTTTCAAATTGTCAGCGACAAGGCGGATCTGGCCATAATAAAGGCTGTAACCTTGATTGTCAAGCCTGCTGGAGACAGTTGCTGGGTCTGTGAAACTAACTCTGGAATAAGTTTTTAACAAAGGTGGCCACTGTCTAATGACTAGAACCAAAGAGACAATAGTGAACTTGAACTTGATTCTTAAAGACACTTTTACAATTGTAGGGGTGGGACATAGCACTGAAAAGTTCTAGGAAAGAGCTATGGACTTCATTGCTGTAATCCCATGTAATTAATGCATTCGATGTGAGAGCAGAGCTGGTAATTAAACATTGAAAAGATTACGTTTGGTCTTTCCAAGGGAAATGATTGAAAGGTAGGCAGGGCATCTTGGCCCAGCCAATTTGAGAACCATATAAGAAAACACTGAAATTCAAAGCAGAAGGAAAGTAGAATTTAAGTCATATGGACTAGACTGACAAAATGAAGATTAGAATGAGCTTGAAGGTTTCTTTGGCACTTAGAAACAAAGACCATCGAATAGATGGCAAAAGAATTGATTCAAGACTTACCCACAGTCTTGCCTGTTTCAGCTGGGTAGTCTAAGAGGATCATTTCTGAAATGTGTATCTCAAGATAACCAAACTGTCTGATGGTGTCCTTCCCAAGTGTTCAGGAGTTGATTGAGTCAAAAAAGACATTAACTTCAAAAACTAAGTTGAGGAGAAAAGAATAGATTCCAAACTTGGAAATAATCACAAATCCCTTAATGGTTATTATAACATCGGAAATGAAATGAGAAAGAGGTGACGGCCTAAACCTTGATGGCTGTCTACTACGGGGGGTCAGGGGCAGGGGGCTTACTGCTGCATCCCTCTCTGTGGTTCTATTTTTTTTTTTGAGACGGAATCTCACTCTGTCACCTAGGCTGGAGTGAAGTGGCACGCTCTCGGCTCACTGCAACCTCCACCTCCTGGGGTCAAGCTATTCTCCTCCCTCAGCCTCCTGAGTAGCTGGGAGTACAGGCTGCCAGCACCATGCCTGGCTAATTTTTGTATTTTAGTACAGACGAGGTTTTACCATGTTGGCTAGGCTGGTCTCAAACTCCTGACCTCAAGTGATCTGTCCAACTTGGTCTCCCAAAGTGCTGGGATTACAGGCGTGAGCCACTACACCAGGCCCTCTCTGTGGTTCTTAGCTGCTTATGTGCTCATTCATTTACTTTTCAGATTGCACTTAGTTATATATTCAAGAAATATTGATTGCTATGCTCTTATTGCAACACGGTACTGCTGAATTATGTAAAACATAAAAATAATGAGAAAGCATAATCCCTGTCATCTTCCTTGTTTTTAATTTGGTTCTGTAGTGGAAGAAACATTGGTTGGGCATATCTGTGTGCAAAGATCCTTGTTAAAAACTCGAATGCTTGCTAACATGATTAAATAATGTCCAGTCTTCAGAAGGTTGAAGATTAGTAGAGAAGAGAGAAAAACTCACATGGAAATATAATACAAGACATTTTCAGTCACAGAATTAATTTTGTAAATTTATCATTAAGGTGAAGCAGAAAAATTATTTTATGGCCATCTTCTGGGCTTTTTGGCAGTGACTTTTTAACCACATAGAAAATAATGGGTAACTAGAATGTACCTTTCAAGTTAAGAATCTAAGAGATTAGATTTCAACTAATCTCTATGTTAACAGATTAGTTTACTTAGAGAATAACATAGAGGAAAGACTTAGATTTCCTTGGGAGGAAAAAGGTATTAACAATTATTTCATCTGTCCTGCAGAATTAAGCAAATGAGAAATTCAAAAGTAAATGTATAAGCAATTGTTAACCAAAATGATGAGGAAACTTTGCTACTCTTTCTTTTCTAATCACATACATCCTACTCTTATTCATGGGATGCCTCTGCTGAGATAAAATTTTTTGGATGGACACACACACACACACACACACACACACACACACTATATTCAGTAACATTTTGGTACTCTTGGGAAAAATTCACACTTTGGTTTGAATTTTGTATGATCCTTTATCTTCATCTCATCTTCATCACAAGTGAGGTAATTCAGTGCAGATGAAGGTCGCTTGTATACATTAAGCTCTTTTCATGTTCACATGTAATAATATACATATTCAACTATTTTCTTGTTTTTACATACTTTTTATGTACAATTCCATTCATGTTATGTTACTTATTATCATACTCTTTATGGGTTCTGTGAAGTAGGTTGATATTATTCCCGTTTTTGCAAAATACAAATACAAATATGTTTTGATATTTCAAACAACACAGCTAGTGCAGGAACTGAAATGAAAAGCCAAGTTTCTGCTCTTTTTTTTTTTTAAACTCATGTTTATTCTGTAGTTAATAGAGAAACTTCACTTTCTTTGCTCACAAATAATATATTTATCCAAACTGAGATGTCTTTGTTTCAATGGAAAATTTTTTTTCCTTCTCTGAGTTATACTCCTAATATCTAGTGAATGAAAATGAATTAAGGAGGCTAAACGAAGCTGTTCATCTCAGTGAATGCTTACTAGTTTCTTCTCTACAAGAAATAAAGCTTATTCTTTAACTAAGGGGTAAATTATAAATCAGATCTGAAAGCATTTCTTAAAAAAAGGTTACCTCTTTAAATAAGTGGTAACAGATTGGGTAAAGAAAGTACCTCTTCAAAAACCAGTATAATGGCAATTTTGATGTCTTAGATTTTCGTATAGGCATTTTAAAAATACACAATTCGCTGCATCTCTCATCATGCCACAGACTTATGTTTCTCATCCTAAATTGTGATTTTCTGTGCCCTTTCATGGTATTTAAAATATAAGAAAATAATGTACAAGAACAGCTTATTGGATAGGAAAAACTCATGTAGCATTTGTACATGTCTGATGAAAAGATTTTTAAAAGGTTGTTTACTGCATGTGTTTTCACATGTGAGATCTGGGACTTTAATTTTATCTTGGTTTATATGAAGGATCAGAAACATTTACTGAATTATAGATCATCACTTTTTTACTGATTTGCAAGATCCCCTGCCTTTGTCTAATCTACATGAGGTTACGCCTTGATATTTATTTATTTATTTATTTATTTATTTATTTATTTATTTATTTATTTATTTAGAGAGTCTTGCTCTGTCACCCAGGCTGGAGTGCAGTGGTGTGATCTCGACTCACTGCAACCTCCTCCTCCCAGGTCCCAGCAATTCTGCTGCTTCAGCCTCTGGAGTAGCTGGTACTACAGGTGTGTGCCACCATGCTCAGCGAATTTTTGTATTTTTAGCAGAGACAGGGTTTCACCATGTTGACCAGGCTGGTCTTGAACTCCTGACCTCAGGTGATCTGCCTGCCTCGGCCTTCCAAACTGCTGGGATTACAGGCCTGAGCCACCGCGCCCAGCCTGATTCTTTATTTTGTACTGTCCTTGCTTGGGTTTGGTACAGCTCTAGAGTGGGAGTCGGAAGGGTTTCCATTTACCCTGCATTTAAAGGAGTTTCATGAAGATTTGGTTAAAGCCATTTGTAAATTGGCTTGTACTTTTTGACATAGAAGTTATTGGTTTGGTGATGCCATGTTTTTAAATGGTCATTAAATTCAGGCTTAATCTTCCATTGTATCATTTTGCTGAGATATATTATTTTAAAGACAATTAGACCATTTCCTCAATTTTTGAATTTTCATGTTTTCTGTACTTCCATTGGTAAACTCTCTCCTTCTTGTTTTTGCCTGAATCGTTCCTTTTTAGATATATTCACCCCTGCATGAAGTCACCAGAGCAGAAGCTGCTTCCCTCTGTCAGGGAACTTTTATCTGAGTGAGAGCCTGAGAGCTTCAAGTTCTTGGCTTTTTTATTTAATTCTTAAATGCATTATTCACTTACATTCTTGCTTAGTTTGAACATTTTTCTCTCCTTTTAATCAGTGATTTTTTTTTTTAGCATCGAACTTCACTAACCATCTCCTTCTCCTTCTCTTCCTTACTATTTTTTTGCATTTCAAACTATATTATTTTATTGTTATATGACAATTTTGATATATTCATCTTCTTTTTTTAGTTTTTTTTTTTTATTTCTCTCCCTTTGAAAAATAAGACATTCTTGGTTTGTTTCTATGCCAGATGCGTTAGGCTGCTGTGCTGCATGATATTCTACAGCTTTTCATTTCATTTTCATTTCATTCATCTCTATTTTCATTGAGCTTTAAAATTGTTATAATCATACTTGAGCTCAGAGCAAACCCGAGGCTCTGAACATTAAATAGTAGTTTGAGCCCAGACAGGGCTCAAAAGAACTATTACCGTAGCACAGCAGATGCACTTCCTGGAAAATGCGGGGTGCCCAGCCTGTGTCTTTCCACTAGTGGATCTCTCAGTTTCCAATACTCTTTCACCTTCTCTCATTGATTTTTTTTTTCAAAATGGATCTCGAACACAATGGAAAAATAAAAATGATTCTCCCATCAGATTGTGTTCAGATACCAAAAAAGACACAAATTGTTGCTGGATGTGATTTTTTGGCAATGACTTGAAGGAAAAATAAATAAAAACATTGGGACATGTGAGTCCCCTAGATCATACCTGCTGGTCTCCTGTTTATCAGTTTATTTTCACGCCTTCCAGCTAACTGCACAATGCCTTCAGTACAGTTGTTAGCAGTGAAAAATTTCTCCACAAGAAGCAGATGATTTGTGCAAACTTATTACCCTTACTTCTCCACCTCCATTTCTTTTTATTCTCTTCCTGTCTCAGATCCATTAGCAATGAGAAGACTTTGAGTAAATCAGAAATCATTAATTCTTAAGGAGATGCTTAAGGCTCATACTGTGGTGCTTGCAATGTATCTGTGTTATTTTTCATGACTGGGAAATACAGGGAGGACCAATAGATTATAAGAAGTCTCAGATTTACTCAGCCTAAGTCAGAGATTCCATTTAAGGTACGTTAAGATCCGAGTCACATGAAAATGAAGGGTTATGAAGCTACCTCTATTAAATACAAAGTATAAAGGTTTTTTTTTTTTATTGCTCTTTAGGCACAGATTATTAATGCTGTAATGACACTAAAGAGTATTAAATGCAAATTTGCAAGGCTCTAAAGGGCTTTATTAGGATAAGCAACATTTTATTGAGTCAATTCAGTTGCTATTTTAATGAAAATGTAGAAAATAAATCTCAGTAGAAGCCACCACAGATGTTGTATCCTGTATTCTGGGGGATAGGCAACTGAACTTCATGGTGAGGGAGGAAAACCTGGAGGGAGAAGAGAAGGGTGAGAAGAAATGCAATTTTATGACTTTAATATGTATTTCAGAATGATTTACCCCCAAATTACTTATTGCAGCTGGCTAATAAACAATTCCCTGCTTTCTGATGCTAAATTGAATCTTCTACCACTTATAAGTAAAAGTTGAAAGGTATTGCCTTTATTTTGTAGGTTAAAAAACCCACATTTTTAGTTTGAAAGTCAAATGAGAAAAGGATGAAGACAAAAGGGAAGGAAGAAAGGAAAGATGGAGCAACAGCTTTTTGGTTTTGGCGTAGTGCCTAAGAAGGCTGGTAGATAAGGCAAGAACCTAAGGTTTTAGTCATGGGATCTACTCTTTATTAAGAATGTGCTCTTAGGCAATTCAGTTAACATTTTGGATTTCAGGGTTTTTTTTTTCTTTAAAACAAGACTAAGATCACATTCCTTTGTGTAGTTCTATCATACTGTAGAGAAATAAGCACCATTGGCTACCCTATGCTAAATACCCATAGTCTTTCTAGGCATTGGGACAACCAAAAACCTTACCACACATTTCAGAATGCTTTCTTGGCAACATTTTGGAAACCACTGGGCCCTAGTTGACCTCTAAGGTTTATTTCAGCTTTAAAAATACTACAATGCTTGTAGGCTACTTATAGAAAACCATGTAATTTATTGTCCAAATGAGAAAACTTTAGGGAGCACAAGTCAGCATTATCAACAATTACACTGGGAAACAGGAGTAAAATCCAAACGTATAATTAACCTGAACATGTTGGTAATTGATTTTGGTGACTCTTTTTAAAAGCAGTTTGATTAAAATGATACAAAAGAAAGATGTGAAAATCAAAAAAGTATTATGAACCAATGAGCCAAGTAACCACTACCTAGATCAAAAGTTAAAATATTGGCCAGGCACGGTGGCTCATGTCTGTAATCCTGGCATTTTGGACGGCCAAGGGGGCAGAATCTCTTGGGCCTAGGAGTTCTAGACCAGCCTGGGCAATATGGTGAGACCCTGTCTCTAAAAAATAAAATAAAATAAAATTAGCTGAGCGTGGTGGCACATGCCTGTGGTCTTAGCTACTCTGGGTGGCTGAGGTGAGAGGATGGCTTGAGCCCCAGAGATAGAGGCTGCAATTAGTGATGAGCCCACCACTGCACTCCAGCTTGGGTGTCAGGCTGAGACCCTGTCTCTGAAGAAAAAAAGAAAAAGAAAAAATTAAAATATCAATATTACCCACACAAGCTCTCCTCATGACCCTTCTCAAATATTACTCCAATCTCTCATTCCCCCCAAAGATAGCCACGATACAGATTTTTACACCATTACTTCTTTTGGTTATTTTTCTTTTATTATGAAAGTGATATGCATTTCTTATAAAAACAACTTATGCTTGAATTGCATAAAGTAAAAAACTAAGGTCTTCTCCCATCGCAAATTTTATTTTTTCTGCAGAAACTACACTTTAAACTATGCTTGTACAAATAATACACACACTTTTTCTTCCAAAATTGATATTATACATATATATTATTATGCAATTTGCTATACTTATTATAGACATATTCTGGCTTCCACATATGTCAGGAATGGCAGCTATGAATATTATTAACAGATTCAAAGATACTGCTGTTTTCTCCCATTCTGGGGGTGGGAGCATATGAACGCTGGACGAGAGAGCCTTGAAGGAGGGTAGGTCAAAGGTAGAGTGAATCCTGTTTTTTCTGAGACATCTTGTTCTTTCATAGATTTTTAAAAAAATCAATGAAATCTATTTTTTTAAAAATCCTAGCAGAGAAATACTGGGGCTGGTGGGCCCTTATATTTCCTGACTGGGAGAGGGACTGGGGGAAGTGAAAAGTCTAAAGGAATCAGACCTACATTCTAGCTCTGTCATTCACTGCTTCTGGGACCTTAGGTCTCTGGAATAAAATGAGGGTTATAATTCCTGTCTGTAGCAAGAGGCTTTAAAGATAATTTTTATAATATGTAATAGATCCATTAGTTGTATACGATCTTAATTTGACTCAACCCCCACAAATTTTGTGCTTTTCTTAACATCAACTAAGAGTATAGGACGACAAAGAAGGAGTGATGATTTGTTATAAGTTGCTTAGGTTTTACATAAAACTTGATAAAATTAGAAGCTATGTAAAATATACTCCAGATATACTCAGGGTTATTAAGTTAGAGGTTAAAGAAAACTAAACTTTACTCTTTATTTTGGTGTTTTAAATCAGGGCCCATGCATTTTAAAGGTTTGCTGAGGTGGTAAATGTATTTTTATGGGTTTATTTAGAATGGAATGTTTCATATTGGGTCATTAACCCAAAAACAGCTGTTGTAAGAGGGTTGCGAAGCCCAGAGGAACAATTATTATTATTTTCAGTGGTATTTGTCATGGCAGTGATATAAGCCCTAAAGATAGAACATGATTTTTGGTGCTGTTGAAGTAAATTCAAGAGTAATCAGATTATAGCTGATGTAATTTAGATGTTTGGAGGTGGGGAATTTTCTGATAGCAAAATCTAATATATGTAGCTCCCAAAATGAAAGCCTCTCTCCACAGATGACCTTCGCCAAGGGAAACATTTTCAATGTGGTCATAGTGACAACTTATAACTTATAAACTTATTTTCCTGGAAGGTTTTGGTTTGAAGATGACTTTGGATTTTGAATCTGGCCTGAAATAAAAGTGTGCGTTGGGGAAAATAAAGGCCTTTTTCTCTATACTTTAACATCTTTCAGTTTAAATTGACCTCCACATCACTTAACAATAGCTTCCATTTTCCATTTGTTACTCATTTCATGCGTGATAAGCATCATTATAGACACTTTGTAGTTTCTCACATGTACTGACAGAAAAGAGAACTAAAGCCTGGAAGAGTAACTTATGCAAAGTTAGTGACACGGTTAATAAATCATAAGACCAGAATTAAATTCTAGATATGAGTCAAGGGCTTTCAGCCCCTATGCTGTGATCCCTGTTTTGTATCCCAACTACATACAAATGAGTCATTCTCTAGAGCTTGCTGGTGAGCTGTTTTGTGGCTTTTCATTTTAGTGTCCCCACAGCACCAAATAGGTATCTAAATGTTTCTTAAATCCAATTTTCCAGAGCTACTAATTCCTCATCTCTATTAGGGAAAGAATGAAGGTTTAAACTACAACTACTCAGGTTTCCAAAAAGGAGGAAGTACTTAAGCTCTTGAATTATTTCAGAAGCCTTGAAATAATCACCCTTCAGATGGCACTGGGATATAATTCCTTTCCTCCTCTTGATTTCCTCCCTCATTTCTGCAACAAAACAAAGAGGTAGCCTCTCTGTGTTCCTGATATCATCCCAGTAGGAATCTTTACTTATAATGATGTTATATTTTATTAATACTGGAAAGTCTTTTGCAAACATGATGGAGTCCATTTGGTTAACTTTGTGTTGAACTCCTAAAACTCGACCTCTTGCAAAGTGGTCTGAGTATTTTCCTTCTCTTTTTGAGGGCATCTTGAAACAACTTACAATGATAGGTACAAATAGAAGAACTAAACCTTATTAGTGACTTATTACCTGACTGAATATACAGTGTGTAGGTTTAAAGCAGGTGCTAAGTTCTTGCTTTGAAAGCAAGAAGTGACCGAGAGAGGTGGCTCACACTTGTCATCCCAGCACTTTGGGAGGTTGAGGTGGGTGGATCATTTGAGGTCAGGATTTTGAGACCAGCCTGGCAAACATGGTGAAACTCCACCTATACTAAAAATACAAAAATTAGTTGGGAGTGTTACACACACCTATAGTCCCAGCTACTCAGGAGCCTGAGGCAGAAGAATCACTTAAACCCAGGAGGTAGAGATTGCAGTGAGCCGAAATTGCACCATTGCACTCCAGCCTGGGCCACAGAGCAAGAGTTGGTCTCAAAAAAAGAAAAAAAAAAGAAAGAAAAAAAGCAAGCAAGCAAGCAGCATTTTGTTTTACACACAGAAAATGGCCCTCTGTTGTAGTCCATGTTCTTCTCCAAAATCCGAGCAATTCCTGTGGCATTAACCAATCTTTCCCTCAAAGTTGTCAGGAAATATTATTTTATGTTCCTTTACTGGAACTGTATGTTTTTCAGAACACTTATCTTCAATATTCAACATGTATAAAAATCTTCTAATAAATGCTACTTATCAGTTTAGATAGCTATCTACCCCCCATTTTAAAAATAAAATTTGTCTGTGCAGCTTTTCCCATTATCCACCGCACCGCAACTACTTCAAACGTGCTCTCTTTTTATATTTCAGATCCTTCCACTTCCTGTCTGGTTCCCTTTGATCCCAGCCTCTCTGACATCACTGGAGAAATGCCAGCCTATGGAAGACAACCTCTGAGTCTCCTGGTGCCAAAACCAAGAACTTACTTGCATCTACATGTAAATCAGATTTTCCCTTGGGCAGCATGGAGCAAATCCCACTGTGAAAAGGTTTCCTCCGTCTTCCTCTTTGTCAGGTAAAAAAACACTTAACTGTCTTCTGCATATTTAACTTCTCTCTGTCCACTCATGCCTTGCTTCATTTATACATGTTCAAGTCTTTCTCATCTAAGGCATGAAACAAAGCAGCCTACAAAACAAACATCAAATTAAGTTAATAAACCTGTGCTTGCATCTGGCCGATCGCTGGAACTTGTGTTTGCATTATCATTCTTCAGCTCCCAGAAATCAGTCCTGTGTTCCTACTAACACTCTCTTCGCCAAGGGAAACATTTTCAATGTCGTCATACTGACAACTTATAACTTATAAACTTATTTTCCTGGAAGGTTTTGGTTTGAAGATGACTTTGGATTCCCCTCCGTAGTAACTCCATGATCAACATGTTGCCAGATTTAGTGCTGTTAAGCGCTGCTTAGGTGTCAGATAAAAAATGAGATAGTTGCACTTTGGGAGGCTGAGGCCAGTGGATTACCTGAGGTCAGGAGTTCGAGACCAGTCTGGCCAACATGGTGAAACCCTGTCTCTACTAAAAATACAAAAATTAGCCAGGCATGATGGTGGGCACCTGTAGTTCCAGGTACTCAGGAGGCTGAGGCAGGAGAATAGCTTGAATCCGGGAAGTGGAGGTTGCACTGAGCTGAGATCGCACCACTGCACTCTAGCCTGAGCAACAGAGCGAAACTCTGTCTCAAAAAAAAAAAAAAAAAAAATAGTTGTACTAAATTTAGGGATTTTTTTTTCCCCCTCCTATCATTCTGGTTATTTGTTCTCTGTTTCCTTAGAAAGCTCCATGCTTCTATTTTCTGTTCTAAATCAGCATTGGAGTTTCTCCTGATAAAAGAAAAACTGCAGGTGAATTAAATTTAAAGGAGTTTAATTGAGCAACCAATGATTCGTGAATCAGGCAGCCCACAGCAGATTCACAGCAGATTCACAGAGACTTCAGCACAGCCACATGGTGGAAGAAGAATTACAGACAAAAAAAGGGAAATGCCATATAGGAATTGGAAGTGAGGTACAGAGCAGCTGGATTGGTTACAGGTTGGCGTTTGCCTTATTCGAACACAGTTTGAACACTCAGCAGTGTATGAATGGTTGAAATATCGCCACTGGAATTGGCCAAGTCTCAGCTATTGTTACAAACACATACTCCTAAATTAGGTTTTCAGTCTTATCTACCTATTAAGCTAGGTTGCAGTTCCTCCAAAAGGACTCAACTACAGAAGTACGGAGTCCTTCTTAGGCCATATTTAGTTCACTTCAACGCTCCCTATGGAATATTTTAGAAATGTAGTGCTTTTAGTTGTCACATTTGAGGTGTTGGGCTATCAGCTTTATTAACAAGAATGGACCAGAGATGATACATCTTTCAAAACCCTTGTAGAGACTGGTACAGTGAAGAACTTGCCCAGGTTTCATGTAACTTTCAAATGTCCTGCCTGATATACACGTAAGTGACAGGGAAGGGGATGCTAAACCTAATTATAAATAAGTGACCTTTTTGTTTTAAATATAAACAAAGCATTTTTTTTGTTTACTTGTGTCATTTTCATATGCCCTGAAATTTCCAGCATTGAAACAACTGTGGTACTTGACAAAGAGTGTATATGGTATAATTAAGAAGTTTACTCAAGAATTTCTTACCATTTTGAAAAGTTATGTTCCCAGAGGCGGTGTTCCTTGTGGAATCAAAATCATTTATAAACCATGATTTATTAAGTCTGTAGATGCCGTGCTCACCATGTCCTATGTAGAGAATAAATATTATTCACTAGTATTTTCTTAAAAATGTGCATTTGCATATTGAAGCATTATAAAGCACCTCTTTGTTGTTTCTTCTCTATAGTTATGGTATTGTATTATTTTCTCCATTTATGTGACTAGGTAGGTTTTAATATCTATGTGTTTCATTTGCAGATAGTAAGTGAACATGACCAAAATTCATAATGCTTAAGCTTTCAGTTAGGGCCAATTTTGTCTTCTCATGGTTATTTGAACCCTGAAAATGTCCAGTTACTATTTATTCATTAAGGGCTTGAGCATATTAGTATCTACAGGGCAGACCTCTCTGCTGGTGTCTGGGCCTTTTATTTATCTGCCCCATGGCCATAACACTTAGATGTCTGTTAAGCCCTACAAAGTCAACTGATATCTGGGCTGAACAGATTCATTATACCACAAATGGGCTCCTCTTCCCCTATTCCAACCTTAGTGGGCAAGAGTCATGGGCTCTGGTGCCAACATCCAATTAAATGATGCTTCCTCATCCTCACTCACCACCCTGGGCCAACTCATCGGCACCTCTCACTTGGATAGATGCCTCCTGATTTGTCACTTAATCTCCTGTCTTACTCCTTTCTTTTTATATTTTCTACTCTGCTGAGATTAAAATTTGATCATGTTACCAACCAGTTTATAATCCTTTGTAGGTTTCCAAGTGTCCTGCTTTAAGGTTCAAATTGTTGTATATGGTTCATAAGGCCATGTACAATCTGACCCCTGCCTACCCTCCCATCCTCACCTCCAGTTATTAACCTTCTCACACTCTATGCTCTAAGTTGGTTGGATTCCTTTCAGTTTATTAACGTGATATTTTCTTTCTTGCCTCTTGCTATTCTCCTGTATAGAATATACCAGCCTGACTGATCGCTAAGCTCACCCTCACTCATTCTTTAAGTATCATCTTAATCCATACTTTTTCTAAAGTGGTTCTTCCTTACCCCTTGAGTTACTTTTGATCTCCCTTGACAACTTTTACTTTTCTATTTTCATGCTTCTTTGCTTGTATAATTATCTGCTGTTGCCATTCAATTATGAGCTCTAAAGAAACTTTGCATGTCTTTTAAAATGAATTTTACCTTCAAGTGTTAGCACGGGAGGTACTCTGTAAATGTTTGAGCAATAAATAAATACATAACAAATAATAAAGCATTTAAAAATACTTCAATATCTATGATACATGACCAAGATGAGTTTAATCAAGCAATCGTTATGTACAATGTGAAATGTGTTTTACATTTTTTATTTCATTAAAACATTCTGCTCATGACAACTAATAGGCTGCCACCTGTAGTTTCAAAAACACTGTTATGACTGCTCTGTTGATGTGAAAATCATTTCTAATTGATGATATTTTTAGTAATTGCATTCATTAGGAGATGGTCACATTCTTTTTGACTTTTTTCTCTAAATATTAAAATCACAGTGGAGATTTGTGATATTTATAACCTATAGATAGCTGGACTTTTCAGCTTTAAATTATGGACATAATAACTTAAAAAATCTTGTGCAATGTTTGTAGGGGTGTGTGTTTCATGTGTAATTTACATTTGTGTTATAAATATTGGGGCACTGAAACTCAGGTACCCTAACCAGCATGGTAGACTCACAGTTTTGGAACAGAACTGAAAAGCCATCTAATGCTTTATGTGATCCCCTTTCTGAAGGTCTACGCAATTCTTTATAATGTTTTATGTGTTCCTTGGAAAGAACCACTGTTAGAAAGATTTTCTTCTGTCAAATGTAATGCATAAATTCAGCTATTTTAATGAGGCACATACAGTGTGCTGGGCACTGTGTGTGGCCCTGGTGATGCAACGGTGTGGAATGTGGTCATGGTTCCATTACCACAGAGCGTTGGAAACCTACCCCTTCCTATTGCTTCACTCTCGTTGCTTCCTTTACCTTCTTTATAATCTGAAACTTGGTTCTTCCCCAGCCTTTAAATAACGGATGCTTGTTTTCACGTGAAGTGCTCTTGATAACAGTAGGAGGTGGTATCAACAGTCTTTTTCTTGCTCTTCATGTGTCTTCCAAGTGATTCCACGTCCATGTTCTCCCAAATCCACCTGTGCTAAAGTCCGCCATTTGGTGATACAGGATTTTCATGTCATCATTTCTACTCATTCTGCCCTCTCTTGAACCTCACTGTTTCTTTCATTCATCATAGTCTTTGACACTTGATATGTCAGGGTCCCCCTTATTCTATCTTTGGCTCTTGACCAGGGCCCTTCAGTATCCCTAAGTTTGTTCACCTGTGGGCCTGCTTTATCCAGTATCTTGATTTGCCTCAATCTTAATATTATCTTATTTTTACTTCAGCAACCAAGTACATTGAACATATATTTTATGGTTCGCTTTAATTATTTGGAGATTAGATTTTAAATTCCACAGATTTCTGTTCTTCAAATCCTTGTTACTACAATACTACCTCTTAGTCCTAGGCAAAAAGTTTACCTTTATAAAAAGCCCTTCTCTGCTTCTCCTCTGGCTACAAGCCTTCTGATGGGCTGAGGCTTTCATGGGGCCAAATGCAAAAGCCCACTTGGAGCCTCTGTACTTCCTTCTCAGACTGCATGCTGAGTCACAGGATGGACCAGATGTGTTGGTATGAGATGAAGTCAGGCCGGGAGACAAGATGGCAGGCTGAGAACTGGGGCTGGCCCTTCCTGTGCTGTCCATTCCGGTGTGGTCCTCCAGCCCTTCTGGATTGTCATAAAGGTAGGTTAATCAAGAGATGAGTAGTAGACATATTTTATATAACAATTTGCTAGGTTTCATTATAATTTTTAAACGTGTAGGTATCTAGTGTGGGGAACATCATGTGTACTCTGGCTCTAGGCCTCACAAAGGCTAAGGCAGGGCTGGCCTCAATACACACATTTCACCCACACTCTGATCTCTGGTCCCTTGGCTTCTTCCATTTCATTAACGTCTGTCAGTTTTTCTTAATGCCTAATAATTTCAACTCATTTTTGTGTGAACTCAATTCTTTTTTTTTTTTTTTTTGAGATGGAGTCTCCTTCTGTCACCAGCTGGAGTGCAGTGGCGCGATCTTGACTCACTGCAAGCTCCACCTCCCGGGTTCACGCCATTCTCCTGCCTCAGCCTCCTGAGTAGCTGGGACTACAGGCACCTGCCACCAAGCCTGGCTAATTTTTTGCATTTTTAGTAGAGACGGGGTTTCACTGTGTTAGCCAGGATGGTCTCAATCTCCTGACCTTGTGATCCACCCACCTCGGCCTCCCAAAGTGCTGGGATTACAGGCATGAGCCACCGTGCCGGGCCTCAATTCTTTACCTTCTTTTCTATTTGAACTATCTGTTATACAAAGCCTGAACTACAAGTTGATTTTACGATCTGCCTTCTTGGCTTTCACATTCTGTCTTCTAAATCATGCTGGATAATAATTGACATTATACATTACTGCACTCCAAACTGGTGTGACATGTAGATGACGGTCTAAGTCCACTTTGTATTAGCAGAAAAAACTTTTTCCCATTCGTATGAGCAGGATATCAAATTTTTATTAAAACAACATATTAGATGACCCATAAATCATTATATGTTTTTATTTTTTTATATGTTAGATTTGGTAGATTTATTGTAAAAAATGGTCTCAATTTTCTAGTTCTTCTATATCCATGCCATATAAAACATGACTTTGTAGCTCCTTCCATTGGGAGATAATATTAACTTCCCCATGTCTTGAATTTTGGCTATCTTAGTGATTTTCTTTGGCCCATGGAATGTGGTAGAAGTGATTAAACCTAAGACTCTAATAGCTGTGTGCACTCCTGCTCTCTCGTTGAATCCCTGCCACCACCATAAGGACAAGTCCTGAGTTAGCCTACTGAAGGATGAGAGAATATATGAAGGAGAACTGAGTCACTCCAACTAAGGCCAAACTACAGCAGCATGCTACAACCTGTCTGTTGTGTGCAGAATCATGGGCAAGGTCAGCCAACATCAAGTGAGCCAAGAAAGTCACCCAGCAAACTTGTAGATTTGGTAGCAAAAAATAAATATTTATTTTTATTTGTCACAGTTATTTTGTGGTTGCTTTTTAATATCTTACTATTAAGGCCATTAACAATGGATATCTTATTATGATGGTCAGTTTTATGTGTAACCTTGGGAAGGATGCATTACCAGTCATTCATGCAAACACTAGTGTAGGTGGTGCTGTGAAGGTATTTTATAGATGTGAGTAATATTTATAATCAGTTGATTTGAAGTGATTATTTTAGATAACCTGGGTAAACCCAATTCAAGCAGTTTAAGGGCCTTAAGAGCAGAACTGAGGTTTTTCAGGACCAAAAGGAATTCTGTTTGTGGATTTATAGCTTCAACTCCTGCACGAAAGTTTCAGCCTCCACTTTCTGACAGCCATCCCTATGGATTTTGAATCTGCCTAACCAGACTCCCAAATCAAGAAAGACAATTCCTTGCAATAAATTTCTTAATATATACTTCCTGCTGGTTCTGTTTCTCTAGTTGAAACCTGACAAAAAAGTGATACCTTAGACTTAAAAAAAGAAATGGATAACAATAACAATAATAACCATCTGTATTAGTTTATTTCATGCTGCTGATAAAGACATATCTGAGACTAGGCAATTTATAAAAGGAAGAGGTTTAAAGGACTTACAGCTCCATGTGGCTGGGGAGGCCTCACAATCATGATGGAAGCTGAAAGACATGTCTTCCATGGCAGCAGACAAGAGAAGAGAGTTTGTAAAAGGAAACTCCAGTTTTTAAAACCATCAGATCTCGTGAGACTTACTATCATGAGAACAGCACAAGAAAGACCCGCCCCCATGATTCAGTTATCTCTCACCAGGTCCCTCCCACAACACGTGGGAATTATGGGAGTTACAAGATGAGATTTGGGTGGGGACACAGAGCCAAACCATATCTTTCCACCCTGGCATCTCCCAAATTTCATGTCCTCACATTTCAAAACCAATCATGCCTTCCTAACAATCCCCAAAGATTTAATTCATTTCAGCATTAACTCAAAAGTTCACAGTCCAAAGTCTCATTCCTTCCACCTATGAGTCTGTAAAATCAAAAGCAAGTTAATTACTTCCTAGATACAATGGGTGTACAAGCGCTGGGTAAATACAGCCATTCTACATGGGATAAATTGGCCAAAACAAAGGGGCTACAGGCCCAAAGCAAATCAAAAATCCAGCAGGGCCATCAAATCTTAAAGCTCCAAAATGATCTTCTTTGACTCCATGTCTCACATCTAGGTCATGCTGATGCAAGAGGTGGGCTCCATGGTCTTGGGAAGCTCTGGCCCTGTGGCTTTGCAGGGTATAGCCTCCCTCTCAGAAGCTTTGATGGGCTGGCATTGAGTGTCTGCCACTTTTCCAGGTGTACAGTGCAAGCTATCCATGGATCTACCATTCTGGGGTTTAGAGGATGGTGGTCCTCTTTTCAGAGCTCCACTAGGCAGTGCCCCAGTAGGAACTCTGTGTAGGGGCTCTGACCCCACATTTCCCTTCCACACCGCCCTAGCATAGTTTCTCCATGAGGGCCCTGCCCCACAGCAAACTTCTGCCTGGACATCCAGGCATTTCCATACATCCTCTGAAATCTAAGCAGAGGTTCCCAAACCTGAATCATTGACTTCTGTGCACTTGCAGGCTCAACATCATGTGGAAGCTGCCAAGGCTTGGGGCTTGTACCCTTCAAAGCCATGGCCTGAGCTCTACACTGGGTCCTTTTAGCCATGGGTGGAGTGGCTGGGACACAGCGGACCAAGTCCCTAGGCTACACACAGCAAGGGGACCCTGGGCCCAGCCTATGAAATTTAACATATAGCTCCTTGTTACTTATGCAAATTTCTGCAGCCAGCTTGAATTTCTCTCAGAAAATGGAATTTTCCCTTCTATTGCATTGTCAGGCTGCAAATTTTCTAAACTTTCGTGCTCTGTTTTTCTTTGAAACCAAATGCTTTTAACAGCACCCAAGTCACCTCTTGAATGCTTTGCTGCTTAGAAATGTCTTCTACCAGATAGCTTAAATCATCTCTCTCAAGTTCAAAGTTCCACAAATCTCTAGGGCATGGGCAAAATGTCGCCAGTCTCTTTGCTAAAACATAACAAAAGTCACCTTTGCTCTGGTTCCCGACAAGTTCCTCATCTCCATCTGAGACCTCCTTAGCCTGGATTTCATTGTCTATATCATTATCAGCATTTTGGTCAAAGCCATTCAACAAGTCTCTAGGGAGTACCAAACTTTCCCACATTTTCCTGTCTTCTTTTGAGCCTTCCAAACTGTTCCAACCTCTGGCTATTACCCAGTTCCAAAGTCACTTCCACATTTTCAGGTATCTTTTCAGCAACACCCCACTCCTGGTACCAATTTACTGTATTAGTCTGCTTTCACACTGCTGATAAAGACATACCTGAGACTGGACAATTTACGAAAGAAAGAGGTTTAATGGACTCAACAGTTCCATGTGGCTGGGGAGGCCTTACAATCATGGCAGAAGGTGAAGGGCATGTCTCACATGGCAGCAGATAAGAGAGTTTGTACAAGGAAACTCCTGTTTTTAAAAACATTAAACCTAGTGAGACTTATTCACTCTTATGAGAACAACACAGGGAAAAGAACTGCTTCCATTATTTAATTATCTTCCACTGGGTCCCTCCCACAACATGTGGGAATTATGAGAATTATGAGAGTTACAAGATGAGATTTGGGTAGGAACACAAAGCCAAATCATATCACCACTTGTTTTAGCATTTTCATATTTAATTCTTAGAGTTACTTTAAGAATTAAATAAATAATATCTCTTAAAAAGTATCTCAAGAATTAAATAATGTTAAATAATATCTCACTTTACTTTTAAGTAAATTACTTAAAATATTATTTTAAGATATTACTTTTAAGATTATTATAAATTTCCTCTTGGAACTGATAACCTTTTTGAAATCCTGATATAACTAAAAAATGGAGAGAGCAGAGACAATTTGACATCATATTTAGATTTCATTGGCTACAGGGTGTTGCCCCATGCTATGGACGTCAAGCAACATTCTAGTCCAAGTTGCACTCAATGAATGAAGCTTTCATAGGCTTTCTAAGCACACAATTTACAGTGATGTCTCAATTTCACATTTTCATCTTTGTCTTAATACAATACCCGAGTTCACTGTTTGACAAGAGAAGTGAGGTTGAAGAGATTTTATCAAAACAAGAGGCATTCATTAGTTCATAACCTTTGCTCTCTGTCTGGGGAGAACTCTAGAACTACATTGTCTCATGACCTTATCCTTAAACTGAAAAATCTTCAGATCTAACATTAGAGGAAAAATCTTAAATTTCCTAGATTTCTGCAAAACATTGTGATTTGGTTTGCCTGTGTCCCCACCCAAATCTCATCTTGAATTCCAATGTGTTGTGGTAGGGAGCCAGTGAGAAGTAATTGAATCATGGGGCAAGTCTTTCTCATGCTGTTCTCATGATAGTGAATAAGTCTCATGAGATCTGATGGTTTTAAAAAAGGAGGTCCCCTGCACAAGTTCTCTCTTTGCCTGATGCCATCCATGTAAGACGTGACTTGCACCTCCTTGCCTTCTGCCATGATTGTGAGGCTTCCCCAGACATGTGGAACTATAAGTCCAATTAAACCTCTTTCTTTTGTAAATTGCCCAGTCTTGGTATGTCTTTATCAGCACCGTGAAAACGGACTAATACACATTAGAATAATAATTTTTAAAATAAACTTTTTCATGCTCATCTCTCTTTTTTCCCCTGGAAATTTCTTTGTCTTTCTTTTTTTTTAAATTTCCTTCCCAACTTTTATTTTAGCTTCAGGGGTACATGTGGAGGTTTGTTATATAAATAAATTGCATGTCGCAGGGGTACGCTGTGCAGATGATTTTATCAACCAGATAATAAGCATAGTATCTGATAGGTAGTTTTTCAATCCACACCCTCCTCCCAGCTTCCACCTGCAAGTAGGCCCCAGTGTCTGTTGTTCTTTTCTTTGTGTCCATGTGTATTCAATGTTTAGCTCCCACTTATGAGTGAAAACATGTGATGTTTAGTTTTCTGTTTCTGCATTAGTTCACTTAATATAATTGCCTCCAGATTCATTCATGTTGCTGCAAAGAACATGATCTCATTTTTTATCACCATGTAGTATTTCATGGTGCATATGTATCACATTTTCTTTATCCAGTCTACTGTTTGTTTGTTTTTTTTTCATTCCTGTTGCTCAGGCTGGAGTGCAATGCTGCAATCTCAGCTCACTGCAACTTCTTCCTCCTGGGTTCAAGTGGTTCTCCTGCCTCAGCCTCCCAAGTAGCTGGGGTTACAGGCATGTGCCACCACACCCGGATTATTTTGTATTTTTAGTAGAGATGGAGTTTCACCATGTTGGTCAAACTGCTCTTGAACTCCTGAACTCAGATGATCCACCTGCCTCAGCCTCCCAAAGTGCTGGGATTACAGGTGTGAGCCACCACACCCGTCTGATTATCTAGTCTACTGTTGATAGGCATTTAGGTTGACTCCATGTTGTTACTATTGTAAACAGTGCTGCAATGAGCATATGCATGCATGTGTCTTTATGTAGAACAATTTATATTTTGGGGGGTATATACCCAATAATGGCATCTCTTAAGGAATTATAACTCCCTTAAGAAAACAGGAAGCTAAGCCCTTAAGGCAGGTGTTCAACTCAATCTGGTAGGAATAAATGTGGCAAAGGAAAGTTATCAGTTATTCCAAATCATCTAGCCTTAAAAAGAAATTTAGGAAAAAATCTATATGAATGACATCAAGTGAGAGTTTTTCTTTCTATATTAAATTTCAAGGCTTTATATGATTTAGAATTGTATACCTCAAGAGTCAGATCTACATCTGCTAACCCCACAGGCTTTGCTTTTAGTCATTCAGGTTCTACAAGTAGGTATTAGATGTTGAGTATAATTCATGTGAAAGATACGGACGTCATTTATGAGATCTATTTATATAAGTTTAATAATAGTTTTATAAATACACCTTGGTGTTCATTTTGTCTGCCAACCACAGTTGTCCTGATAACAGCATGAGAGGCATAAAAAATTCATATTTGCTAAGGAGAATGGCCTCCAGCTCCAACCATGTTCCTGCAAAGGACATGATCTCATATTTTTTTTATAGTTGCATAGTATTCTATGGTGTATATGTACATTTTCTTTATCCAGTCTATCATTGATAGATATTTAGGTTGATTCCATGTCTTTGCTATTGTGAATAGTGCTGCAATAAATATACACATGCTTGTGCATGTGTCTTTATAATAGAATGATTCATATTCCTTTGGCCATATTATACTTAGCAAACTAATACAGGAACTGAAAACCAAATGCTACGTGTTCTCCCTTATAAGTGGGAGCTAACTGATGAGAACAAATGAACACGTAGAGGGGAACAATACATACTGGGGCCTTTTGGAGAATGGAGGGTGAGAGAAGGGAGAGGATCAGGTAAAATAACAAAAGTGTACTAGGCTTTATACCCGGGTGATGAAATAATCTGTACAACAAACCCCCATAACACAAGTTTAACTATGTAACAAACCTGCACTTGAAATTAAAATTTAAGTTTAAAAATTCATATTTGAAAGTCTGGGATTACAGTTTGGGGTAAATATATGTCAGCATGTGGAAAGTATTAATTATGAATATCTTATTTTATAGAGTATAATTTTAAAGTACTGTCCAGAGAGAAGCAATAAAAAAGGAAGCATTACAAACAGAAGACTGAAATAGCATTTTCAAATATTTGAAAAGGAAATTACAGTCATTATTCGGATTTTGAAAAAGAGGAATTAGCACATTGGTTTATTAAATTCAACTTAGTACAAACATGAAATTAATAGAGTATAATCTATAATGACTTTGAAAAAGATGAAATAAGAGAATCATAGCTATAAATGTTCAAAAGGAAAATGAACTTGGAAAAGACAAATTTTATGAGCTAGGCTCATTTTTGTGACAACTGGAAAAATGCTCAGGGTCAGAAAACTTTCTTCTCTAATAAAAGAAAGAAAGCATAAGTTATGAAGGAAAAGAAGCAAGTGGTAAATTAAGAGAGAGATTTTAACAAATTTCACATCTAAAGGCCTGACTTCTAGAATTTTCATTTGGTGACACAACAAGGTCAACATTTGCTTTGACATATGGCCATGACCAGGAAATGGTGATAAGGAAAGCAATAAGAAGTCCTTTTAATGAGGGTGTATCTGTGATGAAAGAACAGGTGCAAAGATGACCTAGATGCCACTATTTGGAAATTTGTGTATAGCAAGGAAGCTGATCATTTTAAACAGGATTAATGTGCATATAATATAACCCTCTGATAGCTTTTGTGAATTCAGTTACTTGAGCTTTTGTCTTATAAATTACAAAAAATAGCTTTATTGGTTAAAAAATGTTTAAGTAGCACTGGAAAATACCAGAGGAAATAAGAAAATGAGTAAATTATAGAATAAACCCAATAAGCTTTGGAATGTCATCAATATAAAAAATACCAAACATAAAGTTGTAGGTCCTCAATAAATGTTTTCCAAATACTTATAGAAAAATAAAAAGCCTGAAGACATTTTTCATAAGGAAATCCCAGGGGAGAAAAAGAGAAAGGTTGGGACTCAGAAATGAAACTTATGAAAATATGGAGCAAAACTGAACCAGGACTCAAAGGAGTGAAAGCAAGAAAAAAGACGATAAAGTCACTGCTGGGTTTAGACATAACCACAAAACCTTATGTTATGGATTATTTTTTAACTAAATAAAGAAAAAAATCAACAAATGTTCTCCCCCTCAGAACTGTGATTGGATACTGATGAACTCACCCATTTTTTAAATAGTTGGTGTCAAGATGAATTGCAAATGAAGTGTGAATGAGAAAGTAACATAATCTTATAATTATTGGGTTTTCTGTTTTCTTTCTTTCTTTCTTTGAGATGCATTTGGAATTTCTCTGAGTCTTCTCCATGATCTCTAGGTCTTTTGAAAATCAGAGACAGTATGGAAGTTATTGCAAAAACAGAACAGGTTAAAGATACAAGAAGTTAATTTAGAGGTCACTGTGGAAAGAAATTTCCCTATTTAATTACTATGGACATTTTTCAGCTTTTTTTTTTTCTTAGAATTCAAAAGAAAACTTTCAAACATTTTCAAACTGGGGCTCAGAAATAAGCAGTGTCTCTGGTAGTCTTCTAAACTTTGTGATTTACTCCAAAGTTACACAAGTCTGCTTGGGAGGTTGACTAGATATGCAATAGTATATACTGGGTACCTACTGGGTGCTGGAACCATGGTCTAAGAGCTCATGTGCAATAATGGGCAAATTCAGAGATGCTATTTCTGATTCACTGAATTTTGAGTCTAGTAGGGGTGACAGATGTTAATCACACAACCACAGATGAATGTACAATTATAAATGTGACAAATGCTATGAGTAAAGGTGGGACAAGAAAATTATATGTATTAGTCTGTTCTCATGCTGCTAATAAAGACATACCTGAGACTAGGTAATTTATAAAGAAAGGAGGTTTAATTGCCTCACAGTTCTACACGTCTGGGGAGGCCTCGGGATACTTACAATCATGGTGGAAAGGGAAGCAAACATGTTCTTCTTCTCATGGCAGCAGGAAGGGGAAGTGCTGAGCAAAGCAGCAGGGGAAGCCCCTTATAAAACCATCAGATCTCATGAGAACTCACTCAGTATCATGAGAACAGCATGAGGGTAACCCTCATCGTGATTCAATTACTTCCCACCAGGGCCCTCCCATGACATGTGGGGATTATTATACAATTCAAGATGCGATTTAGGTTGGGATACAGCCAAACCATATCACTGTATAACATAGACATTTAATTTAATGCTGGGGGTGACAGAAGACTTTTTTGAGGAAATGACCTCTGAGCTGAGTTCTAAAGACAAGTTAGAGTCATTTAGGTAAAGGTGGCTAGTGGAGAATATTCTATAAAGGTTACGCAGGTAGAAACAAGACACAATTGAAAAATGTCTCAATGCTTAGGAAATGTTCTTTGCCTCTTTAATCATTATTCAAAATAGTATATTTAATTCTACTTCTTATACCTTATAGAAGTGGTAGGTTGCTTATTGAAAGTAAACATGACTCAGTAGACAATTTGGGGTTATATGGCTTCCTGACAAGCCTCTCTGGGCTTTAGTGTCCTACCTAGACAGAGAGGGAATTGGGTCAGATGATGTCTAAGGTACTTTTTTATTTGAAATTGCTGACTCTTTGGTTCATGTAAATAAAGACATAATTAACAGAAACTAGTATGGATCTTGTATTAATAGCTGCAATAAAGTTTGTCACAAGTATTACATTATTAGCCCATGAAGAAGAGTCTGTTCTTGTTGTAGCTGCTAGTACAATTCTCTAGGAATAGACACTCTAAAATATTTGCTCAGAGTAATCTTAGTCGAGCAATGGATGCATTCATTGCTAAGTGACCTGTGGAGGAAAGTGGTTGTCTGAATACTAGCTTGATTACATGATTTGGGGATGAAGGACTTAAAATGATAGACAAGAGGTAAGAGACCTGGTAGGTACTATGACTGTGGGGACTTTGATTAGAACACACACAAAAAATCAAGTGACTAGCTTATTTTTAATGATATTTTTATTTTTAGGCACACACACAAATGATGAATAAGAAGATAATGCATGTTAGCAGTTATATTTATTTCTGGCATTTTTCCTTATGTACCTGTCTGTCTTGATTATTATACAGAAATTTACTTGAAATTAAGATAATCCTTCATCAAAATCACAGTTTTTAAAGTTCTATTCAGTGCTGCTCTTTTTCAATCCTGTTGATGAAAAAAATCTTTTAAATGTGTTTATTTTCTTGTTTTCAAATGACTAAGGGGAATGATGCCAGAATAGCAAAACAAACACCATTTTTCCATGAATATCTGGCTCATAAAATTGGTTTTGGACGGTTTGTAGAAAAATATTTTTTATGTGTGGGATTTGTCACTTTTGAAGGTGCTAATCTTGATCTGCTGGGTCGCTTTAAGGAGACAACAAAGAAAGGTGAGATGCTCTGTACTTCAGTGCCCAACTTTAGTGCCAACTACCTTCCCTGCAACAGGTGCTTGTATTGCACACTTGGTAGACTTAGAGTTGCTTTTCTCTTTTTTTGCATTGAGTAAAGGCAACCCCTTGAGTGTGAGTTGCTGAAATAACACTCCAGAAATAGCAGAAATTACTTCTGGAGTCCTGTTAAGATGGAATGGTGAACGTTTTTGTATTTTAATAGAGGATTAAGAGACATCATATATAGTCTCTATTTCTCTTCTTTTCAAAAACTATACTGAAGATTAATTGACATGTACAGAGTGAGCCGCATCACCGATAGGAGTAATAGTAATTGACACTTTCTAGAACAGTTAATTTGATCTTGGCTACGTTGATCAATGTATAGAATAATGGAAGGGATGGTTCTGTTTTCCATTCATTTTGTTTTATCTTAGCTGGAACATTTTGCTTAGCATCAGGCTTTAAGAGAGACATTGACAAACTGGAAGACATTCAGAGGTTAGGGGATTAGAATTATAAAGGGAGTTGAAAGCATGACAGATGATGCTTCCTTGAAAGAATTATGCTGTTGGGTCTATAGAAGGGAAGGCTACAGGGAAGTTTGAGGGCTCCTCCTGAACAAACCAAGAGCTTTCCTGTGCAAGAGGCATTTAATTTATTCCTTGTGGACTTACAGTTTTAGACTAGAATAAAGAAAGTGAAAAAATGTCTAGGAGAATTATTTCAGATTAACATAAGGAAGATTTTTCTAATCGAGCTGCTTAAAAATGCTTCTGACTGCCTCTGGAGAGGCAAGACCATGGGATGTAATAATTCCTGCATCAGCAGGAGTGTTAGATGCTAGAGAAGAAATTTCAAATCAGATGCCCTGAAGGGTTCTTTTCTATTCCAAGTGTGTCTATAAAGTCACAATTTGGTCATACGGCTACAGTGGATATAGCATTCTATTTCTCCAATGTCCCAAATCTTTGAATACATTTTTTTCCTCAGGCCCTTAATAGAAGTTAAACTTTTTATTAGCATAATTATATACAAATGACTTAAATATTCTACGTATTTATATATGTAACTCTTTAATACATAAACTAATCCCTTAAAGTATAATTTGGCTATGGTTTAACTTAAGGTAAATCAACTCGCTTTGGATGCGGCTAGTTAGATACAAAGTCAAAAATTTTATTTTTAGTAAGAGTACATTGAAATAATTCCAGGGACTATTCCAGTAAAAGTAATTTCAGTGACAACATTTTAGCCCAATCACAAAATTAAATAGTGTATTTAGAACTGGAGATGGTTTTAGGAATCAACTCTATTTAAGTTTTAAACCTCAGGACCCAGGAACTCACACTGATAGGAAAGTTGATGTAAGCTCAGTTATAGTCATAGTAAGTGTCACCTTTGCTGTCACCTCTTTGGCCACCTGACACTGCTGCTAAGTGGTATTTTCTGCAATGACAGGTCATGTGTCCCGTGTCCCTTAGAAGTGGGCATCATTACCGGTGGTCCTGTTCAATGAGCCCAGCTATCCCAGCAGTGACTCAGTGACTCTGGCCTCTGTCCTCTAGCCTATATGCAGTGGCTGGCTTCTTCTCCCAGAGATTCCCTTCTGGGGCATTGCCCATTGGCAAGGCCTGAGTCTCCACCACTCCCACCAAAACCACCAATCAGTGTCCCAATCTTGCTGCTTTCTACTCTTCAATTAACCTCAATAACTGCTGCCCTGGGTTCACCCACTAATCATTCTCTGATGGCCTGAAACCTAATTGCTTATGCCTGGGAGGTTAAAGTGGTTGGGAGGTTAGTGGGGAAGTTATAGCTTTCTCTTGCCTTTGGAAGCATAGTGCTGTCTTCTGTGTTCTATTTGCTTGTGTGGTGCTAACAACCTTCCCTCCCTCCCTCCACCCCTCTTCCCCTCCTCCCCTTCCTTCCTTCTCTTTTTTCTTCCTGCCTTTTAATTTTTCATTTCTTTCTTTCAACTGTCTTGCATATTTTTTCATATGTGAATTATTATATTTCATATTCTGTGATTAAATATGGTATTCTTCAACTCTTCAGAGAAGCAAAAACATCACTGTGCACAGTATATAATTCCTACTCTTCTTGCTGTTGTGAGGAAGAAATATAAAACTGTAACATAATCAATGCTTTGAAATATGTTAACACTGCATTAGTTTACATAAGAATAAGAATATATTCTGGTGGTTCATCTCCCTAATAACCTTGGAAAGTTTTTCATTTATCTAGGGTTTAAACCTATCAATTTGGATGCTAGCAATAGTATCACTAGGTAGTAGTAAATACCTCCTTTTTCTCTCTCCCCACACTTATGTAAAAAACATACCTGTCTAATATATATACCTACAGTATATATGTATAAATCATATACAAATAATATATAGATGAATAAATAATTAGAAAAACATGACATACTTAAATATACTTTTTAATTTATTGATTTGTTTTGGTTAATTTTAAAATATTGTGACTGCCTAGCTAGCTCAGTCAGTAGAGCATGAGACTCTTAAAGATATGTTGTTTACAGGTTATGGGATGAATACTTGTTCCCTATGTAATCAATTTCAACTATTTGTATTATTAATATCACATTTAGGTGAATGTCCATATAATATCTATATTTTATTATACAATTTTTAGTTTTCTTCGATTGATTTTTAAATAAATTTCCTCTTGAAATAATAAAGTTTAATTTCTTAAAATGTATAAGCCACGAAATTGAAATAGCAGTATACAGCGTGCAAAGTCATATTTTCTAGTTATCCTTTTTATAGGTTGCTGTAGCACAATTACCATTGTATTTTCTGTAGGATCTTCACTTTTAATATAAAAATGAAAGTGGTTATGTGTGAAATTTAAAACTGTTCTATCAAAAAAAAAGTGTGCATTTATGTTGTGATTGTCATTAAACCAATAATTTTCTGGTAATTTAGTATTATTACTAAACTATGTACATTAGGGTATTTGAAATGTTTTTCACATTGTATTTCTCATGGAACAGGATTTATGTATATTTATGTGAATATATTAAATATTACATGATTGTTACTTATTTATAGATATTAGCTATAAATGGTAATTACAACAGTATTAAAGTTGAGCGATTCTGTGATCCATCTCAGCACAGAATCACAATAAGAAGAAATCTATGCAAACAACCAAAATACATAGTCTGTTGTAGCCAAATGTGGATGGCAAAGTTAAACATTGCATGATATAGAAGACAAAGAAAAAAATACCTTTTATGAATTTATCTCTCTGTAGTCTCAATCATTTTGAAAGCTGATTTTTCAGAATCTTCCCTGGCTTCTCCCCAGATTCCAAGTAACTTATGGTCTTTCTCCAGATACTCACTATTACTAGCTATTTTGTTTACTTACTCTCTTTTTATACTCCTCACCATCAAACACCTCCTTCCAAAACCTGGGCTGCCAGCACGTGGATCGTTCTTTTTTCTTTTTTATATGGTCTGCTGAGAGGGATTATCTGTTTCCCCTTCTGAATATGTTTCTTCTCAGGGTGTGAAAATGGACCAATACAACGACTCTATTGCATGTCTCTCTCAGCCACATTCTGTCTCCATGATCCCCTCAACAGACATGTTTTTATAGCCCTTGGCTATTGCTCAGAGAAACAGCTTAAAAACTGAATTTTTCTTATTATCTCTTATTGCAATAAAATCTTTGCTTGTTCACTTCATTCTGGTTCAAACGTTTCCTCCAGTTGCCATGCATATCATGGTCAGACTACAAAAGCAAGGTGATTTTACAACTTTACTATAAGTCTACACTTAGATCCAGAAATTCCATGAGTTTTGAGTTTATTCATTATTTTTTAATGAAACTGTCTCAGATAATTATTTGAATTATTTGAATCAATAGAGGAAAAGTGAGTTACAATGCCCAAAGCTAATAAATCTACATATTATTTCTATATGGCTTGCAAATGCATTCTATAACTTTTTTTTTTACTTCATCCCAGAAGATATAACTTCCCCAACAAGTTTAGCTAAGATTAACATGAAAGTTTCATTGTTATTAGCTGGAGAACATGACTTAGAAATGTATGGGATAGTGAATAATAAGAAGACCACCAGTAGTTAAGTTGTTAGGAATAATCCATATATAACTAGCAGTCCTGTAAGCATGGATCATTGTCATCACATGACTCTAAATTTGCTTCTGAACCAAAGTGGATCAAAATTTTTATTGAAAAAGTATTGATTAATATTTTAATGATAAACTAAAGCACAAATTACATATAAAATATAGGTTTTCAATTTTAAATCATGTACAGGATTTCATGAAAATCCTTTGATTTCTTCTACTTCAGCATGGAATAGAGATGAGGAGTAAAAGTGCAGGTCAATAAATTGAGCAAGGCTCTTACTTCATTTGACCATTTGAAAATTTGCATTAAGAGAAAATAAAAATATGTGTACAATTATAAAAATTTGTTGGTCTTAGAAAATGTAGGCATTTAGTCATCATACATTATTTAACAACAATACGAAAAACATATTCAAGAGATCATGAGGAAAATTATTCCTGAGAAGAAACACATTCAGATAAGAAAACAGATAATCCTTCTCAGGAGACCATATAAAAAGGAAAAAAGAATGATCCATGTGCAGGCAGCCCAGGTTTGGGAAGGAGGTGTTGGTGAAGAGTATGAAAAGAGAGTAAGTAAAGAAAACAGCTAGTAATGGTGAGTGTTTGGAGAAAGACTATATATTACTTGGAATCTGGGGAAAAGCCAGAAAAGATTCTGAAAAATCAACTTTCAAAATGATTGAGGCCACAGAGAGATAAATTCATAAAAGGTATTTTTTCAGCATTAACTCAAAAGTCCACTGTCCAAAGTCTCATCTGAGACAAGGCAAGTCCCTTCTGCCAATGAGCCAGTAAAATCAATACCAAGTTAGTTACTTCCTAGATAAAATGTGGATACAGGCATTGGATAAATACACCCATTACAAACAGGAGATATTGGCCAAAATGAAGGGGCTAAAGGCCCCATGCAAGTCCAAAATCCAGGGGGCAGTCAAATCTTAAAGCTCCAAAATTATCTCCTTTGACTCCATGTCTCACATCCAGATCATGCTGATGCAAGAGGTGAGTTCCCATGGTTTTGGGCAGCTCCACTCTATGGCTTGGCAGTGTACAGCCTCCCTCCTGGCTGCTTTCATGGGCCAGCATTGAGTGTCTACAGCTTTTCTAGGTACACAGTGCAAGCTGTTGGTGGATCTACCATTCTGGGGTCTGGAGGACAGTGGCCCTCTTCTCACAGCTCCACTAGGCAGTGCTCCAGTAGGGACTCCGTGTGGGGGCTCTGACCCCACATTTTCTTTCTGCACTACCCTAGCAGAGATTTTCCAAGAAAGCCTCACCCCTGCAGCAAACCTGCCTGAGCATCCAAGCATTTCCATACATCCTCTGAAATCTAGGCAAAGATTCCCAAACCCCAATTCTTGACTTCTGTGCACTCTCAGGCTCAACACAGCATGGAAACTGCCAAGGCTTGAGGTTTGCACCCTCTGAAGCCATGGCCCAAACTGTACCTTGGCCTATTTTAGTCACAGCTGGAGTGGCTAGGACACAGGGAACCAAATCCCTAGACTGCATATAGCAGACGGACCCTGGGCCCAGCCCATGAAACCATTATTTCCTCCTAGGCCTCTGGACCTGTGATGGGAGGGGCTGCCTCAAAGCTCTCTGACATGCCCTGGAGACATTTTCCCCATAGTCTTCCTGATTAACATTTGACTCCTCACTACTTATGCAAATTTCTGCAGCCAGCTTGAATTTCTCCTTAGAAAATGGGATTTTCTTTTCTATTGCATTGTCAGGTGGCAAATTTTCCAAACTTTTGTGCTCTGTTTCCCTTTTAAAACTAAATGCTTTTAAGAGCACCCAAGTCACCTCTTGAATGTTTTGCTGCTTAGAAAGTTCTTCCTCCAGGTGGGGCGTGGTGGCTCACGCCTGTAATCCCAGTACTTTGGGAGGCCAAGGTGGGTGGATCATGAGGTCAGGAGTTCAAGACCAGCTTGGCCAAGATAGTGAAACCCCATCTCTACTAAAAATACAAAAATTAACCAGATGTGGTGGTGGGTGCCTATAATCCCAGCTACTCAGGAGGTTGAGGTAGAGAATTGCTTGAACCCACAGGCAAAGTTTGCAGTCAGCCAAGACAGCACTACTGCACCATAGCCTGGGTGACAGAGCAAGACTCCATCTCAAAAAAAAAAAAAAAAATTTCTTCTTCCAGATACCCTAAATCACCTCTCTCAAGTTCAAAGTTCCACAAATCTCTAGGGCAGGGGCAAAATGTCACCAGTCTCTTTGCTAAAACATAGCAAGAGTCACCTTTGCTCCAGTTCCCAACGAGTTCTTCATCTCCAACTGAGAGCACCTCAGCTTGGATTTCATTGTCTATATCATTACCAACATTTTGGTCAAAGCCATTCAACAAATCTCTAGGGAGTTCCAAACTTTCACACATTTTCCTCTCTTCTTTTGAGCCCTCCAAACTGTTCCAACCTCTGCCTGTTACCCAGTTCCAAAGTTGCTTCCACATTTTTGGGAATCTTTTCAGCAGTGCCCCACTCTACTGCTACAAATTTATTGTATTAATCTGTTCTCACATTGCCAATAAAGACATACTCGAGATTGGGTAATTTACAAAATAAAGAGGCTCAATGGACTCACAGTTCCACATGGCTGGGGAGGCCTCACAAGGATGGCAGAAGGTGAAAGGCACATCTCACATGGCAGCAGACCAGAGAGGAGAACATGTGCCAGGAAACTCCTCTTTATAAAACCATCACATGAGACTTATTCACTATCATGAGAATAGCATGGAAAAGACCCACCACTATGATTTAATTACCTCCCACCTGGTATCTCTCACAACACGTGGCAATTGTGGGAATTAGAATTCAAGATGAGATTTGGGTGGGGACACAGCCAAACCATATCAGTCATATTGGAGAACGGTTTTGCAATGCAGCAATGAGGAACTGGAGCAACATCTCATAGAGGGTACTGGCAACATTTTTACAAAGCCAACAACACATGGGCCTGAGAAGTAGGTAGATCTGTACAAATACAGTCAACTAAAATTCTGTGTGGTCAGAACTTGTCTGATTTGCTGAAGGATACCATAAAAGTGTTCTAAATGTATAAGGAGGTATTAATTTTGGAGTTAGGCAGATATGAGTTTTAATCCTGGTTTAGCTGATTTACTGCTTTTGTGACCCAAGTCACATAACTGCTTATGTTAACCTCATAGAACCTCAGTTTCCTTATCTTTTACATGTAGTTGTTGAGAGAATTAGAACTATTTAATATAAAAAGCCTGCTATATTAGATAATAAGTGGTAATGATTTTTTGTAAGCAAGATATGCGACCAGTTCACTACTTATGAACAAGTGACATATTGAAGAGATTCACTGTAGAGTCTAGCATCGCAATGACACAAGAATGCTACTGTGTGATCATGGCCACATCTCTCGGTTTTTCCAATATTCTAGTTAAGATTAATTATAAATCGAAGCAAAAGAAACTGTGTTTATTGTAGTTGTACATTTACATAAATATAAATTTGAAATTTAACAAAAGTTCTCATTTTCATTATCATTCAGTTATCACAAAAAATAAGCCTTTCTTAATGAAAGTTTCAGGCTCTGCTTCCAGGAGAAATAAATAGCTGGTGGCACAGCAGAGCTCCTTCTGAAATTCATTAGAAAAGTGAAATAAAATAGAGAAATCGTAGATTGAGTACAGTGGACACGTGGAGGGTTAAAACTCTAGAGATGGAAGAACCTTGGGGAAGTGAACTGAATTCTGCAGCTGCTTCTACCCTGGGGTTGTGGATAGTATTTTTATTACTTATTTTGCAAGTAATACATATTTATTGAGAAAAATATATGTATAAGCAAAACAAAATGTATTACAAAAATTCCACTAGTTATGTATTTCTGTTGTTACCAGGTGATGTGTAATTTCCCAATGTAATGCATGTGTGTTTGTATGTATATGCAGTTAGATATGTAAATACTTTCGTTACAAAATAAACTGATGCTCCAAAAAATTGTTAATAAATGGGGTTTTCCAAGACTATAAGCTATTTTTTATATAATTTTTATATAAATTTATATATAATTTATATATATTTATATAACATTGCTATATAATATTCCATTTTATTTATCATTTTATTTAGCATTTTATTAGCATTTTATTTAGCTGTCTTTAGTGTACCTAACACCTTGATATTATGCATTCAAGTTTCCAATTTTTTATTGTTATAAGCAATTTCTCACTGTTACCATCATCATCTTTGGGTACATATTTGATTACTTGCTTAAGATAAATCTCAGAACTGGAGTTGCTAGTTTCAGATGTATAATATCAAATTTATATCCAGAAAAAAGGTACTATTTTATAGTCCTCTATTAATTTTATGAGTGTCTTTCTCCCCAAACCCTTGTTAAAAAGCGTGTTTTATGTATATCAACAGTTCTCTCTATTTTCTAATTGGGTGTATAACAATTGATATCTGTTGCTTTATATTTTTAGAGTAACAAATCGGAATCCGACTATCATCTATCCTTTAGAAAGTGACCTAAAAATGTTCTCAATAGTTTTTTTTGTAATCCATTTTGTTTCCTTTCAAGTACATACAATAATAGATTGTAACTTTTAAATTTATCATTTGCTTTGTAGATGTTTAAAAGCCAATTCATACAAAGACACTTAAAGATTTTATTAAATGAAAATCCACACAACTGCTCCATCATGCTCAGAACCTCTTTCATATGATACAAATATTCAACAATATTTTCTTCCTTTACATTTATCACTTTATTTTGATATATAAATGTTTAGTCCATGTAAGATATCTATTTTGATCATATGTAAAAGAGGAATGTGATTTTACTTTTAGTTTTGAAATAGTTAATTTTTATAGCAGCATAATGTTCATATTAATAAATTGCACAATATTTTATTATTCCATCTTTTCTATCAACTTGTTATGCATTCTATTTCTGTTCTTTATTGGTTACTGTAGAGGCTACAACATGAGTCTGCTTAGGAGTTTTATTGTGTTTTTGTTGTTGTTGTTGCCTTTTATTTGGTCTCAGCAAATATCTTGAGCTCTGCCATGTCCTCTGTTGCTTTCTTGGTTTCCTGCAGCAGCCCTTCAGGGTCTGAAATCTAGATTCGCAGCCTCCTGCTCACACCCTATGGTTATTATAGTTTCATATTTGAATTTAAAAATTCTTATTCATAATTTCTGCTAAGATTACCTAACTTTTTCTAAAATATACTTTATGGGCGTGCCACCTATTAGGTTTTTATTTTTTCCACACCATACACTTAGGAGTAGAGAGCACACATTTTCAGTGGAATTCCAAATGAAGAAATCCATAAAGGAGAAACACAATGCATTCATTTTATTTTGTTTCCTAGCCTGAAATCTTGAATCAACTGTTAAATCTCGTATATTTTTGCATAGGTGATCATCATCATAATTTATCTGAATTATATATGTTCTCTCTACTCAGAATTTTATATGTATTCTCTCTACTAAACCTCTTAGATTTCATCTCACATATATTCTGTACTGAAGAGATATTTATTTCAAATTTTAATTAATAAAAGCTTATATTTATTAAGCTTCTTTTTAAAACATATATTAAAGTTTTTTGTGTGTGCATGTCTTAGTACTACTTCAAAAGTGTCTCATTTCATATAAAATCATTTTGGAAATGTAACACTCCTCTATCTGTTGAATTGATTAGCTCTAGACTTCTTAAAACTGTGTAACTCCATTGGACTGCATGCTCTGTCTCATTAATACCTACAAATATATCTAACATGGATGTGAAGCTTGAAGGAATCAATAAAGACGCAGCAGGGAAAAAGCTTTTGCCAGAAAAGCTTCGATGGGTTTTTATTCAAGGTAGTACTTCTCTCTTGTCTTATAATGCTTCATTTTAAAGAGGAAGACAGAAATTTTCTCCAAGGCAATATTGTTTTTTATTTTAACCCCATTACTAATCAGGAAGTTGCTCTAGAATTTTATTTTGAATCTTTTTGAAGAGAAATATGTTAGCCTCTGACTAGGTAAGGCAAGGTAAGTACAGTAGTGAGATAAAGCAGGAAAACTGCAACAGAAGTTGAGGTATACTTTGATTTTTTTAATCACAAAACTTGAATTTAGTTAAGAACAAAGCACAAATAAAGGGAGAGTCCTGTATTCATTTTACAAAATAATTTTAAAACTTATAAAAGATATTCATGAATATTTAAAAGGTGGCTGAGGATAGAATAGGAAATCCTAATTTGAAAATTTAATAATTTAAATTTGAGTAAACTCTGATATAAGGGTGGTATTAAGGGTAATTCCAATAGGCTGTATCAGATTATATTTCTCTCTCTCCCCTATGGATAAAAGGTTAAAGATATAGGAAGTAGGAAAAAAAATACAGGATAAAATCTTCAATCTGAATTACACTTTTTGTGCTTTGGTGAAGCAAATCCAAATGATGGTCACAAATGAAGGGAAAAAAAAGGTACTTTAATAAGTGGAGCAAGGTGGCTGAGTAGAAGCCTCCACTGATTGTCCCTCTCACAGGAACGCCAAATTTTAACAACTATCTGCACACAAAAGAGCATTGTCATTAGAACCACAAATCAGGTGAGCAACCACAGTACCTGGTTTTAACTTCATGTTGCTAAAAGAGGCACTGAAGAGGGTAGGAAAGACAGTCTTGAATTGCTGATGCTACTCTGCTACCATTCCTAGGCAGCAGCTGCATGGAATGCAGACAGAATCTGTGCACTCGGAGTGAGGGGAGCACAGCCACTGGGGGACTTGGCATTGAACTCACTGCTGCCCTGCCACAGTCAAGAGCAAAGTTGTGCTTAGCTCAGCAGGCACCTGCCCATGGAGAAAACACTTGGGCTGGCCCTCGCTGAGGAGAATTGCCCATCCCAGTGGCTGGAACTTGAGGTTCTCAGCAAGACTCACTTCTGCAGGCTAAAGTGTTTTATAGTCCTAGGTAATCTTGAAAGGCAGTCAAGGACACAAGGACTGCAATTCCTAGGCAAGTCCTAGCTCTGGAAAGGGCTTAGAGCCAGTGGACTAGGGTGGCATGTCACCTAGGGAGACACCAACTGGGTGAGATAAGGAAGTGTTTGCACTACCACTCCCTCAATAACAGACAGCATAGCTCACAGCAATGAAAATGACTTTTTCCTTCTGCTTGAGGAGAGGAGAGCAAAAAGTAAAGAGCAATTTTTCTTGCATCTTGGATACCAGCTCAGCCACAGTAATATAAGGCACTGGACAGAGAGTCGTGAGGCCCCCATTCCAGGTCACAGCTTCTGGATGACACTTCTAGACATACCCTGGGCCAGAAGGGAACCTGCTGACTTGAAGGGAAAGGCTCAGTCCTGCCAGGATTCATCACCTATTCACTCAAGAGCCCTTAGGGCCTGAAAATTCAACAGTAATACCCAGGTAGCATGCCATGGGCCTTGGGTAAGACTCTGAGATATGCTTACTTCAGGTGAGACCTAGAACGTTCCCAGCTGTAGTGACTACAGTGAAAGACTCTCTTCTGCTTGAGAAAAGCAGAGGGAAAAGTGAAAGGGACTTTATCTTGCACCTTAGGTACCAGCTCAGCCAAGGTAGGGTAGGGCACCAAGCAGGACTGAGGGTCCCTGAGTCCAGGTCTAGGCTCTTGGATAGCATTTCTGGACCTTTGCTTGGTCAGATAGGAGGCCACTGCCCTGAAGGGTGAGTCCCAGGCCAGGCAGCATTCACCACAGGCTGACAGAAGAGCCCTTGGGCCTTAAGTGAATATTGACGGCTGTCTGGCATAACTTCCTGTGGGCCAGTGTTGGCGGCGTCCACTGAGAAAGTCTCCTCTGCCTATGGAAAGGAGACGGAAGAGAGGAAAGAACTTGAAGTTATGGGTTGAAGACCCGCTTAGCTGCAGTAGGGTAGAACACCAGGTAGATTTCTAAGGATTTTGACTCTAATCTCTGGTTCTAAGACATTACTTCTGGAGATACTCAAGGCCTGGGGAACATACTGCTCTGAAGAGAAAGATAGAAACCTGCCTGGATTCCCCACCTGCTGACTGTAGAGCTATAGGGCCTTGAGCGAACATAGGTAGAAGCCAGGTACTGGTTAAAGTGGGCGGTGGGTGATATCCAGTGCTGGGCTGGCTTCAAGTATGACCCAGAGCAGTCCCAGTGGTGGTGGCCACTGGGGTGCTTGCATCACCCCACTCCCATCTCCATGCAGCTCAGCACAGAGAGAGAGAGACTCCATTTGTTTGGGAGGAAGTAAGAAAATAAAACAAGAGTCTTTGCCTGGAAATCCAGAGAATTCATCTGGATCTTATTCAAGACCACCAAAGTGGTACCTCTGCGAGTATTCAAGAACCACATAATTTTTGGGCTTGGGGCCTAAGTCCTTCCAAATACCTGGAAAACCTTCCCAAGTAAGATAGGCACAGATGGCAAAGATTACAATAAATAGGTAACTCTTTAACACCCAGACCCTGACAAACATCTAGAAGCATTAAGACCCTCTAGGAAAACATGTCCTCACCAAATAAACTAAATAAGGCAATAGGGACCAATCCTGGAGAGACAGAGATACATGACTTTTCAGACAGATAATTCAAGATAGCTGTTTGGGGAAACTCAAAGAAATTCAAGATAAGACAAAGAAATAATTCAGAATTTTTTTAGATTTGAAATAATGAAAAAGAATCAAGCAGAAATTCTAGAGTTGAAAGTTTAATTGACATCCTGAAGAATGCATCAGAGCCTCTTAGCAGAATTGATAGAGTACAAGAAAGAAATAGCTTAAAAACTGGCTATCTGAAAATAAACGGTCTGATATGGTTTGGCTGTGTCACCCCCTCAATCTCGAATTGTATGTCCAGAATTCCCACGTGTTGTGGGAGGGACCCAGGGGGAGGTAATTGAATCCCGGTGGCCAGTCTTTGCCATGCTATTCTCGTGATAGTGAGTAAGTCTCACGAGATCTGATGGATTTATCAGGGGTTTCTGCTTTTACTTCTTCATTTTTCTCTTGCTACTACCATGTAAGAAGTGTCTTTCCCCTCCCACCATGATTCTGAGGGCTCCCCAGCCATGTGGAACTGTAAGCCCAATTAAACCTCCTTTCGTTCCCAGTTTCAGATATGCTTTATCAGCAGCATGAAAATGAACTAATATGGTAAATTGGTATGGAGAGTGGGGTGTTGCTGAAAAGATACCGGAAAATGTGGAAGCAATTTTGGAACTGGGTAACAGGCAGAGATTGGAACAGTTTGGAGAATTCAGAAGACAGGAAAATGTGGGAAAGTTTGGAACTTCCTTGAGATCCCTTTGTTGAATGGCTTTGATTAAAGAAGTGCTGATAGTGATATGAACAATAAGGTTCAGGCTGAGGTGGTCTCAGATGGAGTTGAGGAACTTGTTGGGAACTGGAGCAAAGGTAATCCTTGTTATGTTTTTGTAAGGAGGCCAGTGGCATTTTGCTCCTGCTCTAGAGATTTGTGGAACTTTGAACTTGAGAAAGATGATTTTGAGTATCTGGCAGAAGAAATTTCTAAGCAGCAAAGCATTCAAAATGTGACTGGGGTTTTGTTAAAAAGCATTCAAGTTTAAAAGGGAAACAGAGCATAAAAGTTCAGAAAATTTGCAGCCTGACGATGCAGTAGAAAAAAAAAAAGCCTGTGTTTTTTTAGGAGAAATTCAAGCCAGCTGCTGAAATTTGCATAAGTAGCAAGGAACCTAACGTTAATTCCCAAGACCATGGGGAAAATGTCTCCAGGCCATGTCATAGAGCTTCACTGCAGCCCCTCCCATCACAGTTCTGGAGGCTCAGGAGGAAAAAGTGATTCTGTGGGCCAGGCCTAGGGCCCCCTTGCTGTGTGCCACCTAGGGACTTGATGCCTTGTGTCCCAGTTGCTACAGCCAAGGCTGCAAGGAGCCAGTGTACAGCTTGGGCTGTGACTTCAGAGGGTGGAAGCCCTAAGCCTTGGCAGCTTCCATGTGGTGTTGGGGCTGCACAGAAAGTATTGAGGTACACAGAAGTCAAGAACTGAGGTTTGGGAACCTCCACCTAGATTTCAGAAGATGTATGGAAATGCCTGAATGCCCAGGCAAAAGTGTGCTGCAGGGGCAGGGTCTTCATGGAGAACCTCTGCTAGGGCTGTGCAGAAGGGAAATGTGGGGTCAAAGCCACTACACAGAGTCCCTACGAGGGTACTGCCTAGTGGATCTGTGAGAAGAGGGACACTGTTCTCCAGACCCCAGAATGGTAGATCCACTGACAGCTTGCACCATGTGCCTAGAAAAGCTTTTTGTTTGTTTATTTATTTGTTTATGCAATCAGTGTTAAATTGTCACCAGTTTAAAATAATTGGTTATAAGATAGTATTTGCAAGCATCATGGTAATCACAAATTAGAAAACATACAAAGGACACATAGACCCACGAAAACAGAGAATCCAGAAATATATCCACATACCTAGAGTGAACTCATTTTTGACAAAGGTACTGAGAACATACACTGGGGAAAGACAGTCTTTTCAATAAATGGTTCTGGGAAAACTGGATACCCATATGCAGAAGAATGAAACTAGACTCCATCTCTTGCCATATACAAAAGTCAAATGAAGATGGATTAAATGTAAGACCTCTAACTATGAAACTACTGTAAGAAAACATTGGAGGAGATCTCTACGAGATCAGTTTAGGCAAAAATTTTTTGAGCAATACCCCACAAGCACGAGTAACCAAAGCAAAACAGACAAACGGGATCTCATCAAGTTATGAAGCTTCTGCACAGCAAAAGATACAATCAACAAGGTGAAGAGACAACCCACAGAATGGGAGAAAATATTTGCAAACTACCCATCTGACAAGGCTTAATAACCAAAATATATAAGGAACTCAAACAAATCTATGGGAAAATAATCGAATAATCTGATTTAAACATTGTCAAAAGATCTGAATAGACTTTTTTTTTTTTTTTTTGAGACAGAGTTTCGCTTTTGTTACCCAGGCTGGAGTGCAATGGCACGATCTCGGCTCACTGCAACCTCCACCTCCTGGGTTCCAGCAATTCTCCTGCCTCCCCAGTAGCTGGGATTACAGGCATGGGCCACCACACCTGGCTAATTTTGTATTTTTAGTAGAGATGGGGTTTCTTCATGTTGGTGACATTTCTTAAAACAAGACATACAAATGAGAAACAGGCATATGAAAAGGTGCCCAACAGCATTGATCATTAGAGAAATGCAAATCCAAATGACAATGAGATATCATCTTGCTCCATTTAAAATGGCTTTTATCCAAAGACAGGCAATAAAAGAAGCTGGCAAGGATGTGAAGAAAAAGGGATCCTTGTACACAGTTGGTAGGAATGAAAATTAGTACAACGACTATGGAAAACAGTTTGGAATTTAAGTATTTTTAGTCAAAAAACTAAAAATAGAGCTACCATCTAATACAGCAATTCTACTGCTGGGTATATGCCCAAAAGAAAGGTAATCAGTATACTGAAGAGAGATTTGCACTCCTATGTTTGCTGCAGCACTGCTCACAATAGCCAAGATTTGGAAGCAACCTACGTGTCCATCAACAGATAAATGGAAAAAGAAAATGTAGTACTTATACACACAATGGAGTACTGTTCAGTCATAAAAAGAATGAGATCCTTTTATTTGCAACAACATGGATGGAACTGGAGGTCATTATATTAAGTGAAGTAAGCCAGAGAAGGACAAACTTTGCCTATTCTCATTTATTTGTGGGAGCTAAAAAATAAAACGATTGAACTCATGGAGATGGAGAGTAGAAGAATGGTTACCAGAGGCTGAGAAGGACAGTTGGGTAGGGGCAAGTAGAGGTTAATGGGTACAGAAAGTAGTTATAAAGAATGAGTAAGACCTAGTATTTGATAGCACAAGGTGACTGAAGTCAATAATAATTCATTTATACATTTAAAAATAACAGAGTATAATTGGATTTTAACACAAAAGATAAATGCTGGATACTCTAATTTTACATGATGTGATAACTGCACATTGCATGCCTGCATCAAAGTATTTCATGTATCCCATAAATATGTACACCTACTATGTAGCCACAAAAATAAAAAAAAAAAATTAGGCTGGGCGCAATGGCTCATGCCTGTAATCCTCTAGCACTTTGGGAGGCTGAGGCAGGCAGATAACTTGAGGTCAGGAGTTCAAGACCAGCCTGGCCAACATGGTGAAACCTCGTCTCTACTAAAAATACAAAAAAAAAAAAAAAAAAGTCGGGTGTGGTGGCAGGTGTCTGTGATCCCAGCTACTTGGGAGGCTGAGGCAGGTGAATCGCTTGAACCTGGGAGGTGGAGGTTGCAGTGAGCTGAAATCGCGCCACTGCACTCCAGCCTGAGCTACAGAGCGAGACTCTGTCTCAAAAAAAGAAAGAAAAACATTAAAAATGGTACTTTGCCATTCCCCAAAAAGATATAAGAGACATAAATGTTTGGGTATCTACATCAAATTTCTGTAGCTAGACATTAGAACTTTAGTGAAAAAAAAGAGAGTTAGGAAATATAGAAAAAAAATCTTCTAATATTTCCCGAAATGTAAATTTGTTCTTATATAGGCAAGGAAATAAAGCAATATACTCTAAGACATTTATGGCCCCTTAAAGTAACATTTGGCCACAGCATCACATTCATCCCAATCCTGCCAGATGAGCTGGGACTATATGAGGCCCACACAGGCTGTTCATGACCACATGCCAGTCCTGGAAGGACCTTTACTACCGCGGCCTTTGCCGAGGGTGTAAAGAGTCAGGAAGGCATCAAACGAACTGTTTCAGAAGGCAGGAAGTCAAGAGAGACTTACCCATTGTGAAATTAGTGAAAGTACAACCTTTGAATGCCTGTTGACATTTATATGAAGTTCCGTCACAGTGCTGAGATTGCCTGTCTCTATAAATTTGTATGGGCAGCTGTAACTTGCCATTCAAATATTTAAAATACATGAACCATGAATCTCTATTGCTTTCATTTATTTATCTTTCCTTAGACTATAACTGCAGGGTATACAGGCAAAAGCTAACAAAATACAGTAGGTGGTAATGAACCACTTAAAATAGTAAATTTGGGGGATACTATGCAAACACTCCTGCAACTGAATATTTAGCAATATGTTCAACAATAAAATTCTAGGCAAATAGGCTGAATGTCCTAGGGAAATTAATATCTTTGTTATAGCATTTTTGTTGCCTGTAGTATGTATAGAAAGGCAATTTTAGAGCATTCTCCTAAAGCCAAAGTTTATTATATTATTGGTGTAAACTTCTATAATTATATTTGCCTGAGATCCTTACTCTTTTTTGGTCATTTTAAATGAACATTATGGTGCTATAAAAACTTGTAACAGCTTAGACAATTGCAGTAACTTCAAAGGAAATCAATACACACAGTGGTAAATCTTACCCAATAGAAAAATTGTCTTTTAATACTTAATTGTACACAAAGCAAAAATAGGGCAGAAAAAAAGTATGAATTACTTCAGTTATTTGTTTTAACAAGACAAAAAAATAACTTCACTGTAGGTCTTCTGTCTGTCAGAATGGCAAAAAAAAAAAAGCCACCACCTGACTTCTGTATAAGATCATTGCTCTCTCTGTAAATGTCACAATTTTCATTCAAAACCCCTTTTAGCTGTCAGTTTTTAAGCCAGAAAATAATACATTACCTCATACCATAGTCAAAACAAATTCCCTACCTATGTAATACTGATTGGAGAAAGCCACCAAGAAACCGTTATGGTGGATTGCTTTCCTCCCAGTGCCTTGTATCTTTGCGGCACAAAACAGCTGGAGAGTGTTCTAAAATACATTTGCTTTATAGCCGTATTTGAGATAAAGTGGTAACAAGACTGTGGCAGCAACAACAAAAGCTACAACTGCTGTTAATGCTACCACTCTGACGTGGTGTACACCTGCTTCTATGACAAGCTCAACAGAGTAAACTGGAAAGATGACCAGTCCTAGACTTAATCCAGAGGTTGGCCTATCAGTACATGCATGTTGCAAAGTCACCTCATTTTATTAGCATTAAGGAAACTAATGCCATAGTAATGCCTGCCTTTCTCACTACGTAAAATTATTTTAGAGATAAAATGAAAACAAAGTAAAAGGTGTACTGGGCTAATCAATGCAGAATTAAAGACAAGTAGAGGAAATTCAATGTGAGTTCAAAGGAGAAAAGAGGAGAGATGGCTCCCAACATAAGCAACCCAAGCCCTCTATTCCAGGCCTTCAACATTATCCTCAAACTGGGCTGTGTGCCTTTCCTTTCTAATTTTAAAAAGAAAGACAGAATGTAATATACATTACAGACACCCATGAAGTCATCATGATCAATTTTAACGATTGATCACAATTGCTTTAGAATAATTCTATAAAAAAAATTATAGATAATATTTTAACTTTTCTTTGTTCCTCCTCCAGTCCAATTTTCCTCTCTCCTTTCCCAGAAGGAAAACTGTTTGGAAGTTGATTTTCGTCATCATATTCTAGCTTCTTGTATTCAAAGAAATTTGAAGGTATAGATGTATATGTATATATTATACATATATATCCATAAATAATAACACTACCTTTTCATTTCTATAAGTGTCCTTAAGCAGAAAATAAATGTTTTACTCAATATTATAATATGGATATCTACCTAGTTGATGCATATGGATTTGTTTTTCCCATTTAAACTTTATATTATTTCACCACATAAATATACTGCATTTTATTCATCCATTTCTGTGTTGATGGACATTTAGATTATTTTATGACAATATTATGATACAATTATGCACAAACTCTTGACAGCTTTTCCAGGTTTCATACCTAGAAGTGAAATTGCTGAATAAGCTTTGGGCATTTTCAAATGTCGTAGATGTAAAATTGCTCTAGAAAGTGATTATACCAATATACCTATCTAGCCATAGCAAGTGCATTGTATCTTAAATTTCATATTTTCTGGTGATATTTCTACATCACATTTCTTTCAGGTGATCGATCATTAAAGGATCCAGCTTCAGAGGGATGTAGGAGGAAAAACTAGGTAAGATTTCCAATATTTTAGTTTTTCAGATTCTATTCTTGTTGGAGAATTAACGTGGGATTCAGGTAGACAAGGGCTAGCCAGAGAACTGGGCTCATAGAGGGAAGACATAGGACTGATTTCTGTAGTTCTGTTCTTAGAGGGTTACTCAGGAGACAGGACACAGATAGTGGTTACGGGTGAAGAATTAGTTTCCACTCACTAATAGGGACAACCTTTGATTGAGGTAATTTGTGCCTGAGGTGAGTCCATTTTTTTTTGTTTGTTTGTTTTTTGTTTTTGAGATGGAGTCTTGCTCTCTCGTCCAGGCTGGAGTGCAGTGGTGTGATCTCAGCTCACCGCAACCTCAGCCTCCTGGGTTCAAGCGATTCTCCTGCCTCAGCCTCCCGAGAAGCTGGGACTACAGGTGTGTGCCACCATGCCCGGCTATTTTTTTATTTTATTTTTTGTATTTTTAGCAGAGATGGGGTTTCACCATGTTAGCCAGGATGGTCTTGAACTCTTGACCTCAGGGGATTCACCTGCCTTGGCCTCCCAAAGTGCTGGGATTACAGGCGTGAACCACGGCACCTGGCTGAGTCCATTTTTATAACCGTGTGTTGCCCAGGAATATGACACACAAGGGCATACATAGCCAAATGAGAGATTCTTTTTTCACAGTTATACTCTTGTTCTTTGATTTCTAGGGAATTCCTGGTTTGTAAGTGATAAATCTTAATCATCACACCAATACATTTGGAATAATTTGTTAGCAACTCATTGAAGAATAAACAGCAACAATGTTGTTTCAAAACACCCTATTTACCACCTTTTCTAAAATGAATGAAATCTCGAGTTCAGTTAATTTAGGACACAATGTGATTTACAAAATATTCAGCACTATTGCAGATACTTTTCTGTTTGCCTGGGACGAACAAACTTTCCTGCTCCATTATGTTGTACGAGAATCCTTTTTTAATATACTCCCCTTCACGTCCACACAGTGTGCAACAAAACCACAAATATTCTTTTTATACTTTAACACTCTAACCTCTATGTTGGAATTTTGCATTTATCCGTGTATCTCCTTCATAACATTGCAAAAGAGGCAGGATGGAGGAGTAGGTAAGAGTGGAGCCTCTGGGTTGGTCTGCTTGGAAGTGAGCTCTGGCTCTACAGCCTAGTATCTATCTGTCTAATCTGGGCAAGATCCTTTAACTTTGTGTACCTCGGTTTTCTCATCTACAAAATGTGTACAATAATTCACCTATCACATAGCCTTATTGTGAGGATTAATTATCTTAATATTAGGTAACATATGAAAGCATTTGGAAGAGTTCCTGGAGCACTGAGAGAGCTCAATAATGTTAGCTGTTCCTATGTTTATGTTCTTGAGGGCAGGGACTGTCTTCACTACGGATCCAGAGAACCTTGCAGTAGATCTGGAAAGTAAATGGTTGCCCAGAAATATGTGTTCACTACAGTAAACACAGATGTACCTATTTCTGAACAAGCATCTATATAGCATACATTTCATTCTAGTTGGCTTGTGTTCCATTTTCACATCAGCCTTAGACATGCCTGTTAGCTATTCTTTGTTTTGACAGATTTTTAGCTTAAGTTGTCACCTTCATGCCAAGTCTGCCAGACAAGTTATAAAAAGAGGTGGAAAGCATAACTTTTAGCAGCAGGGAGCATTCCATTGGCAGAGCATCTGGGGACAAAGACATTCTGAAATGTTACATTATGTTAGTTACAAGCCTGAGAAATACATTTATTGATGGATTCCACTAGAAGGTATTGTCCTCCCTCAACATAATATATAGATACGTTTGAAGAAGACGATTGTTTAAATAGCTCCACATAAATCGTGACAGCCATAGGATATGAACAAAACAATTTTGCATTTTAAAAGTGTTTATTTCCAAATCAGACAGCTTTTTATTACAAATAATTTATGTTAGGACATAATTCCAAAAGAAACTTTTTGGTGTATATACAAAAAAAATGTTTACATTGAAAAACTTTATTTCTGCTTGTCCCCCAATTAATAGAACACATTTTAAATGTTGGTTGTCAATAAATGGAATTGCAAAGGTTCTTAGAAATAAGAACCTTCTATGGCCGGCGCCTGTGGTCCCAGCTGCTCGGGAGGCTGAGGCAGGAGAATGGCGTGAACCTGGGAGGCGGAGCTTGCAGTGAGCCGAGATCGCGCCACTGCAGTAGCCTGGGCGACAGAGCGAGACTCCGTCTCAAAAAAAAAAAAAAAAAAAAGAAATAAGAACCTTCTAGCTCTTTTCTCAGGCATTTGCTTTTCAATTAAAATGGGAATTCATGTGGATAAATATAATAAGTATCTGTGACCCTTCATCCATCTATTAGAATGGAGTGGGGAAGGTCATGTTCCTGTTGAATGTTGTAGTCTGTGTCCTATAGTCAAGTTCTAAAGATAGCCTAGTATTAACTTGAGTAGATTTTGACGTACTTAAGAAAGATAATCCAGAAACAACATTTAAAGTTAAAATTTACCAGTTGATTTTATACTATGCACCAATTTCTGGATTCTGGAACTTAGAGAAAACATGTTAACTAAAAAGGGAAAAGAGAAGGAAGAAGCTCACACAGGTGAAGAATTTCACGGCAAACCAGGTGAAATACTTTCAATGATGTATAATTAAATTTAGATATATACAATTTGTGCTCACATAAAAGTGTTATTCTAAGCTCATTAGAGATGAGTAATTCAATATACAGTATATTTAACCATTATTATAGCTCATGTCTTCCATCTACACACAAAAAACCATAGTAGCATAACATGCAATGGAATCCCTATTTCTCCTTTTAAAAGACTAGAGAATTTAAAGACTGCTAAATGTTTGCAAAGTGGCTTCTGAACTATTTTTATTCATAGGTGACTTTCTTCTTCCTCTAATCAGTATCTCTCAGTACAGGTGGTGTTAGAACTCATTTTAAAGAGAGTATTTTTAAATTGTTAAAAGATTCTGGTGTCAAGTATATAATACTTTAAGATGGTTTTTAAGTTGTATCACTGCAGAAAACTTCATTAAAGATTTAGTTCATTGTATAAATTCATGTCAGTTGGAAAAGTATTTTTCAATTTAGCTTTATTGTTCTGGACAATCATTAGGCTACTAATGATTTGGTTATTATATTAAAAAAGATTCAGAGTTCTTTATAAAAAATGTAGATCATACTTGAAATATAGATGTAATATTTTTCCATTAGAGCCTATTATCGTTAAAAGGAATTTGATGACAACATATTTAAAAGATTAAAAATAGAGTTAATGTGTATCTGAAAGTGACTTTATTATGTAATCATTTTAATTTGAAATATAATAAAAACAAATCAATATTTTTAATAAATTTACTTCAAACTAACTTAACTAAATGATATCCCGCAAGTAGACATACTGTGCAAGGGGTTCCATTAAAAGTTTATTTTAAAATCCTTGAAGATTTCTTTACTAGAAACAAAAAGTTAATTTTTGAAGATTCTTACTTTTATCAGCTTCCAATTGTTATTGTAATTTTATTTTTGTGCTACTCACAGGCTGACATCAAAAGATAATTGGATTCAGTTCGGTGTTAAAAAAATGTAACTTTCATGGAAAAACATAATCTATTTTTAGGGATTAAGTAGAAAGTTATGAATATTAGCTATATTAAAATAAAAAGATTTTGGAAAAAGTTAACTGTTACATATAGATACAGCCACCAGTTTTTAATTTTTAATATGGGAATTAGCTTCTCCTGGAAGCCTGCTAAATAAAAATTACGCTTTATTTGCAATACTGAGGAAAATTTGAAGGAAGTATTGTCCTTGGTAATACATATGTCTCTAGATTGTTAAAACATTTGAACAAAAGAGTGACAAATCTAAATCCATTTTCTAGCTGTGACAATCATGATGACTCCAGATTGACTCATTGAGAGAAGGCCCCATATTCCTGGAGCTCTAAAGAGCTCCAAGGAAACATGCTGTGATTCTAACATAGCCCAGGTGATATGGTTTGAGTCTGTGTCCTCTCCCAGATCTCATGTCAAATGGTAATCCTCAGTGTTAGAGGCGGGTCCTGGTGCAAGGTGATGGGATCACTGTGGGGGTGCTGGTTTTGCTCTTGCTGTTCTGGCGATAGTGACTGAGTTCTCATGAGATCTGGTTGTTTAAAAGTGTGTAACACCTCCCCCTTCACTCTCTCTCCTGCTCCCAGCATGTAAGAGCCTGCTTCCCCTTGGCCTTCTGCTATGATTGTAAGTTTCCTGAGGCCTCCCCAGTCATGCTTCCTGTACAGCCTGCGGAACTGTAAGTCAATCAAACCTCTTTTCTCCATCAATTACCCAGTCTCAGGTAGTTCCTCATTCCAATGCGAGGACGGACTAATACACCTGGTTAGAAGTGGCTGGGGGGTAAGGAGGGTGGCAAAGAATGCTGTCCAAGAGAACACTGTGCTCTGCCCCTCCCACCCTGCACACTAACTGGCCCATGCAGACATTGCTCCTGGATTTGGGGAGGGCCTGGCTACTTCATCATCAGACATTTCTCCTGGTGATCTCACCCCTGCTAGAAGTAGCTGTACACAAATTTCGGCCTGAAGAGGGCCAGACATCAATGAAGCCAAACTCTGGCCTTAAATCCTTTTCCCTCAGGTGCCCAACATTTTTGTCTGTGCCTCTAGCCATTTGCCCTTGGAATAAATTGGAGGTGCTCTGTTGGCCCTCTTTGCACAACCCCGTGGGGGTCTTTCTTCTCTGATATGTAGCACCAGGGGCAGACCCAGGGAGAAACAGAAATAAGGGCCCTCCTCATTGGCTTCCCTCCCTAGAAACTTCCCTCCAAGGATGAGTTCTTTTCTGACCTGTTGCTGAGGGAGTGGGCCAGTCTCCCTGATACCCAGGAACTGCTGCAGGCAAAGACATAGGTCACTTGCACTCTCTAGCCAGGGAGCTGGTCATGGTGGTTCCAGCTGAGTTCCCCACCAGCAGCCACTTGTGCTGGAAACCTTGTAGCTCTGCCGCCTCCCAAGCTACTTATCCTGGCTCATGTGGAACTAGCAGAGCCCAAACAATGCACTGCTGACTCTGGCTTCCTGAGGAGGGAAGCTGTTCCAGTGATGCCTTCCAGCATCTGAGAGTCTCAGAAGCTCTTTTCTAGGCTTCTCATGCCTTCCTCAGCATCGTACATCTGGTGTGGTGATCAAGGAGGCATTCCTGTTATTCTCTTTCCCATTCACTCTAAGCTTTCCCTTCATTAGCCTGGCTTGGAGTAAATTTCTCACCAAAACATACATCTTAAGCCTGGTGCGGGGAGGGGCTATTAGATTTATGGCATCTCAACATCTAAGTACTTTCACTGCACAACTGCATCTATACATAGTGACCTTGTAATAAAGACATCCCCTCCATCCTTTAAATGATGACACGTGCCTCCAAGGCCTTATGGTATGTATGCAAATGAGCCTTGGGTCAAAATCATGGCCTCCAATGCTCCTTCCCTCAGAAACCACTTTCTCCTTTCCTCCTCTCTTCTCTTTCCTCCTCTCCCACTACCTTTCCTCTTGTGCCCTCTCCTTCTTCCCCTTTCCAATCCCTTTTTCCCCTTTTCTGCTCTTTTCTTCTACCCTCACCTTTCTTTTACAACCTCTACTTCTTTTTCATTATTATCAAAAAAGCGAGGTATATAGGGACATTGATGAAGCATGAAGACAGTTATGTTTACAGTGAAGCTTTAAGAATGAACATCAATAATTATTTTTCATATTTATTAATCATAGACTTCAAAATATTAATGATATGTAATATATTTTAGCAGCATTGTTTCTATAGAAACAAGAGAAAGAGAATTTCTTTGAAGGAGTTCAGGTTCTAATGCAGGTAACATGAACAAAGCAAAGATCTTTAGTTACTAATGGAATGGTTCATTAGGTGGCTAAACCAGCTGGATTGGGTGTTCCAGATTTCCTCCCCATGTTCTCCAACAGACAGAATTTCAGCTTTCTGAAAACAGAAGCCAGATGTTATAAGAACATTTCTTTTTTAACTCCATGAAATTGATTTAAGGGGACATATTTGCTTTTCTGCAATTCAGTGGAGTGACTCAGATAAATTAAAAATTTAAATGTAAAATACCAATTCTCTTCCATGATGCTTCGCCTTCTTTCATGGTAGGTCCACTTCTCCCATAGGCAGGTTCTTATACTAATAACGCCTCAAGAATGTGGTCTAAGAATATCCACTTGAATACAATCTATAATGATAAATGCTGTAATACATAAGCAATGACATGTAATAATAATAGGCTTTTAAAAGTAAAAATTGAAAAAAAGAAAGTAAAGAATTTTCATTACCAAGACTTCCCAAACAAAAACTTATCACTTTTGGAGCTTTGTCAATATTGTGTGATGCAATTATTCATATGTATCCATATGTAATTCTAAAAATTCTGTTGACTGTGACTATTTACTAGGCTTTTATAAGGAAAAAAGAAAATATTTATGTCAGCTAAATCTAGTCCTTTCAGTTTATTTATTTTTATATTTTATGTCTTACTAGACTTTATTATCAAAAGATTACAGGCCCACTGCTCACAGCAGCTACAATCCATTAGCCTAATGGATTGGAATTATAGGTTGTCTTAGGAATTGTCTATTGTGTGACGAAATCAAATGTAAGCCCTACTGTGAAAAGCCTTGACACTATTAAATGTGAAAAATACAATGTGTTCAAGAAGATGTTAACAAAACAGATGCAAGGCATTGAGTTAACCAACTAGAAAGTAACATGAAGTTTATGCCAAAATAAAAACTACTTGTGTTTTCTTGTTGCTGTTATTTAATACAGCAACCGTACACTGTCATTCACCACCCAACAGAGCTGGATGAATAGTGGGTACATACTGATTAACTTTTCCCTTTTCCTACCAAATAGTGACCACAGAATGTTTGCATATACATCTATTCTTACTCAAATTTCTGCCTCATGTAATACTTTCATTCATTCAACAAAAATATTTGAGTGTCTACTCTGTACCACACACTGTGAAGGTATGAGGCTTATTATGAACATGTGAAAGCCAGCAAATGACTAACCAGGAAAACTCTTATGCTTTGTCACGTTTGCATATGCTGTCAGCTCTTTTCCGTTATAGGGCACTTTCACTACTTGGACAACATGTAGTCCTGGAAGTTTCCTGGTTGAGGATGGGTCTGCAAGGAGAGTCTGGGCTTTGAAATTATCAAGTTCAGTTTTGACATACAGAGAAAAGTGAGGAAAGAGTGGTCCAACTCTCCTTCCAGAGACGCCCAATGTTGACAGAGGAGCAACTTTCTAGTGAGATAAGCCACCATTGGTACAGCAGGGTACCTGTGGGAGGGCTTTTGTGCTGTCAAACCTGGGGAGAATTAGTTATCATTGCAACTACTGTAGAGGACAGAGTTGAAGCACTTTGACTCACCTCTTAAAACCCACAGAGGTGACGTAGCGCAAAAAAATCTTTTGTGACATGTCCTGTCTCTTTGTCCTTTCTTTATGCATTTCACTGATTTGTCAGAATCACTTTCTCCTACAGAAACATATAAGTCATTTATATAGAAAAAAAGGCAAATATTTGAATACTATGTTCAGTTACATATAAGTTTAATTTTCAGACAATAAGGTCGGGAGTTTGAGACCAGCCTGACCAACATGGAGAAACCCCGTCTCTACTAAAAATACAAAATTAGCCGGGCGTGGTGGTGCGTCCCTGTAATCCCAGCTACTCAGGAGGCTGAGGCAGGAGAATTGCTTGAACCTGGGAGGTGGAGGTTGCAGTGAACTGAGATCGTGCCATTGCACTCCAGCCTGGGCAACAAGAGTGAAAATCCGTCTCAAAACAAAACAAAACAACAAAAACAACAAAATCAAAACTCAAAGTTTATGGGAAATGTTATTCTGAAATATACATCTTGAAAAACAGACAACAAAATGGAAAATAAATTAGACACATAGGCAGCAAATGTCCAAAAGTTAAATATAAAACTTAACTTTTATAAGTGAAATACTAACTTTTTCATCTAAGTATCTTATAAAAGAAAACAAAGAGTTTAATCATAGTATGCTGGCATTTAATCTTCTAGAAGAAAGCTTGTCATTTTGAATGTTGTATTACCTTCTCCAAGGGTGAACAAGTAATTCCTCCTGCCTTTATCTGTCTTTGTCTTTCTCACACACACAGACACATTCATTCACCCATAGAAACAGAATTCATACATTTATTTATTCTAATAATCTACAGTAGTGTTTTCCATATACTTAGCATCATGTTAGATGCACAGAAAAATACCCAGAAAATATAATTGGTTCCTGACCTCCAGCCTATACCTTTAGAAAACAAACAAAAAAATCACTCATTTATTCATTCAACAAGCAATTTTTCCTTTAATTTCCATAGGTTTTTGGAACAGGTGGTGTTTGGTTACATAAGTTTTTTACTGGTGGTTTGTGAGACTGTGGTGCACCCATCACCCAAACAGTATATACTGTACCTAATTTGTAGTCTTTTGTCACTCATTCCCCTCTCACCCTTTCCCCCCAAGTGCCCAAAGTCCATTGTATCATTCTTACGTCTTTGCATCCTCATAGCTTAGCTCCCACTTATGAGTGAGAACATACAATGTTTGGTTTTCCGTTCCTGAGTTACTTCACTTAAAATAATGGTCTCCAATTCCATCCAGGTTGCTACAAATGCATTATTTCATTTTTTTAATGGCTGAATAGTATTCCATGGTGTATATATATAAAACAATGCCTTTATTCACCCACTGATTGATGGGCATTTACGCTGGTTCCATATTTTTGCAATTGTAAATTGTGCTGCTATAAACATATGTGTGCAAGTATCTTTTTTGTATAATGACTTCTTTTCCTTTGGGTAGATACACAGTAGTGGGACTGCTGGATCAAATGGTAGTTCTACTTTTAGTTCTTTAAAGAATCTCCACACTGTTTTCCATAGTGGTTGTACCAGTTTGCATTCCCACCAGCAGTGTAAAAGTGTTCCCTTTTAACTGCATCCCTGCCAACATCTATTATTTTTTGATTTTTTGGTTATGGCCATTCTTCATGAGTGAGGTGGTATTGCAATGTGGTTTTAATTTGCATTTCCCTGATCATTAGTGATGTTGAGCATTTTTTCATTCAACAAGCAATTTTTTTCATTCAACAAGCATTTTTTCATTCAACAAGCAATTACTGAGTACTTATTTTGTGCCAGTTATGCATGCATACATTAGTTACATAATGAATAAATGAAGTGCTAAAATATGATTGCCTGGGGTTGAGGAAATGGAGAAATACTGACTGGGGGAGAAGCTAAATGAATCCGGAAGGAAGAGTAGGATTTTAAAGGACTAATATATTGCAGAAGTTAGAGTCTGGGTACATGTCAGGAAGGCAGAAACAAAGAATAGGAGCAATAAATGATTTTAAATGGATGGAGTGAAATGTGGTACCCAAGGCCTGGCATGAGGCTGGGAAAATAGCCATTCAGTGCCAGACTTGGTGCAGATGTGGGATATAATTAAAGGCTGGAGATGAAAGGAGTGACGTCTACAGCCAGAGCTTAGATAAGGGTTAAATTTGCATATATTGAGGGAGAAGGAAAAGCCAATTCTGCTGGTGAAGTGAGTTTACAATTTGTGCACAGACCCGGAAATGAGAAAGAAAATTGCTTATTCTAAAGGTGTTAACTAAAAGAGAGAGGAATAAACATGAATAAACTGGAGCATTTCAAATAGAACCTGAGATTAATGTATTAAGAAATATTAACCGTTACTTTAAATGAAAGGTTTACAAACTATTGCTTCTGGGCGTGGTTGTTCGATTTTGCCTTCATTGTGTAAATATCACATTATGCTTTAAATAAATTTCTTGATGAAGCTTTTGTGTGTTATTGTAACCTATACTTGAAAGAATGTTATATTTTATGTTTGCTAAGAGAACTACATATAGATATTTGGGCATGTAAATTTTGATAGGATATACATGGAAGAGTCCTTATTGGGAAGTGGCATTTAGGGAGAGACCAGGAGGAAGTGGAGAGAGACTTTTCAAACAGAAGCAAATGCAAATGCCAAATTTAGTCCTATGTCTGTTTCTTTCCAGTTTTGTTTCATCGCTCCATTAAAAAAATATATCTGTACCAAAATAACTGTGCTTGAAATGTATAATCTATAATTTATAATTTGAATCATAAATTACAATTCAATATAAGTAATCAGTTACAGTAAATACTTTACACATTAATCATTCCTCTACAGAAATATCTTAGCTATTCTCAAAATTTCATCTTCCATATCAGTTTTCATATTCAGAATGTTGATTTACTTGAAAAAAACACAATTTGAGATTTTATTGGAATTGCTATTAAGTCATTATATACAATTATGGAGACAATCACATTTTTAAGAAATATATTTTTCTCAGGAAGAGAGTATATTTCTCTATGAATTTAACTTCTCTTCAATGTCTATCAAACTTTTATCATACTTTTTAAAAAAATAAATGTATTCTGTTATTCTCATACTGTTGTAACAGCATAATTTTTAATACTATTTTATGTGTTTATTTCTCACATATAAAAATAAAATTAATTTTACATAAATTGCTCTTTTATTGAGTTGTCTAAGCTTTATATTAATTCTAATAATTTTTCTGTAGATCTGTAGAGCTTTTGGATTTTCTTGTAATCAATCATCATGTGCAACTATTTCTTCTTTTCAATCACATACACTTGTTATTTTCTTTCACTCAACACTGGCGCATTTCCTATTCAGGGTTGAGTAGAAGCAGTGATAATTAGTAGCCTTATCATGCTCCTGATCTTAGCAAGGTATGCACCTAGCCTATTATCATTATTCATGAGATTTCTGTAGGATTTTGGTAGATTATTTAATATTAAGGGGCTTCCTTGTATTCCCTATGTAAATTTAATGTGATTTTTCCAAATCCATTTTCCATTTGTCATTTTTTATCTTCACCTGGGACTGCTGTTTAATCAACTCATTGTGATCAACTGTTTTTTTTTTTTTTTGTCTAAAAGTTCTGCTGTTATATTTGTGAATTCGTTTGTTTTAATCTATCTGGTCAATATTAATGATACTTCTTCCTTGAGAATTTTTAAGTTTCACCTTTTAGCCTACTGGATGTTTTATACATAGTCATAGCCTGTTGCTGATATATTTCAAATAGAGTAGGCCTGAGAGTAGAAGTTTCTGATTTTATTTTTTCCTTCTCATTCTCATTATTGTGTTTTATTTTCTCCCATGCATGTCTAAAATCATATATATAAGACATATATACATAAACATATATGTGTGCGTGCATATATATATACACACACATATTTAATTGAACTTAATCTGGAGCATTTTTGAGGGCCAAAATGCTTCTTTCATCCAAGGAGCATTTGAGTTTTTGTTTGTCAGAGCTAGAGGCTTGCTGTCCTCCTGGGATCTATCTAGTTTCTTTCAGTGTTTTTGGTTTAAGGCAGGTATCTCAGGCTTAGCCTCCAAACATTTACTATATCTATAGTTTAGTCCCTTAGTCATAGCTACCTACCTGGGGACCCTGGTCCCTTCTCTGTTTTTTTTCCCCTTTTCAAGTTTCTTGTTCTAATTATCGGCCGTGTTTTTTTGTTGTATGTCTTTGAATATTTCTGTTATTTTCATTAAGTCCAAAAATGTATTAAAAGCTATATTTGCTGTAATTATTCCAGAAGTATTAAGCTGTATTTAATTGGTACACCAGTGGCCAATTAGATCTGCCACATAAATGTTTCATAAGAACACTTAGACTTATTGCATTTTATTCTAATGCATGTAAAATGGATTAATTAGGAAATTCAATGCCAATTGCCAACTTCCACTGAACGTAAATGACAAAATGCAAATATCTTTCCTAAAAGTAGCACAGTGAATTATCATTTCTACATCTGAAACTTCATCATATTAGAAAACAATTTGCTTTTAGGAATAGAATATGGCTCACTATATTTCTTTTCATTCTGTTCAAGTTTATTTTTTGTGCAACAAACTAACCCATTGAGTTTTATTGGGAAAATTCCTCTAATCTGTGCACTATTATTTATTCTGCATTTTATATCACAAGGCAAACTTTTAAATGGCTCATGAATCGAATAAACCTAATCGATTAAAACTTCACTCATCTTTATGAGTATGATTAGGCAATGAACATTCTATATACAAATCATTTTGTACTGCTTGGGTTCATTTAAGGTTTCTCAGTGAGATCCATAAATACATATTGATATTTCATTATTGCAGCACTTTGCTAACACATTATCTGATAAGATAAAAAGGTAAAAGATCATATAAAGACAGAGCAATTTGATTTCACAAACGAAACCTCCTAGTCTTAATTCACTGGGCATACTTAGGGTAGCTAAATTTTGAGCAATACTTCGCAATGAGCACTCTTAAGAAAGTGGAGAAAGCGTGCAGGGAAACAGCAAAGTTGTTTATAGACATGTTTCCTAATTTCTCTACCTGAGAGTATTCAAAGTGGCTAAATCTGGGAACCAGAATATACATAAAGAAATAATAAGAGACAGTGATATCAGCACCGTAGATGTAATCAATGGGGAAGAACAAGATAGAGCATCTGAACAAAGTATTTGCTTTATCCTTTAGGCACTGTTCTTCATATCTAATTTGTAACTGCTCTATCTTCCTGATAGGTTACTATCTACCACTGTACAAGCCTCTAAGGCTTCATTCCACCAAATGGTCTGTTTCACTTACAGTCCGGACTTGTCTTCTTACTGCTCTCAGCTCTGCTTCCAACTCTTTTACCTGGTAACTGCCTATGTCTCTAAGACTATATTCATTTGACAAGATGCTGCTACCAGGACATTGCTTCAAAACTCCCTTTCATATCCTCATCAGTGAATTGTCCAGAATTCCATTGACACAAGGATTGTGACTACATGGTACACTTGACTGAAGGCTTGGGGATGACAGAGGACCTTTCAATATGGAAAGATACAATTTGAAACTGGATGAAAACATAAAAACATACATTTTTTGATAGTACAAGGAAAAAGTACACACACACACACACACACACACATACACACATATAATGCTTACTTGATTGCTTCAATATCAATCCTCTCATTTTTCCAACTGTCTAGGGAAAATTTCCAAACTCCTTTTGAAAAATCCTATTCATTACTGACAGGCAGCGATTTCACCTTATTCATTCCTTCTTGATATCATGACAATTCAAAAAGAAAAGTAACATTCCAGAGAGAAGAATGATTCAGTTGTCAATGAAACTGTGGGGAACCTATAAATCTACTTAAACTGAATTTTGATCAGCCATGGGCTACTTTGCCAGGGTAGATGTGCTTTGTCTTTCCACTGAAAATTTTCTAGTAAATAAATTTTAGAAAACATACACACACACACCTTTTAAGAAGCAATAATGTTAATAAGAGCCAACATGTTTAATTGCAGACCAAGAAAATATTTACTTTGTGGTTAAATTTGACTTCAAATGTCCCTAGTCTGAAGTTAATAGCATGTTCTCTACTTTCTCTTTTTTTTTTAAAGCTCCAAGGGCACTCCATTCCAAAAAATCTGGTGACCAGTTATATAATGTTTCACCAAAATCAAAGAACTCTCTTTACCTGATGATCATCTTCAGCAGGAGGTTTATCTTAATTCCCTGCATCAGTGCCTGGAAGTATAAAGCAGATATAATATAGATTCTTAAATATGAACATAATCTACAGATTATAGAAGATACAGACCTTTAAAAATATAGATATAATCCTCTGGCATCACCCATCCTCTGGGTGAGGAAATTGTGATTCCAGTTATATATGAATTACTGATAATACCTAAAAGTGCCTATAATCTTGTGGAATTGAAACCAATGTAAGTCATAATTTCCAATGTACTGTTGAGTTAGTGGGATGTGACAGGAAGTAGTGATGTGTTAAGAACCTGTGGGTCTCATTTCTTCATAGTTTAATCAAGTTCCAAGGTAGCTCGAGTGATTGCAGTAGGAGATGTTTGTGTAAGGCCTTGGATTAAATATTCTCCAGCCATTAACCACATTTCTACACCCTGCTTATTGACAGGGGGTTTAATTCAGGATTAATACAAATCTTTTTTTCCTACAGGAAAAGTAAATTGAAATACACATTCAATGGTTGGGATAGGTAAGGTACATCTGCTTGGGTATAAAGAAACACACATTCAAAAGGTTATGACAACTAATGCCCCATTAGAAAGAAAATATATATTATAGCTCATAGTGTCTGCTGTTTATATCCTTTCCCCATGTGCTCTGCAAATCAAATTATATCAGACATCCACAGATGAGTTAAACACTTAAGTGGTTTATTCACGTAAGGCTGAACTTGATAGATTTTCTGTTTTTAATAAAAGTGTTCTGGAACATTCTGAATGGCATTTGGGGCACTGGGATGGCCATGACTATGGTTTTCTAATTAATTTTCCTGCCAGCAGACATAAACCAACGGAGAGTAATTTAGCCTTGGTCAACACAAATCAAAGACATAATATTGGAAATTATCCAAATATTCTGAATTAATTCGTGGAACTAGAATTTAACCTCCAAAGATTTCTCCATTGTTTTGTCCATAGAGAAAGTGAACTTGATGATTCGACACTAATAATTGAACTTGCTATTGGTTAAGAAACAGCTGATAAACTCTGCAGCTATGTGATCAAGTAAATCAATATTTTAAATATTTAAGACCAGCATTAGAATTTTTTTATCCTGATTTACCCAATGTCTTTAAATCCACATAGATTCCATTTCCAGGCTCATCGCTGTTCCTCTTAATGTTATACTTTTTATACTACAGCCAGTGAGGATTTCTTTCTTTTTTAGAGACAGCCTCTTGCTCTGTTGCCCAGTCGGCGAGATCACAGCTCTCTGCAGCCTCAAAGTCCTGTGCTCAAAGTCATCCCCCCACCTTACCTTCCTGAGTAGCTGGGACTACAGGAGTAGTTTTTACAGACAAGTTTTTTTTTATTACTGTTTCTCGATAAAAAATGATAATTTTATTTCATGAAGACTTGCTACACACTGCTAGATTTATTTGCTCCTGAAAAGTAAGTTGACCCCAAGAGCACTTTGAATGAATCTGATTGGTAATCCCTGCCAGCTGAATGTTGAATTCAGTACAACTGTCACATATTTTTTATTAAAGAAAAGCAAATGTATTGAAATTGGTATAATGTTCTCAAGAAATATATCTAAGCTACATTGTATGTATATTCTGAGGCCAGCAATGGAAATTGATTTAACAGAAAAAATTTTATGGCCCATTCTGATGTTTAGTTTATAGCCTCTCTATCTTGTTTGCCAAAAGAATAAAAAGTCTGCTTTATATAATCAACAAAAATAACAAGCATTTACATGGTTGAGCAAACTGGGAGATGGTTAATTGTAATTTGCTTAACAGTTACAATTGAGAAATTATAAAACTGGTGAAATACTCATCTCAGAAAGACTATTTGGATCATGAAATTTGCAAATGTGTATGCTCTTTTTTTAAAAGGTCAGAAATTCATCACATGAGGAGCAAACATAGCAAAGAGACAATGTGAATAATAGGAAAGGTAAAAGCCAACGATAAAGGCAAAGTAAATTGTAATTTAAATATTAGAGATTAAACTGGATTCTATTAAGAAGCAAATTATATATGTTTGACAGATATGTCAAACTAAACCTCACAGATCAATAATTAATGTTTAATTTCTTATAGTTGCAAAAATGTTATGTAAAACTCTATGAACCTCCATTCTTAATATTATAACAGAGACATAGTCAAAATAGTGAAAGCTTCCTAAAGGCTTATTGAAAAATGCTGAATTATAAATAACAGAGTTTAAAATAAGTTAAAGGGCTTACTTTCACCAATGATTATTTACTCCATGTCTCCATTCTTTAAATTAATATAGCATCTTAAGGTCATATGTTTAGCACATCTTACATGGCTCTTTACCCTATTTTTTTCCTGGTAAAATACTAAGCTTACAGTATGTAATACATCCTTCCTTAACAAAGCAATGCATCTTCTTCATAAACCCATGCAGAGGTTGATGCTAATCATAAAAAGAGACAATTGCTGCTCCTTTAAAATTTTAAAGTAGAAACAAATGCAAACAATGGCAGTCAAGTAACTATTGTGAGATAAATATGGCCAATGTAAATAAAAGCAACTATAGACCTTTATTTCACTCTTCTATTTCCCATGTTAAACATTTGGTTATCAACAGTTGTGTATGATCAGAACTTGGAAACGACTTTGTTACCCCCCAGGTCTATATCACTCTGCTTAAAATTCAAGTGATTTTAAACTTTCATTTAGTATGAAGCATTTAGAACCTTCTTGGAACCATGTTTTCTGTCCTTGTTACATAATTTATAACAGTGATGGTCTCCCTAATGCATGATTGGCTTGTGGGGAAATTGCTGTTTAATTTTAGTTTGATAATATGGACCCTAACTGTCAAGAAATCCATTTCTCTTAAGGCCTTATCCTGCTTTTACTCAACAACTGAATATATTGAAGCACAGTGTAGTTATTTTTATACTGTATTTATAGCACAAAGAGAGTTACTGAGAGTCATCTGTATAGTCATCATTTAGGGATTCCAGTGGTTCTATGTTGTCTTCCATGTGGACTATTACAGATGAAAGGAGCTGAGCAAACTATAAAGGCAGTACACTACTCAGGCACTATGTAAGAGAGCCAGTACTTTTCTGACTATTTTGTGGGCTCCCCCCGGGAAGAGTCCACATGGGCACTTACGCTCTATCATCAAGGATTAAAATTAGGAATTAAAACATCTGATCCCCAAATGGCACCAGCTTCACTTTAAAAGTAGTTCACAAATAATTACTTAACCTTAGTAAAAATAATTATCAGTTTGTCTACATACTTTTGGTATTTTATATGTATAATTTATGTTGTACAATAATACAAGATATAATGGACATACTATAAGATGCACATATTTATAATGTATGATTTGATTACTTTGACTTATGTGTATACTCATGAAACTATCACCAAAATCAAGATAATAAACATATCCATAACACATGTAAGTTTTCTAGTGCCCTTTGGTAATTCCCACCTCTGGCCTTTATCCGCTCCCCTCTTCCACAAGCAAGAACTGTTCTACCTTCTGTCACAACAGATTGCACTTTCTATAATTTTATGTGAATTAATGCATGTAGTATGCACTTTTTAAAAATATAGCTTGTTTTCTCAGCAAAATTGTATTTGTTTTATTCAAGATGTAGTACACATCAATAGTTTATTTTCTTGTTTATAATAATGCCTTTATTGAAATAATTTACATACTAAAAAATTTACCCTTTTACAGTGTTCAATTCAGTGTTTTATAGTACATTCACGGAGTTGGGCAAGCATCAACACTATCTGGATTTAGAACAGTTTTCAGCGCCTCCAAAAGAAACTTCATATCCATTCATAGTCATTTCTGAATAGACCCTGGAAACCAATAATCTAATTTTTATATCTATAGATTTACCTTTTCTGGACATTTGATATAAATTGATTCATACAATATGTGGCTTTTGTGAACTCATTTATTTTTATTGCTAAGTAGTATCTCACTGTGTGAACAAACCACAGATTGTTTATCCATTCATCTGCTGATGCACACTTGGGTTTATTCTGCTTCACATAAAGATACTGTGAACATATGCTTTCCTTTCTATTGGGTAAATGCTGTTTAGTGAAATGGTTGGGTTATACATTAAGTATACATTAAACATTTTGAAAAAATTCCAATTTGTTTTCTAAAGTAGTTGTACAATCATACATTCATATCAGCAGTGCATCAGAGTTCTAGTTATTCTATTTACTAATTAAAACTTAGTATGGACATTCATTTTAATTTTAGCCATTCCAACAGATATGTAGTAGTAGTTGACTGTGGTTTTAATTTATATTTTTTAATGACTAATAATGCTGAACATCTTTTCATTCATTTAATTGCTATCCATATACCATCTATAGTGAAGTATTTATTTAAATCTTTTGCCCTCTTTAAAATTGAGTTATCTTATTTTTTATTTTAAAAATTGTTTAAACATTCTTTCTATAATTATATAAGTACATTCGCAACAAAGGCAGCTTAATGTCTTTCTATTCTTTTGGATATTTGATTTCTAAAAGTGAACTACAAAGAAAGGTCAAAATTTTATATGAAAGTTACAAACTATTTATTTTGCAACTTTAGGCATCCAGGAGAAAAATATTCGGAGGAGATACTCTTTGCTGGAGAAAAATCACACTGAATTATTACTTATCCTAACGGAGGTGTCTGGGTTTGCTATATAGCCAACTTCCCTTGCCATACATTGTTTGATAGTTTCCAGATCAATTCTCATCAGAAGCAGATTGCAGTTCTCCTAGTCTCAATTTTTGTTTTACTTAGCTGTTGTGTCAATTCCAGCCTATGCAGCAATTTCAGTGTATGTGGGATTGAGGTGTCTATGGCAAGTCACCCGGGTGACCACAGACTCATTAAGTTACAATGCTCCTGTTATTTCCCTGACTCCATTATTTTATTCTTCTGATTTGCTCTACACGCAATAGTCATAATCATTCTTTAAATACAAATATGATCTTTTTTTTTCCCCTCTGTTTAAAACTCAACCACCAGTGTGTGGCATGTAGGTAGTCCCAGATACTTAAGAGGATGCGGTGGGAAAAGTGCTTGAGCCCAGGAGTTCGAGAACAGCATGGACAAAATAGTGAGACTCCATGTCAGAAAACAAAATACAAAATAACTCACCCATGGTTTTTCTTTGAGTATAAGCTAAAGTTCTACTATACCTTCTGTTAGAGTGAACTAAATATGGCCTGAGAAGGACTCCAGATTTCTATATTTGCGTCCTTTTGGGCGAACTACAACTTAGCTTAATAGGCAGACAAGATTGACAACCTAACGTAGGAGTATTTGCCTGTAACAATAGCTGAGTCTTGGCCAATCCCAGTGGCCATTCTTCAACCACTCATAGACTGCTGACTGTTCAAGTTGTGCTCAAATAAAGCAAACGCCAACCTGTAACCAATCCAGCTGTTTCTGTACCTCACTTCTGATTCCTGTATGTCACTTTACTTTTTTTGTCTGTAAATTTGTTCTGACCACTAGGCACCCCGGGAGTCTCTGTGAATCTGCTGTGATTCTGGAGGCTGCCTGCTTCACAAATCGTTTCTTCTTTTTTAACTCAGTTAAACTCCATCAAATTTAATTTTTCTGACGTTTTCTTTTCACACTTAAAAGCCCTACTTCATTTGCACCACTGCTGTTCAACTTCCCTCCCCACCCCTACCGCCACTATTTCCAACTACCTGATCGCCTTTCTTACCATTCTCTCTCTTTTTTTCTTCTCCCATCCTGGGCTCCTTGTCATTCTCAAACATAGCAAGCACACAACCCTCTCATGAGATTTGTGCTTGTCAGCTCCTCTGCTGAAAATATTTTCTCTCAGTTGTCTGCAGGGCTTGTCCCCTGTTCCCTTCAAATTATGCTCAAGGGGCTGTCTGCTGCATTAAAATAGTCCCCACGTCCTGCCATCATTACACTGTCCAAACCTCTCTCTCTTATCCTCCCTTATTTTCTTCCTTATTTCTGCCCTAATTTATGACCACACAACATCTTTCTATGATGTTGTTTATTGTTGCTTCCACCTCTAACATCAGAGAACAGAAGCTTCATATGAGCATGGGAATTGTTGTTTTCATATATTTATCCCTGGTTCTGGGAGGATGCTTGGTGCGTAGTAGGTAATAAATATTTTTCACTGAGACCTCTCCTTTATAACACTTTCCTTGCCAACATCTCAGTTGTGTACCTTTGTTTATTATAGCTTCCTTGAATGGGACTCTGACATCACGTTCAACTCTTGCAAATTTTTCCTTAGGTGAGCAGGCTGTTAAACTTAACCATGCTAAAGTCTTGACTGAAATAGACCTACCAGCCAGGACCACAATGCTATTACCTGCTTTATCACTCACTGCTTAGAAGGTAGTACACCACTACATAAAGATCAAATGGGGCCAGGTGAGGTAGCTCATGCCTGTAATCCCAGCACTTTGGGAGGCCGAGGAGGGCAGATCACCTGAAGTCAGGAGTTCGAGACCAGCCTGGCCAACATGGCGAAACCCCATCTCTACTAAAAGTACAAAAATTAGCCGGGTGTGGTGGCAGGCGCCTGTAATCTTAGCTACTCAGGAGGCTGAGGCAGGAGAATCTCTTGAACCCAGGAGGTGGAGGTTGCAATGAGCCAAGATCGTGCCACTGCACTCCAGCCTGGGTGACAAGAACAAGACTCTGTCTCAAAAAAATAAATAAATAAATAAGAGAACAAATGGAAGTGGTAAACTTTCACAAACAATATAAAACATTGTTTTTCAGGTTTTCAAACTTTTAATGGATTATAACATCCACATTTTTTTCAGTCACCAAAGACAATGGTAGTGTCTTAAAGCCATAAGAAAATAAAAATATATTACTTAAAAGATAAAAAAATTAAAACTAACATCAGTTTTCTTAAAAACAACAACAGAAGCCAGTGAACTATATTTACAACGCTAATCAAAAGTAACTTACCATTGTACTTCTAGTTAACTATTATTTTTGAGTGAGTGTGAAAGAAAGACATTTTGGACAAAAACTCAAAATTGCCACTAAGAGTCCAAGTGAAAGAACCAAAAAGCAATGACTTCATTCAGAATGAGGGAGTAAAATATACGACACTTAAAAAAAAGCCAGTCAACAATTGGATATTTCTAAACAACCATATCCTGCTTTCCATTTGACAAATTTGACAATTTTGTTTACACATTGTCTTTATCTTTTTGTATTTTTTTACTTCTCTTACATCTTTCATTGGTTAAAACATAACTAAGCTCCCTTGAGTTGATTATTTTGATTATTGCATCTGCTGATTCTTCTCTCCTTATAGAGCCATCAGGGAGCATGACCAAGAGCAGAGATGTAAAAGAAAAACATGGGTTGAGTGATGCTACCAGAGCTCAAAGAGAGACATGTTTCCACAAAAAAGGTAGTAGTCAACTGTATTCAATGAGAAGACAAGTGAGGCAAGGATAGAAATACACACCACAGAGTTAGCAGCCTTGAATTTGTTGGTGATCTTGGCAAGTGAGGACACAGTGGAACAAAAGTTGGAATGGAATATGTGGAAGAATGGGGTGAGCTTGTACAGTCACTTAAATATTTGAATTTGGCTTCTCTTTTCTTTTCAGACCCTATTAAGTGGAGAGTAGAGGAAATTTTAATATCAAGCCTACAAGGACAAAGAGTATGAAACAGCAGTCAAGAGACAACAAACCATTTTGAAGATAGATCTTGGCTTAGTGAATAGTGGCCATGGCTAAAATGGAAGCCTCAGTGTCTTCAGAGGGGATGACCAGGAGACCCATGATTAGTCACCTTAGAGAAGTGGCAAAACTCAGAAATTAGGTGCAACATGCACCTCAAGTAAACAAAATGAAAGAAAGGACAAAAAAAGATGACCTAGTTGAAAGTAAGCATACTAGGCAGTTGAGTTCCACTATCCCTTTCTGCAACAACATGACCTTTTCATTACAGTCTGTAGTTTAGGTTTATTACTAAATGGTTTCTCAAACACCTGGAAGCAACACTTTTAGATCAGAGCCTAGAGGTGAGAAGCACTGGCTGGTACAAGATCACCATCTTGTCTCACTCAGGGCACCCAAATGCTAAACCATAACAGCCATAACAAAATCTTTTTCCATATATCTACATGCCATAATCTTTGCCATATCCAGTAAGCTAGAGTTGTGGGAATGAGTGTCTCTCTGTGTGTGCTTATCTTTCAAGGTAAAAGTAATATGTTTTTATTTTGGAAATTGTCTCATGATTATTAGTGTTTTTAGTAATGTTGTGGGCGGGTCTTTGTTTTTAGAGCTCCCAAGATGGAGGCGGGCCACTCCCAAGATGGCAGAAAGCCTTTTGTTCTCTGACCTGGGGTTCTTGGCCTCACAGATTCCAAGGAATGGAACATTGGGCCATGCGGTTAGTGTTATAGCTCTATTAGAAGCCATCATTATCATCATTAGAAGCCATAGATCTATTAGAAGCGTCTATTAGAAAGAGAAGTGTGGAACCCAGCAACTAGTGTTCAGCTCGATTAGGACAAACCTGGGCACTTAGCTGTGCAGGAACAATAGTGAGCCTTTAGCCCGGTCAGGAGCGGCAATGGGCGCCTCACTGGATCAGGAGCGCAGCAGACACCCTGCCGGATCCGGAGGGGTGGAAGTCAGCGGCGGGTCTGCTACCACGGGGAACAGCAGTGGTAGAGGGTGAGCAAAAGTTCAGCTTGAGCCGGAACAAACACTGACCAGAGGAGTGTACAGTTGCAAGATTTAACAGAGTGAAAACAGAGCTCCCATACAATGGGAGGGGACCCAAAGGGGGTTGCCCACTCCCGGTTTGAATCCCTGGGTTTTATATCCCAATCATTGTCCCTCCCCCTGTGCTGTTAGGCGATATATGATTTGACTATTTCTTTACCTCCTGCTTTTAGCCTAATTTGTATTTCAGTGAACCCTCTTTACTACCTGATTGGTCGGATGCGAGCTGAGTTACACGCTCCGTGTTTAAAGGTGGGTGTGGTCACCTTTCCCAGCTAGACTTAGGAATTCTTAGTCGGCCTAGGAAATACAGCTAGTCCTGTCTCTCGGTAACTTTGGCAACTTTTTGGTAACTTTAAAGACTAACTGGATCATGTAGTAAAGTGGGAAGAATGTTATGTTCAGCATTCAAGCAGATCTGGGTTCAAATCCTTTGATACCAAATCTCCTTTAAATTTACTTTCTGCACCTGTGAAAAGGGGATAGAAACATCTAACATATAGAACTATTGGAAGATGTGATCATGTTCTAGATTGAAAGTGTCTGCTGTATATTTGACACTGAATGACTGTCATCTTCCTCTCTGCTCTGTGACCTTACTGAAGTACCTAACTGCAGCACGTAACTCAGTCTATAAGAGAATCATGCTGAGTGGCATTTGGTGAGATACAAATAAAAATTTAGGACAAAAATATTATAGTTTCTAGTCTCAAATTTTTATATAAGTAATTAGTTGACTTCTCCTTTTATAAAATAAATACTGCAATTATAATTAAAAACAATGTTTTTATAAAGTTTTCTTAACTTTATCTTCATGGGTATGCTATGCTATGAAGAGTAGGATAAATAGATCTGGTTTACATACACAGAATCTAAACACTCAAAAATAAATGTAAAACTCTTGGATAATAAAACACAGCAGTCCTTAAATAGTTTCCTAAAGGAATTTCACACATCTTGTTTATTCTCTGTTGTCATTTTATTCAAGAAAACTAAATTTCCTCACACATGTTAAAGTCTCTCATCGGCTGCCGTAAGAACAATGCACTAAATATTTATGTTGCCAAGGGCTTCTTTTTAAAAGCAACCTGTAAATTGTTTTGCCAATTTATATTGCATATTTTTCTCTGAAAATGGTGCTTTTGCTTCTCTCCAGCATTTATGATAAGTTAGGCAATAATGGAAATAGTTTGACTCCAGTAGTGGTGAAATGGAAACTGCAGACATTTCATGTCATGACTGCAGTCCAGGGTTAAAGAATGCTTGCACATTTGATGAATTATCTTTCTCTACAACTAAATGTGTGTCTTAATTCTGAATATAGACCTTAGGCAATTATTAATCTTCAGTAGCAGAAGAACCTAAACCCAATCTTTTTATATTACCTCATTATTCCTGTTCATAAATGAAAATTTAATTTCTGTTATGCCACTTAGTGCAGTCAACTGTTATATTATTAATTATAGAACTGCTGCTAATGCCTAGGAATGATATTTTAATAAGGTTTAATCTCTTTTCCACATTCTAGTGCCTTTCATAATTATGTCTCAGTTTTTCTCCTTGCTTTTATTTTATTTGCAAACAAACCCAGTAGTGCAAACTATAATGCTGAGTTGGCTGGTGTTTCTGAGACAGGCATATCATTCACAATCCAGGCTCTGTGAATTTGTTCGGAAAAAAGGGGGCAAAGAGAGACAACTTAATTTTAAATACTAGCTGCAATATGGAACCACATCTTGCTTTAAGATTTAGTTTTTTCACACTTGCCAGGGGTGTTTTATGCACGTGGCAATCATTCAGAAAGGTTTTTTAGCTGGAAATTGTTTTGTGTGTGTTACAAGAAACATAATTTTTATTTTCAGATATGCTTTAAGGCAGTTGGGAGTTTTCCAGAGGAAAGTGTGTAGATTTGTGGTCATGTATGTATGGCAGAAAGAAGGTGAAAATTGAGCTACAGTCATGTGCTGCATAATGATGGTTCAGTTAAAGATGGAAGACACAAACAACAGTGGTCCCATCAGGTTCTAATGGAGCTGAAAAATTCCTATCACCCAGTGACAGGGTAACCCTCATAATCTCCTAGCACAAGGCATTACTCGTGTATTAGTGGTGATGCTGCTATTAACAAACCTACTATGCTCCCAGTCATAAAAGTGGCACATGCAATTGTACATCATGCTTGGTCATGATAAATGACTATGTTACTGATTTATGTATTTACTACACTATATTTTTTATCGTTATTTTAAAGTGTATTCCTCCTACTTATTAAAAAAAAGTTAACTGTAAAACAGCCTCAGGCAAGTCCTTCAGGAGGTATTTCAGACGAAGGCTTAGTTATCACAGGAGATGACAGCTCTGTGTGTGTTATTTCCCCTGAAGGCCTTTCAGTGGGAGAAGATGTGGAGGTGGAAGACAGTGATATTGATGATCCTACATCTGTATAAGTCTAGGCTAATGTCAGTTAATCTCTTGGCAAACCCCTGGTGTAAGTCCAATTAAATATTTCTGTCTTTGTTTTCAACAAAAAAAGTTTACAAAGTATAAAAAACTAAAAAAATTTCAAACAGATTAAAGCTTATAGGATATGCATACAAAGAAAGAAAATATTTTGTACATTTGTGCAATGTGTTTATGCTTAAATCTGTATTAGCCAGGGTTCTCTAGAGAAATAGGGCTCATAGGAGATATGTACATATTAATGGGAGTTTATTAGGAGGACTGACTCACACTATCACAAGATGAAGTCCCGCAATAGGCCATCTGCAAGCTGAGGAGCAAGGAAGCCAGTTTGCATCCCCAACCTCAAAACTAGGGAAACTAACACCACAGCCTTCAGTCTGTGGCCAAAGGTCAAAGAGTCCCTGCAAACCCCTGGTGTAAATCCAAGAGTTTGACAGATGAAGAGATTGGAGTCTGATGTTTGAGGGCAGGAAGCATCCAGCACAGGAGAAAGATGACCAGAAGATTCAGCCAATCTAGTCCTTCCATGTTCCTCTGCCTGCTTTTATCATAGCTGAGCTGGCAGCTGGTTAGATGGTGCCCACCCAGATTGAGGGTGGGTCTGCCTCTTCTAGTGCACTGACTCAAATGTTAACCTCCTTTGGCAATATCCTCACAGACACACCCAGAAACAATGCTTTGCATTCTTCAATCCAATCAAGTTGACAATATTAACCGTCACATAAGCTAAGTGTTATTATAAAAGAGCCAAAAAGTTAAAAATAATTCAATGCTTACATAGTAAAAATGTTATAGGAAGGCAGAGTTACTTCTTATTAAAGGAAGAAATTTTTAGAAATAAATTTAGTGTAGCCTAAGTGTTGAGTGATTACAAAGTCTACAACAGTGTACATCACTGTCCTCAGCCTTTGCATTCACTCACCACTCACCTACTGACTCACCCATAGCAACTTTCAGTCCTGAAAGCTCCCTCCAAGATAAGTGATCTAAAAAATGCTGTACTATTTGTGACCTTTTACATTATATTTTTACTGTATCTGTTCTATGTTTAGATATGGTTAGGTACAAAAATAACTACCATTGTTTTACAATTGCCTCCAGTATTCAGTACAGTAATATGCTGTGCAGGTTGGTGGCCTGGGAGCAATAGGCTACACCATGTAGCCAGGTATGTCGTAGGTTATACCATCCAGGTTTGTGTAAGCACACTGTGATGTCTGCATATTGAGGAAATACTCTAATGAAGCATTTCTCAGAACCTATCCATGTCATTAAGCAATGCATGACTGTATTTAATTTCTATGCATTTGACAGCTTGTTTCTATTAAAGGAGTTGCCAACATCCTTAGGAGAGCTGTGCTGTTTTTCTCTATTAAATAGAGGGAATGAGGTCTAAGTTGCTTTGGTTAGTGTGTCTTCTTTATGATCCAGAATTCACAGTATTTATTTAATTATCTTATCCTACCCCCATGGTGATCTCTCCATTTTTTTCTTTTGTTTTTAGCACATTTTAACCTCACTTTAGTATGATATATTTATATAATTGCTGTATTTATATGATTAAATCTTGAGTAATAACCTTAACAATACTCTTAGTTTCAATGTGTTATGAGGATCAGGTCACTTGGCACTTTTAAAAATTTGTTTTATTGTGCAAGAAACTGGTAACACACAACAGGAAGTGAGAAGTCTAATCTATAGGTCAAATTCAAGAGGGAGACCGAGTGAAAAAGATCTGTTTCCTTGTTCCCCAAATATGTACCCAGTGTTCCATATGTTTTGGTTGTCGATAAGGTATTAGGAATTTGGCCTAATGGGAAAAAGCTTTAAAAAAAAGCTCTCCATCATTTTTGCAACATATTGAGTTAAGTGTAGTAGGAGAAGAATGGAATGTATAGGCCAGTCAGAAATTGTGCTTGTGTTCAGGGGGTAAGGAGATTGTGTACGAAAGTGTGCAATTAAAATTTGGGTAACCTAGAGATGAAACTTTGGGAATCACCAACATTTAAGAAATAAAGAGAATGAAAAGGAACTGTTTAGAGAGATTGGAAGTGTATAGGAGTGAGTGGAATCAAGACGCAAACAAAAGAAAGTTACACACAGAGTAATGATTAATTACACAACCTGTTGGAGGGAAGGCAAGTTCTGTAAAAAAGGAGATACTCTGTGTGCGTTTGGCACCTTCTAAAGCTGAGTGCAGCAACGTGTTTGGTGAGGTACCAGGCTGTAAATATTTTAGGTCTTGCAGACCACATGGTCTCATTGCAGCTACTCAACTCTGTCGTTGTAGAGCATGAGCAGAAACAGAAAATACATAGATGAATGAGCGTGGCTGTGCACCAATAAAACTTTTTATATAATAACAAGTGTGCCTCAAATTTGGGCTGTGCACCATAGTTGCCAAGTATGTAAGAGAACTAAGGCAAGAGATTAAAGTTAATTTTTTGGGACTACGAGGCCAATAAGTGACCAAGACAAAATTACACTTACTCTTCAGGCCTTTTTTACTACACCATGTTGCCCCTGCTATAGTAAAACTGCAAAGGCCAGTTAGCCCCAGACTGATTTGGACTTAAGCTTCTTATTGAGTAATGGATCCCACATGCATTCAATCATCTCTTTAAGAGCTCATTTGTTTTTGTGCAAAGACTTGCTGGCATTAGTCTCACAGCTAGCCTTGACGACAATGGGAGCAGTAGTTTCTTAAGGCTTGTATTGCAGGTCATCCATCCTCTAAAATATTGCCCCTCAAAAGGTGAGAAGAAATTTGACAATCTTCCTCTAGGCGTTTCTTTTTAAAATGCAAACACTTCTGCAAGGCAAAATTGGTTAGCATTAATAATTAATTTGAATTAATATCAGATATTTTTAAAACAATAGTGGAAACTTTGGTGATAAGGGAACACTTAAAAAAGCAGAAATCAAGGGAAAGGACAATGGAGAAAAACGTCTTCAATTTGCTATACATCTCTGAAATTGCTAGAAATTAAAAGTAAATATCTCAACCATTAAATATATATGCCAACATGTAATTTTTATACTATTGTCTTTCAAATTATGTTAACGTTTGCTACCAATAAAAAAAGCCAGAAGTGTTCTAAAAGTTGCATTATTTTCAGATATTAAAAATGCTGAAAATAAGATTTCTGAAATATAAATTGAATGTGATGGGTTTCATGTGGGTCTTGGATATATATGTTATACCTATCTCATTCCAATTTTAATATACATATATTATGTACTCTCTCTCTCTATGTATATATACACACACACACCATGGAATACTACTCAGCCATAAAAAGAAATGAAATAATGGTATTCACATTCACAGCAACCTGGATGGAATTGGAGACCATTATTCTAAGTGAAGTATCTCAGGAATGGAAAACGGAACATCATATGTTCTTACCAACAAGCGGGAGCTAAGCTATGAGGATGCAAAGGCATAAGAATGATACAATGGACTCTGGGGACTCAAGGGAAAGGGTGGGAGAGGGGTGAGGGATAAAAGATTACACATTGGGTACAGTGCACACTGCTTGGGTGAGTGCACCAAAATCTCAGAAATCACCACTAGAGGACCTATCCATGTAACCAAATACCACTTGTTCCCCAAAAACCTATCAACATAAAAATAAATCAATAAATATAACTTTCATGTGGAAAAAATAAAATAAAATAGATTATCTAGTTTCAGGTATTCTGTTATAGACAACAGAAAACAGACTGTGAAAATGACATTGGAGTAGTAGGTTGAGAGATGACATCTGCTTTGACTTTCAAGCTGATAACCAACCAACATGATAAAAGAAGCCATAAAGAAAGAAAGAGATACATAATACTATTCAGAACCTGTTTAGTTTGCCTTTTATATATGTTCATTTTTCTCCATCCTAGGAAGGTTTCACTGTGGTTCCACACGAATCCTTAGTACATGAAGTCTGAATACTTAAAAGAGTCTTCGAGATTATTTTGTTCAACCACTGTCTACACAAGAATAACCTCAGTATCACCCTAACGTATAGTCACCCAAATCTAATTATGCAGCTTAAGATTCCTTGTGAAGGGCAATTTTGTAACTGTAGTTGCTACTTATTCTATTGATAACTATTATAGGTTACAGATAGAGAGAAAGGTATATGGATGTTGGATCTTATAAAAAGGCTGGTAGAAATAGAAAATTTGCAAATATCACTATTTTTTATTTCTGGTTGTTAAGATTATTAAAAACGTGCATTGTGCTTTTCAATATTTTTCCTGCATTTGGTATGCTTTGTTTTTACAGTAAGAACAAAAATCTATACTCATACTTTAAAAGAAATAAATAAAAATTTTTCTCTTTTAAAAAAGAAACTAAAGTTTCACTCTTCCTCTGTAACAAAACAGATAATTTAAGTGTATTTTATAGATGAGAACTTTACAAATACTCAGCTATAACAATTATTTTATATCCTTTACATTTTTCTTCTCCAAGTTAATTGTGTCTTTTCCTTCTCAATTTACCTGCTGATTTACTTAAGGATCTTTTCCTGAGGTGATTTTGAAATGGTCAGGATTATCTGATGGGCTGTTCATGTTCGGCAACATCACTCTTTAGAGAACATTTGAGCTTATAAGTGTTTTGAAAAGATACAGGAATTAAAAAGGAAAACCACATATAAATTGTCCATCATTAGATTTTTTTTCAATATAAATTACCTGGTTTGTATTGTGGCATTTAATTTTGCCCATAATTATCAGTAGATAAATAGTTAACACATAAAGCCAATTGATACAAATAACTATTTGCATAAAATGTGTTTTTGAAGTAAGATTTCAAAGGCAAAAATACAGATAAATAATTAACCAAACCACTAAAAAAGGGTTCTGATTTGACAAGTTGGGGGGAGAAAAAAAATATCAATTATTTCCAGTAAGAATTTATGTTTTGACTTAAAAATGTTTTGTGACAATGTCAACTAAATCTACTTCCTTATTGAGAGTATAAATAATAAAGCTCACTTGTTGATGTGAAACTCAACCACATTTGTTCTAATAAACAATATACCTAAAGCAGGAATTAGCAAGAAAGCTTGGCTTCAATCACACAAAATTTATTGGCAATAACAAACAAATATAATACTGTTTAATTAATTTCCTGGTGATTGTTTACAGCATTTGACATATCTGTATACACTGATAACACTTACCCGACATAACTTATTGATTCTTTATGTCATTACTTGCAGATACTTATAACTATCTAATGTAGTATCATGACCAGCCAACGTGAGAAATTTTATTCTTTAAGTAGAGGCTTTCATGTGTTCATGGACTATTTTTACTTATTTATTCTCATATTTACTTGGTCAATATCACAGAGTTGATTTGCAGTATTTTTCTTGTCACTGAATTAAATCTGCCCAGTTGAGAAAGAATCAGCTACAACAGCTATTGCTCATGAACACCTAATAGCTGTTACCATGCAATTATCGTGCCTGAAATAACATGATTGTGTACAGCAGTTGATAGGATAAGTTATCAGACATCATCCCTCTTTTTAAAGGTTTCATCTTAAATCTTGCAAAATACATTTTGACAACATCTTCAGGTTTCTAATGAACTTACAATGAACTTTTCTCACATGTCATGTTTTCATATTTTCTTCTAATTGTGATTTGCTTATTTTCTAGTAAAAGTAGAGTGGTACTACCTTTGAATTTTTGTGAACATTACTTGTGTAAGGGGACTTTAGTTTCATCTGTGAATTAGGCAGGATGAAACAGACTTCATACAGCTTCTTCAGTCCTTAGATACTCAAGACTTTTCATGCAGAAACTCGACTAACAAGTAATCTATGGATAATAGTAACGAAAAGATATTTGTTGTTTGCGTTTATTGAATTCTTACTACAGGCCAGACTCTTTTCTAATCACTTTACATTTATTAATTTGTTACCAGTCAATTGTAATGGCAATAAATAGGATTTAGGAAGAGTTGAACTAATCTGATTAAACACTGGCATTAAGAAAATCAGATAAGATTGATAATCTGGCAAAAACTTTGATACTTGAATTTTTTTTTTTTAACACTTTAAAGAAAGATTGAACTCTATGTGTCACCAGTCCAGGTATTCACTGGAAGTAAAGAGGCAGCATACTGTTTCTTCCACTTTCAAGAATTTCTTTTCCATATTACTGTTTTGGTAATATTTTAGGTCAGACCCCTAAAATAACAGTGTAGGCTCCTCAATGATTTTAATTAAATTGTGCAAAATGTGATTTCTCCTTCTGCTTCTATAGATTTTATTCATTTTCCATGTATACACTATACTACACATTGAAAATAGGCTTAGGGTACAGGGATTTGTTCTGAAAAATACGGTGCAGGTTTGCTTACCCAGCATACTCTTTCTCATCACTTTTGCTTCCAGCCATTAAGACTTTGATAATGCTTTAAGCCAGTTCCACTTTTTTATCCCTGCTCTGATACAGTCAGAGGACAATAGAATGGAAAGGCGGGCACATATCTTCAAACCATGTGAATTCAAAGGAAATATTTGTTTTTGTATCTTATAAAAAAAATAGCTCGGGCTTCTGAGGAGAATGGCTCAGAAGCAAGCTGAATACACTGATTTATTTGACCCTCTGAGGATCAGAATATTTTTATACTTGAAATAAGTAATGAATCACCAAAAAATACTTTCTTAAAATCCAGCAGGCAATTTTCTTTATATTTTTTCTAAAATTGTGACATGCTTTTCCTGTACTAGAAAAAATATAAAGATGTATCATTGATAAAGCTTAAAATATGAAGCCAAAAATAATGAGCCAAAAATTCTAAGTAATTGAAAATACCACTTATACTGGTACATATATTTTTAATAAACTTTAAGAGATACTTTCATTATTTTAAAATTTACTTTGGCCCATTTATTTCTGTAAGTTTTCATGTCATACTTTCCTCTTTTCAAAATTCTACTAGGACTTTAATTTTCCTTCATAGTTTATAGTCATTCTACTCAAGAAGAGAAATGATTTGGGAAATGATGTGGAATAGGATTCCCCTGCTGCTTTCAATCCAGAAGATGCTATGTGGTGAAACCCGCCTGGGGATCCCTGCTGATCTGTAATGTTCCATCATCATTGCCAAAGTGTCTCCCCTGACCAGCAGCTCATTACTTTTTCCCCATATAGGAAATACAATTATTTGTCTCTGGGTTAGATTTTCACAGAAAAATAAAACTGCACCGTAAGACCTTCTGAAGATCATGATTAAATAATTCATTCATTCAGTCATTTATTAATTCTTATACTAACACGTGTATTTTAAATACAACTATAAGTGAATTTATTATACACTTCATTAGGGCTCATGTTAAAATAGTGACAATATTTCTTATTTTTGATAAAATGGCCACTTTTATTACACACTGAAAATCTGAGTTTTATCTATAATAAAACCGTAATAGTGTGTAAAATGTCTTTGTGAGTTCTGTGCGTTATTCCAGAAAATTACCAAACTTGGGTCAGGAATCCTGTGAACTCTGGAATTTGTAGTTGGAAGGCAAAAATATGGGTAGCCTATGCACCCCATTTACGGTTGGCCTCTGAAGTCAGGGGCAGTCTTGTGGAACTGAGTCCTTAACACATAGGATCTGATGTTAACTCTGGGTAATTAGTGCCGGAATTAAATGGAATTATCGGGCACCCAGTTGATGTTAGAAATTAGTCAATTGGTATTGGAAAGATAGAGCAGCAAATATTTGCTTGAAGTGGGGGAAAAAAACCCTCATACCCCTGATCAATAAAAAATTATAAATTAGTTTGTCTAGTAATAAAACTGCCATTGCAAAATTATACCTGAGACAATTAAAGAGATCTGATCTAACCAACTCCATCTTGCTTTTCACTTTCAAGCTGGCCTTGTTCATTCCTTAGCATAGGCCAAACTAACTTTTGGAGTAACTTAGTTTATAGTTTATAGTTTGAAACAAGGATGCTAACAGTCCTTTCCCAAAACAATCCCCCTTCTTGTCTGGGGACTAGATTGCCTTTGCAGGACTAATAAATTAGCCAAAATTTGTTAGAATTTGGATTAGAAATTATGGTTTAGGAGTCACGCAGCCGGAGGCGACAAGAGTCTGACCCTCCCCAAATTGCTCCAGAGGATGACATCACTATTGTAAAACTTAAGATCAGTGCTTGAGATATTTTCAAGACCCTGCACTTGATGGATAACCTGGCATCGCCCAGATGGATCAACTCGCTTATCTGATCTTGTGACCCCCTACCCAGGAACTGACTCAGCACAAGATGACAGCTTAGACTTCCTATGTCTTCATCTCTGACTCAACCAATTAGCACTGCTGACTCACTGGCTTCCCACCCACTAAACTAGCCTTAAAAACTCTGATCCCTGAATGCTCCAGCAGACTGATTTGAGTAATAATAAAGCTCTGGTCTCTAGCACAGCTGGTTCTGCATGAATTACTCTTTCTCTATTGCAATTCTCCAGTCTTGATAAATTGACTCTGTCTAGGATGTGGGTAAACTGAACGCATTGAGTGGTTACAGTAACTTCATTGACTTTTCCTTGAGAAAAGAAATTGTTAAGTGACCTTAATATAATTTATTTTGTATCATCGAAAGTGCCACAAAGTGAAATGATAGAGCTAATTCATGGATTTCTTTAGCATTTAACTAAGCCTCTACTATATGCTGAAAACACCACAAAGTCTTAGAAATAAAAAACAACAACAACAACAACAAAACAGTCTCTGATGTTTAGAATTCACAGTGTAGCATGTGAAACAAACATCTAAGCAGATACTGTACAATGGACTGAGGTAAGTGAAAAGGCAGATAGGCACAAGGTTGTAAAGAGCCCAGAGAAAACCATTGGAGTCCTAAGGGTAGAGGAAAGTCACTAGGGCATAGAGTGGAGAGGTAAATGAGACAGTGAGACAGGAGCTGGAGGTAGAGAAGATGGAGAGAAGGGGAACACAGCCCTGTCCTGCATGGAAGGTCAAATCTGTATTGTATGTAGTTAAGGGTCTCTTTAGGGTCAAAGTTTCCCTCATTTCAAAGGATAGAAAATGGCTTACTAGATGTGAGATAATTGGAAAGTAGTTCTGGTAGAAATTGGTTGGGTGAAGTGGTCTGGGATCTTGAATCTAGGTAATGCTTGGCTCCAGATTACTGGCCACCTTGGATAACAGAGAGTGGAATAAAACCAAATAGATAAAGCCAGATAGCAAGAAGCAAGTTATTCTGCAAATGTCCTGTGTTTTCTGTGTAATATATGCAGGCAATGAATTAATACAAACTCCTGGTCTTTTGAGGATGTTTGCCACATTTCAAGTATACCATAAAGCATAATTCCCTAGATAATTTCTCGAGTCACTGTGACAATGCCCGCAAAATAGCAACTTGATGAATGGAAGTTGCTGGGCTATTCATGACCCAACGGACTTTTGTACACAGGCTGCATTTCCCAATTTCAGACAAGATTGGACATATTCAGGGTAGTACGCCATAGACAATACACTATTTCAAATAACACACAGATTACTTTCAGGTTACTTTGAAAATACATAGTCAATAATGAGAAAGACATATCTGTGCTTCTGATGAACTATTGTACATAATATAAATTTGATATAAAATGTTTATTCCCACATCATTTAAAAATAAATTCATTATTAATAGTAATATAAAATTTGATATTAGATGTTTGTCCTATTTAAGAATATAAAATAATCCAATATGGCATCTTACTTGTATTGAAAGTTATTGATTTTTCACCAAAGTAGACAATAGAAAAATGTGATTCTATCCATGAATGTGACTATACTTTCTATTACATCTTTAAAGTTCCAAATGTTATGTGGGTATTTCACTAAACAACCAAGTAAATTAAGTATTATATATGTGCTGATTTACATATGATGAATTCTTATTAAGCAGGATATAAATGAGCCTCAACTATTGCAAAAATTATGGCTTTAATATGACAATTTTTTTGGTAAAAACTTGCTTAATCAGATATCAAAGAGATACTGACATTTTATTCAAGTGTATTAAGAATATTGTAGGTATACTAGCTCTTCTTCTAAACTTAAACCCTCCAGACACTCTGTTCCACCCCCATGGATCTCATTTCATCAATTATTTGATGTCATCAGCTTTTCCTGATCTATTGTCTTCCTTCCACTAGTGGTTCAACATATTCAAGTTTCTTTCCTTAAGAAAAAATTAAAAGTTAGAGTTTTTCAAAACATAGATATAATCTGATGCTACCTCAACTTCAGAGCATTCAATGATTCTCTCTTCCTTGAGATAAAGTGCAGTGTATTTTACTCAGTCATAGTTAGGGATGTTTTAACAAAGTACCATAGCAGACCTTCATTTATAAATAGCAGATGTTTATTTCTCACAGTTTGGAAGGCTGAGAAGTACAAGAGCAAGGCACTGGCAGATTCAGTGTATGATGAGGGCTCTCTTCTGGGTTGCAGGCTGTTGACTTCTTGTTGTTTCTTCACTTGATAAAAAGAGAACAAGAGAGCTCTCTGGCCTCTTCTTACATAGGCACTCACCCCATTCATGAGGGCTCTACCATCATGTCTGATTATCTCTTCAAAACCCCACCTCCGAACACCACCACACTGGGGGTCAACATTTCAATTGTTAACTGGGAGTTAACAATTTTGGAGAGACTAAAGACTCAGTGCATTGCATTCAGTATGTAGCTTGAGAGCTCTTCAGATGTGGTGCCAGCATGCCTCTCAATATTTCCACACTGTATGTTTCATCTATCCTGAATGACTTTCCTTTCCTCCTGTGTGCCACACTGTCTCCTGGCTTTTACCCATTTCAGCTCCTGTGTCTAGAATTCACTACGGGAATTTTCTCTTGGTTGATGTTTTACACATTCCTCCCATTTCTGCTTAGATATCCCTTCTAGAACACTTTCTCTAACTCTTCACAAACTGGGTTATGCGCTTTTCCCCAGGTTACCTCATCAAAGGGGACAAAAAGAACATTAGCACCATAAGAATAGACTTTGACATAAGATAGTGCCAATGATTCCTCACCACTTTCATTTGTAACCATGTCTTGTCTGTATTTGCCTGTTTCCTCTTCTAAATTGATTTTTAAAATTATGTTTTCAAGTTTAAAGAAAATTTCTAGTGGAAGTTTGATTGGAAATTTCTAGTGGAATGCTAAACCTATAAATAAATTTGGGTAGAATTTGCATCGAAAAATATGTTGTCTATTCAGCAAAACAGTTTATTGCTCCATGTATTGAAGTAAACTTTTTTGTTTTTTTTACTGTTATTTGAAGACAAAGAATAAATATATATCTAACTATACATATACACACATAGCTGTTTGTATGTGTGTGTGTATATATGTGTGTGTGTGTGTGTCTATGTATGTGTATATATGTATATTTGAATTTACCCTAATTTCTATTTAATTGTCTGTATTTGTTACCAGGTCATTTTTAGTGAGTGCAAATATATATCTATATTTGCCTCTAGTATTCTTGGCATCTACTACAGTAAGTGACACATAGTTTTCTACATGAAATATTTATTTTATGTAATAAATAAAGGAGACAGGAAAGAGGGAAGGAAGGGAGGAAGGAGGGAAGGAAGGAAGGAACAAAGGAGGGAGAGAAGGAAGGAGGGAGGGAAGAAAAGCAGGAAGAAATTCTATAAAGTCAAATTTTGATTTACTTTACATTCAGACTACTCATTAGCTTGGAAATAACTTTATTTTTATTGTTTAATCCAAGAACATGACCTGTATGTCTGCTTATTTAGTTTTCCTTTATATATATCTACTCAGTTTTACAGTTTTCTTCATAAATATCTAAACCTTGATTTTTGCTGGGTTAAACTTCTTAGCTTCCTATGTATTTTTAGATAATTCTCAAGGATTTAGGTGTAAAATTAAAACATGTATGCTATTAATTTTTCCACTGTCCAACTGCTTATTTCATTTCCTTTCCATATTGCTTTGCAGAAACTCTATAATGAAGATAAACAAAAATAAATACCAGAGCCTTCAAAAATTATTAATGGGAAAGTTGGGAAAAAACAAAAGCACCCTATTTAAACATAGCTACAGTTGTTTCCAAATTCAAAGAAAGTGGTTGAAAGATTGCAGTTATTTTATGTGGAAAGGCACTTTAATAGACCCTTTTATTTTCTGATGGTAAAACATTTGGGCTGTGTTTCAAAGAAAATAGTATGGTCTAGGTAATGGAATGGTAAATCACTCTGCATAATAAGAGTAAATGAGTCATCCTTGGATGAAGACTGTTCAACATGAAGAAATGTCCAATTTTACTTTGCTCTTACCAAGACACAGAGGAGTCTCTGGTCCTGGAGAAGATAAGAGATTGGGGAAGAGCTGGTTACTTACAGCCATATGTGATGGGGAGTGGGTGCCTGATGGAAGAGAGGCTGAGTATGGAACTCTCTGATAGATATAGCTGGGAATTAAGGAATTATGATATTTAGTGATACATTTTTCTATCTGTGATTTTTAGGCCTTTGTCTTAGTCAATTTGTGCTGATCCAACAAAATACCACAGATTGGGTGGCTTGAACAGTAAACATTTATTTTTTACAGTTATGGAGGTCATAAATCAAGATATCAGCAGGTTTGGTGTCTGTGAGGGCCCACTGCTTGCTTCATAGACAATTGTCTTCTCACTGTGTCCTTACATGGAGGAAAGAGCAAGGCAACTCTTTGGAGCCTCTTTTAGAAGCTACTAGTCCCTTTTATCCCCATGACCTAATCATCTTCCAAAGGCCCCACCTCCAAATACCATCTTATTGGGGATTAGCTTTCAACATATGAATTTTGGAGGCATGCTGACAGTCAGTCAGTCTAAAGCAGTCTTCAATAACATCAGTTAATCACAGAGTTCTTGCATTAGTGCCAGTTTGGCAAATGAGCAAGTCATTAGGAAAAAGAAATCTGTAGAAAAAGCAGAGATAAATGTTGTTTATTCATATTAGAAAGTGTAGTTTATTAATTTGTATCATTTTCCTACAGCTTTTGCTTCAAACTTGTACAAATAAAAGTTGATATAGTGATCACTCTAATGAGAGAGTGAAAATTATATAATATAAAGAATTCTTCCTTTGGGAGGCTGAGGTGGGCGGATCACGAGATCAGGAGATCGAGACCATCCTGGCTAACACGGTGAAACCCCACCTCTACTAAAAAAATACAAAAAATTAGCCGAGTGTGGTGGCACATGCCTGTAGCCCCAGCTACCCAGGAGGCTGAGGAGGGAGAATCACTTGAACCCAGGAGGTGGAGGTTGCAGTGAGCTGAGATTGTGCCACTGCACTCCAGCCTGGGCAACAGAGCAAGACTCCTTCTCAAAAAAAAAAAATTATTCCTTTTTGCCATCTACAATCTATATTTTATGAGACAGTGGCCAATAATGTTGGCTTGAGAAGAGTCTACTTCTGTATATTTCAATAATAATCTGTTAGATTATCTTCTGATGTAAATGACATGCAATTTAATTATTTCTCTCACTCATTTATAATCTATAAGATTTTTAATGGTGAAGTTGATAAGTTTTTTAATGATAAAGTTGATAAATCTCTAAGATTTTTAACAGTCAATAAAAATGAGATTTAAAATATATTTCTAGAAAAATAAGAAAGAACTTAACTCTTGATGAATTAAGTTTCCACTTTAGAGCTATACATTGTATTGCAATAATCTAGTAGCCTGGGCACGGGTGATAACTTGGGCCAACTGGGAGAATTTGAGACAAATTTGGGAGGTAAAAATCTGAAGAACATGGCTGTGAATGGTGATGGATGAATCTCAAGTTTTCTACTCAGGCATCTAGATAGGTGGTGTGGTCAATTCTTTTTTTTTTTTATTTTTTATTTTTGAGATGGTCTCGCTCTGTCACCAGGCTGAAGTGCAGTGGCATGATCTCAGCTCACTGCAACCTCTGCCTCCCGGGTTCAAGCAATTCTCCTGCCTCAGCCTCTCGAATAGCTGGGACTACAGGTGCACGCCATCATGCCCGACTAATTTTTGTATTTTTAGTAGAGACAGGGTTTCACCATTTTGGCCAGGATGGTATCCATCTCTTGACGTTGTGATCCACCCGCCTTGGCCTCCCAAAGTGCTGGAATTACAGGCTTGAGCCACTGTGCCCAGCCGTCAATTCTTGTGATAAGAAAAAAAGGATGAGAAGATACTAAATTATATTTTTTAAAGACTTGTGGTCTCTTTTTTTCTGAAGCATGACATAAAAAAGCTAAATTCTAATCTAGCAAAGGTCTGGCTTTTAAAAAAGTAATATCAAGTTTCTACCTGATGTAATTTAAAGTAATTCATATATTTAATTTTGTTGACAAGAGCAAGATGTGGAGTTAGTTTGAATATTTCCTTCCTGGGTCTGTATATGTGTGCATTTATGTACATAAATAAGGACGTATGATAAGATGGCTCTTTCTTCTAGAACTGGCTTAAAAGGTTTCTTTTATTTGTTTCACTTTACATCTTTCACTATCAATACCCTAGATTTCTTATGTCAAGGTAAAGAAGTCTGATGAGTGAACAAACTGGTATTTTTAAGACAGTGAAGTGGAATAAAAATTTTTGGTGGAACGCTAATGAACTGACTAGTTTAGAAAACATACAATATTGCTGGTGTCATGCTTTCAGGAAGCCGATATAGAAGAGCCCCTGCTGTCCTTCTCCACATTGGGGCTAACTTAAATTCACAATGCCACCTGCTACCACTGCTTTTCTTTCTATGAATTGTAATGACTAGATAGAGCATTAATCAGAGCTTGATAAATCCTAGAAATAAGCAAAAAGACTGTTGCTAAATGTTTTGGTGCTATTTGTTTATAATTGAGAGCTTGTTTGGAGGTTCTAGCAGGGGAGTGCAGCTACTCACGTACCCTAGAACAAAGACTGGTCCTCCTCTGTCTGGGATGGTCGTCCTCTTCATTAGAGTGCACAGCTTCGGGACAGACACACAAGGAGTGGTGAGGGAGGAAGGGGACACCAGCCTAGCCAGCCAGATCAGCCGAATCAACCCTGGAGATCCATGGGGTGGCAGATGTCCCAGCCAGATTGGCCTCACATCCATATTTTTTATAATTGTAAAAAAAAAAAACCTTTAAGCTTCTATAGTCATACAATCTGAAAAATGGTGTATATATGTATACATTTATATGTGGTATATAAATACTTATAAATGTAAACACATAAAAAACATATTTATTACATGAGGACCTGAGAACCAAATTCTATGGTAGAATAACGTATATTTTAATTCTCCCTTAACACTGCTTACATCAAGCATGGAGTGAGACAATAAATTACTCTCTATTAATTGTTGAAGATTTTAAAAACATCACTGTAAAACTCTTGCTTCCAAAGTTCAATGACAAAATATAAACACATTACAGTTGAGTTAGAACAACTAGAATAAAAGCAACTGAATTTTCATTTTTAGATTTTTCTGTGGAATGAAATATACTGTTATAAAATATAAAGGAATTTCAAGTAAACAGTGCTGATTAGATTACTTTAGCTGATTAGTGTATACAAAATGTCTTATGATTTTATTGTCATTTAGCATTGATATAAAATATTTTTCCATGTGTTTTCAAGTGAACAATGTGATACAATGACAACTCTTTAGTTAACTTAGGACATGACTGCTTCGTCTATCTAATGCTTGCTATAACTTCTACATTAATGTAGTTGCTTATACGCTAAAGCTTGTTAACTTGGCATTTTTCAGATATGTTGACAGGAGGAAATTAAAAATAAATTTTCTAAAGGTTAGTTAATTACAGATAATAAATTTTATTATGCAAATATGGAAATGATTTAATTTTCCAGTATGTCATATTGAGGCTATAAATTAAAGCTCGCCTTTTATTTATACTGTTAAACTGCCAGTCAAACTGAAGGCTATCTAATTATAAGAAATTTTAAGTTTCTAAGTGTTTTTGATCTTTTCCCTTGGAAGAAATCTGGGGATCTAACTTTGGTCCTTTTAGGCACCTTTTACAGCTTTGAGTCAATGATACATTGTATTTCTATCCTGAAATTTAGCATATTAGCGGAATCTAAGGGTTTTTACTAAAACATTCAGCCCAGAAAGTTTGTTTATTTTATCTAAAAAATATGGTTCAATATAATTAGTTATATTTTATCTTACAGTGTAAGAGACAGAAGACAAATTTAGCTATGGGATATATATTAACCATGTGCTGGGATCATTTATAACTACCTTTCTGTTCCTCCTTTCAGTTAGAATGATGTTAGGTTTATCATTTTTCTTTTATTTCTTCCTTTCCCTTTCTTTCACATCTGTCTTCTCTCCCTCCTCTATCAGCTCCAAAGGGGAATAAAAATGACGTTATAAAACCCAACAACTCATATAGAGAATTTTAGACCAAAAATTTACAAGGATGAAAGGAATAGTAAATATGCGGAAAATGTAATATCCCATAATTATCATTACCTAGTATTAAATTTAAATATGAACTTCCTTGGAGACTTGTAGACACATATACATACCTTCACACACACACAAGAAATTATGATGATGTGTAGAATTCTTACTCTTTCACAAAGCCCTTTCAGTTCCCCCAGTGAACTTATTTCCCTCCTAACATAGAGCCTGACCCTCCCCTGGACTTGAAATAATATTTTTCTAATAATACCCACACAACCTTTAGAGCTCAGCTCAGTCAGTCATGTGTCTTTGTTATATATTCTTTCTCACATTTCTTTAATAGCACTTGTATAGTTTGTAAAAATGCATTTACTTTGTAATATTTCTTACCCTACCAGAATGTAAGCTCAAAGGAGATAAAAACTGATTCTACTTTATAGTTCATTTTTTATCTCTAGCACCTCTCACGCTGCTAGGTACATAGTAGATGCTCAATTAGTATTCATTTAATGAGTGAAATGTAAATGAATATATGAGGCATTTCCTTCTAAGTTGGAAGTGAGAAAAAAAAACAGGTATGTAAAGTTATTCATAACAGCTGATTTGAAGAGCCATCCTTTTTCTTATAACTGTTTCTTATGAACTACAGTGAAAGCTAAAAGTGCAATAAAATAAAAATAAAATTTAATAAGGGGCTTGTTTCAATAACTTGTGGGGTTGCCAAAGTGGGCTTCCAGTGATCAAACTTGACAAACAGAACTCGGATTACAGAGAAAAATGAGTGGCCATCTCAATCAGTATATTTAATACCAAAGTTGCAAAGCACTGTTAGATATTGTTGAGATAGATTTATTTTTTTGTTTGCAAAGGCAAAACTTAGGTACTATTACAAGCAACTTTGCATATCCTCATTTAGGTATCAATCCTGTGTAACCCAAATATCTGTAATGTTAGATACATCCAACAAACTTATGGGATAATTAAATGAAGAATTTGTTATGAAAAAGCTTACCTGAAAATAACTCAAAACATTTTATGGGGCTGGGTGTGGTGGCTCACAGCTGTAATTCCAGCACTTTGGGAGGCCAAGGTGGGTAGATCACCTGAGGTCAGGAGTTTGAGACCAGCCTGGCCAACATGGTGAAAACCCATCTCTACTAAAAATACAAAAATTAGCCTGGGGTGGTGGTGCGGGCCTGTAATCCCAGCTACTCAGGAGGTTGAGGCAGGAGAATCACTTGAACCCAGGCGGCAGAGATTGCAGTGAGCTGAGATCGTGCCACTGCACTCCAGCCTGGGCAACAGAGCAAGACTCCATCTCAAAAAAACAAAAGAAAAAAATATTTGATGGATAAGTGAGCTGCTACTATTTTGAAGTGGTTATAGTAAACTCAACTAATTTATTCTAACATTTGTGATACTTATTTATAGGAACACAGATTGAGTTTTCTTTAGGCCACCAAAACTTAAACACTTGGCAACAAATTACAGGGAAGATTTCTCTACCTTTTGGCTTGGCTTGGTTTCTCTAACTCAGATGGATCCCATAATGTTATCACTTAGATATCTATTTCCATATTGCTATTAATGTTTCTCCAATAGTTCTTATGGGCAGAACTGAGAACAGTTCTCAGATTTGGGGAAGGAATGTGGTTGGAACCATGCTTTTGTTGTTGAGAGGAAGAAGTTCATTTAAAAAGCAGTAGCTTTTGACTTCCTTCTCTCTCTTATTTCTTTTTTCCTTATTTTCATTCATCTTCTTTAAGTCCTTTCTGTTGTAGTCACCCTACAGATATTAGATGGATTCCCACCTAAAATTTGGTTCTGATGTCAAAGCTGATGAAATCACACACACCGAGAGGGTATGAAAAGATTTATTACTCAGATAATGAAGAGTTATGTGGCTAGCACAGGTGCACTTCTCAAGCTGGTCTGAAAATAGCTTAAGAATGCAGTTAAAGCAGGTTGGCTTGGGGTTTTTATATGGTGGGTAAGTGTGGGGCAGAGTTGAGTGTTCCCTGATGTGGGCAAGGGCATGCACAGTTTGAACCCCTTGCTGGAACCAAGGAAGGGGCACCCAGGCTTTCTTATCAATTTGCTCAGAAGAGAAAGAGCAGGCAATTATTAAAAAATTGAGTCGGACTCTCTTCTACCCTTCTTTTATTTTCCCTCCCTGCCCCCATCTCACCCTCTCTCCCTTTTTCTCTTCCTCCCTCCCTCCCTTTCTTCCTTCTTTTCTTGTACATGCATTGTCCTTTCTCTTTCTTCTGTCTGTCATACTTTTTTCCGTTCTTATTCCTGTTAAGAATTGTGCTTTATCTCTTAGAAAATCCCTTGAATTGGTAGAGAAAGCACAGCCTTTCTGAGAGTGCCACAAGGAAGATAACTTTCCCAAGTCAGCAAATTCTGTATCATATGCTTTTGTGATTCTCAGAAATTGGATTCAGTAGGATTTTTATTTTAATTTCTGAGCATCCTCAATAGACACTCAAAGGATATGTCATGCGCCTAAAGAAACAAAGTTGATTTACTGACTAGAACACCCTGCTATCATCTGTTTCTGAATTATTGAATCCGATTACAAATTATAATAGTAATGATAAAATATCACAACTAGAACATTTTCTGATACATTAAAAGCAACATTTTTTCACAGTGTTTTGGGTTTTACCACATTCTAAAACGGATATATGACTGTGTATTATAAAAATCATAAGAGGGGCCGGGCGCAGTGGCTCATGCGTATAATCCCAGCACTTTGGGAGGCCGAGGCGGGCGGATCACGAGGTCAGGAGATCGAGACCATCCTGGCTAACACAGTGAAACCCCGTCTCTACTAAAAATGCAAAAAAAAAAAAAAAATTAGCTGGGCATGGTGGTGGGCACCTGTAGTCCCAGCTACTTGGGAGGCTAAGGTGGGAGAATGGCATGAACCCAGGAGGTGGAGCTTGCAGTGAGCTGAGATCGTGCCACTGCACTCCAGCCTGGGGAACAGAGCGAGACTCCATCAAAAAAAAAAAAAAAAAAATCATAAGAGGATAAGAGGATCTAATATCAAAGGATCTAGTTATCAAAATTCAAGTGACTATATAAGTTGGTCACACATATTACAGCTTTTTCAAAGTCCAGGATATTTCTTAGGGGTTAGAAGCTGAGGGATCGTTCTTTATCTCATAATTTTAGTCATGAATTTGTAGAGGAAACAAAAATTGTAATTTCTACATTTAAAAGATAGCCAGCTTTACTTTTGTTTATCCATGCAATTCACTTTTGTTCCCACAAGGTAGAATTTAATATTTAATAAAGCAATTAACTGGGCAATGAGGCTAGAATTTCAAGTTTATGACTGATTCTTCATAGTCAGTCATTTTGTTATAAGGACTGAAGGTGAAAGGATTTTGCATTTTCCTACTTGCACCTGGAGATAATGATGTTGTTTCCTATTTTCTGTGCTATTAACAGCTGTTGCATCTCCATACTGCTCTTGTCTTTCTTTCATTATTCCCTTTCTACATGATATTTATGCTAAAGCTCTCTCTCATCTCTTTGATTAGCTTTCTATTGTTTTCAGCATACTTAAATTACATGTTCACAAAATCTTATATGTGCTTTCTTTTGATGTGTCAATCATTAACCTATGCATAATCCCATATAATTCTTTCATTACTGCTATTATTTTTCTAATATATTCGGATGCTGTTAAAAATATTTTTTGCTGCTATTGTATTGAAGTAACCTCCTAGTTATTTTAGGATAAAGAAGAAAATTAGAGATAACTACTGTCTATTTATTGAACCACAGAGATTATATTTGGTACTTTCTAATGTTGTCTTATAATCCTTTAAACAACAACTTCAAGATTATTTTTATACTTGATAAAACTACTCCTCAAAAAGGGTAAGCTATTTGAAAAAAAGGTGTAACTAATAAGTGCTAGGGTATAGAATTTTAAAATAATGTTTATTAGGTTTCAGATACTTCTGTTGATTTATTTTTAAACCAAATTTTATTTAGATCCTGGCTCTGTCTCAATATGCTTGTATTAGTCTGTTTTCATGCTGCTGATAAAAACATACCTGTGACTGGGCAATTTACAAAACAAAGAGGTTTAATGGATTCACAGTTCCACGTAGCTGGAGAGGCCTCACAATCATGGCAGAAGGTGAAAGGTACATCTCACATGGCTGCAGACAACTTGTGCAGGGAAACTCCCCTTTATAAAACCATCAGATCTTGTGACGCTTATTCACTATCACAAAAACAGCACAGGAAAGACCTGCCCCCATGATTCAATTACCTCCCATTGGTTCCCTCCCACTACACGTGGGAATTGTGGGAGTTACAATTCAAGATAAGATTTGGGTGGGGACACAGCCAAACCATGTCAATACTATATCTCATTCCATTATTTTTTGTGGTCACTCTAGGAATTAAAATATGTGCTTTTAATTTATCACAGTTTACTAAGAATTAATATTATGAAACCTTACATAATATAGTATTATGCTTACATTTAATTCATCTTCTATGCTATATTTATCATACATAATACATCTACTTACATTATTAAACATAGAAAATAACAACATGTTTGTCGTTTTAGACAGATGTGTTTTTTAATGTAAATCAGACAAAAATTAAAAGTATATTTACTGTTTCCAATGATCTTCATTTGTTCTGGCATTTATAAGCTTCCATCTGGTGCTATTATCCTTCAGCTTGAAGAATTGTCTTTATTATAGTGCAAGTCCACCAGCAGCAGATTCTCTGCTTTTGCTTATCTGTAAATATAGTAATTTTGCTTAAATATTTGAAATTTAATTTTCTGGGTACAGAATTAAAACTTGTCAATTTTGCTTCAGAACTGTAAAGATCTCAATCCATTGTCCTCTTGACTCCATTGTTTCGGATAAGAAGTCATAGTTATTCATCTTGTTGTTTTCTAAAATGTATCATTCATTCATTTTTCTCAGGATGCTTTAAACATTTTCCCTTATTTTTAGAGTTTTGATATAAATATAAAGTGATATAAATATAAAGTGACAATGTGTGTGCTCATGTATGCTGTTTTTATTTTTATCACACTTGGGGATTTATTAATTTTCTTAATTCACCACATTTGGAAAATATTTGGCCATTATTTTTTCAAATAGTTTTGCTGCTTTATTCTCTGTAGCCTTCCCTCTGAAACTTCAGTTACATATATATCAGGCCATGAGATATTGTTTGTAAGTCCTTAAGTTCGGATTTTAAAAATCATTTTCTTTCTGTTCTTAAGGCCAGATAATTTCTATGTATCTGTAACTGATATAACAAAACAATTATTCTGTCATCTCTAATTTGCTGCTAAGACAATGCAGTAAATTTTTTATTTTAGATATTTTACCTTGTAGTTCTAGTATTTTTATTTAATTCTGCTGAGATTTCTCACATCCTCATTCATTATTAGCAGTTTTCTCCTAAGTCCTGGAACTTAAATTTATAATATCTCTATACTAATTATAATTCTAGGTCATATCAAAATAGGTTTCTATTAACTACTTTTTTCTGAACTATAGGTCACATTTCCTTGTTTTTCATATGTGTAATAATTTTTATTTTATGCTAAACACTGAGATGATATGTTGTAGAAATTTTGAATTCTGCTTTGTTTCAAGAAAGAGCTAAAGAGTTTGTAGTTGTTGTTGATGCAGGCAGTTAACTTAGCTGGATTCATCTTATGAAACATACTTTCTCTCAGGTGAGCAGGAACTAAAATTTCCTTTATTTCTTCTATTCTTCCAGATGGTGCAATTCATCTGTTTGGTATGCCCTTAGGCATGTATAGTTCAGGGATTAGCCAAGCATTTTCAGAAAATTAAAAGCCTTAAATTCTGCCTACAGATTCTTCAGAAAAATAATACTGCAGTTTTCTGCTTTAATTCTATTTGTTCTACTCCATACATTTTGGGTAAAGGCCTCAGACAAAAATATGTATAAAGATAAATTTTACTAGTACTGTTCCATTCTTTCAGGGTTCAATTCCTTTCTAATTTCTGGTTGCTTTGGGACACTGTACATTAGTTCATTTGATGGTTCATTGGATGCAAGCTACCCTGCCATACCTGGAAGAACCCCACCCTTCATTCGCATTTATTTACCAATTTAGAATACATTTTTAAGTCCATAAAGTGTCAAAGTTTTCTGGTAAAATTTTACCAATTTATTGTCAAGGCCCTTTTATTGATAGTTTATATATAATCTTTTAAAAACCACTATGGCACTATATTTAATCTTTCACATAATTTCATCCACAATGGCTTTGTTAATGACAAGGATATTTTTGTCAATCTATCTCAGTATATACGGCAGGCTGACAAATTGTATATCAAAAAATGCCTTATTAGGGGGCTAAGAGGTACTAGTATCAAATTGAATTAACTTCAATTGATTTTATTTTTAGAATATTTAGATTTATAGAAAAAAATGAGATGGTGATGTAGAGAGTTTCGAAACACTCACACTCAGTTTCCTCTGCTATTAACATCTTTCACCATCATGGTGCATTATAGAGACATATATCTGTAAAATGATATATATATATATATCTCTATATCATATTATCACATGGAGTTTCCAGCCTGTTAGTGTGTCGTACAGAATGTGTCAGAAAGTATTCCCTCTGTTTGTAGTTTCTGGAAAAGGTTGTGTAATATTAGTATTTTTATTCTTTAAATGTTTGGTGGAATTCATCAATAAAATACTCTGTGTCTGGCATTTTCTTCTTTTGAATTGTATTGAATATTGATTTCTTTAATAGATACAATTGATGAAAGTAGCAGGCTTCCAAGCAGCCACTGCCATTGTGCGAGCTGGAGCAGGAGCCGGGGGAAGAGGGAGGGAAGAGGGTGGGACATGAGCAGTGGCAGTGGAAGTGGCTGCAAGAGCAACAGTGGCAGTGGTGGGACCCCTTTGCCCAGCGTCCCCTGTGCCCTGTGTTCCTGAGGCAGCCGACTCTGCTGCCCCACCCTCGCACAACTAGGTAGGACCCATTCCCAGGCCTGGAGCCTCTGCTGCTCTAGATGTGGCCTCATGTCACTGCTCTCACCTGCTGACAGTGTGAGGAGGATGTGGGGAGGAGGTAGACAGTCTCTGGAGCCCAACCCTAGGAGCCCCCTGGAGCCTGCCACCCTAGGGGCCACCACAATGGGGCTGGCCAAGTCTCCCACTGAAGGGAGAGCAGTGTGGTCAGGCATGGAGGAGTGGGCAGAGAGGGGCCCAGCGAGGACCTGGAACTCCCTCCTCAGGCCGTGAGGAGGTGCACCTGGGGCTGCACACTCCATGGAGATGGCAAGAGCTGGAGACAAGCGGGAGCCCTGCCCCTTCTCAGTTGATGGGGCAGGAGCTCCCTGGGGATTTACATTTGCAACTAATCTAAGTTAACTTTCAAATGACCTACTGTTCTTTATGCTTACTACAGGTACCTTATTACAGAATATATTCAATTTCTTACTCACATCTCCTGTAACACTGGTGTTATTCATTTAATTTACACAGATGTCATCCAATGTGTTTTTACAATTGTTACTTTAACAAACAGTTATCTTTTAGGTCATTTTAGAATCAGAGAAATAAAGCATTTTATTTCAACTGTATTTGTTCCTGGTATGACCCTTTTCCCCTTTCTTTATGTAGATCCAAATTTTTGATCTATATATTTGTTTCTATAACATTTTTTATTAAGCTTCTGTTAATACATTATATAAAGCACACATGTTGGTAGTATGTTTTTTTCACTTTTTGTTGTTTGAGAAAGTATTTCTTCTTCATGCTTGAAGAATAATTTCACTTGATATAGCATTCCAGGCTTCAAATATTTCACTCTGCTACTCCTTGCTTACATAGATTTTTTTTTGTTTCTTTGATTTTTTTAATGAGAAGCCTATTGTAATTATTATTATTTTCTTCCATAGGTAAGTTCTCCTACCCTACTCCATCACTGGCTTCATTCAAGATTTTCTCTTTGTCTTTTGTCTTTGGTTTTCTGCAGTTTGAATACATTACTAGGCATGTACATATTTTGGTATTTGTTTGCTTAGTGTTCTCTGAGCTTTCTGAATATGTGATTTGGTGTCTGCCATTAGTTAAAAAAAATACCTCTGCCATTGTTATTTCAAATAGTTCTCCATTTTATCTTTATTTCTTTCTTGTGTTCTAATTATCTATATGGTACAACTTTTGATAGTATTCCACATGGCGGAATGTCATGTTCTGGTTTTCTTCATACTTTTCCAATTTCAGTTTGAGAAATTTCTATTGACATATCCTCAAAATTACTGATTCTTTCTTCTGCTGTATCTAGCTTACCGACATACTCTTCAAAGTTATTCTTCTGTGTATTAGTCCATTTTCATACTGCTAAGAAGAAATACCCAAGACTGGGTAATTTATAAAGAAAAAGAGGTTTAATGGACTCACAGTTCCACATGGCTGGGGAGGCCTCACAATCATGGTGGAAGGCAAAGGAGGAGCAAAGGCACGTCTTACATGGTGGCAGGCAAGAGAAGGTGTGCAGGGGAGCTGCCCTTTATAAACCATTAGATCTCGTGAGACTTATTCACTGTGATGAGAAGAGCATGGGGAAAACCTGCCCCCATTATTGAATTACCTCCCACTTAGTCCCTCTCATGACGTGTGGGGATCATGGGAGCTGCAATTCAAGATGAAATATGGACGGGGACACAGCCAAGCCATATCATTCTGTTATTGTGCTTTTGATTTCTAGCCCTTCTTTTTGATTCTTGATTATAATAGAATAAAGTTTTTTCATTTTAAGCCACTAAGCTTGTTATAATTTGTTATGACGGCAACAGGCAACTAACACAGTATGAAGAATAGTACTCTGGATAGAGCCTCAGGTATCCTGTTCTGATGCTTATTAGCTTTTTCTAGACAATATCCCTACATCACTTTAGAGTGAATGATACAGTTTTTAATGGTTACAGCAGGAAGCCATGCAAATTTTGTCAAATTGGCTTTTTAAGTGGCCACTCTCTACATATAGACAAACTTTTCCTCCTGTTACAGTCCTCAAAACTTATAACTTAACTCATGAGTGGAAGTGGTTTATAGAAATACCACTCTGTGACAATTCTTCAGTTCTGAAGATAATGAATTGCTATTGATAATGAATTGCTATTGATAACTGTTTTGTTAAATTTAAGTTTCCAAATTGACTTTGCTAGGCTTCACAACTTGTGAATCCGTAAAGACAGTGAAATAAAGCTCTCAGTAATTTTTCTTTATCAATAAACCCTCCCACAAAAGTCTCTCTTGCCCTTGAAATAATATGGGTGCTATTGTAAAGTTTCAAACAATATTTTAACCAAAGTACTTAAATCCAAGGTTTTAGATACAACTCAGTTATATTTACTTGGTGCCAAACTGTAGTTTTCCACCTTTCTATAGCATAAGGTTGGAAGTAGATTCTTTTATCTACACTCTCCCCATTCTAGGGATTCTAAAAATCATAAAATTACACAATGCTAGAGATATCCATTTCAGTGATATTCTAAGTTTATCATGCATGTGAACCATCTTCAAATTCTGATTTATTAGGTTTGGGACAAAGCATAAGGATTCTTCATTTTTAAGAAGCTCCAAGCGAGTGCCCATGTTGCTAGTCCTTTGAGGTACATACCAACACTTCTCACTTTACAAAAGAAATAAAGTTTCAGAGATTCAGCTGCAACTTATTCTAAATCATGTTTTTAAAAATATGCTATTCAAAGATATAAAAGTATAAATCAACAATATTAATTACCTCCAGCATTAGCTCCTTTACTTTGAGTTGGTGTGACAGAAGGAACCCTCTTTATTATTTCATTTGTTTTCTAGGCTTGTTTGAAAAATAATATAATTTAAGTGCTTTTTAAGTTTTGAATTTGGTATAAAATATTTTGTTTAACACATAGTTCCACTCAAAATATGAAATAGATAATGAACAATTGTCCAAGAAGTATGAAAACTGATGCTATAGAGAAGTTGTTATACAGAGTCATAACCCTTCATATAACCTGTCATTAGCCTAATACTATTTCTCATGATGGTCATTCCTAGTTGTCTACATAAAAGAAGGGTGAGAAAAGGGAAGTGTACATAGGGGCTAAAATATTCAAAGTATTCATTACAGATAAAGCGGGTGAGGTAACAGCTGTTCTTGACAAAGAAAACAGATACGATATATTCTTTTGAGAATATTGTGTAGAAGAAGAGTCATGTAAATATTCAAAAGAAAATAAAGCCCAAAGCAATCCTCAAACTATATGAATAACAACACATTTTAAGGATGAAGAAGCAGTTACAAAATAATAATCTATCTGCCTCCAATCTATCATTATATTTTTCATCATAACTTCCATAAAAGTGAAAAAAATTATGTTTTGTGGACTTTGACATATGAGGTAATATAAGTATAATAAAAGAATCATATGAACCCATGTATCTGGTTTATTGCTCATAAAATTGGCATCAAATGGTCATCAATAACTGATGAACAGATATAGATGCTCTTTGTTTACTATACCTCTTCAGCGGGTGATAGTAGATTTATATTTGAAGTTATTGCTCCCAATCTTTCTCATGCTTAAGGATTTGTTCTCTTAGACATTGGCTGTTTAATTTAATAGTGGTTTTCAAGATGTTGCTTCAAAACACAAGAACTGTCTAATTTACCTGAGCTCAAGATAATTTGTAATCTGCAGTACCTCTTTCAATAGTAGAAGAGACTAAAAGGATGCTATGCTATAGGTGACATTAATTTTAGTTAGGAAATATAGGCACAGCAGTGACTGCACAAAGAATAAAGGTAGATTTTATATGGGACTAGTGGAATTCACTTAGACACTTATTCAAATTTTTCATTCTAATGTTTTTCAATAGCTTTTTATCCATAGACCTTTTGTTTGTTCTGTTTCATTGGAACGTCTGACTTCTCATAGTTGATTGTAGACCTTTCTCTACTTCAGATACACAAGTGTGTATGTGTGTCATATCTAATTATATAGTTATATAAATATATACATATTCATACATGATAAAATATATGTCAAAATTGAATTTCTCTTTCAGAAAAGCAAATATTCCTAGTAAGATATTTCTGGCTATATTCATGAATCAAATCTTATTTAAATGTCAATGTGTTAGAGTCCCAGCATCCCACTCACTTCTATTTTATATTTATAACTCACTTGTAGTGAGTTCTGTAATTCACTACAAGTTCAAGAAGATTAAGAAGTATCAAGTGCTGATGTGATACTCACTAGTGTGCATGTGCTGCTCTAACTGCCTTACATATTTATAATTGGCCCATCTTCACTGCAACTCTGTGGGGCAGCTTCTCCTACTGTTTTCACTTGATTGATGATGAACGAACTGTACACAACACAGGGCTAATAGCTAGTCTTAGAAAATATTAGGATTGGATTCTAGACAGTCTTCGTCTCAGTAAGTAAAATAATAGATGTAAAATTAAATTTGGACCATCGCTACCAAGAGCTTTTCCACAAATGTTATTTTTTTCTCTGTACTTGGTATCAATTTCTCCCTGTTCTTATTTTACATCCCTAAAATATTCATTTTTTAAAATTTCATGTAAGCATAGAGAATAGAAAGAAAAATATTTAGTAGTACACTTAAAATTAGTATGTTACATAGCTTCAGTCTTAATATGAAAACTATCAATGGTAAAATCACAAATTTTATTTTTGTATTCTTTGTAGCATTACAAAAAGAGCTTTAATATTTTGTATTTTTTTACTGCCTTGTTTTGACTTTTTTTTTTTTTAGCTAAGCCAACTTATTAGCATTCAGATTTTTTAAATTAGCAAACTACTTCTTGATAGAATGGCTGAAAAATTCTCATTAACTATGCTATTAAATATTTTGTCATGCCTTCTGACAGCAGAAATATTAGACACCTAAAAGTAGCTTAAGTGTTTTTCACATGTTAAAATAAGAATAAAAATGAAGGATATAAAGAAAACTCTTTAGTTACACTAAACATCAAACTATGACTTTTGGTTACTCTTGTATTCTTACGACAGGAAAGAAACTGAACAGGCCATATAATAAACTCAATTATACCTGTCTGCTTATTATTACAACTCATGATTATCAGATAAAATGCATGATGGAGTTAAATGGCAACAATATTTGCATAATGGCAGTTACCTACAGTATATAAAATGAAATGTCTTTTATAAAGCTTCAGGGTCTTCTTAAATAGATGCATGAAACTAATAAGTGTTGGCACAATAGAATTATCTACTCAGCAGATTTCTTGGATTTCTTGTGTGTTTTCTTAGCTAACTCTAACACATTAGAAAACACTTGGCTTAGAATTTTCTAAGAGTTAACAGTTTGCATTATTATCTGAATTATTTAAACATTTTTCTTATTTAGTATAGCCTCTCTAGTATAAATCTGTCAGAATGGTTTATGCTTTGGAGTAAGAACTACTCTTTGACCCTCAGAATCTCATTCAAAGATTAAAAACTGTATAATTTGCATTTCAAGTGGTCAGATAGCCATTAAACTATCCAGGTAAAGTGTTTGAATAGGGAATTATTGATTAAACAGAAGCCTTTGAATCACAAATGGAAGAGAAAATGATTGTCAGTCCTCAGGCTTTTCTTTAAATTGTATTTTAGTACTTTTTATTTAAAAAATGTTTTGAAAGATGTCTCAGTGGAAGGAAACGGAAATTTCCCTTGCACCACGTCCTGAGAATGAGATGCGTCTGTTCTTTCCAGAAAATACTAAGGGACAATATTACAGTCGCTTTTCCTAAATTAAGGCATAATGAATGGAAAGTAATCTCTGCTTATCATTAACAGCTGGTTTAGTCCTTTTGTCTGGCTTACGGGATGTCTGAGGTTTAGATGCTATATTACTCTTCTCAGGCTATAATAACAAAATAGCATAGTCTGGGAGACTTAACAACAGAAATGTATCTTCCCACTGTTCTGGCAGCTTGAAGGCCAAGATCAAGGACCAGCAGGGTTGGTTTCTGATGAGGTATCTCTTCCTGGCTTGCAGATGGCCCTCTTCTTCCTGTGTCCTCAGAGTACAAAAGGAGGGGAATCTCTTTTGTTCTCTCCTTATGTGACTGCCAATCCTATTGAAAGCCCCCAGCCTTATGACTTTGTTTAACCTTAATTACACAATTCAGCCCATAGTAGATGCCCAAATTAGTGACACGGATTGAAGAAACGTTAAAGGTTATACAAGCTCCAAGAAAAATGAGAGTACTCCTGAAGTTTTAATATACTGAATCAAGCCTCTGTACCTAGCTGTGGAGATTGTTAACTAGGTATCCTCTAACTGCTTGGTAACATCTACCTGATAAATACTTTGCAAATAGTGAGTTTCAGCAGCACAAGAGAAAAGCACAAGATTCTGGATAAGCAGGAATGCAGAGAAGCTGTAGAGACCCCAGAGCTGACGGCTTCCTGGAGCTGAGGTGGTCGGCACACAGTCAGCCTCACTTCTCATGATCATGCTTGTGAGTCATAGGACCTTGGCTACGGTGCTGCTGAGGATGTTACAATTCCTCTCTTTTATTCTTTCTTTTTATTTATTTATTTTTTAGACAGAGTCTCACTCTGTCGCCCAGGCTACAGTAAAGTGGCGCAATCTCCGCTCACTGCAAGCTCCGCCTCCCGGTTCAAGGAATTCTGCTGCCTCGGCCTTCCTAGTAGCTGGGACTACAGGCGTCTGCCACCACGCCCAGCTATTTTTTTGTATTTTTAGTAGAGACGAGTTTTCACAGTGTTAGCCAGGATGGTCTCGATCTCCTGACCTTGTGATCCGCCTGCCTTGGCCTCCCAAAGTGCTGGCATTACAGGCGTGAGCCACTGCACCCAGCTATTCTTTCTTAAAGCTAAATAAACTTGGTGTTGGTTGAAGCCTACTGTGCCTTGTTAGTTTGAATGACAATGTAAATCTAAGACCTCTGCTTCTGGGTGAGCAGAGTGGGTGCTGCAACTGCTAACCATCTGAGACTATGCGAAGGGAAACAGGAGAAAGAAATTTACTTGTCTTGTATAATAAAGCAGAGGCTTAGGATGTGATGCAATTGTACAATGGAAGAAATAGGAAGGATGGTGAATTGTGGGGCTGAAAATTGGAGGATGGCAGAAATCTCTGTAAGGAAAAGTAGACCCTTGAGCCCTACTAGATCCCACACAGACAGGCAACTTCCTCTTCTTTTCTGTCCTCACTGTCATCCAATCTCTGACCAGAATTCTATCTTCTGAGGAAATCAAAGCAGTAAGGACTCCAACTGAGAAAAATAAGAGATCATGGAAGTCAAAGGTGAGACAGATGCTGAAAATAAGTGAATTAAGTGAAAATCTGCTTACATAATGATAAAATTCGCAATCTCCCATTTCTACTTGTTCTTCGAACACATGCAGCTAGATACAATTTTCTTCTGCCTGCTCCATAGTAAGACAGAAAATTAGTATGTTATCCCACGTAAATCTGGTTGCAGAGAAAATGCATGAAATCCTCAAATTTGAGGACCCACAAATAAACTTTACTTGCTGCAAGATTATCTTCCAACAATGCCTAATAATTGACAATTTCTGCTCATGCACACAGATAAGGCTTCTGATCTGTTGTGTAGTGGGTACTTCATTCTTGAACATGAATGGACCACATTCCCCAGATATTTGATGAAATATTTGATAAAAAAGAGAAATCAAAAAACAAGTGGGTAAAGGATAGTTAAGAAAACAGTGATAATTTATGGAGTAGAATATTTTTCTAACAATCACCTACAATTAATATTAAAACGAGAAGATATATCTATGGAACAAGGACAAGATGATACAAAACAACAATGAAGGAACAAAAATAACTTTGAAACTAAAAAAGGACAGCAGAAAAATAAACTGAGGAATGAAACAAAGATTCTTAATTCTACTAGAATTGTATCTGCATGTTAGATGGACAAAAGGTAAATAGTGTGTGATAGAAAAGACAAGTTTAAAACATCAGAAAGATGAAAAAAAAAAACCTCCTCTGCACTCTTGCTCAAAAAGCTATTATAGGGTGTGTTTCATCAAAATGTAAAAGTAAACCAATATAGAGAAAGAAACTCTTAAAAATAGGTTTTGGCCTGGAGCGTTGGCCCACGCCTGTAATCCCAGCACTTTGGGAGGCCGAGGTGGGTGGATCACGAGGTCAGGAGTTCAAGACCAGCCTGGCCAAGATGGTGAAACCCTGTGTCTACTAAAAATACAAACAAATTAGCCAGGCGTGGTGGTGGGTGCCTGTAATCCCAGCTACTGGGGAGGCTGAGGCAGAGAATTACTTGAACCTGGGAGGCGGAAGTTGCACTGAGCCGAGATCACACCATGGCACTCCAGGCTGGGCAACAGGGTGAGAGTCCGTCTCAAAAAAAAAAGGAGATTTAGCACAGGAAAACATGAAGGAGCAGTCCTAGATCAACCTTTTTGCAGTAGGCCAAGAGAACAACTATTTCAAATGGGAGAAAAACAGCTCTGGGAAAAATTTCATGAAAAAGATAATGGGGTGGGGAGGGGAGGGGCAGATAAAAAGAACTGATAGATTATTTGCTCCATCTGACCACAGGGACTATGGTATTGAAAGTTGTTTAACACCTCTAAGTATAAGTTTGGATAGTCAGTCAGTATCAGATATTAAAAAAAAAAAGCACAACTAAGCAAATGAAAAAAGAATGCCACCATTATCAATTCCAGGGGAAAAAAAGGTTTATGAAATGGAAGGCTAATCATAAATATGCCACCTTTCTCAGTAGTGGATAAATTTACAGTTGTAGCCCTATAAACATTGAATATTGATTTAATCAAAACACCTATAATAGGATGAGCGAGAGAGCAAGAAGAAGTATAAGGGAGTTAAAACATATCGTAACATGCCGTGCAATAGATCACATCTAAAATTGATGTATCAGGAAATCATAGTGGGTTGGATCATCTGTTGTCAACTTGGCAGGCATCGAACCCACCTCCTTTAAGGTCTTCTCTAGAAAGTAGAAGCTGGGAACTATGTTTTCCACATTCGCCTTCTTCTTAGGGTTCCAATGAATGTTACTTGTCTGAGATTTGAAAGGTCAAGCAGAAGGACAGACCTTTATCAGGTGGCAATTGAGAACAAATGCTTGACAGCTGTGAGAGTTCAGAAAGCCTCCAGGTGAGCTTTTGGAGTCATGATCATTGGTGCTGATAACTGAGGTACTTGGATAGCAACCATCCATAGAGTCTTGAGATTTACAGTAGCTTTGTCTGAGGACATATGACCCACTTTACATATTTAAGCTAAAATCCTCTTTGGTTGTTTTCCACATTTTTTTTCCTCCTCAGTCTTTCCAATAGTCAAGTAAGCCTTCAATTTCTTGTATCAAAACCATTAAAAGATACAGGCTGGCTTCTGTTTTCTGAAGTAAATTTGGACTGAAATAAATACTACAAAATTTGTATTTGAAATATGGAAATCAAGATGAGAAGAAACTGCTAAAAAGTTTAAATCTTAGTGCTAGAGACTGAATTTTTTAATTTTTGCAGGTACATAGTAAGTGTATATATTTATGGGTTACATGAGATATTTTGATATAAGCATGCAATGTGTAACAATACTAGGGTAAGTGGGGTATTTATTTCCCTGACGTTCACATGTTGAAACCTAATTCTCAATGTGACAGTATTTAGAGGTGAGGCCTTTGGGAGGTGATTAGGTCACGAGAGTAGAGCCCCCATGAATGAAATAAGTGTCCTTATGGATATCCCAGAAATCTTCCTTGAACCTTTTCCTCATGTGCGGATAAACAGAGAAAAAGACCGTCTATGAACCAGGAAGAGAGCCCTCCCCAGGAACCAAATCAGTCCTCACCTTGCTCTTGGACTTTCCAGACTCCAGGACTGTGAGTAGTAAATTTCTGTCATTTCTAGGTAGCCCAGTTTATGGTATTTTGTTACAGCAGCCTGAATGGACTAAGACACTTGGGAAATGGAAAGAGGGAGTAAGATAGATTTTTAATATCCATACTTATTATTATTATCTTGAACACACACACATGAGGTTTCTAACACAGAGAAAATTATTATTTACTCATAGCAAACAAACCTGTGGTTTCCTGATGCCTCAACTTTTTAACCCTGGGGTAAAGCAATGAGATTCAGATGTTATCCTATACATACTAATTTGTATTGTAGGAGAGTAATTCAGAAAAAAATAATTGAGGTATTTTGCTCATTGGGAAGCATGTTTTTACTCTGACCTTTTGGAATGTATATAAATCTCTCTAAGGGAAAGATAACATTATTGTGTTCAGCTTTTGAACTTAGGGACATCTTTGAAGTCCCATGTCTCAGTAACCTGTTCCCTCCCCCAGTTCCTCAAATATATTTTTCTAGAATTCTTTATTTAAATCGTACATAATTTATCTTTCCAAACTGGCTCATGTCCCGACTTTCTGTAAAATTTACTCAGAAATCTTTACGTATCAAAGCTGAGTTTATTAAGCTTACTATAGAAATGGAAAACTCCACATTCACCATCTCTTAGTATCAAAAGGCGGGAAAAAGATAATTTATAGATTTTGTCCCCTGGACTCAAATAGATTAATGTGTATATTTCAAGGCAAGAAAAATGACTGGGAGTTAATGTCAGAGTTTGTAACATATTTGTTGAAGATTAGTAGACACAGCAAGACCAGGCTCTCAAAATCAACCTCAATGAGTTGGCTATCTTCCTGATGAGTGAGCACTTTGTCCAGGTGAGCAGGTTATTGTGTGTGTTGGGGGGGTGTCTTTGTCGTGAGTCTAGAGTTGACAAATTTTACACCTTTCTTAACTTTTATTTTTTTCTACTTGCTCACTGCATGACTTGAAATAGTTTACAGGTCACTGCATGATATGATTTGGATCTGTGTCCCTACCCACGTCTCATGCTGAAATGCAATCCCCAGTGCTGGACGTGGGGCTGGGTAAGAGGTGATTGGATCATAGGTGCAGTTTCTAATGAATGGCTTAGCACCATCCTCCTTGGTATTGTCTTGATGATACTTGAGTGAATTTTTGTGAGATCTGGTTGTTTAAGTGTGCGCCACCTCCCCCTTCTCTGTTCCTCCTGCTCCAGTCATGTAAGATGAGCCTGCTTCCCCTTCGTCTTCCACCATGATTGTAAATTTCCTGAGGCCTCCCTAGAAGCTCAGCAGATGGCCGACATCATGCTTCCTTTAAGCCTGCAAAACTGTGAGTCAATTAAACTTTTCTTTATAGAGTATCCTGTCTCAGGTATTTCTTTATAGCAGTGGGAGAACGGACTAATATACTGCCTTTTCTCCAATTTGTAGCCATCTTCAACATTCTATCCAGGATTTCATGGATAATTTTTCTGTGCTCACGTATTCTTTTCTCTAGCAGGCCATAACCAGCTTAATTTCATATGTATGTTCGGGAATGTCTGTGGTTTGTGGCAGAGTGACTTATATAGTTAGCACTTACGAAATGCTTATTATATTAATGGACTCCTATTGACAAAATTCTTAACTTCTCTCTTTATTCTCCCACTATGATGCTTCAAATTTCTTAGAAGCTGTATTTACATAGTTGAGTCTTTAAATCAGAGAGCAGAAACAATTTGTGTAAATTAAGTATAGTGCCCAGAACCAAAGCTAGTATTTCAAACAGCTTTTAACTCTCAAACAGAGCTCTGAAACAAAGAGTTTTTAACTCTCTTCTTGCAGATCTTCTGAGGAGATGACAAGGGACAGGAGATCAAGTTCAATGACATGGCCAATGACTCAGCCAATCATGACTACATGACTGACTACATGGTGAAACCCCAATGAAAACTCTCACCATCTAGCTTGGAGAGCTTCTGTGGTTGTCAATGCTCTGTGTATCATCACATTTCAATGTGCCATGAGGGTGACACTTTCTGATTTCACAAGGAGAAGACAACTGGAAGCTTAGGGTCTGAGACTCTGCCAGACTTAGCACCATGTGTTTTTTCTCTGGCTGGTTTTGATTTTGTATCGTCTCTGCTATAATGAAGCTGTAATCATAAATGTAGCACTTTCCTGAGTTCTGTGAGTCATTCAAGTGAATTCTCAAACCTGAAAGGAACCCTCAAGTGTGTAGCCAGTTGGTTAGAAGTGAGGATGTCCCTGAGATCCTTGAGCATGCAGCTGGTGTCTGAAGTAAGGTGGTCTCATGGAGGACCTGTAAAATTTGGACTAACTCTAGATAGTTAGTGTTAAAAGTCATTGCACTGCTGGTTTCCCTTGCTGCTAAATACTGAGCAATTCTCTGTAATGATCTCAGCCCTTTTTGGACCTGCCATCATTTGTAGAATGCCTGTGGCCCCTATCCAGAGTATTCAAGTAATTCTGAGTGTCCTGAAAACCACAGGGAGCCTGGACCACTGCCTGAGGCTCATATGGCCATCTGCCGTAGCTTCTGGCATACAATTATTTTGTCTTAGTGAAAGTAGCTGTAAGCACTACAGGCTAGTAACACCTGAATTTCCAGAGTGGATTTTGTGATGTGCCACACAGACTCCTTTTTAGGACTGAAATATGTAGGCTCTCAGCTTTTCAGAATGTCACTGGCTTACTGCCCTCAGATGACAGTCTTTTCTGGAAAATGCCCCATGTTGGAGACAGCTGCTTTACCCAAGTGACAACCTACATTCAATTATGATAGATGCAGGAATATAAAATCCCAGTTCTCTCATTACAATGCAGGCAATGCTGAAGGCCCGTCACAGCTTCAGAGCTCCTTGTAGGTTTGGCCTTTGTTTGGACTGCATCACTGTTTAGCTTCTCCTTCTGTCCAATCCTGCCTCATTTCATTACTTTTTTAAGTTTTCAAGGACTTCTGTGGTAGAATTCTTGTGTAGTAATCTTTTCAAATTTTGCTTCCCAGGGAACCCAGTCTGCAATAGTTGGCACCGACTGGTCAGAGAAAGAAGAGATAGAATTCAGAAGCTTAATTACCTGCTAGCTCACATTTAGGCCTCCATAACTTTTGTCAGATGAACAAAAATGAACCTTGTACAAGATAGCAATGTTGTTAAGTGCTTCAGTATATTATTGAAAGGAATGCAATAGTAAGTACAGATTATCATGATGATGAGTAATCTGAGGTAACAACTGACATAAAGTATAGAGAAAGCAAGTGGTTGTTGTTAAGTGCAATCGATGCTTTGAAGAAAGATAACCAAAGTGATTAGGCAGTAATTTGAAATTAAGTTTAAAAGCCAGAGGGCTTCCTTGATAGCATAGCAAGGCCTAACTACAGCCAGAGAGCAAGTAAAGCTGAGGACCAAGCCAAGAACTTAATGATTAAAGCACCAGAGCTTCAAAGAAGGCTAAATGATGGACCAAGGCAGTTATCCTATGTGATGTCAAGGCGTTGATTAAGAAATGCAAACTTAGTCATGTGATGAAGACATCTGGGTTGATACGCTAGAACAACCTTGATTCACAGACTCCCCTAGACCATCTGTTCATGCAGAGGAAGCCCACTCCTCCCTGGTAAAAGCTGACATACTTCCTTCCTTAAAGACAGTGTAGAGGTCTCCCCCTGTAGGAACACATGTCTTATCCTGCACTCATCTCCTTTCCTGGATATTAGACCAATTATTTGGACGTCACAGCTTAGCTGGAGAAAGCATTTGGTCAGATAAGGGATTAAAGGGACTATTATACAAAGAGCTGCAGGAAATAGTCTTACTTCCCTTGGGGAGAGAAGTGAACCTCATCCTTCAAGGAAGGACATGAGAGAAAATAGAAATGCATGGTACAAAAATGTCGTTTATAATACATAAATTGAAATGAATGAATGAATGACTCAGCTCATATCATCCCCCCAAGAATATTCTATGTCCTGTCAAGGCAGAAATACTCCTTGTTGTGCATGCTAATGGCCTTTTTTCATATTTCTATTATAGAAATTATTACATTGCTGTTATTTTTCACAGTCATGTCTCCTCTGCTGCTGGAGGAAATTCTGAAGAAGAGTGAGTGCATTTGATTTCTCTTTAAACACATATGAGATAACTAGCACGGTGTCTGGCTTTGAAATGAAACACTGAAACCTCCATAGTTGCTTGTAATTTTAAGGCCATTCTGACCGAAGACAGACAAAAAGTGAGTCAATCATGAGCCCTCAACTTTTAGGGCTCATGATTGACTCACTGTCTATCCACATGCTTCATATGTTTTTGTATTAATGAGTAAGTAGGTGGATAAGGATAATGCATATTTACTTAATCTTTTAATTAAATTCAACTGAATGATGGGAAGCCTCTCTCTCAAAGATATCCATCCAGTTAGATGGCCTTGTACAGCAAACATCGGGCTAAGTTTGAATTTGAGTTCACATTATCATATTAAAATGATAATACTAGGTGAAATTTTCTTGACTTCAGTCAGATAATCTTTGAGAGGCAACTCTTCCTTGGATCACCAAAAATACTTTAAATTTGAGAAATGGGTAATCCTAACCCATTCAATTTTGTTTACACCCAGCTATAATGGTGGAAAGCTGTCAAAATCCAACCCCAGAGAACAAAGTCATTACCTCCAACAAACTCATGTGTTCAAGCTGCCAATTTAAGGCTCAGAGTAAGCTCTCAAAAAGAGAGCTGATAGCAGTGCCTCTAAGTAAGTTGCAGCCAACTAGCTTAAAGGGACTTAAAGATATTTTATCGGCATCTAAGTCAGGAAATGCAACAATACAACTAAATTCCAGTGGTCCAAGATAGTGGTGAACCTTCATGATGCTCTGCTGCAAGTGACAGATGCAAGTCTTTGGAAGCTGTGCCAAAAGGGAGTTATAATAAAACTGGCTGCATGATGAGAAAAAAACACAGCCGTGTGGCAGGACATTCATGAGAAATATGGATTCAGCTGGTGTTGTTTACACATCAGAAAAAATGTATTTTTGTGCTAAATCCAATCTGTGATGTTCCAATGAGAACATGTGGCCTCCAGTAATCCACTATCAAAGCTGATCTTCTTACTTGCATAAAGAGTGATACAAAAGAAAGAGGGATTAGAGACTCTGTTTTTATTTCATTCCTCTGAATGTTATCTTTGGAGGATTAAGAATGACTGATACTGATACACTGAGACAACCAGTTTAGACCAAGTAATTCTTGAGAGAGAAAATTGACAGATATATCTGGCTGTGCACCTGAATACTAGGAAAATACTTATGAAAGTGTGCTTTGAGTTTAGAATGTTCATTCTGATAGATTTTATATATATTTAATCATTCAGGAAAGAGGAGAGCTATGCGAAGTCTGTAGTAAATGGCACATTTGAAATGTCAATTGGCATATTCATGAGTATATTTCCTACTTGTAAATAAAATTAATAGAACTGGAAACATACTGCTACAGACTGAATACTTATATCCTTTACAAAATGTGCACATTTAAATTCTAACTTCAAGGTAAGGGTATTAGGAGGAAGGATCTTTGGGAGGTGTTTAGGTCATGGAAGCAGAGCTTTCTTGAATGGGATTACTGACCTTATAAAAAGACCTCAGGGAGATCCCCTGCGCTTTCTCACTGTATGAGGGCAAGCTGTCAAGGTGCTGTCAATCAGTAAGCAGAACCTCACCAGACACTGAATCTGCTGGCACCTTGATCTTGGATTTCCAAGTCTCCAGAACTGAGAAATAAATTTCTGTTGTTCGTAATCCACCCTGTTTATGGTATTTTGTTAAAGCATTCTGGATGGACTGAGACACATACATTGCAGCATCGTCTCTTAGAAGGTGTCCACACATTTTTGCAAAACAAAAGACACATTAAAATGTCCACTCAGGGTGCTGCCACAGTGAGTTTAGTACTGAAACTTTGGTTTTGGAAGCAACAGATTCACTGCAGTGGGAGTCTTAGAACAGAGGGCAACCCAACGCTAGCTCTGTAACTGAGAAAGATGAATAGTGCCCAGACTCTTAAATTCTCAGACCCTAGCAAAGTAGCTGGTAAATGGAGGTATTCATTCATGAATGACTTTTTTTCTTTCAACTTCTATTTTAGGTTCAGAGGTTACACGTGAAAGCTTGTTACATGAGTAAATCATGTGTTGCTGAGGTTTGGTGTATGAATGACCCCTTCACCCAGGTAGTGACCATAGCTAATTGTTGGTAGCTTTTCAATGTATCCCCACCTCCCAGTCTCCCCCTTCAAGCAGTCCCCAGTGTCTACTGCCCATCTTTGTGTCCACGTGTATTCAATGTTTAATTACTACTTATAGGTGATAACATGTGGTATTTGGTTGTCTGTTCCTGTGTTAGTTTGCTTAGGACAATGGCTTTCAGCTGCATCCACATTGCTGCAAAAGACATGATTTCCTTCCTTTTTAGTGTAGTATTTAATGGACCACATTTTCTTTATCCAGTCAGATGTTGATGGGCCTCTAGGTTGATTCTCTGTCTTTGCTATTGTGAATAGTGCTGCAGTGAACACAGAACTGCATGTCTTTTTGGTAGAACAATTTAATTTCCTTTGGGTATATACCCAGTGGTGAGATTGCTGGGCTGAATGGCAGTTCTGTTTTCAGTTCTTTAAGAAATCTCCAAATTTCTTCCCACAATGGCTGAGCTGATTTACACTCCCACCAGCAGTATATAAGTGATTCCTTTTCTCCACAACCCATTTGTTGTTTTTTGTCTTTTTAATAATAGCCATTCTGACTGGTGTGAGATTGTATCACACTGTGGTGCCTTTCTCTAATTGCCTTTCTCTAATTATTAGTGAGGATGAGCATATTTTCATATATTTGTTGGCTGCATGTATGTCTTCTTTTGAGAAATATCTGTTTATGTCCTTTGCCCATTTTTAATGGGGTTATTTGCTCTTTTGCTTGTTGAATTACTTAAGTTCCTTATAGATTCTAGATATTAGAACTTTTTCTGATGCATAGTTTGTGAATATTTTTTTCCCCATGCTGTAGGTTGGCTGTTTACTCTGTTGATAGTTTATTTTACCGTGCAGAAGCTCTTTAGTTTAATTAGGTCCCACTTGTCAATTTTTGTTTTAGTTGCAATTACTTTTGGGGATTAGTCATAAATTCTTTGCCAAGGCTGATGTCCAGAATGGTACTTCATAGCTTTTCTTCTAGGGTTTTTGTAATTTTAGATCTCCCATTTAAGTCTTTAATTCATCTGTAGTTAATGTTTGTAATATGGTGAAAGGAAAGGGTCCAGTTCCAATCTTCTGCATATGGCTAACCAGTTATCCCATCCCTATTTAGGGAGTCCTTTCACCATTGCTTATTATTGGTGACTTTGTTTATCATCAGGTAGTTGTAGGTGTGTGGCTTTATTTCTTGGCACTTTATCCTGTTCCATTGGTATATGTGTCTGCTTTTGTACCAGCACCATACTGCTTTTCATGAATTTAAACTGAATTTCATATCATCATGAAAAGTTGAGCAGATTACAAATTGCAGATTGTCCCAGAAAATAAAAAAAATCATGAAAGTGTAGGTATCATAAACATTATTGATTGACTGCTTGAAGACAGTCACTTAATACATTAAATCTTCAGTTTTATTTCTAACAGTGAATGTATTTACTTTTATTTAAATATCCATTTGCAAAATGAGTTTTCTTAAATCAAAGGCCTGTACTTTTATCTCATAATGGCAAGTAATTAGCAACAAACCCACTTTGATGTGACATCAATTTTGTGTTGATATATTCCGTCCATAAACCATCATTATATGACTCCAACATTCTACTTAATAATACATTGTCCATTATATTAATACATTGGCTAGATGACTTTGTACCAGGAAAAAAAATTATCTTACTTGAAGAATTAGTAGACTGCTTTTCATCAGATGATGACAATTAGATAATGGATCATGTTTCCTTTGTTATCTTGCCAGAATGCCAAGAACTAAATTTAATCATCAATCAATGTAACTAATTAGGCATAAGTTGATATATCTTCCTTACTTTCTTTGACATATTTTTATTTTCTTATTTTATCCTAATACTTGCATATTAAACCTCAGCAAACAAATGCATATAAAATAGGTATATAGGTAGGTGGCCAATCTATGCATCAGATATTTGTCATTATAAAGATGTTAAATCAAACAACCAGAAAAAATCTTTTGTTGATAAGATAAACAAGACCTCAAGCTGAGTCAGTTGGAAGTAATCACCTTCAAATTAGACCACCTCACTCTGCCTGTCATCACAAGCTTGCAAAACATCACACTTAAAACATTTATTAAAGCCAATAGATGATTATCATCTTCCTCTTCCAGTTTTAAAAGAAATGATTAAACAAAAATTTCTTAATGTTTAAGAAGACTTTTTGTCTTAGATGTAGCAAAAATAATTGGTACTTGCTTTTTGTTCCTTTTTAATCAAAAGGTTGAGTTTAAACACCATCTGGAATTGTATTTTTCCTTTAATTTATTTACATAATCAGATTTGAATACTCAAATTTATCTATAAGAATTTTTCAAATAATAAATATTATGGTTATTTGATATAGTTTGGATGTTTGTTTCCTTAAAATATGATGCTGAAATGTGACCTTCAGTGTTGGAGGTAGAGGCTGGTGGGAGGTATTTGATCATGGGGGCAGATACCTTACGAATGACTTATCATCCCCTGCATCATCCCCTAGTGCTAAGTCATAAGCAAGTTATTGCTTAGTTCACAAGAGATCTGGTTGTTTAAAAGACCATGGCACCTCCTCCCACCCTTGCTTCCTCTTACTATATAATGCACTGGCTCTCTGTTGCCTTCTGCCATGATTGTAAGCTTCCTGAGGCATCACTAGGAGTAGATGCTTACACTATGCTTCTTGTACAGCCTGAAGAATAGTAAGCCAAAATAAACTTTTTTTTTAATAAATTATCCAGCCTCAGGTAATCCTTTAGAGCAATACTTGCAGACCAACATAGAAAATTGGCACCAAGTTGCTAAAAAGATATCTGAAAATGTGGAATCAGCTTTGGAACTGTGTAATATGCAGAAGCTGGAAGAGCTTGGAGGGCTCAGAAGAAGACAGGAAGATGAGGGAAAGTTTTTAACTTCTTAGAGACTGGTTAAATAGTTGGGACCAAAATGCTGATAGAGATATGGACAGTGAAGGCCAGGCTGATGAGATCTCAGACAGAAATAACGAACTTATTGAGAACTGGAGTAAAGGTCACCCCTGTTACTCCCTAGCTAAGAACTTAGCTTAATAGTGTTCATTCCTTACAGCTTTGTGGAAGGTAGAACTTAAAAGTGATGACCCAGGGTACCTTATGGAAGAACTTTCTAAGCAGCAAAACATTCAAGACATGGTCTAGCTGATTCTAACAGCCTATGATCAGATACAGGAGCAAAGGAATGACTTAATGTTGGAATTTATATTTAAAAGGAAAGCAGAGTGTAAAAGTTTGGAAAATTTGCAGGTTAGCTATGTAGCAGAGGAAGAAAAAGCTTTTTTTAGGAGAGGAATACAAGTGGGCTTAGGAGCAACCACTTGCTGGAGAGATTTGCCTGACTAACTGAGAGCCAAGTGCTAATATGCAAGACAATGAGAAAAAGGCCTTGAAGGCATTTCAGGGATCTTTGAGTAAGTCCCTCTTATCACAAGCCCAGAGGCTCAGTAGGAAAAAATGATTTCCAGAGCCAGGCTCAGGGCTCACTACTCTATGCACCCTCAGGATACTGCTTCCCATATCCTGGCTACTTTAGCTTTAACTCCAGCCATGGCCCGAAGGGTTCCAGTACAACTCAGGCCATGGCTCCAGAGGGTGCAAGCTATAAACCTTGGTGACTTCCACATGATGTTAAGCCTTCAGGCACACAGAATGCAAGAATAAAGGAGGCTTGGCAGCTTCCACCTAGATTTCAGAGGATGTATGAGAAGGCCTGGGTGCCAAGCCACAGGGGCAGAGCCCTTGCAAAGAACCTCCACTAGGGTAGTGCTGTGGAGAAATGTGGGGTTGGAACACTCACATGGAGTCCCCACTGGGGTACCGCCTAATGGAGCTATGGGAGTGGGGCTGCTGCCCTCCAGACCTGAAAATGGGAGAGCCATGGGCAGCTTGCATCCTGAGCCTAGAAAATCCACAGGAGCTCAACTCCAACCCTTGAGAGCAGCCATGGGGGTCCCCAGATTCATATGTTGAAACCTAATACCTCATGTGGTGGTGTGAAGCAGGCCTTAGGGGAGGTGATTAGTGTCTGAGGGAGCTTATTCACCCTTCTATCATGTGAAGACATAAAAAGTGACATCTATGAGGAATGAATCCTCATCAGACATTTAATCTGCTGGTACCTCAATCTTGGACTTCCTAGCTTCCAGATCTATGAACAATAAATATTTGCTGTTTATACATTACCCAGTCTAAGGTATTTTGTTATAGCAGCCTGAGTGGGCTAAGACATCAAAGAAATAAAGTTTATACTTAAAATGAAATGTACCTCTCTGCACTGCTGAGGTGAAAAAAAAAATTGAAAGAAAAAGAAAAGAATAGAAATGTAATGAAGTTTAATGTATTCATTCTTATTTTTCTTCTTTCTGTGACATGTTGCTTGCAAATTTTTCAGCCTTTTGGGGACTCAAGGTTATTTTGCATTCAAATACATTTTAAAATAGAGATTTACTACAGAAAAACACCCCAGGGCAAAATAAGGAATAAACATAGAAATCTTGGAAAATCATGGAAATATTACATGCATACAACAGACCAAAAAGTCATAGCATATGCTACCTCTTTATCCCTCCCAATTGACACGAGTACACGAAACAAAAAAGTTTTGGACTCACCTAAACAGGATGTACAATTCAAGCTCATTTCATAAATGTTATATGACTGAAAACTTTTATCTTGAGTAAACTGGTGTGTTTAATTTTCATTGAAAACAAAATCATAGGCTGAGCGTGATGGCTCAAGCCTGTAATCGAGCACTTTGGGAGGCCAAGGCAGGCGGATCACTTGAGGTCAGGAGTTCAAGACCAGCCTGGCCAACATGGTGAAACCCCATCTCTACTAAAAATTCAAAAATTAGCCAGGCATAGGTGGTGGTGCCTGTAATCCCAGCTACTGGGGAGGCTGAGGCAGGAGAATTGCTTGAACCCAGGAGATGGAGGTTGTGGTGAGCCAAGATCACGCTACTGCACTCCAGCCTGGGTGAAGAAGCAAGACTCCATCTCAAAAAAAAAAAAAAAAAAAAAAAAGAAGAAAAACAAAATCATAATTTCAGAATATAACATAACTGCTATGTAGTATTTCTTTGGTACAGAAATTTATAGTTAAAAAACTTACTAGACAGATTAAAAAAAGGGAGGCTACTAAAATGCACTAATTGTTTTTCATAAGCTGATATGGCTAAAAGTCTGACTAGTACAGACCTGCCTCAAGTAAAACAACTATTTAGTGATAAATATTAAATTAGGTAATAAACTTAATTTTATAGTACTTCTACATTTTTAATAACTGTTAATTTAAATATTGATACCTAACGAAGTTGACATTTATATCTCTTTGTTTATATTCTTTGCATTCAAAATTAGTTTTTCAAGACCACCTTTGTATGCAGACTGTCTTAAGATATCTTGGCATACTCTATTTTCCCCAAATATGGTGTTTTATGTATATATTATATTATACATATGTATTTATGTATATATTATATACATATGCAATTATATCTATACATATTATTTGCTAGTTAAGATTTAAATTAAATCTTTAACTTTAGGCTTTTTAAAAAAATGACATATATTAAACCACTGAGCATAATGAACCCATCAGGGGAAAAATCTTGGGTTATTCTAGTTGTTTTTTTCACTAGACATTTATAATGATCAGGAAAATGGTAATTATTATTATTTCACTTGACAAGAACAGAATTCACACTGACATTGCTTTTGCTGCTCTTGTTTTTTCCACCGCACTGTCATTAGCATCTCCCACACCAGGAAGGCTGAGGCAGGAAAGAGTTACTTTTATTTTTCTTTGTGGAACCAAGAGGCTGAAGTTGTCAGAAATTCTGTTATCTCCTTATTCCTTCATTCTTCATGGATAAAGAACAAAAATGGGAGGAAATATCAATAGAGATTCTCTCACCTCTTCTAATTTTTTTTTTTTTTTTTTGGCGTAGGTTAACCAATAGTCAGGAATTTGATGGAGAATATTCTCGTGAAAACTGAACTTCTAGAGACAAATTTTCAGAGTATCTGGGTTTAATTGTTTGTTTTGGGTGAGACAGAGGCCAAGAGGAGGACAGAAATAGGTGGGCAGAAGTAGAATGTGACAGGTTAGTGACCATTGCTTTTTACAATGAGAAAAGCAGTTTAGGCATCCCAGCCAGTCTTAGAGACGATGGTGTGGGGATCAAAAAAGACTGAAATCAGAACCTGAATCTAAGAAATCAGATTTTCCCAGAAGCTGTTCTCAGGCCGCATGTTCCCTATATCTAGAATATTTGCTTCTAGCTAGCACTCTGTATTAGTTTGCCAGGGCTGCTGCATTACTGTCCTAGGACTGCCATAACAAAATATCACAGACTGGGTCACTTAAACAACAGAAATTTATTTCTCACCATTCTAGTGCCTGGAAGTCCAAGATCAAGGGGTGAGCAAATTTGGTTTCTCCTGAGTTCTCTCTCCTTGGCTTGCAGAGAGTGTCCTCACAGGGCCTTTCTCTGTGACCAGTATCATCAGTCATATTGGATTAGGTCTGCCCCATTATGGCCTCATTTAACCTTAATGACTGCCTTAAAGACCCTATCTCTAAATCTAGTCACAGGGGTGGTTAAGGATTCAACACAGGAATTTTGGGGGTGGGGGAACAGAGATGCCATAACAAAATAGAATACGCAGGATGGCTTTAACAACAGAAATGTATTTCTCATAGTTCTGGAGGCTGGAAGTCTGAGATCAAGGTGGCAGGACTGTACTCCTCTGAGGCCTCTTTCTTTGGGTTGTCCATGGCCCTTTCTTGCTTCCTCTTCACGTGGTCACCCCTTTGAGCACACGCATATTGCTCGTGTCTCTTTTTGTGTATCCTAATCTCCTGATATAAGGACAACAGTCAGATTGGATTAAGGATTATGCCCACCCTAACAGACTCATTTAACTTAAGTACCTCTTTAAATGTCCTATTTTCAAATACAGTCATCCTGAGGCTCTTTGAGTTAGGGATTCAACATGTGAATTTTGAAGACACATAATTCAGTCCATAACAACTATCATATTATACAATATACCTTTAAGTAAGTATTAAGTAAATATTGTCCAAAGATGAATGTGACATGATGTGCTTTTAAGACACATAAACTTATCTTCTAAACTAATCTATTTAACTAAGGGGTATAGAGTTCAAAAGTCAGCTTGTGTAAATATTATTAAAATATTTGCATAGATGTCAAGACAAATGATACTAAATTAAGTGGATATTCATATTAAAATATTTTGTCGACCCCTAGCTAATTCTATAAATAAATTTTTTCCAAGCTTCATCATAGATTTAAGCATAAATTCTAGAGCCATGTTTTGTAAAAGAAAATATAGAAACTATTCCCCTGTGACCGGGGGATAGGAAGATCATTTTTCAGACAGGATACAAAAAGAAGTAATTATGATGGAAAACAAATGGTCAACTAGGTAAGATGAAAATTTATAATTTCTCCTCATGAGGGAAATGAATTGGTCATTTACAATTAGTTTACAATGTTTGATACACACATATAAACACGCACACATGAACGCACACATGCATATGTCACTATGGAACAGTAATCTATAATCAATAACTCTAAAACGTAATAGACTAAATCTGGAAACAAACCAAATGCCTATCAGCAGGAGAAGAGAAAAACACATTGTGGTAAACCCACATAATAAGCACTACCCAGCAATAAGGGAATCCATCACTGAAATACACAGCAGAATGGAGGAATCTTGCAGACACTACACGGAGCAAATGATGCCAGGCAATCAAAGGGATGAACTGACAGACGGTTACAGAAGTCAGAAAGCGGCTGCCTTTGGAGGGAAAATTGTCTGGAAAGAGACAAAAAAGAACTTTCTGTGGTGACAGAAATGTGCTAAATCTTCTTTTATTTGATCATTACACAGGTCATAGTCATATATAATTGTCAAATACACTGAACTGAACATTTAAAATCCTATGCATTTTGTTAGAATAAAATTTTTTAAAAAGAAGAAATAAAACTCAAACATAGCCAGAAACTTTTTGGTAACAGTAAAAAGGCTTGGCATTTATTTTACCACTATTGGGTATTGCTGCATTTAAATTTGGGGAGAGACAGGCCTTGAATAAATCATTTATCATTGTATGCAATATTCAATAGTTAATTGCACAGGACAAGGCAAACTGGAAAGGTGATGAGGAATGGGACGTTCTGATAAGGGAAATTTATTTATTTATTTTTCTGACAGCAAGAAAATTAAGTAGTGCTCATATATGCAATATATAGACATACGGTCCACACACAGGTACACAGTATATGCAAATATTCTTAGAATTGTCTTAGAAGTAATGTAAACCATTTTACTATGATTTTGCTAAAGTATCAATCTGTGAAATATGTACATTTTATTCCTGTGCTATAGGCCAACCAGTGAAAGATATAGTATCAATCTCTGTCATATATAATAGTCTCTGATGACTTGTGAACTTCATGCAATTTATACTTTAATCATTAGTCTTGGTAGTAGAGAAGTGACTGACTCTGTTACATAGTCCCCTTGAAACATCTAAGGGTTATAAAAGAGGGAAGTAAAATATAAGCTCTATTTGGAGCCAATTTTCCTCTTCTGAGAAGCATATTCTCAGTGAGAAAGAGATAATGCCACTTTTACAATCATTCTAATATATAGATTCTCAGGAAGAGGTTTTAGTTACATGATTAAGGATTTGAGTACGATGTTGGAGAGAAACAGTACATCTTTTGGTGCAGTCTTCAGAGAGAATGATGGACATATTCAGTCAGGTATTTGAACTGGTGTGAATATTGTGCTTTTATTTCCACTTCATATGGGATTATTTACAATTGAGTGATTCTAAGCTGCTGCTGGGAAACTTAGATTAGAATGAGTGAATGGATGAATAAATGAAATATATTAAGCCATAGAATGGAATATTTGGTAATTTCACATATCATGTTATCTTATGGAAAACTAAACATGAAAAAAATGTACAGGAAAAATTAAATTGTAGAAAAAAATTAAAACTATGACAAAATTCACAAGACAAATAACAGGTAGCATTTACATAGTGTTAATTCTACATGGCGGCAGATACAGTTCTAAATAACTTTACATATGCATCAACTAATTGAATACAACATCGTTAAGTACTAACATTTTACTTATGAGAGGTTTAAGGCACAAAAAGGTGAATTTATTTGCTTTAGGTGCCAAAGATAAAAGAGCCAGATCTGGGACTTAAACTCGAGTTGTCTGGCTTCAAGTTTTGTCCTCTATACTGTATGACTCCAAACCGTCCACCCTGCCATGCACACACGTGCACATACACACACGTACACACACACACACACTTCTACCTATAAAGTTACAACACACAGCTTGAGAAAGAAAAAGTTGACAATTACCTAGAAATGGAAACATGTTCTCTTTCACCTAGGAGACAATTATTGTTTTGACAATGTGTGAACAAAACAACTTTCATCATCTCTGAAGATCTTTTCTCTCCTTTTTTCTATGGTGCTTGTGATACTACTTATTTCCATTCTCATACAACCAGACATAGCATTGTTTTCCAAGCAGAATATTCCACTGTAACATTGTTCCACAAATGGATGAATGAATAAAATAAATGAAGCACCTTCAGATCTTTTGCCATGAAGTTATCCTGAGTAATTTTTTTCCTGATATTTTATTGCTAACTTCTTTAGGATTATGCCAAAGTTATATTTCTTAGTGTAGTCACTAATTATAAAAATGTTCCTTGCCAGAAATTTACCAAATGTCTTTTAGCTCCAAACATACCATTCTGTGCCCTGGCAAATAATTCTGGAATTATGGCTGTGCAAACAATTTCCAGGATGCTTTCATAGTTGGCTCTTTTTGGGGTTTTCTAAATTGGTGGAACTAGTGGGAGATTAGAAACCAAAATAAGAGGACAACCCATAAGTTCTTCATCTCTAGTTCTAACCCTCTTTCTTTGTTTGTGGGCAATGTGCCTCTTCCAACTCTTCAACTTCTTAGGCACCAGCTCTATCCCTGGCCGCAGTTCCTATAAATAGCATTTCCTCTCTATGCTCTCCTAGACCCAGAGATGCTAGCTATTATCTGAAGTTTCTCATCTCTGAGTTACTTTACCTTTTCCTCTTATGCCTCTAGCCTTCCAGCATCTATTTTACTGATATCCCGTATTAAATCCCTTCTTTTTGAAACATCCAGCATGGTTTCTGTATTTTTTGACTGGATCTTGACCCAGTGCCTCCTTTACAACCACACAATAAATTCGTATCAATGAGAGTGGATTCCAGAGACAGTAAGAAGAGAAGTAAAGATAACAATAACATTATCTAACAACATTATTATATATATAATAATAACATTATTATCTGCCTTTATATTTTAAAAAGGTCATTTATAGATTATCTAATTAATTGATCTATGTACCTACCAACCATACTGTGAATAGTTTTCTTGAATGAATTCAGTTATTCCTCACAGCACTTCTTAGAGCTAAATGCTGCAATTATGCACATTTTTTCAGATAAAGGCAGAGAGATTTTTAAAAACTGCTGGTAGAAATTAGAATTTAAAAAGGGGCAGAGCAGAGGAGTTTATCTGTATAGGGAAGCAAAGAACTGAAGAAGGCCTCTTGAAAAAATCATAGTAAAATCATTTCTTTTCAAGATGGGCAATATTGAAGCATTATATGCAGATAGCATTAATCTGGTAGAATGGGAAAAATTAATGATATAGAAAATATAAGGATTACTTGCAGGATTGACTTGAGTAGGAGAGAAGGGGTTCCATAGAATAGATATAGAAAGGGTGTTTCCTTAGATAGGAATGTAATCCATTGACAAAATATATGGTGCAAATAAAAATACATTGATGAAATGGAAGCAAAAGTATTTGGAAATTCATTTATGATTGCCTCTGTTTTCCCAGTAGATAAAAAACAAGGCTAATAGTTGATGATGAGGAAGAGAAAAAGAATGTTGGGATGATTAGAAAAAGAGAGAATGTTATGATTTTGTTACTTAAAATTAAATGACTGGCCAAGAGGAAAATAATGGTTTGTCATGCAGCACTAAAGGAGAGATTGAAGTTTTTGGTTATAAACTTAAAGTGAGATTAATCAACATGGTTGTATAATTTTCTTTAGTCACATGCAGCTGCAAAAGTGCCAGTGTAGAAAAGGCAAATAATTTTATTTACTCTGAACTGTAGTTTTATCTGGTGATTAAAAGAGAGGGAGAAGTCCAAGGGAACAGAGAGTAAAATGCAAGAGTGTATAATGAATCATGTCATCCTGATTGAGTCATAAAAAGATGGTACTGGGCATTGAAAAGGTATAGGAGTATAGAATTGAAAGTTCTGATGAGATGGAGGAATTGTTGAGATCTGGGAGGAGAGAGGAGCTAGTGCTTGGAGACTGGGAAGCTTGAAGTTATGGAGGGGGTGCAGTAGTAGTCATGACAAGATACAGAAAGGAACATACAGAAAGAGTAGCTGAGGAAGAGTAAAGGATGGCTCAGATCTCTGCCCTTAAGTATAAATCAGGATATAAAGTGAGATAAGACTTGTGCCGTGTCAATTATTTTATAAATCAGAATGTGGTCAATGCTGTAAGGCATGTATAAAGAAAAAAGTTAGATCAGAAAAGAAAGAAATCACTCTTGGCTGGTTAACCAAGAAGAAAGTGGGATTTCAATTCTGCCGTGAAGGGTGGGTGTTATTTGTAAACATGGTGGTGGAGGAGGAAGTGTGTTCTGCATAGAAGAAATGCTACAAATAATGATCCATTGAGAGGTAGTGTCAAAAGGCCTTTAATGCCAAGGGTAGGGAATTTGGATTGACTTGATAGGCAAGAGAGTATTAGTTTAGGATTTTAAGAAGGAATATCTTATTATTTATTATCTAAAAGGAAAAATGAACCACCAGTATTGGGAAAGGTGAATTAGAGGAAGAATGTTCGGTAAAAGGTTAGTTTGCATATGAATGCTGTAATAGCCTAGGTCAATATAGTAAAGCCCTATATTAAGTCATGGTAGAATGAAAGTATATAGATTATTAGTTGTTACAAATGATCACAAAATGATATACGAACTGTTTATTTTCATCAACTGACTAGCCAGGTGACTCTTCAGCTCCCTTGATCTTGGCTGGGACCACTCACATGTCTTGTGACCACCTGGCTGATGCTGCTCTGGGATGGCCTTCACTGCAATAACTAGGGCAACCTGATGGGGAGTCACAAACCTCACATCCTCTCCCAGGCTAGACTTGGCACTTCTCATGCCAGTGGCACAAGGACAAGAGCAAAGTGGAAAATCACAAGTACTTTTTAAAAACCATTTAAGTCCCAATCTGCTAACTTCTCACTGGACAAAGCGAGTCCCATGACCAACCTGAGTCAGAGACCTCACAACCACAAGAAGAAAAACATGATGCAGGGAAGGATAAAGAACTTGGACCATTTTTGTAACATATTTACCACAGAATGGAAAGAAGAGGACAGATTTAAACAATATTTGAAATGCACATGTGCATGTATATGCCTGTGTGCAGATGTGTGTGTGTGTGTGTGTGTGTGTGTGTGTGTGTGATTAATCAGCAACTGACTGCCTATGGAAATAAAGAAAGAAAAATTCAAGACACTTAAAATTTCAAATCCTTGTCTATGGAATGATGACAGTACCATTACAGAGATAAAAAGTCATGGGGTCATGGGGAGAAGTTGGGTTGATAGAATAATGATAAGTTTAGTTTTGAGCCATTGAATTTGAGATAAGCAAGATGTGCAATAGAGAGCTGGAAATTCTGAACAAGAATTTGCACATATATGTGACATATGTTTTATGTATGTAAAATATATGTTACATATATGCACACTATTTCCAGGGATATATAGTTTTCAAGAGAGAGATAATTTTTAGGGGAGGGTATGCAGAGAGAGGTATAATTTTGAAGAATGAATGCAATGTCTGGTGTAATGAAAGATGCACAGCTATTGTTCAATAAATTTATTCGATTAGATGAATATAATTAGCAAAACCTTGAGGCTGAATTAAAGAATATTTAAGCCAGAAAGAAATAGCCTATTCGTTGAGATGAATGCAAAAACAATAGAGAAAAATGACTCCTACTTGGAATTTCTACAGTGGTGGGTTGATGTAGAGGTATGAAGACGTTCAAACAGGCTAGAAAGAGGAAACCTAGTAGTGAGATAAGATGGGGAGATGTGAAGGTACACATGCTAAAGAGCCGAGGAGATGGGAAGCTAAGGCAGGAGAATCGCTCGAACCCTGGAGGCAGAGGTTGCAGTGAGCCATGATCGCGCCATTGCACTCCAGTCTGGGGGACAAGAGCAAGACTTGGTCTCAAGAAAAAAAAAGCCAAGAAGAAATTCTGAAAGGAGGTCGGTGATTTTGGTGTTTCTCCCTCATTTGCTCCATGTTTGAAGTGATTTACCAGTTAGTCACCAGGGGCTGCACCTGAATTCTGGGAACAGAAATATCTAAGAGAACCAAAGGGAAGAGAGGGAATAAAATGGACATTGAAGTGCATATGTCAATAAATAAATAAAATCTTGCCATACTTCCGCCAGAATCTTAAGGTCATGTCTGCTTTAAAAAATCAATGTATAAATGAAGTTTGGATAATTACTTATGTTTCTATAATTTCTATTAAGACACTTAAAGTTTATAAATGCAGAAATTTTAGTCTTTCTTGAACAGGAAAACACCCACTCATTTTTTTTCATGACGTATTAAATGAATCTTTAAAATGTTTTCTGAAGGAAGCTTGATTGCAGACTGAGGGATAGGAGAAGGAGAGACACATTGAAAGAAAATCTGTCACTAAAGAGAGAGGCAGGAGGATTGAATTATTCTTTTAGTGACTCTATAATTGTTATTATTTTAGTGCCTCAAAATATGGCTTTGTTAATACACAAATAGGTGATTGGGAGACACTTTTTCATAGCTATATTCATAATATCTCAGAAAAATACAATCTGGACATTCTAATGCTCCTCCCTTATATACACTCTCAACTTGAAGTTACAGGAAACAAGTAAATCTAGTATCATGCATAGTTGCTTGTGGGAAGTAAGAATCTTGCCCAAACCCACTCCTTTAACTATCTGCTAGCATGGCTAATGGTTCCTGGAGAAAGAAGGAGTCACTTTGTTAATATAAACACCAACCCTAGGCCTTTTTCTGCTCACTCTGCTTCCAGGATAGGCTGATGTCAAGAAGGTTGACTTTCTGGTCTTCCGGGAACTCAGATGAATGCTTTGCATTTAAGCCTTCAGAGTGTCATGCTGTGCTCTGCTACTCACTTCCTCTGAAATCAGCTTCTGGCTCAAGTTATACACAGTTCTTTTCCTGAAGTATTGCCACTACTTTTTTCCTTCTCTCCAATTGACTATAAGAAAACCTGTTTGTATTCACAAAAATTAGCTTATAGTTCCTCCTTAGTGAATAGCTCATAGTTCCTCCTTAGTGAATATCACCCGTGGCTGATATTTCATAATACATTTATAAATCCCTGTCACATCAGGGTGAAAATGCTCTCTGCAGTCAGCTAACTCTTGTATCTACAAATTACCAATGAAGGTGAAATTCCGTGACTTCCAGTGGGCAGGGGTCAAGCATATATTTATTTTTGAAAGAATAATAAAAAATTACAGGCACAAAGGTTTTAAAAAAGTAGTTTTGTTTTTTATCCGTATTGATTTTTCACCTAAAATTATTGTAGGGTGTGCAGTTTTGAAATGAAGAGCAAAACAACAATGAAACCAGTCTTTTACACTTAGCATAATATATCAAAGCTTTGCTTTTCTTACCTCTTCTTTACCTTTGGCCTTTTCCACGGCAGCATCATTATTGTTGCTGTCTTTGTGAATTTGTCTAGATAAAGCTTTATGAATGCCTGTGGACAAGAGTGAGCAGTAAAATAAAGAAAGCTGATAAAGACATATAGAACCTTTAGTAAATCTGGCCAGCAACTCTTTTTTGTTTCTATGGATTTCCAGAAATAGTCGTTTGCTATAGTTTCCTTTTACATAAAAAAAAAAAAAAAAAAAAAAAAAAAAAACCCCCTCAGGTTGGGCGTGGTGACACACACCTGTAATCTCAGCACTTTGGGAGGCCGAGGCCAGTGGATCACCTGAGGTCAGGAGTTCAAGACCAGCCTGACCAACAAGGTGAAACCCTGCCTCTACTAAAAATACAAAAAAATTAGCCAGGCACGGTGGCAGGCGCCTGTAGTCCCAGCTACTTGGGAGGCAGAGACAGAATTAATTGAACCCGGAAGGCAGAGGTTCAGTGAGCTGAGATTGCCCCATCGCGCTCCAGCCTGGGCAAGGGAGCAATTCCGTCTCAAAAAAATAAATAAATAAATAAATAAATAAATAAATAAAAAATAAGACCAGGTGCAGTGGCTCACTCCTGTAATCCCAGCACTTTGGGAGGCCGAGGCAGGTGGACCATGAGGTCAAGAGATTGAGACCGTTCTGGCCAACATCATGAAACCCGGTCTCTACTAAAAATACAAAAATTAGCCGGGCATGGTGACATGTGCCTGTAGTCTCAGTTACTCTGGAGGCTGCTGCAGGAGAATTGCTTGAACCTGGGAGGCAGAGGTTGCAGTGAGCCGAGATCATGCCACTGCACTCCAGCCTGGAGGCACAGCAAGACTCCGTCTCAAACAAAAACAAACAAATAACAACAACAAAACAAACTTCATAGAATTTATTTAAAATGTTGAATCATAATAAAGATATGTATTAAAACCAGACTATCAACTCAAACATTTGTAGTATTTCTCATGAACAGGTAAATTATGGGGAAAAGTAGGCTAAAAGGAAGCTAACCAGAAAAATATACGCTATCAAAGACTGAATAGGCTTCAGTCCAAAATAGCAATTTCTAAATATAAAGTGCTATATTGGATTTACACCTTCAACTAGACTCACTTTGCATGTCTTTACAAATTAGCGAGATGGTTTTGTTGGGAGACAATTCTCTTGTGATCTCTCACATTTCTGCAAGTCTAATTTTCTGAACAAAGCCATTATCAGCCAATTTTCTCTAGATTTTCTTTGCAAGATGCTTGTAAAAGCAAATAGTCTTGAAAGGTGAGGATGTTCTCCTCCCTGGAGCAGATTTAAATTCCAGGTTCATAAAGGTAATGTCTCTCTCTGGAGAGGAGGTTGGGCCAATTTGCAAGGCAGTATCTATATAAGATCATGGACTTCCTAATATCAGTGTTCTGTAATTCATCCCACTGTAAGTAGGAAACACTTGACCCTCATCATGTTGCCCTGTGGGAATTGGGGCTCAGCAAATAAGGGCAAAATGTTACTCTGAATCCTGCTATAGCTGTGTGTAACAAACTGACCCAGAAACTTCACATCTTTCTGCCAGGATCTATGAAAATATGACAGGCTGTCTTGTTAGGCTGCAAATAGGATAACATCTGAGACATTGTTCCCCATGTGACAAGTTTATCTGAACTTTAATAAATGCCTTAACAGTTTTCTTCAACTGGATTATATTCTCTCATTGCTTTTCGAAAGACATTTGCTATTTTAGCTTAAGATTACTTTTCTCGTTATGCAAATAATATTTATCCACAGTAGAAAATTAGAGAAACTCTAAAATATAAAGAAGTCGTTAAAGATATCCGTAATTCTACTAGAGAAAATTATTAACAATATTTTAAATATATTCTTAGATCTGTCCCTCCTTGTGGGCATACACACACCCACATGCAAACAGACACATTCACATACAAATATAGAAATTTACAATTTGGGACCACAGTGCATATATTGTTATTTGGTACTTCAATTGTAGAGCCCCATATGTTCCCTATATGATACACTATCTTTAATAGGTTGTAAAAGACTTCAATTTGGTTTTATTTGTCTTATTATCTCCAATGTCCCTTATTTGTCCCTCCCAGTTTCCACAAATTATATTTAAGCTAATACTTATTGAATACACCCCACTGCACATAATCTACTAAGACCTTTATGTGTATTTTGTCAAAAATAATCTAAAAAACACTAAGAAGGTACTTTTTACCCTTTTTTCCCCTAGTTTCCAGCTTTTCATACCATATTTAGAAAGATATTTACCCTAGGCTAAAACATTATTTTATTTTATTGCCTTATACATTTACATTTAACTGCAATTCATCTAGTGAGTTAATGATTTAATATTTCCTTTTTTTTTGAGACAGAGTTTTGCTCTTGTGGCCCAGGATGGAGTGCAATGGCGCGATCTCAGCTCACTGCAACCTCTGCCTCCCGAGTTCAAGCGATTCTCCTGCCTCAGCCTCCCAAGTAGCTGAGATTACAGGTGCCTGCCACCACGCCCAGCTAATTTTTTTGCATTTTTTTAGTGGAGATGGGGTTTCACCATGTTGGCCAGGCTGGTCTTGAACTCCTCACCTCAGGTGATCCGCCTGCTACGGCCTCCCAAAGTGCTAGGATTACAGGCGTAAGCCATGGTGCCCAGACCATGATTTAATATTTCTAATTATTATGAGATTTAACATTTATTAGGCATTTATTTATACTATGGTCAAGTGCTTTCCTAAGTAGTATGTATTTATGATACTGTTAAACTCTCCCAATGTCTTCAGCTGGTAGGCTTATTTTCCTTTTAAAGACAAGCTAACTGAAACAGAATAAGTTAAAATGATCTTCCAAAAGTCACTGAGTTACTAGGTTACAAAGCTAGGACTCACATTGTGCTGAGAATGACGCCAGAACCTTCTCTGAACTGTGCTTTTCTGTCTACAAGAGTCAACCAAGTGTACTGCCACTGTTTGTTGAATCATCTCTCACTTTCTTCCTAATTAAAATATTTTTTGATGTTATGTGTAATTCAAACATGGAATGGACTTGAGTCTGTTTCTGGGCGTTCTGTTCTGTTACACAAATCTAGCTACTTACCTTGTGCCTTACAAAAGAGCTGCTACGTGGGAACAGCTAGCACAAACTGATACACACTCTTCCACCTAAGTTCTTGTAATAAACACTTCTAAGGGTCATATATGTGCTATATATAAAGAATTTTACGGTTTATTTAGAAGATATCAATATTTGTAGGGAATGAATACACATAGGAGGAAAAATATCAGGCTACTATAGTCATTCTCCAGTTTGTGATGTTGGAACACTGGAATTAATTGTGGAGAGAGACTGTTTTATAGTCCATCCCAATGTCAGGGTTGATGGCAGACTGTCCTGGATTTGCATCCAAGGAAGCCAGACAAATCAAAGACCCAGCCTACAGAGAAGGAGGAGCATAAATTCCATTCACATGGGATGACAGGGTGTCTTCTAAGATGGGATAATTTATAAAGGAACAATGTTTAATTGACTCACAGTTCTCCATGGCTTGGGAGGCCTTAGGAAACTTACAATCATGGTGGAAGGTGAAGGGAAAGCAAGAACTTTCTTCCTAAGGTGGCAGGAGAGAACGTGTGCATGCATGCATGCACAAGAGAGAGAGAGATTGGAAGTGACACACTTTTAAGCCATCGGCTCTTGTGAGAACTCACGCACTATCACAAGAAAAGCATGGGGAAACCAACCCCATGATCCTATCACCTCCGACCAGCTCCCTCCCTCTTCCCAAATTTCATCTCGAATAGATACATATCAGTAAGAATGCTAATAAACAGAAAATCTTTGTTAGTTGAAATTTTGGAATAAAGTATAATAATTTGAATACTTAGTATTTTATTCACTGAGATAAAATTTTGATGTTTTATGAATAGTCTATTGAACTGTAATTTTTCAGAAAATGGTGTTTATTAACATACATACAAATAAAAATGCATGTAGTCTTTGCTCTTCAGACATATACACATGAAGCTCCCCATTGAGATTTAGCAATTTGGCATTTCTTGAAAAACAATAATGAAACCTCTTATAATAAGCTATGACAGATAAAACTAGCTTTAAGAAATACTTATAAACAAGTCAAATCACATTAGAAAAATAATCTTGAATTGCCTTTTCAAGGTCTAGCTAATAACTTCTCTTTTCATTACAGTGAAATTTTGCTCTAATGAAATGATATGAATAGCCCCAATAATTTGCCCAGTCTCTTGAGCCTTATTTAATTGAGTTGAAAACTCATTGTAATGGGATTATCTCTTTGCACTTCTTGAATCAGCTCCTTCCTGAATTGGCTTCTCTTTCAGTTCATATATATTAGCAATGTAATTTTTGAGATGGGAGAGATTATGTGGACTATAGAGAGACAGCTTTGTGTAGTGTAAATCTAATTCAATTTTATATCTCAAAGGCTTAGACAGTGTTTCATTTTTAAGCCTTTCAGTACATTGGATGTAGGTAATGAAAATTTGTGTTAGAAAAGGAGTAAAACATTTGTGTTGTGGCAAGAGTAAAAAGCAAAACAAACAACAAACAAACAAACAAAAAGCCTGCAGCATTTTGCAAAAGATATGCTTGACTTTGAAAATGAAGAAAAATAATCAAGTGTATGCTGAGAACCATTCCTCCACATCAGCTAAGTTGCTTCACAGAGGAAATTACAAGCCTCACTCTATCCATGCTGGAGAAACACTGGGTTCTTATTGTAGACCATAGATGTGTGGCAGAAAGGAATGTCTACATCTTTGCAAGAAAACAAATCAGTGTTGTGAAAAATGCCAGTGAGCCCTTTGTGGAGTGAATGCCTAAAAAATTAATGCAGGGGCCGGGCGCAGTGGCTCACCCCCGTAATCCCAGCACTTTCCGAGGCCGAGGCAGGCGGATCACCTGAAGTCAGGAGTTTGAGACCTATCTGACCAACGTGGGAAAACCTCGTCTCTACTAAAAAAAATAAAATAAAATAAATACAAAAATTACTCGGGCATGGTTGTGCGTGCCTGTAATCCCAGCTACTCTGGAGGCTTAGGCAGGAGAACCGCTTGAACCTGGGAGGCGGAGGTTGCAGTGAGCCGAGATTGAACTATTGCACGCCAGCCTGGGTGACAGAACGAGACTCCATATAAAAAAAGAAAAAAAATTATGCAGGTCACTTTAGCGCCTTGTGCGATGCAGTCTCCTACAACACACTTGTGTTTAAATCATGGCTCATGCCACTTTGTATCTTTGTGTCCTGAAACAAATTATTTAAAATTCAGATCCCCAATTTTATCACTTGAAACATTGGGATAATTAAATCCAACTTAAAGACACTATTCTTATTAAATTAAATGTGATGGTAAATGCGCTTTAAAATGTGATGGTAAGCTACACTGTAAAATGATAAAAATGATGATCTCTAAGGTCACATGGAGTGGAAGTCTCCTAGGAGATCTATAAATGCAGCCAGCTTATTTCTTTAAAAATTTCAATTTGTAGAATATACATTCAATGTTGTATATTAATATAGCTTCATTATGAAAGCCAACATATTTCTAGGGTACTTATATTTGCTTGTCATAGAAGTTAAGCTGGTTTTAATACTGATTCTGTTGACTGTGGAATACTGCAATTGCATATCCAAGAACTATTGACTATTTTACTATTTACTTGAAAATTGTAAGCATTTATCATTTATTTACCCTAATATAGTTACATAAAGATGACATAAACATTAAATAAAACCTAAAGTATATCTTATGCCTATTAAATGGTATCAATGTTGTTCAAAACCATCTGGCCCATCAACACTAATGTAAATCATTCTGTGTGGCTTATTGGTCTAGAAAGAGTAAAAAATGAAAACATCTCCAGACAAAAACCACACTACAAGATAGTATATATGATTTTATCTATGTTTTGGATATGCATATCTTTGATGTACCGCTCTATAGGCAATTGGGATTTGGTTTGTCCCTTGTTAATTTCATCAGCCATTACACAGAATGAATAGTTGGCTTAGGAGGACCATTGGCTCAGGAAATTTAAAAGTAACCCTCAAATGATCCAGCACTCTTACTAAACAAATGCTGGCAGGATTTGAGGATGTGTCCTGTCATTTCCACACAAGAAACCTTACAGAACTTTGTTGTCATCTGAGAGGTATCACAGGGATGCGTAGTCTTCTGTTAGGAAAGATGACAATTGGTCCATAGAAAAAGACAAAGAATCTGGAAGAAGAGAATCGAAAGGAAGAAAATCATTTTTTAACAATGGGCTAACAGATAGATTCATTTTACATATTAATATATTAATGTAGTTTTTAGTTCATTCATTAATCTATTAATTCTATTGTACCCTCACTCAAGCAATTTTATATATTTTTTCTTCTATTTTTAAAATTTTGGTTTTGACCATCAATGCAGATACTTTTCTTTTTCTTTGAAGCAATAGTGACTGGAATACATGAGATAGTTCCTGCACATTAAACACTCTTAAAACAAATAAAAAAATTCTAGAATCTGAAGAAATTCAAACACTATTTTTAAAAAATTTAGCTAGTACACCATTGCTCTGTAGCCTGACCTGATTCCAAATTCCACTAATTAACCAGCAAATGAAGTGGTCATAAATATATTATTTTTGTTCTAACTTTAACTTTGTAATTACTTATGTGTAATATGTGTGACTCTAGTCATAGTGGTATCTATAAAAAGTTTCAATTCCATCTAAGTTAATGAGTACATGAGGAAGGAAATGTTTACAAAATTATTATAATTAAGTTTCTTTAAATGGCCACGTTTTGAGAACACAAGGAAATGAGTAGTTAGTTCCCTAAAGAGACAAGTGAGTATACTGTAAGGCACAAAATGTGCTTTCTTGCTTAGGTCACTTCAACTTCTTTGATTGGAGATAACTCACCTTGAGATTTCCCATACAACCTGAACGAAACAATCACTAAACCATGCTGACAAATGAAGGAACAAAATATAACATTTATTTCCAAAGAAAGTTGGTTCTTTCTACCACATGCTTTAGAGAAAAATAAAAACTAGCATAGTCTGTGTTTTTGCAAAACTGCTTATTATTTTTATGCTTCAAGAAGGCACAAAATTGAGCTTTAAAGTTTCATTCTGTTTTAAAGACCTCTTAAAAAGAGACATTAAATCCATAACACTTTAGAAGATGCTTAGGAAAGAGGACAGCCAGAAGATGAAATTTGAGATAGTTACATATGCATATCTTTATTTTCCTTCTTTGCTTTTTACTTTTCTTAATATAGGATTGGAATTTGTTGAGGAATATACTAGTTTCCCAGGAGATGTATGACCACAGGGGTGGGAATACTAGATTTAATTATGAAAAGATGAAGTTTATGGCTACAAAATTAATAAAGATATTTCATAAAAACCATCAGCATTTTACTTGTTGCCAAAATTGGAGACAGTATTTCAACATAGGCAACACTGAACAGCCTTCTTGTACCTTTCTGAACTCCTGAATTTTCTTTTTACTTCTTACTTGTGCCTCTGGATTTTCAGTGCTTCATACTCATCTGACTGTAAAAATAAATGAAAATTTTCTCTATCCAATCCAATTTTTTCATTTTCTTTTTCTAATTCTAATGGTGTTGGTTGCACACATTGGCATTTATTTAGTTATTTCTGGCAATTCCAACTGAAGTCTAATAAATAGTGGAGGCGGCCGGGCGCGGTGGCTCACGCCTGTAATCTCAGCACTTTGGGAGGCTGAGGTGGGCGGATCCCGAGGTCAGGAGATCAAGACCATCCTGGCTAACACGGTGAAACCCTGTGTGTACTAAAAATACAAAAAAGCCGGGCGTGGCGGCGGGCTCCTGTAGCCCCAGCTACTCGGGAGGCTGAGGCAGGAGAATGGCGTGAACCTGGGAGGCGGAGCTTGCAGTGAGCCGAGGTCGCGTCACTGCACTCCAGCCTGGGCGACAGAGTAAGACTCTGTCTCAAAAAAATAAATGAATAAAAAATAAATAAATAAATAGTGGAGGCTATAGATTCTTCATCCCTCTTTATCTGAACCTTTCCAATAGTTTTCACTTGTGGACCTGATGAAATGTCAGTTTTCATGCTTCACTTTTCTTGGCAGCAAGATTGGGTTGAGGCCTAGGCTTGTCCCATATAACATTGTATCTCTATGGAAAAAATGATTGCTTAGAGATTGGGCACAAGGATCCAGTTAGGCTAACTAAAATCTTCCTGTACACTTTTCTGCTTCAATCGTGGCGAATACAATCCATCTTTCTTTTAGATCACTAAGTGGAAGGATAGACTTTGGAGATTGATGGATGCCATCTTTCTTTCTTTTAAAATTATGCTTGGGAACACTTAAAACAAGACCTACTCTCAACAAAATCTTAAGTGTAGAACACAGTATTGTTACCACAGGCACAATGTTATACAGCAGATTTGAAGAACTCAGTCATTTTGCATAACTGAAACTTAATACCCATCGAATAGCAGTTTCCCATTTGTCCCTATCCCCTGGCCCTGGCAACCACCATTCTATTCTATTCTCTGCTTCTATGTTTTGCTATTTTAGATACCTTATAGAATTGGAATCATGCAGTATTGATCTTCTTGTGACAGACTTATTTCACTTAGCTTCAACGTTGTTGCATATTGCAGCATTTCTTCCTTTTGTAAGGTTGAATAATATTCCATTGTGTGTATATACCACATTTCTTTATCCATTTATCCTTTGATGGACATTTAGGTTGTTTCCACATCTTGGCTATTGTAAATGGAACAAACATCGGGGTACAAGTATCTCTTTGATATCCTAATTACAATTCTTCTGGATATCAATTTGGGATATACAATCCCTACAGTGAGATTGATGGATCATATGGTAATTCAATTCTAATACATTCTTTTAGGAAACTCCGTTCTGTTTTCATAGTAACGTTTCACACTTCTACCAAGAGTGTAAAAAGATTCCAATTTCTCCACATCTTCATCAACCCTTATTGTCTTGTGTTTTTTTTCTTGATAATAGTCATTCTGATAGGTGTGAGGTGATATATCATCGCAATTTGGATTTGCATTTCACTGATAATTTGTGATATTAGCACCTTTCCACACACCTGTTGGTCTTTGTATATGTTCTTTGGAGAGAGATCTATTCATGTCCTTCCCTCATTTTTCAGTTGGGTTATTTGTTTTATTGCTATGAAGTTGAATGAATTTCTTATATATTTTGGATATACCACTTTTCATATGCATGGCTTGCAAATTCTCCTATTCCATAGGTTGTTTCTTCACTCTGCTAATTGTTTTCTTTGCTATGGAGAAATGTTTTAGCTTGATGTAGTTCCATTGTTTGTTTTTGCTTTCGTTGCCTATGCTTTTGGTGTCATAGCCAAGAAGTCATTGCCAAAACCAATGTCACGGAGCTTTTTCCTTGTTTTTCTTTTTCCTTTTTTTTTTTTTTTTTTTTTGAGACGGAGTCTTGCTCTGTCGCCCAGGCTGGAGTGCAGTGGCGTGATCTCGGCTCACTGCAATCTCCACCTCCCCGGTTCACGCCATTCTCCTGCCTCAGCTTTCTGAGTAGCTGGGACTACAAGCGCCTGCCACCACGTCCGGCTAATTTTTTTGTATTTTTATTAGAGATGGGGTTTCACCTTGATAGCCAGGATGGTCTCGATCTCCTCACCTTGTGATCCTCCTGCCTCAGCCTCCCGCTGGGATTACAGGCGTGAGCCACCGCACCGGCCCCTTATGCTTTTCTTTTAGGAGTTCTATAGTTTCAGGTCTTATCTTTAGGTCTTCAGTCCATTTTGAGTTGATTTTGTGTATGGAGTAAGATAAGGGTCTAATTTCATTCTTTGCAAGTAGATATCCAGTTATTCCAAAACCATTTGTTGAGGAGACTATATTTTCTCTATTGTGTATTCTTGGCACTATTGTCCATAATCAATTAATTTTTAAAAATGCATTAGTTTTTCTATTCTATTCCACTTGAATGTATGTCTGTCTTTATGCCAGCACAATACTATTTTAATTATCATAGTTTTGTAACACATTTTGAAATTTGGAAGTGTGTTGCCTTCAGTTTTCTTCTACTTTCTCAAGATTGTTTTGACTGCTTGAGGTCTTTTGTCATTCCAAATAAATTTAGAATTGATTTTTCCATATCTGTAAAAAATGCCATTGGGATTTTGGTAAGAATTTCATTGAATCTGTAGATTCCTTTGTGTAGTATGAACATTCAAACAATATTAATTCTTGTAATCCATAAACACAAGATGGCTTTCAATTTATTTGTGTCTTCTTTAATTTCTTTCATCAATGTTTATTTTCCAATGTATGTCTTTTATCTCCCTAGATAAGTTAATTCCTATCTTTTTCTTTTTGATTCCATTGTAAATGAGATTTTTTAAAAAATTTTCTTTTGGATAGTTCATTATTAGTGTATAGAAATGCAACTGATTATTTCATATGTGGATTTTGTATTCTGCAATTTTACTGAATTTGCTTATTAGTTCTAATAGGGTTTTTTGGGGGAAATTCTTTATGGTTTTCTACATATGAATTCCTGTCATCTGTAAACAGAGATAATTTTGCTTGTTTCTTCCTGATTTGGGTGTCTGTTGTTTCTTTTTCTTGCCTAATTATTCCAACCAGGACTTCCTGTACTATGTTGAATAAAAGTGGCGAGACTGGGCATCCTTGTCTTGCTCTTGATCTTACAGGAAAAGTTTTTGTTTTTTTATCACTGAGTATGATGTTAACTGTGGGCTTGTCAGATATGGGCCTTTATGAAGTTAGGGCACGTTCCTTCTATATCTGATTTGGTTTTCACCATGAGTGATTGTTGAATTTTGTCAAATTCTTTTTCTGCATCTATTGACTAAAGGATATGATTTTTATTCCTCAGTCTGTTAATGTAGTAAATCACATTATTGATTTGTGTATATTGATCCATCCTTGGATCCCAGAGATAAATATCACTTGGTCATTGTGTATGATTGTTTCAATGTGCTGTTAAATTAAGTTTGCTAGTATTTTGTTGAGGGTTTGTGCATCTACATTCATCAGGCATATTTGCCTGTAGCTTTCTTTCCTTGAAGTGTCTTTGTCTGACTTTAGAATCAAAGTAATGCTGGACTCATAAAATAAATTTGTAAATGTTTTCTCTTGAATCTTTTTTGAAGAAATTGAAAATGATTGACATTAAGTCTTTAAATGCTTTGTAGATTTCTACATTGCAGCCATCTCTTCCCGGGCTTTTCTTTGTGAGAGGTTGTACTTACAGATTGAATTTTGTTATAGTTATAGGCCTTTTCAGATATTCTGTTTTTTTCATGGTTCAGTTGTGATAAGTTGTATATTTATAGGGATTATCTATTTTCTCTAGATTATCTGGTTTGTTGGTGTATAATTATTCATTAAGTCTTTTCTTACCCTTTGTATTTCTTTGGCATCATTTATAATGGTTCCTCTTTCATTTCTGATCTTATTTATCTGAGCATTCTCTCTTTTTTCTTAGTTTAGCTAATGGTTTGTCAATTTTTGGATCTTTTTAAAATTACAATTTTTAGTTTCACTATTTTTTTCTATTTTTTCCTAGTCTCTATTTCGCTTATTGCTCCTCTAACATTTATTATTTACTTTCTTCTGCTACTTTTGAGCTTAGCTTGTTCTTCTATTTCTAGTTTGTTGAGATGGAAAGTTAGGTTGTTTATTGAGGTCTTTATTCTGTATTATTGTACACATTTATTGCTATAAAATGTTCTCCCAGTACTGCTTTTGTTGTGTACCATAAGTTTTGCTATGTTGTGCTTATATTTTTGTTTGCTGAAAATAGTTTCTAATAGCACTTTTGATTTTCTTTTACCAATTGGTTACTCAAAAGTGTGTTTTTAAATTTCCCAAATATTTGTGACTTTTCTGGCTTTTCTTCTGATATTTATTTGTAGTTTAATTCTATTGTAGTCAGAAAAGGTACTTAGTAAGATTTCAATGTTCTTAAATTTGCTAAGGGTTGTTTTTGTGACCTATCATTTGATGTATCCTGGAAAATTTTCCATGTGCACGTTGGAAGAATGTATATTCTGTTGCTGTTGGGTGGAATGTTCTCTATATGTCTATTAGTTTCATTGGGTTTACAGTAGCAGTGCCCAGCCTTTTTGGACCAGAGACTGGTTTCATGTAAGACAGCTTTTCCATGCGAAGGGAGGGTCGGGGGTGGTTTCTGATTCTCACGAGAAGTACAGAACCTAGATCCCTACCATGTGCAGTTCACAATATGGTTCATTCCCTGTGAGAATCTAATGCCACTGCTGATCTGACAGAGGCAGAGCTCAGGCTGTAATGCTACCTGTCCCACAGCTCACCTCCTGCAGTGTGGCCCAGTTCCTAACAGGACATGGACCAACACTGGTCTGTGGCCCAGGGATTGGGGGTCCCTGGTCTATAGTATTGTTCAAGCCTGTTATTTCCTTATTGACTTTATTTCTGGACTTTCTATCCCTTATTGGAAGTGGGGTATTGAAGTGTCCAAATATTCTGGTATTAATGCCTATTTATTTCTTCAGGTCTGTCAAAGTTTGCTCTAGATATTAGGCACTCTGATGTTCTGTGCATATATATTTTTAATTGTTGTATTTTCTGGAGTGATTGACCCTCTAGTCATTACATAATGTACTTGTCTCCTGTGACAGTTTTTGATTTAATGTTGATTTTGTCTAAGGACAGCTACTTCTTCTCTGTTTAGGTAACCGTTTGCATGAGACATCTTTTCCATACCTTCACTTTCAGTCTATGTGTTCCTCCAATGGAAGGACTTACTATTTCCATTTTGTTCATTATTTTCTGTCTGTCTTGCAGTTCTTTTGTAGTTCTCTTTTCCTCTCTTGCTATTTTGTTATATGGTTTAAATCATACCGAGGTTATAAATAATATATAAACAAAACTTATAAATAAGTTTTGAAGCACAAAGTGTTTGCAATTTGATATTTGTGTAGGTAAATGTCATTTAAGCACTCTATAAAACAATATACAATATTTTTCTTTTAGTTACTGACAAGAAGTAGCTGGTACAAGCATATATGGTTGTTGTTACTCTGTACCCTGAGGGTTTTCTTTAATACCTCCTGATGGCACTACAAAATGGACAATGTTAAAGATAAGCAGGGTCTTCAGTGACAGTCTTTATCTTAGGCAGGACAGTGATGTCCACTAGGCTTAACCATGTTGAGATAATTCTCCATTGGCCCTTTGTATCTCTATTTGCCTGAAGCAATTTTGGATAAAATATATCTACCTGAAACATTTTTTTCAATACAAAAATGTATCTATTAGATACAAGTAGATGAAAACCTACCCTTCTTTTTTGGTTGATTCATATTTATCCTTTAGATTCCACTTTGAATTTTACTCTAAGTACAGGTTAGAAAGCATCCTATATGTATTTCCTAATATAACATTTATAATGCAATTTAATTTAATATTTTTATTATTTATATTCATTATGAAGACTGAAAGTTCTTTGAAAGCACAGACCATCTCTACTTAATTCATGCAATGAATATTTCCTGGGTGCCTACTATATAATATGATAGGTGCTGGGGATACAAGGATGAATAAAACTCTATTTCCCTGTGCTATCAAGAAAATCTATGGGTAAATGTAATAAAGGGATAAGACCTAATTTTGGATTTGGAGCCAGGAAAGGTAACACATTCCTGTCATTTAAGGTGACCTTTAAAGATAATAAAAGAATTAGCCACATGAACAGTGTGGTGAAGAATAGCCCAGGCAAAACATATACATATATAAGTAACCTCAATTGGGAAAGAGCTTGGTGAACTCCAGAAACAGAAAGATGAAAGTTTGACTGGTGATCAAGGAAGGTGCTGGATGCAAAGTGAGCCTGGAGATGTGGTAGAAGCAAAATTACCAAGTTCTGTAAAAAAACTGTCACGAGTTATTTTAAAAAAATGTAAATTTTGAAAATACATTTTTTAGTATGAAATCTTGAGTTATATTTATTTTTAAACTTTACAGATGTTAACACCTCCTATAAATGCAGAAATTTCTTCTAAACTGATGCCAGAATTTCAAAACAATTTAGTTACTGATGATATGCATGTTATAGAGTTTAGTAATTTACAGGATATTTTAAATACAAAAGTAAGAATAATAAGTTACCAAATCCAAATACATACTATTTTAAATTTAGTTCGTGTTGAAAATGATCACTTTAAAAAGAAAGGTCTGCTATTCTTTTCATAAATTAGAAGCTCTTGACTATAACTTTTAGCCTCATAGACATGATCAATCTTAATGGAGTGGTGAGTTTCACAAAAAAGACAAAGGTCTGAAATGTTATGCTGGTTTTGCTCAGGTGAATAAAACAATTCTTTTCTCACTTTTCTTTCATCATGGGAAAGTCAATTTTTCAAACAAAAATTATTGTGCATCCCAGTGGGAGAAGCTGAAGGTCAACATGTCACTGAGGTTTGCAGCAAAAGCTGTGGGCTTTTTGGTTGATGGAGTAGTTATTGACTGAAATATAAAGGAAATAATTTTTCTCTGTCTCTTTTTGTTTGTAGCAGCAAATTCACTAGAGTTCTCTTTACTAGGGACCATGCAATCATGTCTGTTTGTCTCACACAACTTGTTTATCCCATCTATCTGACTCCATGATTTTCCTTTTTGAAGCAGCCAAGTCCAGTCCTCCCAATAGAATTTCACAGTGAGTTACTCAGGTTCTACTGAATAATACTGGTTGGGGTAAGAATACTGGTTCTATTTTGTTTCTTTCTCCTCCTCTGCTCAAAATATTGGTGCAAATGTGAAGTTAAGACCCCTGAAGCTTCCTCAAGTCATACCTTCCAGAATATCAAATGCATATTTTTGAACATACTTGCTTCCAAATCGACAGTATAACATCAGTTTCTGTAACTCTCAATATCTTTTCTCAGCAAGGGAGAATAACATCTCCATAGAAATTTAAAGATGACTCTCCAAACCTAGACGAAATAATAAATAAGTAAAATAAATAAAAAAATAAAAACTCTACCAGGAAGGCAATGCAGTCTCCCAGAGAGGCCAAATACCTGTGCTCCTCAGAGAAAGCATATCATGGATGCTCAGGGGTGATTAAAAGCTATTTAAATGGGATTTTTTTCCCCCAAGATTCTGGAAGTTTCCTTTTAACAGATATTTTAAGTGAGTTATTCATCTGTTCGGATTCCACTGGGCACTTCATACTGGTCTTTATACACCTTCTCTGATGAAGGTCTGTTCCTGACCATCTCGGTCAAATCCCGGGGTGATCTTGATAAGGATTCTGTTTAAGTAGAAGATCCTCCTTGCTCCCAAAGAATCACTGTTTAATTTCAGTCAGTCCCCATAGGGAGTGGAACACATTTGCACAAAAAGTATGTTAAGAGAGTGAGCATTTTTTTTTGGTTTCACATAATCAAATCTCTCTTTTTAATTATCTCCTTTTACATCACTATCCCAGGCTGAAGCCACTCACGTCCCTTTTACTTCTACAATGACAAGGCTGCCTGGTCTGCCATTCACTGGAGACAAAAAGTGTTCCATTAGACAGGAAAGAAATTGAAGTTTTACTTTTATTTCAACAGGATACTAATATCCTAGGCCCTTTTCATTTTCTTCTTCCTTTTTTCTAGTTGAAGCATTGCAGGATGAATGCATAGCTATGAATAAATACTTAAAGCCATTCCATTTATAGAAGTGTATTTTTCAATGAGAAAGTGAAAGCCGAATTCTTTAATTTAATTTGACAAACACTTCCTCACCTAAAAGTGTGTATGTATTTTGTACTTATTTTTTGCTATCTGAAGATGAGAAGCGAGAGATGAGGTATATAGATGAGAGGATTATCAACGAGCAAGGCCAACAGGATCAGAAAAATAATGTACAGTATATGATAAGCATAATCCTATCAGAAGTGTGAAAGGAAATGGTAATAATGAGTATACTCATTTTCTCATTAGCTCCTAGACTTTTCTATCTCAATTTGAACTAGAACTTTAGGCTCACTATGTGCAAATCCTTACTCATATTGTATTTTCATATTATATTTTTTCCTGCTTCTCCTCTCTTCAGTCTTGCAATCTGACTTGCCCTTTACTTTGTATTTATTTCCTGCTTTCCTAGATTAATAGCATCAACATCTGCTTAGCATCTCAGTTAGAAATCACAAAATTGTCTGCAATTCTTCCATGTTCCACATCTTGGAGTGTCATTCATAACCATGACACTCACTACTCTAGCGGGTCAGATATATCCATCTCTTCCACTCCATTGGCTCTGCCCAATTTTCTATTTAGATGCTCATAAACTCTTCACTGTGCTATAACATAGTTTCTGGCTGCCAGCATCTCCTCAATCTGCACTGTCATGAGAGTTATTTTCCAAGACTGTATCTATACCCAATCAAGCCACTGAGTTAACAAACTAACTGTTCCCTGAATTTTATGACATAAAAACTTGAATTCTCTTTCTGATATATGTAAAAGACTATTCAAATCCTGTGAGGCTGACAATTTATAGTTCTCATTTCTCCACGTCATACTCCTTTGAATTTTGCAATGTAGTACCCATCTTTATGTGTCACTATTTATGAATTGCTTTTGCTGTTTAATTTCTCTTTGTTAATATCATATGTATTCCTGTCTCCAAAATAGCATCTGTTCCACATTTGGTATCATTTATCTTGAATTTAAAGAAATATGTAAAGCACCTTCTATGCTGATTCTTTTCCAGAAATAAGAAAATATTCTCCTGCCTATAAGTTGTGCCCACCCTGATACCAATCTTTTCTAGCAACATTTTTTTATAGGTGAACTATCAGATTTTTAAAGATACCATACCATTTTAAAATCTTACATTTTTCAAGACAAAACTAATTATTTGCTCTTTGAAAATTCTTTATAATATGTCAAGTTCTGTCCTGCAGTATACATAAATGTTCTACATTTATTTAAATGTAAGAATCTCTGAGGATCTGCATTGTTCTTTTTAGACTTGTGAATCTTTTATGAATTTTTGAAAATTTCATTATAAACCGACATTATATTCCTGAAAGGGCCATGACTGTTTCTGGACATCAAATTCTTAAATATTCTAAGGAGCCAGAGGCAATAGGTTTCTAACAGGCTTTCAGAGTTGTTTTTATTATGATCATTGTTCAACATTCTTGACTTAATTTCAACCTATTTTCCTTTAAAATGATTATTCTTAGTTCCTGCAAATATTCTCTTTGTCATTTGGGCTATATTTCCTGTATTCCACTGTGGTGTTTTGATAAATCTAATAATCTTTCTTCTTAACTGACACTGCAGGGTTTTAAGTTTATCACTTGATTGACATATAATTGCAATGCTTATTTCCTGAATCCCTAATTCCAGCCGTCTGGCTTAAGTACAGTTTTGCTCATTGTTGTATTAGAATAAAATATTTCTCATATTTTGTTTATGTTTCTAAGGCAGTCAACATATTCTCTGCCATGAGAAAATAACATATCTTCTTTTAATCCACTCCTATCTACTCCTGTCCCCCTTTGTTTGAACTGTTTCCATGTCTACAGTGGGACCTTTTTTCTTTACACAAATAGCAATTCAATATTCTGTGCTATAGCTTTTCAATTATACAGACTGTGATGGGCTAAATTGTGTCCCCTGAAAATTCATATGTTGAAGCCATAATCCCCCAGTACCTGAGAATGTGCCAGTATTTAGAGGCAGGGCCTTTAAAGAGATAATTATGTTAAAATGAGATTACTAGGGAGGGCCCTAAACCAAACTGACTGGTGTTCTCCCAAGAAGAGATTTGGACACACACAGAGACATCAGAAGTGTGTGTGCACAGAGGAAAAACCATGAGAAGAGGCAGCAACGGCACAGTCATCCGCAAACCAAGGAGAGGGACTCAGCAGAAACCAGCCCTTCCAACACCTTCATCTCAGACTTCCAGCCTCTAGAATTATAAATTCCTGTTGGTTAAGCCACCCAGTCTGCAATATTTTGTCATGGAAGCCCGAGCAAACTAATGCATAGATAAATAAATTACCTGTAAAAACACATGACACAATAATTAAATGTACATACAACAAACTAATTATATGTAAATATTTTGTGATAAATCGGAAGAAAAGATAGGAGAAATGTTCAACCTGGTTATGTTGTCTGTAAGCCCCTGGGCTTCTGCTGTTAGTGCTTCTATTGAAACTATGTTATTCAAATAAATTCTGAATTCATTACCTTTAAAACCTTAGTTAATGCAGGGATAAATGGAAAATATAAACTCGATTTCTGAGGAAAGATTACGAGCACTCTTATGTTAGTTATGTTTATTGAAAAAGAAAAATGGTTTAAAGAAAAAGGTTATTGAAAAGGAGAATTAGTATCTCCCTACAGATCATTTTTATTCATGTGAGGGAACACGGTAGTCAGGGCGAACACACCTGATCTTGAATTTCAACCATGCTACATCCTCTTTGGAAGACACTGGAAAAGAGCTTGGCCTCGCTGCCTGGATCATAATACTCAGGAGTATCTTTTCTTTGTACATAAAGAAACCTTTTAATACCTCACAGGCTTTTTGTTAGGATTACATGTATGCAGCATGTATGCACCATAACCTAATAGAGTATTTAACACACGCAAGCCATCAGTCTGCTTGCTGGTAGAGATATCATCTTTAAAAAACTCAGTATATGCATTAAGAGAAGTCCCTAGTGGGTGTCCTTAGAAAGATTTTGAGGCAGTTTAAAGGTGGAGAAACATTGTCTTCAAATACATAGTTAAATGACTTAATTTAAAAAAGATTTAAAAGAAAAGTTCAAAACTATGTACATCAGACAATTCATAATAAGTTGTGGATTTGCTATACTTATGATCCGTTATGCCACTTGTTCTTTTTGACACATTTATCTATTCCGTTGACTTTAATCAGACAATGGCAACTCCCTCTTTGTCCTCATATTATTGCCTTGGACTTTTCTAAAATTTCAATGAGGAAGACTACTTTAATCTTAGGAAATCGATAGCTCTACAACTGAGAAAGTCAACATTTAATTGGGTTGTATGTATCAGAGGATAAGTTTATTTTATAGAAAGAAGAAAAGTTATCAAGCTTAGTTATCAGAAATGAAGTTAATTAGTAAATTTCAGAGGTACTTTGGTAATTACTGATTTTAAAAAGAGAAATAAATGGACCCAGGGGAGAGAAAAAAGAAAGAGAAAGAGAGGGAGAGAGAGGGGGAGAGATAGAGGAAGAGAAAGAGAGAGAGATTGGACACAAGCAGAATTATGGAAATTTTATCATTCTTTTGACCACTGGAGTAAGATGAATTAAGTAAGACCACAAGGGAAATTAAGTTAGTAAAAGTCAGGTGTCACCTAAGGCTGGAGTTGTGTCAATGCCACTCCTTGTACCACCACCAACACCCTTACCATAAGGTGATTACAGTTAAATGAGAAAAACAAATGCAAATAGAATAAACAGCAACTAGAGGAGATGATATAAGTGGTCTAATGGGCACCCTTTGTAAAAAGTCCTGAGGAGGGGTCTAGAAGGGGTCTGTGCCATAAATAAAAGTGAGTTTATGAAATTAAAAAGAAAGCCTCCCTTGGATATAGAAAGATTGCCATGTGCTTGAGAGAGCTTCTGGTTAAAGCTCAAGCCTCGTGCTTCTCCCAGTGAGTTGCACTGAAGTCAGTGTAATCAATCAGTCATGTTGTGTGTACTCGTGGAGTCTTTAATCTTTCAGCATCACAGGCTGGGAGGAATGTTCGGGTACAAAATGGCAGAATCTCATCCTTCTGAGCATCTGTGTAAGGAGATTTGGAGAATTCATAGCAATTGCAGCTCCTTTGATTCAGCCTGGTCTCTGCCTTTGCTCTTGCCCAGGAAACCAGTTTTTATCCACAACCAGAGGGAGGCAATAGAGAAGGAAGATCCCCATAATGATTTGCATTGTGTATATTTTGAAAATGACTTTATTAAAAAACAATTGTAGAAAGCATTCTAGTTTTGTAAAAGGGAGAATAAATATGTATATGCATTTTCAGATCAATTTTATTACTTCATGCTTATGAAATTACATGATAACTGCCCTGCTTAGAGAAATAGTAAAATGTTGACATTGATGATCTTTAAATATAGATATGCCAATTTAGGAAGCTAAGTTTCTTGTGTTGACTGACGAATTAACATGGAATTCTGGGTTTTCTAGAGTGTGTTTAATATGATACAATTAAAGTATAATACCTCTGGCTAGTGTGAAATAGAGTGGGCTGTTAGGGAACATAAGTCAGGGACTGTCATGTGAAGCCCTCAGAAACAGATGGAAGATCCTTTGCAAGCCTGGTAACCCATCAAACCTTAGATACTTGGCTTTTTTGGAGACATCTTGTTAAGGTGTTTGGTTAAATTTCAGAAAACTCCAATTCCAATCCCCTTTGTCCAGCACTGACCACTAATTTATAGTAAGAAAACTCATCTAATACTATTTTAATGAAAGGCTGAAAAAAGCAGATGGGCACAAAGAAGTAGATTGCCAATAATTCAGCAAAAGTAAAGTGGCAGTTTTCCCTTGGTGGTACACAGAAAATTTTCCAGTTACACATTGTATTGTGCCCACTCGTAGCTGCCGTTCATGCTTCGTCTTCAAGTATGCAAAATAATTATGGAAAACAGCAGCCTCACAAAAGCCACACTTATAAAGACAGGCATTAAAACTACCTTTCATTCATACTTTTGCCTTGCTGCTGTTTGGAGTTCCTTGTCTAAGAGAACTTCGAAAATCTGTTTGGGATTCCTACCATTTCTTCAAATTCCTCAGAAGAACAATTGTATTCTGGGCAATATGATTAACGTCATAAATATTTCTCGAAGTGGCTACTATTCAGAAAGCTTAAACCCAGCGTAGGTATATGAAAGATAAGCATTGTGAAATGGAGATACTCAAATGAACTCACCTAAGTACTGGTAAACCCTTTGAGTTTTTAATTTTCATCTTTTTTACTTTGCAAGATGGCTGGAAAGTATGATGAGACTAAAAATACATTTCCAAAATAGGATAGATTTGCAAAAAAAAAAAAAAATAGTGTTTTCTCAGCTACATGTTCAATCCTGCAAGATTTTCATGTTTATCTAAGTTTTCTCACATGCCTCAGTTTTGATAACTATGCTTCACATGCAGAGAAGGAAAAAATTCAGGGCTTAATATTTTGTTTCATTTGTATCTTTTCCTTTTTATTTTTTTTTTGCTTGATAAAAGTGCTTACCAAGATCAGTCATGTTTCTCTAAAGGTGAAGACAGGAGGAAATGTGTAAACAATTGGTAGAACAAACAGGAGAGTTGCTTATTTTATTCCATCAATTACGGCGTCCCAAATCATTACAACCTCTTGCCACCTGTTTCTGTCATTGTCTCCTCCCTCCTGCTTCCTCCTTCTTCGGTTCCATTGTTGGAAGGGCTACTCAAAGGTTTCAGGAAACTAATCACACTGCACTGTTTTTAACACGTCTCTGCCCTGCGAGCCTTTCAAACAATTAGTCTCTTTGCAAGTGTTCAAAGATGTAGTACATTTTGCCAAGATTGTAAACTCTCCAGATTCCTTGCTTCCTGTTCCTGATCTACATTAACCCAGTCTTTTAAGGCTTTATTTCCAGTGGCTGATGAGAACAGAGACAGAAGATGGCACTGTTGACTCATTATCAAAAAGTCAGCAATTGCTTTAGAAAAAAAAATCTTCCATGTTAGAAAAACACAGTATTATTAGAAACTGGAAGTGAGACTACATATATAATGAAACCCAATTTTTGAATATTGTAAGAGGAAATATCAATTAAAAATTAGAGAAAGTAAACTAAGCAGTGAGAAAGTCTCACTGACTTAAATTTTCAGGAAGAGCTTGTTTCATATGGAATTCAGTTCTAGTTACATGCAGCAGAGGGATAAGATGAGATACTTGGGGTTTGGTTCAACTCCACTCTCACAAACCACAAGGCATTAGACACATTACTTAACCTCTCCCTGAGTCTAAATGTCCTTATTGTAAAATGGAGATAATAATACTTATTCTGTATGATCATTTTTTGCAATGAATGAGCACATAGTAAAAGTTCATTAATGCTGCTAGAATGTAAGTCTTTGATTATCTTGTTAATAACTCTATCAACACCAAATAGCACAATACCCAACCTAGAAAAGCTGTGTAGAAATTGATTGAGTGAAAAAAACAAAACTTAACTGAATTTTGTGTTAACTTACTGATGGTACTTAAACAAGAAGCAGGGCACATGTAAAAAATAATTAATTGGTTACCAATTTGATCGTTACAGCACTTGGCTATTTCAATCTGTCCTTTTTCTTAGGGAAATTTAATTATTTCCAATTAAACTATTGAAGATGTCTCATCATTAATAGGGAAATTTTTATATAGATTTTCAGAAGCACTAGCAGACAGCTATTTTATTTAGACAGGCAGAAATTAAAGTATTGTTTTTTAATATTCTCTTCTATTTCTTATTATAATTGTAACCATTATACCATAGCCTACCTTTCCTTTGAGAAATTTAAATGGGAAAATAACATATGGTAGAATATTTTGCCCCTCTTGTTTCCCTAAAATTTAAAGCAAAGACACATTATTTGTGCTCAGTCTACACTAATTAAACATGAATATTTTACATTAAGATACATAGAAATGAAAGGCTTACTTATCCTGTAATATTTTACGTTGTCATAATATTAACTTTAAGCATCAGGAGTTATTTAGACATCATTAAATGTATACATGTTTATTTTCATAATCCCTATGTATGTGATAGAGCTATTTAGCAAAAGTCAATTTTCTCTTTTGGGGCACACAGCCAGCCTACTTTCTTGGTCTTCTTTGCATTTGGGTTTGGACATATGACTAAATTGCAGAGAATGGAATGTGCATGAAAGCAATGCATGCCGTTTCTGTATCGACTCTTGTAGGAAGAAAGTATGCTTCCTACCCCAAAAGATCTGTATTTCTTTGTACTCACTAGATGCAAATGACAGATAGACCCTAAAGGGTACAGAGCCACAAAATGGAAAGAATCTGGGTTGATGAATCTCCACATAAAGGAATTCATCCTTTGCTTAGTAACTGCTAGGTAAGTGGGAAATCAGCTTCTCTTTGTTCTATTAGTTTTTATCACCCCAAATAATATGCCTGTAAAAAATAGTGAGCTAGCAATCACAGCATAACATATGATTTACTGTCACTCTTTAGAACATTCTAGGCTAAAATAGGGACACCAAGTAATAAGTGCCTTTTGACAGAAAGGCCAGGATGCTCTGCTCATTCAGCTAATCAGCAATTCTATATAGTATACGCTCACTTTTCATTAACTTATTTTTTTAATTAAAAATACCAAATAGTAGCTCACTGAGTGTTAATATTTGGGTACATTCGCACAGATATCTGGGCTTCACCTCATTATGTTTCTACTCTATTTCCTCCATTAATCTGTCCAATGGAGGAAGGATATTTAAAATTAAAATTGATGGCATCCACTTAAACTTTCCAAAGAGTGGGGAGTGAGGGGCATAATATTTATTTCTTATTCATTACTTTTTCTTCTTCTCTCAGAGTTTAAGTGTAGCAAGAAGGGAGAATTAGAAATCCTATTACAGTATTTTTTTTTTAACCATAGAAGAAGAGGACCCAGAGAGGTGACATGTTGAGTGAAACACAATATTCAGCCTTTAAAGGTACAGACATTCTTCATAAACCTTGACAGATGCATCCAAATGTTTTTGGTGTAATTTACAGTGAGGGTCACATGCTGATTCTTTTCCATTCCCTGCTCCTCACTTCCTGCTCTGTGCCTCAGGAGAATGGTTCATGTAGATGCTGTCTTTCTGGCTTCCAGTTAGACTTAGCTAGGGGGAAGTACTTGCAGAAAGTGGATGATAGAAGGGGAGAGAGGGCAGGGTATCTCTTCTCTTGCTCACCCCCTCTTCTGCACAGGATTTTGGAAAGCCCTGATATGTTCTCTAGCACCTGGAGCTGCTGCCATGCATTCCTTTCTTGCCCTTTCAGTCTTAGGGAAGGAATGGCTTCCTTGCTTTGCCAATCCGTGAGTGTTGCTGCCTCCATTTTTGCTACCTTTAAATAGTCGAAATGGTTGACCAGCAAATGGACACCACAGCATAACCAAGTTGCCACATAAATGTAACTATAACATAAAGCCTGAGAATCTTGGGTTTAGAAATGAAGAGCCATTTCCACAAATGAAGCAAAAGAAGAGCAGGCCTTCTTTTTTTCCATGACCTATGGATAATTTTGCCTAATAATACCATCTATGTAAGAGGGCGATAAAGGAATAATAAGGTTAGAAAAAAAGCAGACCTTCTGTTAAAAATAGACCTTTTTGATAGAAATTCTTTAGCTGAGGTAACACAATGTCTTTTGTCTCAGGTATTATGGTATCCAAAATTGAGTGATAACCCATTAGGGATAGCTGAAGAAAATAGAGATCTATACTGAAGGCAAACGCTAATGTGTTTAAAGTATCCTGAGAGTGAGACCCTCTGCTTTCTGGCAGTTAGCAGAGGTTGTATGTGTTAAAGGCAGCTGGGTTTGTCATCAGTTAAAAGAAACAAGAGAACAAGAATGTGATGTATAAGGCAAGGCAAATGTTCCAGTATCACTTCCCAAAAGTATACAGCCTAAGAACAAGAAAGTCTATGGTTTTGAGTTTTGCAGGCAAAATGGACAATTTAAACAACTTCAAGAGAGCACCTTCTATAGTTTGGGGTTTATGATACAAAACCTCAGTAACTAACTAACTAACTTTGTGCTGGGTGGGGGCTTGAAATTTTTGGTGTTAGGTTTTCTAAAAGACCTTAACCTTTATGAGAGACCTATTAATATTTTAAGGCTTTAAAATGTTATTATGTTTGAGAAAAATAACTATGCAGTCTGTATGGCTATAAAGATAAACTGGAGATCAAAATGTCATTAATAGATAAAAACTCAAATTCAATTTTAGATAGATTTTTAGAACAGTGAAGGCTCTCCATAGCAGCAATAGGAAGCTATGTGAGGTGGTGAACATTTTAGTATTACGTATGGTTTAGCAGAAATAATATGGTCAGGGAAATAAATACAGGCATCGTGGTTGAACTTCATGGGATTAGGCTAGATGATGTAAAGGTCTTACCTCATTTTAAGATTTTATAATTTTAAAATTTATATTCCCCATACTGAAAAATATTATGCTTATGTATACCAGAAGGCATAAATTAACATACACTTCACGTATCTCACTATTATGATTTTTTGATATTACATATAAAGTAGGATCCATAAAGTGTAAAGTTTCAGACAGAGTTTATTTTTAGTTGCCGTACTTCTTTTCTTCATATTTGATGGCATAATTCCTATTTCAAATTATAGCCATTTAAGACTTTGCAAGGGAGTTAAGCTAGAAATTTTTCTGTTTTTAGGATACTATATGCAAACATGGAGGCTGTCAAATAAAATTTTGGAAGCTGAGAAATAAAAAAAAATTACTTTTAAACACAAGGAATCTCATGGAGTTAAAATGAGCAGTTTTGTCTCTTTCCCAGGCTTTTGGACATCACTGGGTTATAAAATTACTTTTATACTTTAAAGAGAGAAGACTGACATAGGGTTGTCGATGTTGTTTTTCAGCTACATCTATCTTAAAGAAAAGTGAATATAAAATAACTAAACTTTATTGCCACCATTTCATATAAAAGGAGAATCTTAATATATAAAACCATAATTAATTCCCTGGGTTGTATTAAAAATATTAAACAACTGATATAGTACTTGTACTAATTGGCCGATTGGCATAGACATTAGCTGCCATATTGGTAAATACCATCTAAAAATTAGCATTTGATAAATATAATCTCAGGATAAAGCACAACTTTTTATGTTTAATATTTTTGTTTTGTGAAAACTTATAATTCTGTATTTTTCTCCATTTTCCAGGATGCATAAACATCTTGGTAGACCTTAGGTCCAAGATAAAAATTTACAATGTTGATGTAAGATAACGCCGCATATCTACAACTATCTGATCTTTGACAAACCTGAGAAAAACAAGCAATGGGGAAAGGATTCCCTATTTAATAAATGGTGCTGGGAAAACTGGCTAGCCATATGTAGAAAGCTGAAAGTGGATCCCTTCCTTACACCTTATACAAAAATTAATACAAGAGGGATTAAAGACTTAAACGTTAGACCTAAAACCATAAAAACCCTAGAAGAAAACCTAGGTAATACCATTCAGGACATAGGCATGGGCAAGGACTTCATGTCTAAAACACCAAAAGCAATGGCAACAAAAGACAAAATTGACAAATAGGATCTAATTAAACTAAAGAGCTTCTGTACAGCAAAAGAAACTACCATCAGAGTGAACAGGCAACCTACAAAATGGGAGAAAATTTTCACAACCTACTCATCTGACAAAGGGCTAATATCCAGAATCTACAATGAACTCAAACAAATTTACAAGAAAAAAACAAACAACCCCATCAAAAAGTGGGCAAAGGATACGAACAGACACTTCTCAAAAGAAGACATGTATGCAGCCAAAAGACACATGAAAAAATGCTCATCATCACTGGCCATCAGAGAAATGCAAATCAAAACCACAATGAGATACCATCTCACACCAGTTAGAATGACAATCATTAAAAAGTCAGGAAACAACTGGTGCTGGAGAGGATGTGGAGAAATAGGAACACTTTTACACTGTTGGTGGGACTGTAAACTAGTTCAACCATTGTGGAAGTCAGTGTGGTGATTCCTCAGGGATCTAGCACTAGAAATACCATTTGACTCAGCCATCCCATTACTGGGTATATACCCAAAGGACTATAAATCATGCTGCTATAAAGACACATGCACACGTATGTTTATTGTGGCACTATTCACAATTCACAATAGCAAAGACTTGGAACCAACCCAAATGTCCAACAATGATAGACTGCATTAAGAAAATGTGGCACATATACACCATGGAATACTATGCAGCCATAAAAAATGATGAGTTCATGTCCTTTGTAGGGACATGGATGAAACTGGAAATCATCATTCTCAGTAAACTATCGCAAGAACAAAAAACCAAACACCGCATGTTCTCACTCATAGGTGGGAATTGAACAATGAGAACAGATGGACACAGGAAGGGGAACATCACACTCTGGGGACTGTTGTGGGGTGGGGGGAGGGGGGAGGGATAGCATTAGGAGATATACCTAATGCTAAATGACAAGTTAATGGGTGCAGCACAGCAGCATGGCACATGTATACATATGTAACTAGCCTGCACATTGTGCACATGTACCCTAAAACTTAAAGTATAATAATAATAAAATAAAATAAAAAGATAATTTTCCTGTGGCAAGAGCCCTTAGAGTGATCCTATGGCAAGGCAGTGATGAATGGTGTGAAAAGTATAGAATTCCAATCTATTAACTCACTTTTTCAGGATTTTTAAAGGATAGGTTGATCCCTTAGGAGTCATTTATAATAATGGGTATGTAGTATTCAGTGGCTTAGTTCATTTTGTGCTGCTATAACAGAATACTAAATATTGAGTAATTTATAACGAACAGAAATGTATTGTCTCAGGGTTCTGAAGGCTGGCAAGTTCAATATCAAAGTGCTGGCATCTTGTCTAGGCCTTCTTGCTGAATTATCATATGGCAAAAGGTAGAAAGGCAAAGAGGGAAAAGAGAGTCAATATAATGACATTAATCCCTCCCATGAGGCAAAGCCTTCATTGTCCAATCACCTCCACAAAGTCCCACCTCTAACTCTGCCACAGTGGCAAATAGATTAAAACATTAATTTGGAGGGGAACCAACATTTAAATCATAGCGTTTAGTGTGGAGGAAAAATGGGCAACAGAGGACATGATTCCAACTATTGAAGAGTTTCAAACCTAACTAGAGGAATAAAGAATATATACTTGAAACTATGAAGAAATAATTTTAACATAATTAATCAGTAAGTATATGATAGGAGGTTTGATCCAAATATAGAAATGCTAAGATAATATAAGTTAAAGAGATGATAACATGGAAGTAAATTTAATTTAAGAAGACTCCAAAGTTTTCCAATTCAATTTTTTTATTCTATAAGAATATTAATTCACTTATATGTTACAGATAAAATTTAGTAACCTATAATTAGACATTAGATGCTTACAGTTTGAGAATGTGTTACAATAAAGAATATTCATAATACATCTGTGCTTTATGCTTATAATGAAATCTAGGGGTTCTTGATGCAAAAGTTACTTGGGACTCTGTAACTTAAGATGTTATGTTTGCTCTCAAGATATCCTATGGTAGTCAGGTTGATGCATTAAATATTCAGTAATCACTAACTTGCTAAGGATATAGAAAAATAAAAGCAATTTTCTTTTCTTGGCTCTTGCTTGATTTTGCATTTTAAAATTAGATTTCATTCACTGCCTTTCAAATTGGTAGCTTGCATCATATTCTGCCCTCATCATCTACGCTCTGTTTTTATTCACCTTTTTTTTAAGAAGTGGCATAGACCCAAAAGTGAAATTACTTGAATTAAAGAGGAAGGCATAGTTAGCATTTTTCTAAAGCAGCACATGGAAGCCAAATAAGTTTATAAGATTTAGTTCACTCCTGTTAGAATCTGAAAGGCACATGCACTTTCTCATGAGTTAGCCAATGGCAGTTTTTTAACAATAAACTATTTCAAACTTTTCAAATAGTCAATTACAAATTGTCATGTTATGAGGTTATACTCTTCTTTTCAGTAAGCTTGAAATGCAACATTTCAATATAAACTAGAAATATATTTTAGAAAATCCCAAGCCATTGTTTACGAGAAATAAATTTGTATATCACTATCTCAAAGCGCCAAAATTGTTTTTTGAGGTGTTTATCCACAAAAAAAAGAACATCTAATGTACCATTGGAGAGATGACTCAGGAAATTGGGTATATCTGACCGATGGGCAAATTGTCATGAATGCAAGACAGCTGAAGTTCACAGAGAAGCAGAATGAGTATAGTTTGCAATGAGGCTACTCAAGCATCTAAGTTGGATGGAGACTGAGAACCAAGACTACCTTTCATCATAATAACTATCTGATCCAGGAAACTCAAATGCTGGAATATCAGATGGCAAGCAAGTAAATAATGTCACTGCTTTAGAAAATTCTTGTTAACCAAATTATTCAAGCATACAGTTTGCTCATCTGGGAAAAGAGCTGTCTTTTTAAGATAATGGTTCGTTTATCAAAACTCCCCTGAGACCCTTAACTGGCCATGCTTACCAGTCTTCAACTCTATCATGTGAAATTTTTCAGATCCAACCAGTTTCCTACCTTGAAAAACTTTCCTTAAATTGCTCAAAGCCATGCCCCAAACTTAATAAATGTCCTGTTTTATATTTTTCCTTTTAAGACACTATTGGCATTTCTCAAGGTGGAAATCTCTCTTGCTCTCATAAGTTTAACAAATCTAGGCGTGCTGTGGTGGAAGCCAGTCTTCTGATGTCACAAACGCCGTGTTTGTTGACATTAAAAAAAATGGAAGCAGGTCATGACTTGAAGACACCATAAATTTGGGAAAAGAGCAGAAAAGCAACTCACGAAAACTTTCCCTAGTGATCAATGTGGAACATCTGGAAGACATCACAGAATGACGGAGAACAACTTTGGAATCAAATACAAGACAGCTTGAATGAAAACTCTCATCTTCAGCAAAGTCCAGAACCACTCAACTAAGAAACTGTGCAATGAGAAACAAAATGGAACAAATAGCACTGTTGGAGCATTCAGACACAAGAGGTCATGAAAGATAAAGGGAGCTAATTAAAATTTCTGGCTGAATCCTGCTGAAGACCATACAGTTGCCCAATTTCTGTAGCGATCACAAGGATGGTGGGAACCTGGAAGTAGAGAAAATGAGGGAGGAAGAAAATGGTAATCACTGGCCTATCAGTCAGAACTTGATCTAAAGAGTCTTACTGTGGATGTTAACTTAAATAGGTCACTTAAAATGACCTATTTAAGGAGAAAAACAGGAAAGATTCAGAAAACGGTGTGAAGAAAATCAAATGAATGAAGAGCTTACAGGATAAGTAGAAAGTCTCCAAACTGAGCAGGCATCTTTGCAGTCTGAAAATGTGCAGCTTGAAAGGGAAATTTGGAAGCTTCAGCTAGAAAATGTAATACAACTTTAGAGAAAATCAGTGAACTGCTTAGAAATAGAGAAGGAATTTCCCAAAGTGTGTAGAAACATGAACTCCACATATCAGGTACAAAACTTTTACAAGAAGGTGGCTAAAAACAATGACAAATAATTATGGAGTGCTTCTTTCTCCCATTGAAATGAGACTCTGATTTGAGAAAAGAGCTTAAGAAAGTTGGATGGCTGCTCTGTTGACTGAGAGAAAGCTCCATGGACTCAGAAAAGAAAATGATCACAACAGGCAAATAAAGGCTAATATTAAGTTCAAGTTCCAGTTTTTCCCAAAGGACCCTTTTGTTTCTGCTGCTCCACATGCAGCTTATAGAGGCCTAGAGATGCCAGGGTGTCCGTTGAGTCATAAGGTCCCCCAGGGAGAGTCATGCATTGAGGCCTCAGGGACTGAGGGTCACCCGCAAATTTGGCTCAGCTTCTATAGCATCGGAGTCCTGAACACCCACAACCACAGCAGAATATCTGCCTTGTCATTGTAAAGTAATTTTGATATATCTCTTTTTGGTTTAGCTACTGTTATTTAATTGATGTTAAAATTGCTCTTATTTAACTAGGTACAGCATAATTTCTAAGATTGTATTTTTAAATAAAGATTTATTTAGATATCTGTTATGAATACATCATTTTTACATCACTGCAACTCCTAGAATGAAATACTGTAAATATTGTATTTTGATAAATATAAGTTCGACCGTTATTTAAACCATCACCAAAGTTTTACATACATAGAGGCATTTGAAATAATCAAGACTATTTCTGTATGCTAGAAGCTCTTGTCAGAAATCAGGACAATTATTTTAATATTTACCTAAATAACTTCTGGTTGATTTTGAAAAGCAATGCAAACAAACACACAAAAAACCTAAACAACAGCACAACCCATTCAAACTTGATACTGTTTTTATTAGCATAGCCCTAAATTTACATATTAATTTAAGAAGGTTTACATTCTGAAGTCATTTGTTTCTTGCTTTAGATTTTTAAAAATATTTTTGTTATGTTTAATATAGTGCTTGTTGTCTAAATATTTCTAAAATTCATGCAGTCAAAATCAAACGTTTATCTTGATAACAAACATACACATACATACAACACCACAATGTAGATACAGGCACTTTTTAGTTGTTTTGTCAGTATCTAAGGAAAATGTAAAACCAAAGAGAGCCTCAGATTTAATATAAAGAAAGGAAAAAAAGAAGGAAGGAAAAAAGGAAGGAAGCAAGGAAGGAAGGAAGAAGGAGGGAGGGAGGGAGGAAGGAAGAAAGGAAAGAAGGAAGGAAGGAACTGTGCACATAATTTATATACATATAAATGATATATAAATTATATAGACACAAAAGGAGAATCTCCTGATTAATCAGACAAGATTCCACCAAGAAACACCTTATCCCAAATTGTGCAATTGAAAAGACTTTGAGGAAGGCACCTCTCTAGAAATGAAAAGCCAGACAGCCAGCAAAGAAACTGTAACTTCTTTCTATAACGACAGAAAACCAAATTATATTAATTACCTAAATGGACTTGAAAGCAGATTTTTCTCAGATCCTCCCGAAAAAAGACCAGCTGGTTGACGTCTTGATTTCAGCACTGTAAAACCCAAAGCAGAGGAACTAGTTGAGCTAACCCAGGCTTCTGACCTACAGAACTCTCAGATACTAAATGACTACTGGTTTAAGTTATTAACCTTATGACCATTTGTTATGGCAGCAATAGAAAACTAATACAATGCAATTTTAGTAAAAGCAAGATATATGCTATAAAAATTATTCTTTAAAAACCTTTCATTGATTATTTCTGATTATAAAAATAATACATATTCATTTTTGGAAAATGAAATAGCATAAGTAAATATCAAGAACAAAATTAAAATTATCTACATTCCCATCAATAAAGATCATTACTATTTTTGTGTTTCTCTTTTCAATGTTTTTATGCACACACTTTTGTTTGTAGTACAAGTAGAAGGTTATATATAATTGTACAGTCTTTTAATAAGTAACATTATATTATGAAGAATTTATGTTATAAAATTTTGCATAATATTTCTCCAAATCTACAATGGCAACACCTATGTCTTTTCTCCTTTTTTAAGACATGAGGTTTGGTTAATTAATACATATGGTAAAATGCAGAGCTCTTAAGTATTCAGCTTGATTGATTTTGACAAATGCATACAGATATGTAACTCACATTCATATATATATATATATATATATATATATATATATATATAATTTCTCTAATCTCAAAATCTCCTTCTTAGCCCCTTTCTCATCAATTCCCACCCTTTCAGAAACAACCCCTATTCTCATTTCTATCACCATAAGTTAGTTTTCTCTGTTGTAGAACTTCTTAAAGGGAATCATACCTTATCATATTAGGGTTTACAGATAAACAGAACAAATAGGATGTGTGTGTGTGGGGGGGTGGTGTGTGTGGAGAGGGAGAGGGAGGAAGAGAGAAAGATTTATTTTATTTGAAGGAATTGGCACATGGATTAGGGAAGCTGGCAAGTTCAAAATCTGCAGGGTAGGCCCACATGCTGGAGATCAGGGAAGAGGTGAGGTTGAAGTTCAAGTCCATAGGTCATCTGTTGACAGACTTCCTATTGCCCAGGACAGGTCCATATTTGTTCTCTTAAGGTTTTCAGCTGATTGGATGAGGCCCATCCACATTATGGAGGGCATTTTGCTTTACTCAAAGTCCACCAATTTAAATGTTGATTTCATTCAAAAACATATTCACATAAACATTTAGAATAATATTTGATCAAATGTCTAGGCACTGTGTCCAAGCCTAGTTGGCACATAAGATTAACCATCACAAGTCCACTCCTGGTCAGCTTGGCAACCATATGAATCTCCTTAAAGCATACTTAACCTACAAATAAATACAATAACAATGTCATACTTCCACCTAACACGATCCAACTGTCTTATGTACAACTGAAAATGGAATAACTCGTTCCCCCAAAAGAATGCAAAGTCCTTGAGTGATAGTTACTCTTCCTCTTGATATCCCATATCTGATATATCTCATAACTTAAACACTATTATGTCAATTTAACAATACTTAAATACTATACTATAAAGTTAATAGATCTTATGTTACCTATGGGGATAAGAGAGAAAAAAACAAAGATTATATATGTTCCGATAAACCCATTGTAAATTGAAAATATTCTAAGTCAAAAATGCGTTTAATACACATAAACTACCAAACGTTATAGCTAGCTTACTTTAAATGTGCTCAGAACACTTACCTTAGCCTACAGTTGGGTAAAATCTTCTAACATAAATACTTCTTTTGTAACAAAATGTTTAATAGCTCATGTAATTTATTGAATACTGTGCTGAAAGTGAGAAGCAGAAAGGTTGTATAGATACTTGAAGTATGGATTCTACTGAATGGGTACCACCTTTGTGCCAGTGTAAAGTTGAAAAATTATAAGTGGAAAATCATGTCAAAGCATTGTAAGTCAGGGACCATTTGTGTGTGTGTGTGTGTGTGTGTGTATATACATATGTGTGTGTATATATATGTTTATAAATATGTGTATACATATATATAAACACAAGCATCTTCATAACAACACAAGGAAGACATATTCATGACAATCACAGTCTGTTTCTATAACTGGTTACATGCTCATAACTGGTATTTAAAACTACTTTCTTCCACTGCCCATCTCATATTCCCATTGCTTTCAGCAAGTAACCCAGCTGATTATGGTTTGTTACCTGGTGGGGTGACCTAAATCTTTATTCCTGAAACGTATGGGCCATTCATAATCCTGCTTGGATTTGCTTGCTGCAGTTTTTCATTGACTTTAATCACAAGGCATGTTAATACTAAGAGACACTGCATGAATTTTGCTGTATTCCAGGCATATTCCTCCTTACTTCCATTATAAAGTAGCAGTCTAATTTCTCCTTGGAATTCAGAATCAAGCACTGAAGCCAGTACAATAATTTCCTTTTTTGCCTGTTATTCAGAGGACTGACGTGGCAGGGTGGAAGTCTTAACTTCCATTTCAACGGATCAATTATTGTGTTTCCTGGTGGCAGTAGCCCTCCCTTTGGAACTAAGACCTCCAGGCCAGCAGAGCATTAAGTTGTGGGCACAGTAAGCACAAATTTTGCTAGTCAGTCTTCAGGGGTAATAGTGGATGGTGCAACTCCCATTTCTACTCCTTGATTCCTGGGCCCATGAATCCTGCTGTGAGAGAAAGAGTACCATATATTTAAGGCTGATTTAGAGCACATATATTCTGTTGTAGAATCTTGCCTTGTCTTGTAAGGTATTGTACCTAGCTGTTACTATAAATGAGTCTTCAATAGGCCATCTCATCATTCTATCAAGCCAGCTACCTAAAAATCATGGGGAACATAAGATCAGTTAAATCCCTGAGCATGAGCCCACTACTATAGTTTTGCTATGAAGTGAGTTCCTTGATCAGAAGCAATGTTGTGTAGAATACCATGAGGGTGGATAAGCCATTCTGTAAATCAATGAATACAAAAGCATTACATGCAGGGAAGGCAAATATATTAACAGTGAGTGTGTCTATTCCAGCAAGAACAAACACTGTTCCTTTCACGATGGAAGCAGTCTAATGTAATCAACTTGCCATCAGGTTGATGCCCCCGGGAAATGCTGCTGTATCGGGGTCTCAGGGCTGGTCTCTGCCACTGGCAGATTGGGCGCTCAGCAGCAGCTGTAACTAGGTCAGCCTTAGTGAGTGGAAGTTCCCGTTGCAGAATCCATGCATAACCTCCATCTCTGCCACCATGGCCACTTTGTTCATGAGCCCATTGGGTGATAACAAGGGTGGCTGGGGAAAGAGGCTGACTGGTATTCACAGAACGGGTCATCTTATCCACTTGATTATTAAAATCCTTCCCTTGAGGTTATCCTTTGTTGAGCATTCACATGGGACACAAACCATCTTCAAATCTTTTTTTCTCATTAAGAAAGGTCTATTGACGGCCGGGCGCGGTGGCTCACGCTTGTAATCCCAGCACTTTGGGAGGCCGAGGCGGGCGGATCACGAGGTCAGGAGTTCGAGACCATCCTGGCTAACACGGTGAAACCCCGTCTCTACTAAAAATACAAAAAAATTAGCCAGGCGTGGTGGCGGGCGCCTGTAGTCCCAGCTACTCGGGAGGCTGAGGCAGGAGAATGGCGTGAACCCGGGAGGCGGAGCTTGCAGTGAGCCGAGATTGCACCACTGCACTCCCGCCTGGGCCACAGAGCGAGACTCCGTCTCAAAAAAAAAAAAAAAAAAAAAAAAAAAAAAAAAAAAAAGAAAGGTCTATTGACATGCCTCTTTCCCAAATTTCCTGGTCAGCAATTTTCCTATCATGTTTCTTCCAAGTTCCTGAACATCAGGTCCATTATTTGGTAAATAATTACATGCCTGATTATTTCTCCTTCCAAGAAAAGTAAGCAACCAATTTCAGTGCTCAAATTTCTGACACCTGAGAGGATTTCCCTTCACCACCATCCTTACAAAATGTCCAAGAAGGAAGCTGTACTGCGGCATTGCATGCTTTTACATGTTGCTTCATATCCTGTGGAACCATCTGTAAACCAGGCCTGAATTTTCTTTCTCTATCGATTGTTCATAGGGAAGTTCTCATGATGTCATAGGGGCAGGCTGGGAGAAAGAAGGCAATGAAGCAGGGGTGGGGACAATGGGCATTTGGACCAGTTCATATGGCTTACTTGTCCCTACAGGGCCTGCTTGGACCCAATCACATATACACCACTTCCATTTGATGAGAGTGCTGCTATGCATACTCAACTTTATGGCTTGGTAAGTCAGATAACAGTTCATGATGGGCTCAGGTCAGATGGTAAATGGGCAGCCCACAGTTAAGCATTCAGTTTCTACCAAGACCCAGTACCATGCCAAAAAACAGAACTTTCTTACAGTGCCCAAAAAAACCCAGAACTTTTGACACCTTGATCTTGGACTTCTAGCCCCCAAATGGAGACAAAAGATATTTTTGTTTTTTAAGTCACCCAGGTTGTAATACTTTGTTATGGCAGCCCTAACAAACGAACAGAGCTGTGATAATGTTGCTCCAGAGAGGGAGGTCATGCTGAGTCCCATACACCTCCCAGTCCTAAGCAGCGACAGTACAGTAACATTTTGAGATCCCACCCCCTACCAGATTGCATCATGCTCTGGGGCCCAAAAGCCACTACATTTCCATATCCTGGAGCACCATTGACATGTCCCATGCATAGTCACTGCCACTGCTGGCTGCTGCTGCTGGGGCCAAGGTATGAGCCACTGATAGTGACCCTGTCCCCTGATTACAGGGCCCCACATCTTCATGCACCTTGAAGAAAGCCTACCCTGCCACAGCCTCCCTTGCTGCTGGCTCCTGCCATCACTGAGGCATAAGTACAAGCCATTGGTAGTGACCCTGGTACCCCCAACAATGGAGTCTCTATGCACTTTCACACATTCCAAGAAAGGGCTCCCCTACCCTCAGCCACTGACACTACAGGCTGCCACCACCAGGGACAAGCACGAGCAATCTATGCACTCTCCAGCCTCCTCCCGCTTGCAGGGACTGCCACTGAAAGCTACTCTGCCCTCCCCAGTAGCAAAGCCAAAGCATAGTCACTGCTGCCCCTACCTAAGCATTCCACCAAGGTCGCAGATCACCCCATCCTGGCCTACCACAGCCAGTACCTGCACACACCATCAGAGGGCCAGATGACAGTTCCACCAGGCTGGGCTCCACCCCCTCCAATACCCAGTCCAGTCCACCACCTTCATCACCTGAACATTTCTCCAGAGGCCTGAGGTTAGGCACCTCCAACCTACTGCTACCATCACACGTGGCACCCACCTGTATGCACCACCTGCAGGCCTGGGGACTGGCCCTCCCAACCTGTCACTATCACTGATAGCACAAATGTGAACTTCTTGGGAACCGAAGGGTTGTCTCATCACTGCTACTGCCATCACCATTGCCACATCCACTTCCCAAGGGCCCAAGAACCCACCCGCCTGCCTGGCTCACTGCAGCCACTACTAGTACCCAAGCAAGCTGCCTAGATGCACAGGAAGACAAATATCACATGATCTCACTCATACGTGGGAGCAAAAGCAGTTGATTTCATGGAAGTAGGAAATATAATGATAGATATAGTAAGAGTGTGAGAGCAGCAGTGGGAGGGATGAAAAACCATTGTTTAATGTGTACCACATACAGTGAGAAGGAATACGATCTAATATTTGGGGCCGGGCGTGGTGGCTAACGCCTGTAATCCCAGCACTTTGGGAGGCCGAAGCAGGTGGATCACGAGGTGAGGAGATCGAGACCATCCTGGCTAACACGGTGAAACACTTAAAAATACAAAAAATTAACCGGGCATGGTGGCGGGCGCCTACAGTCCCAGTTACTCCAGAGGCTGAGTCAGGAGAATGGCATGAACCCGGGAGGCAGAGCTTGCAGTGAGCTGAGATCACTCCATGGCACTCCAGCCTAGGCGACAGAACGAGACTCCGTCTCAAAAAAAAAAAATCTAATATTTGGTAGCAGAGTAGGGTGACTATTAGTTAACAACAATGTATTTTATGTTTCTAAATAGCTAGAAAAGTTAAAATGTTCCCAACATATGGAAATCATAAATAATTGAGGTAATATATAACCCAAATACCCTGACTTGATAATTATGCATTCTGTGCATGTAACAAAATATCCCAAGAACCCCATGTAGATGAACAAATATTAAGTTTTAAGTATCAATAATAAATAAATAAATGAAAATTTTAAAAAGCAAATTATTAAGTTTGATGTTATAGCAAGGTACCTTTTATTTTCCTTGGGTAGTCTATGAATTTAAATTGACATAGTGTTCCACGTGGTAGCTAGTCAGATGCCAACAGGGCAGGAGAGGGCCCCTACACCCAACCAAGAAAATCAGGCAACCATCAGGTGATGGTCAGGCAGTTGTCACACCGCCTCTCTAAAATATTAACAGATTGCAGCCAGCACCGAGGAAAGGCACTGTCCCTATAGATAGGAAACACCTAAAACTGGTGATCAGCAGCTTTCTGATAAGATCTCAGGAGCTCGACGAAGGGGCTTAAGCATGCACATTAAGAGGAAAAATGGTGGAGTATGACCTTCCAGGGTCATTCTGCAGGTAAAGGGAACTCAAGTGAGCATGTGTACGACTCCAGTAAACACTGCGCATGCTCACCTCCCAACTGCTAGCAGGCCACTGCACATATAGGCAGCCCACCCCAAAGAAAGAGTCAAGGGAAAAGAGATGCAAGACGCCAGAAGTAGGCCAGCCAACATATAAAACCCGAAGCCCAAGGTCAAAGGGGGCACTTGTCCTCCAAGATGCCTGTAACTACAAGTTAACATATAAAATGTTGTTAAATTTAAGATGAGTAACGCTAGGACACGGATTATTTAGTGAGATGCAAATAAAAAATCTAAATTTTTTAAATAAAATTCCAATTCAAGTTTACTAGTTAGACAAATATAAAAACCTATAAGAACTGAGTTTTTTAAGTAGCAACACAAATGACATGAATATACATCTACAAATGTCTGCATATACATATATAGAAAGAGATAAATCTAGATCTATATACTTAGAAATAGAGCATTCACAATTTCTCACAGAGAAAAGTTAATGCAGAGGCAATGAAATATGAAGATGCTATCATTATTTTCAGAAATCCTTGCAGTTTCCATGGTAAGGCAATATGTCATATTATTAGGTTCATTGAATATCTAGTAATGGACTGCCCTGGATCCATTGAAGGTTTAACATATCCTCTATTCTTGACTGTGAGTTTAGGCCTATGAGGTACAATCACTGTGCTTCAATTTTCTCACTTGTAAAGTAGGAAAAAATAATAGCACCTTTCTCATCAGTTGTGAAAATGGCATGAGCTAGCAAATAGAAGGTGGGTAGAATAACGTATTTCAGATAGTAAGCAACTCAAAGCTGTTGTTGTTATTATTATTATTATTATTAATTCTGGTACTAGCTTTTGCTAGTATTGAATGAATGAAAATCTGATATAATTAACAGTATTTAAATGTTCACAATAATCATGCAATCTGTGGATCCATGTACAATTTACGTTTTATTTTATATTTTTTCTCTTTCCCACCCCCCCCCCCCCATAACACACAAACAATACATAAATACACTTCAGCACTATTCTTTTCTTTAAAGGGTTCAGAGCTTTGGATGAAAAAAGTAAGTATTTTGATATTTCAGAATATTCCAGCAGTGTTCATCTTCTGCTGTTGCACTTTACATTTGCACAATGCTACTTCAAAATAACAAAAGTCACCTTAAAAATAAACTCGGCGGGACTGGGCGCGGTGGCTCACGCCTGTAATCCCAGCACTTTGGGAGTCCAAGGTGGGTGGATCACCTGAGGTTGGGAGTTCGAGACCAGCCTGACCAACATGGAGAAACCCCATCTCTGCTAAAAATACAAAAATTAGCCAGGCGTGGTGGCTCATGCCTATAGTCCCAGCTACTCAGGAGGCTGAGGCAGGAGAATCGCTTCAACCCAGGAGGCCGAGGTTGCAGTGAGCCAAGATTATGCCATTGCACTCCAGCCTGGGCAACAAGAGTAAAACTCCGCCTCAAAATAAACAAACAAACAAACAAACTTGTCGGAAGGTGTGTGGCTCACTGTTTCACCAAGGAGGTGAGGAATATTCTATGCACAAGCATCAGGGTATGGACTGCAGAGCTTCCTGGCTGATGGTATAGCTATTTAGGAAATGAAGCTATGGTTTTCACCTTACCATTCTTGTGAAAACTTAGAGAAATACCTTGTTTAAATCGAGCAGAATGTAAAATGCTTCTGAGTTGTGAACCATGGAACTTCGGAACCCTAGGGCAAAACTAACAATGTAGTTGATAACTAAGCTGAGGAAATTTTTTTGCAGTTACTAGAAGTGAAATGACAAGATTAGCAGTGGTAGGGATAAAAAAAAAATCCAACAATGCCTTGTGTGTTCTGTATCATAGTCTTAGGGCCCACAAGAGTCAAGGGGTTCTCCTGAGGTTACGATTGCAGGAGCCTGTGATGGAAATGTGGGCCATTGGGGTCTCTCACTTACCTTTTCCCCCTATTGAGGAACCTCTCCAGGTTTCCAGCCAAGGCTGGCCAAGGAGGCTGCCTCGTTCCCCTCTCTTTCCTTGCTTTAAGTGTTTCCTGTGACTTCTCTGTTGAATTCCTGTTCTCTCTTGGATGATCTATTTGAAGTGTGATCATCTACTAGCTATATTAGCTCTTCTTTGTGGAGGAGGTGAGTACCAGCTGCCTGTAGTCAGCCACCTGAAGCCACTTCTCATTTGTTTTAAAAAAGTGAATTATTTTAAACATAATTTTTAAATGAGAAAAAAATGTATTTGTTAACACTTATCATTTCCAGTGCACTGCAATTCTTGGTGTTTCCATCTGGTATTACTTCCTTTTATCATCAACAACTTTTTTTTTTCAATGTTTTACAACAAGTTTCTCTTATAACTTTTTAAATAGTGTAAGTCTGTTGGTGACAAATACTCTCATGCATTTATTGTTTAGAAATCTTTCTTTGAGCTTTTTTTTTTCTTTTTTTTTGAGATGGAGTTTCACTCTGTCGCCCAGGCTGGAGTGCAGTGGTGCTGTCTCGGCTCACTGCAAGCTCCGCCTTCCGGGTTCATGCCATTCTCCTGCCTCAGCCTCCCGAGTAGCTGGGACTACAGGTGCCCACCACCATTCCCAGCTGTTTTTTTTTGTATTTTTAGTAGAGATGGGATTTCACCATGTTAGCCAGGATGGTCTCGATCTCCTGACCTCGTGATCCGCCCGCCTCGGCCTCCCAAAGTGCTGGGATTACAGACGTGAGCCACCGTGCCTGGCCTGAGCTTTGTTTTTTAAGGCTATTTTTGATGGGTATAGAATTGTAGGTTGATATTTCCCCCGCTCCCTCCCAATAACTTTAAATATGTTATTTTCAGTTATCCTTTTTTTGACTTCCACTGCGTCTGATAAAAAGTTATGAAATAGATTTTATGATTTTCCCCTGCATGTGACCTGGATTCTTTGGCTTCTTTCAGTATCTTTCCCACAATCATTAGTTTTTAGCATTTTGATGATCATTTAGCTTGAGATAGATTTGTTTGTGTTTATGTTCCCTGGGGTCTATTGTGATTCTTTGAAAAATGTTGGCTACTATTCCTTAGCTATTTTTTCTCTCTCTCTTTTCTTAATATGACACTCCAATCACACATATGTTAGAACACTTTAAAATGTTCCACAGATCACTGAGGCTCTCTTCAACTATTTTTCAATATTTTTTTCTTGTTTTTATTGAATGTTTTTGACAACCCTATTTTCAAAGTCATTTTAAGTTTACTTTTACAGTGTCTCATCTGCTGCCAAGTCTACCTAATACATTTTCCATTTTATGTGTTGTATTTTTGTTAACAGAACTTCCATTTGGTTGATTTTTAATGGTTTCCATCCCTTTAATGCTTCCCTATTTATCTCTTATTTATTATTTATTGGGCATATTGTCCTGACTTACTGCATGTCTAGATAACCTTTATTACATTCTAGATTTTCAGAATGCTCTAATATTGAGTATCTCCATTTTATTGTGTTTCTTAAGAAACTAATGAGTTTGGTTCTTGCAGGCACTTAATTTACTTGAGGATCAGCATGCTAATTTAAACTTTGGTTTTAAGCTATGTTTGAGCAGTTCTAGAGTTGCCTTTACTGTAAACTCTAGAATATCTATTTGTTTATAGTGTGATGTTTTTGGAATTTTACTCAATGTCCAGAATGTAGAAGAAGGACTTATCTCTCTGGCTAGTTTGCACACAGATTTTTTTTTTAACTCTCTTCATAAGTTCTAACAATTATTTAGCTCACAATTCCAGATAGATGTTCTTTTTTATTAGTTTTTGTTTTTTGCCTGGTTTCATGGAGTCTTACCCTGTGCATCTACACTTATAAACCAGCCAAAGACTAGCCAGAACTGTGAATAAGTTTCTCTACAGACTTCTGGAGCTCTTTTTCTGCATGTCTTCTCTAATATCATGTCTCAGAAGTCAGGTCTCCTCAGCAGCCCCAGATTTCCATTATCTGTCTTCACAGATCAGCAAGATGCCTATGCTGGTACTCTTTGGACCATGTCCATAAACAATGTGTGATCAAGCTATTTGATTTGTAATGAGGAAGTGATTGGTGACCTTTAAACTATAGTCTTGGAGGTGTCACAAACATCCTATTTCAGGTTGATAGTTTTGAATGGGGATGAGAAAGTAACTATAGTTATTAAAACTCTCACTACATATCACCATAACTGATTTCTCAAAATGTGAGAGAGATGGATGCTGTTACATTCTTTTAGAATAAACAGAATAAAATATTCATCAACCACAAAGTTGGTGCTGATGATCATGGCACCAGAAATAACAACAGGACAAAGCACCATCAACACTTAATGAAGGTAAAGAAAACTGCAAGTTTATTTTATTTTATTCTGAGTTTTTTTTTTTTTGAAGTGAAGGCTTGTACGTTTAACAAATTTTGCGTACATTATAACTATATTTCTTTCTAACTGTGAGAATATGACCCTTTGATTTTTCATCCTATAGTTTATGAAAGAGGCATTCTAAGAATATCTTAATATTTACATATTATGGACCTCCCCCCCGTCAAAATGAAGAGTTAGTTAGTACTTTGCTGATTTCCATAACTAAAATTGTTAAACAATAATATAGTTATATAAATGAAGAAAACAGCTGTTTAGCTCTATTTTAGAAAAAGTACAATAAATGTAAATAATTAGGGAGTTATTATTTACTAGCATTATGTGGCATAGTATAGATAACATAAAATATAACAAAACAAAAACAACTGGACTATAGTATTCTTCTGTTATCATTGTTATTCACAAGAAGCAAGAAGGAGTTCCTGGAAGACAGTTCATGATCCAAACACTTCTGGTTCTCTGTAATTTTGTGTATCTTTTTCAATATAAATCAAATCTACCATGCAGGTAAAATCAAACTGAGGAAAGAAAATATGACAGACAATAAGCTTTAAAAAGGAAGCTTAGAGTCTGAAGTGGTACTTTATAATGGTGAGAGCTACAAAGCAAGAGGATGAAACATTTCTCAGATAGTTTTCTTGCTGCCATGACATAACCTGGGGCATTTTCAATGATTCACTGATGTCTTTGGAGGTGGTGGAGAGGTTTGTACACACCCTCCCAGACATCCCAATCATCACTTAAGTAATATGATAAGGTAAATTTGTCTTTGTTACTGTAACTGAATTGGTTTTTATAAAAATAGTTTATGCTTCACAAACTTAGATTATTGTAGCCTGACACATTTCTGCTATACTAATCTCTGACCTACTCTGTAAAATGGCTGTGTGCTGATTATAGGTTTTATTGTGTATAATAGCTGGTATTGATTGCATACCGGAAGCCAGTTGATTCTCAATGTAATCCACTATTGATAATAATTAATGACTTGCTTGCTTGTACTTAGAAAAAGGATGCTGATAATTGTAGGAACAAGGAGAAACCCAACAAATTTTATCATTTAAAAAAGGGAAGCCTGGAAATTCAGGTGTTCTTAATAAGAAAAATAGATGTATTTCTTATAGAAAATAAACACAATGGTAAATAAAGAAGAAAGAGAGTAAATCAGACTTTTTTTCCTTTTCTACTCTTTGTACACCATTTCTCTTGAAGTTTGAAGTTAGATTTTGTATAACCAACTAATATGTACGTATTAGTTGGTTAACGAAGCAGAAATGTGTTTTTCCACTCTGCTGCAGCAAAGTATCAAAGGAATGACTCTGAGACAGGAATAATCCAGGGTGGTCACAGGATAATGGAAAATTCCAAGCAGCAGTTTTGCATGACTGGCAAATAAAAACTGTTGAAACAGTTGCATAAGCTAGGGACTGCTAAGACGGTAAGACGGCAAAAACCAGTATGTGGGCCAAGCTGGCTAACTGACTGGACCCAATATGGTGCTGGATGTGACCTAAGTTTCACCTAGGACCTCATCATGTGCTCATTAACATACTAAATAATACGCCCACCAGTGCCATGACAGTTCCAGGAACATTCGTATTTGGTTTAAAAATGGTTGGCACCACAGTTCTCAGAAATTTTCTCCTTTTTCCAAAAATCTGTATGAAAATCTTCATGAATATTCCACCCCTTGGTGAAAGAAACTCATAAAAATAGAAGCTCCAAACCCCACTGGGCTCTACTCACTTTCTTGAGTATGCCTGCACTCCCCTTTCTTGAGTGCGTACTTTGGCTTTGCAACAAATTGTCTTACTTTCACTGTTTTCTGACTGGTTCCTTGAATTCCTTATTCCAAGTTGTCAAGAGCCTTGACTCTGGCTGGGATGGAAGTCCCATCAGTGTTTGGGCACCTCCCCTAGCTCAGGTGTCAACTCTTCTACTATAGATTTTTCTAACAAGAAAGTACATGAGAAGGTATGCAGGAAACATACCAAATCGAGAGACCATGTCTAGCATGCAATCATTTTTTTAGTTCTCAGAGAGAAGCCACCATTACAGCTCTTCTAAGGTTTTGTTCTTTAATTTTTCAAACTTTATAAGAACAATGCATTTGCCAAGGTAATATAAGTTAGCAACTCAGAGAGAGTTATAATAGCTGCATAAAATAATGTTTAAGTCACCTAATATTATAGAAATGTATTTTGTTCTTTCACAAAATGGATGGTTAGGAAAATGTATTAATGAGTAGAAAAGATTTAATAAAGTAATATTATTTCATTAAAATTCATTAAAAAAGTTTTAATGAAAACTACAGTTGCCATTGAATATATAAATATATACAGTTAAATTTTTTTTTGAGTGCCCAGGCTGGCGTGCAGTGGTGCGATCTCGGCTCACTGCAAGCGCCGCCTCCCGGGTTCAAGCCATTCTCCGGCCTCAGCCTCCCGAGTAGCTGGGACTACAGACACCCGCCACTGCGCCCGGTTAATTTTTTGTATTTTTCAGTAGAGATGGGATTTCACCATTTTAGCCAGGATGAAAGAAAGAATTTTAATAGGTTCCCATACCAATTGCAGATGTCAGGTGTAGTTATTATTCATCTCAGGCATTTCAACAATATTGTACCTGACATTGATCTAGGTGCAACATATAAAAAATGTTAAAAAACATTGTTCTTCAACTCAGGTATTCCTTCAAGGCATTATCCTTCTAATTCCCCAAATCAAATATTTTATATGGTCTTGATTTAAAAAATGATTGTAATTATATTTCTGGTTAGTGACTTGTGCGTTCATTGATTTTGGAATTCTTATTCAGTTCTTAAATTTGAAATAAGCAATTTATTTTCGTTTTTAAAACTGTTCCTTCTGATGAGTTTTTAGAGGCGATGGGGAGCTCAAACCTTGATAAAAGCCCGATGAACATACATTAGTGGATCATCAAGTGTAATTTACAGAAATCATGGGAATTAGAAACCTTCAAGAAAATGGCAATGTAGCAATCTGGATAATTTTTTAGAAACATACTTTTGAGACTAACCAAGCACCCTGCTTGGCCTGTAGTGGGTATTTAATAAACATACATAATCAGTGAGGAAATTTTTAAATAATAATGATTACATTTTTTTCAGGAAAATGAAAATGTTAAGAAATGTTGTACTTGATTATTTAATTAAGAGACAATGAAAATGGGTCCCCGTGCAAATCTGTGATACTGTGATAAGAAATATATATTTGGTCTTCATTACCAGGTTCATAGCATAGAGCTCCGGGAAGCTATATAATTTCATGAGTGATTGGAATGAGAGAAGCATCTTTTGTTGTAATATTTGTTCTTTGTCCTTGGTTTCTGATATAAGGCTTCTAAGACACTTGGAATTTTCTGAGTCATAGGATTGGCTTTGGTATCCTAATGAATGACTCTTGGATGGCAGGGCTTCTGGATACCTGCAGGATAGAGACTAGTCATGAAAGAGGCTTATAATGTAAGGGATGGAACTTTCAGTTCCACCCCTGGACCTCCGGGGAGGAAAGAGGGAGCTGAAGATTGAGTTTAATCACCAACAGTCAATAATATAATTAATCATGCCTACACAATGGAACCTTCATATAAATTTCTAAAGAGTGGGGTTTAGAAGACCTCTGTGTTGGCACGTAAATCCATGTGCCACAAGAGTGGCCTACTCCAATTCCATGGAGACAGAAACTTCTGTGCTAGGGATCTTTTCAGACCTCATTCTATGTACCTCCTCATCTGGTTGTTCATTTGTATCATTTGTAATAAACTGGTAATAATTTTTATCCTTTATAAACTAGTAATAGAAAGTAAAGTTTTATAGCTATTGCTTATCATGTTGGCTGTTTTTGTAAATTATTAAACCTGAAGAGGACGTCATGGGAAGCTTCAATTTGTAGCCAATCAGCCAGAAGTATGAGAGGCTTAGGATTTTGGATTGGCATCTGAAGTGGGGGGACTGAGTCTTTAACCTGTGGGGTCTGCACTCATTTCAGGTGGCTAGTGTCAGAATTGAACGGAATAACAGAGCGCCCAGTTGATGTGCGGAGAGTTGGAGAATTAGTTGGTATAGGAAAATCTCCTACACATTTGATGTCAGAATTGTTGTGAGTAGAAACAGATTAGAACACAGAAGTGTGAAGAAATTGAAGAGGGGTGAAGTGAACCATTTTGACCCATTTTTTTGAATGAGAGAATGAAAAAAACAAAACTATAAGAGATTGAAGCAAACAAATCCTGAAGAAAACAGAGAGAAACTGCCTAGAGAATAAGTATTCTGTGTTTTAAAAAAGGAGATAGGAGCACATACCGTGTTTTTTATTTTACTATAAATCATCCTTCATGCCTACTCAGTTTTATAAATGTTACATGTATTGTAAACCTAAATAACAAACAGAGAGAGGCTCTCTAAAACAAAATCATATTTATTCAAAACTAAGGCATTGTAAAGGGAATATGAGTATCATAGTAAACGATACGCATATTCAAGGAGGTAAAAAAGACTTTTTAAAAATGAGGATGATTATGCCATCATTTTGAGATAATTATTCTTTGCTATAAGGCTTAACAACAACGGTGATGCCAGTCTGAGGGTGCACAGGCAGTGGCTGGGCACGTGTTTTCGCAGACATATTTTTGATGTAAGTTTGCGATGGCCTTTGTGCAAGCTTGTCTTTGCAGAGTCTTTTGTGGTAGTTTTTGTTATCAGGCATTTATGCGTAAGAACTCTTCTATTTTGGCCTTCCCTGGCTCTATTTGTCTTTTTTGTTAGCTTGTTTCTTTTTTTTTTTTTAAACAGAAATGACTTTTGATTTTGACAACTTTCATACCATGTATTCATTTATTTAATGAAGCATTCAGTAATTGATTCTTTATACCTTTATTACATTCTTACAATGTGACAGGCCCTGTCCTAAGTCCTAAAAAGTATTCTGTAGTGATTGTCATTGTTGAATAAATGTTAAAGAAAAATTTATGAAAAGAATAAGGAAGAACAGAAAAAAGAAATAATATGGATTAATTATATAGAAAATGTAGATATTTATGTATGCCATAAATAAGAAAAAAATGGAAAATTTTGCTTTATTATTTGAATTCTGTTATTAAAATCATTTCATAAGAATTAAATGAGTCAGCCCCTTAAGTTCTTTGTACAATCTAAGAATAAATATAAAATCATTAAATTTTAGACACACTGAAGTTTTGAAAGTAGACTTAATTTTATACGAGGGATTCTTATTAAAATAATTAGAAGATACTCAGTTGTCCAATGGACTCTGAAAAACTGTGTACATTTTAAAATGAAAGTTGGAATTAACAAAACAATGTCTGCTTTCAAGAAGAAATGGTGTCATGATGGTGTGGCACTAAAACATTCAGTGTCTTAGATATAACTTTGACCTTTAAGAAACGAACAAGATATTTGAAAAAATATGTAGCCCAGTGATTAAGAACAGTAATGGTCATCTTCAGCTAAGTGAGAACAACAAGTTCATAAACGGTAGTGGATGAAAATAATAGGTTATTTATTTTTCACATAGTGTTTTCGGGGCTGTAGAGTTTTTCTTCTCCAAGTGTCTTTCATTATGGGCCTTAGACTGAAAGATCATTCCTCATCTAGGACATGTCATTTTGTGCCAGAAAAATAGACAACTGGTGGAAACACATAAGATTCTTAAAGCTTCTGCTCAGAACTGGAATGCATCATATCTTTTCATTAAATTGACCAAAGTATGTTATGAGGCTAAGCCAAGTCAATGGGCCAAAGACATATACTGCTCCCCTAAGAGGCCCTGTAAATCCCATGGCAATGGTTGGTGATAGATAGTCCTTTTACACAGTAGTTAGTCAATAAATGAGAGCAATAATGCAGATTATCTGAAGAAGATAGATTTGGAGCCAAACTTACCGGATTTTCCACATAATCTCTGTGTAAATCTTTATGCCTTAAATTCCTTATCTGTAAAATAGAAAACACTAGACCTATCTCATAGGGTAGAAATCAAAGTCAAGAGAATTAATGTTTGTAAGGAACTTAGAATATTACTGGGTTATGGTAAGTCCTGTTTAAGTGTTAAATACATTACATGGATACTGCAAAATTAATCATACTAGTTTATTTCAGTTACACTTTCTGATTGCACCCTAGGAAATGCTTGTCAACTGTAGGTATTTAGCAATAAGCAAAGGAACACCAGTTTTATCAGATTTAATAAATTCTCATGAAAACAAGCCTCTGGTGATTACAAAAGCTGTGAGTTAATTTCATTTTCCAAGGTGTCATACTTTTACTTGGTGTTTATAATAAAGATCATAAACAATGAATTCATATATAATATGTGACCTTTCATAAAACACCCAGAATAGGTAAATCCACAGAAACAAAAAGCCAATTGGCAATTTCCGGGGGATAGGGGGAAGGGAGGGTAGAGAGTAATTGCTTTATTGCGTACAGAGATTTCTTTTGGGGAGATGAAAATAGTTTGGAATTAGATAGAGAGGTGGTGGTTACACAACACTGTAAATGTACTTACGCCATTGCATTGTACAATTTTAAATGGTTACTTTTATATTATGTGAATTTTACCTCAATTAGAAAATGAATTAATTAATAAAGTCTTCATATTGGTTCTTTTTACATTTTTACAAATCTTAAATAACATATTATAAATATAAGCTTATAGGAGACAGAATTTCAACTACCTTGAATGACACCGATGACCCCACAATTAAACTTAATGAAAATTAACCTTGATTTCTTTGGACGCTTCACATATTTAGTTAACTCCCTACAAAATATCTCCTCTTGGTCTACTCTACGCAACCTCACACTTGACACCTAAACTTGAATTCACAATCTCCCTAATCTTATATATCAAATGGTAATTTTTAACCTCCCCAAATGACACTGTCTTCTTCCTAATTTTGCAACTTGGAAACAAGGGAATCATTCTTCATAACCCTGTTTTCCTCATACCTTTTGCTAATCCATCTCCAGAACCTGTCATTTTATGTCTAACTACATCTCGATCGTATCCACTTCTGGTTCACCTGGATGACTCTAATAGTTTCCTAACAGGCCTCCCCAAATCAACCCTTTCCATATCAAATGCACCTACTTGCTCCAACACATATTCATATGATCCATTCTAAGCACTGAAGCCAAAGTTGCCATCTACCCTTACAAACTTTTCAAATGCTTTCTGTTGGTTTTATCTTGGCCTCCATCTCCTTGCCTTCATGTACAATTCCATTTCATGTCATTCTTCTCTTTGATCTGGCCACATCAGTTACCCAAATGCATCAGGTTCTCTCCAGCCATGGGCCCTTGACCTGAAATGCTAACTACCCTCTCTGTTATGGGATGAATTGTGTCCCTCAAAAATATGTTTAATTCTAACCCCCATATCTGTGAATGTGAGCTTATTTCAGAATAAGATCTTCACAGATGTAATCAAGTTGCAATGAGGTCATTAGGATGGGCCTGAATTCAATATGACTGTTGTTAGGATAAGGGAAAATTTGGACACAGAGGCATGCATGCACAAAAGATAATGTGGAGATACAAGGGGAGAATGCCATGTCATGATGAAGGCCAAGATTGGAACATCTTGGCTGCCACAAGCCAAGGAACACTGAATCATTCTTGATAACTCTATTTTCCTCATACCTTTTACTAATCCATTTCCAGAACCTGTCATTTTATGTCTAACTACATCTCAATCCTTTACAATTCTGGTTCACTAATTGGTCTCCCTAAATCAACCCTTTCCATATCAAATGCCCCTACTTGCTCCATCACAAGACTTCTATCCTATAGAACTGTGAGAGAATAAATGTTTGTTTCTTTAAGTCACTCAGCTTGTGGTTCTTTGTTACAGCAGCCCTAAGAAAGGAACACTCCTTTTCACTCCTTCATCTTTTAGATCTCAATTCAATAATCACAGGACACTTTCCATTTAAATATGTGAGTAGTTCAAATTCTCTTGTTAGGAATCTTGTATTTGCCTTCTAACACTTATCAGAATTGCAATTTTACATTTATTTGTGTGATTTTTCATTTAACACTTACTATTCAGTCCCTGTTCCATTCTAGTCTCTCTCAGTGTAAGGATATTTGCTGTTTTTTTTTTTTTAAACTTGTTGTTGCATTTCAACACCTACATAATGGCTGTCATATAGAACACAATCAGTAACACAGACCTAAACTTTAAAAATTAATAATTTATTATTACATGCCTATGTTATGGGAATGAAGTGAGAGTTAAAGAGAAAATGTACACAAAAGCAACTAATAAATATGCATGTGTGTATGTGTGTGTGTATATATATATATGCCAGTATTTCAATTTATGATTGAATGTAAGTGATATTTCATGAAGCCATGAATTCAATTTTGAAGTAATGGTGAGGATATTTTGTGATGAGATGGATAGCAACAGAATTCCTTTCTCTTTTTGAGCTTTATGATTTAATTTGCTTGCTATATTGATCTGAAGCAGCAACCTATTATTGAAACTAGGACAGAAAAATACTAGATTTGGTAGAGACCTGAGCAATCTGTCATCTTTGTGAATAAAACACAAATATGACATGTTTCAGGCACTGAAATTTCTAATGATATTAACCTCTAGAGAAATTTGACTCGCTGACCTGATACTAAAAGATACATTCTGCATCTTCTCTGGGGAATCTAAGACTTACCCAGGTGATTAGGCATTTTATCATCACTGGCAAAATATCTTTTGGTTGTATAATGCATCTTATGAAATTAACAAGTGCATAGTTATTTAATTAGGATTTTCAGCAGTTAATTAAAATATGTTCTTGATATTTATCTGTTTTCCTTTTCTTTTCTGAAAATGTAAGTTTAGATCTCCCCTATCGAAAAGTTCTTGCACTCTCTGTCCACAAAAACCCTCCCATATCATGCCCTTTCTCTGAATAGTGTTTTGAGTCATTATATTTTCTCCAATTATTTTGGCCTAAACATTTACATTTTCTGACTGTAGCAAGAAGATGTTACTATTTTATAAGAACAATACTGAAAAAAGTTCTAGATAATAATTGGAAGATAAAAAATGTGGACTAATTCAGAAAATGTGTGTTTCTGCGTGCTTTGACAATGAAAAAAATTTGAACATAAAATTACAAATCATTTTTGGGATGTTTTGTTGCTTGAGAGATAAATGCTTAGAAAATCAAAGTATATTTGTCTACAAATATACTATATGTTAATGATTGTTTACAGATTAAAATAAGTAACATCTTAATATGTTGACATTGACTTTGGAATATGCATATTACAAAAGAATCTCAAAGGAGTTTTCAGGTGATAAGTACTTGGTTTTAGAGATCTGAGCAAGTTGACCCTGTTAGGGAAGGTGTGATGTAAACAGAGCCAAAATAAAGGTGCTACAAATGTGAGTTAACTTTGCATGGGGAGGCCATCTCTTCCCATCTGGAGACTTGCCTTCTTTTTTTTTTTTTTTTTTTTTTTTTTTTTTTGAGATGGAGTTTTGCTCTGTCGCCCAGGCTGGAGTGCAGTGGCTCCATCTCGGCTCACTGCAAGCTCCACTTCCTGGGTTCACGCCATTCTCCTGCCTCAGCCTCCCGAGTAGCTGGGACTACAGGCGCCCGCCACCACGCCTGGCTAATTTTTTGTATTTTTAGCAGAGACGGGGTTTCACTGTGTTAGCCAGGATGGTCTCCATCTCCTGACCTCGTGATCCGCCCGCGTCGGCTTCCCAAAGTGCTGGGATTACAGGCGTGAGCCACCGCGCCTGGCCGAGACTTGCATAGAAATGTAACACATGAGTTTTTGTAGAATTTACATACAGAGTGTTTTGAGAAATGTGTCCTCAGGCAATCTCATCACTATGTGAATATCCTAGAGTGTTTTTACACAAACTTAGATTGTATACCCTATTGCAGACCTAGGCTATAAGGCATAGCCTATTGCTCCTGGGCTACAAAGCTGTACAGCATGTTACTGTACCAACAACTGAAGGCAATTGTAATACAATGATAAGTATTTGTGCATCAAAATATCCTTAAACATAGAAAAGCTACTGTAAAAATGATATGGAAGATAAAAAATGGTACACCTGTATAGGGCATTTACCAAGAATGGAGCTTGCAGGACCAGAAGTTTTTCTAGGTGAGTCAATGAGTGAGGGGTGATTGAACATGAAGTCGTAGGACATTACTGTACACGACTGTAGACTTATAAACACTATACACTTAGGCCACATCAAATTTATAAAATACAGATTTTTTTCTACAATAATATGTTAACTTTACCCACTGAAAGCTTTTTACTTCATAAACTTTTATATTTTTTAACTTTTTTGATGCTTTTGCATTAACATTTAGCTAAAAACACAAACATGTTGTACAGCTGTACAAAGAGATTTTCCTTCTTTATGTCCTTATTCTACAAGCATTTGTCTATTTTTTGATTTTTTAAAAAATGTTTACACTTGTTTTGGTTACAAATTAAGATACATACACATACATTAGCCTACACAGGGTCAGAATGATCAATGTCACTGTCTGCCACCTCCACATCTTGTCCACTGGAAGCTGTTCAAGGACAGTAACAAACCTCGAGCTGCCATCTCAAGATAACAATACCTGTTTCTTGCATATCTTCTGAAGGACCTGTCTGATGTTATTTTACATGTAACTTCTTTTTGTAATAAATAGAAGTGAAGTTTACTATAAAATAATGATAAAAAGTGTAGTATAGTAAATACATAAACTAGTGACATCATATTTATAATTAAGTATATTAGTCTGTTCTCCCATTGCTGTAAAGAACTACCTGAGACTGGCTAATTTATAAATAAAAGAGGTTTAATTGACTCCCAGGTCTGCAGGCTGTACAGACAGCATGGCTGCAGAGGCCTCAGGAAACTTACAATCATGGCAGAAGGGGAAGGGGAAGCAGGCATGTCTTACGTGGCCACAGAGAGAGAGAGAGTGAGAAAGGGGAGGTACCACACACTTTTAAACAACCAGATCTCGTAAGAACTCACTCACTATCATGAGAACAGCAAAGGAGAAGTCCATCCCCATAATCCAATTACCTCGCACCACACACCTTTTTCTTTTCTTTTTTGAGACAGAGTTTCACTCTTGTCGCCCTAGGCTGGAGTGCAATGGCACAATTTCAGCTCACTGCAACTTCCGCCTCCCAGGTTCAATCGATTCTCCTGCCTTAGCCTTCCGAGTAGCTGAGATTACAGGCATGCGCAATTATGCCTCGTTAATTTTTGTATTTTTAGTGGAGACAGGGTTTCGTCATGTTGGTCAGGCTGGTCTCCAGCTCCTGACCTCAGGTGATCTGCCCGCTTTAACCTCCCAAAGTGCTGGGATTACAGGTGTGAGCCACGTGCCTGGACCAGGCACCTTTTTCAACATGTGGATTCAACTTCCCTTCCCCTCCCTTCCCCTCCTTTCCCCTTCCCCTCCCTTCCCCTTCTCCTCCCCTCCCTTCCCTTCCCTTCTTCTTTACTTTCTCCTTTCCTTTCCTTTTCTTTTTTTTTTCTTTTTCTTTTTTTTTTCTTGAGACAGAGTCTCGTTCTGCTGTCCAGGCTGGAGTGCAGTGGCACGATCTTGGCTCACTGCAACCTCCGCCTCCCGAGTTCAAGCAATTCTCCTGCCTCAGCCTCCTGAGTAGCTGGGACTACAGGCGCGTGCCACAACACCCGGCTAATTTTTGTATTTTTAGTAGAGATGAGGTTTCACGATATTGGCCAGACTGGTCGTGAACTCCTGACCTCAGCTGATCAGCCCACCTTGGCTTCCCAAAGTGCTGGGATTACAAGAGCGAGCCACCGTGCCTGGCCTCTGAAACTTTTCTAATACAAATACTGTTTGAAGCCAAGACAGAGAGATAGATTTGAGCTTAACACTCTCTCACGTTGGGAGTTGACTTTCAATACAAAGCTTTTTTTTTTTTAAGAACCTGGTGTCATAGTATTGGCTTCTAGAACATTGGGCAGCAAGCCTCTTCCGCTTGATAACAATCATGTTACTCTTACAGAGTAGAGTGGGAAAAAAGCAGAATATTTAATAATCCGCCAAGTAAATAAAGAGGCCCTCTGTGGTTAAAATTGAGCATCTCTATGTAATACACTCAACTTATAACAGAAAAAAAAAATCATAAAACCTGAGCTCTTTCTTGGAGATATCTAAAATGTAGTATCTGCAGACACTCAACTCTCATCCTGAGGAATCTCTATATTAGTAGTGTAGTATTTTACTTCTAAATATATTTCATTTGTTATATTTTACTAACAATAACTTTTTAAATTACTAACACTCTGTGATAGATTCTTGTATCAATGCTTTCTACACGATATTTTAAGACTAATCAACAAAATGCTGTAAGCAAAAACTCACAAATTATCAACTGAAAGTATCCATGGTGGCCAGGTGCAGTGGCTCAAAACTGTAATCCCAGCACTTTGGGAGGTAGATGGATCACTTGAGGTCTGGAGTTCAAGACCAGCCTGGCCAACATGATGAAACCCCATCTCTACAAAACTACAAAATTTAGCTGGGCATGATGGCAGGTGTCTGTAATCCCAGCTACTCGGGAGGCTGAGGTGGGAGAATCCTTGAACCCAGGAGGTGGAGCTTGCAGTGAGCCAAGATCACACCACTGTACTCCAGCCTAGGTGACAGAGCAAGACTCTGTAAAAAAAAAAAAAAAAGAAAAAAAAGTATCCATTATGTTTGTCCTATAGTCCAATTAACTAAATAATTATGGGCTTTATAATGACTAGGGAATATAAAATTAATTTGATTTAAATAGAGCACAAAATAAAAGATGTAGTATTTCTCTATCTCTGGGCATACTGCTAATTCTTAAAAGATGGTTTAGAAATGAGTTTCCTCTCTATAAAATATAGTAAAGCACAGTAAAGCTGTTTTTATTTGAAAGTTTTGTGCACAATATTAGAAATTCAAATGTTTTTTTTGTTTGTTTGTTTGTTTTTTAAAGATGGCTACTCCGTTTTGAGCAGGATGAGAGCAAAATCATACCTGGGGGATATTTAGAAAAGGAAGCCGTCTCTGCGTGCTTTTTTAATTTTTTCACTTAAATTTAAACCAGACTTAAAAGGATTGCTTAATATCTTTCAATGACTCATCTCAGAGTGACAACATAAACTCCTCTCCCTGCCTACAAGACCCAGTGACAGCTGGACTGTTTTTGATTTTTCCTCATCTTAGACCACAATTTCCCCCATGCTCACTAACTCCACTCACCCTGGCCTTTTCGCTGTCAGAGCAAGCCAAGCTTGTCTCGCCGTAGGGACTTTGCACTTTATAGTTTATCTTCACCCAAATGATCTCGTAATTCACTTAGCAGCTCAAATGTCAGCTTCCTCAAAAATTCTTTTTAAAATTCATGTCTCAACTCAAATGTCAGCTCCTCAAAGAGACTTCTACAACCTCTAAAGTCAGATCACATCCATCCCTTCTTTTCTGTTTTTTGTAGGATGTATCACTGTTTGGTGCTATATTTATTTGCTAGGGCGACTATAACAAAATGTCACATATTGGATGGCTTAAACAACAGATATTTACTTCCTTACAGCTCTGCAGGCTGGAAGTCCAAGATCAAAGTGCCAGCAGGGTTGGTTTCTCCTGAAGCTTCTCTCCTTGACTTGTGGATGGCCACCATGTTGTGTCTCTCCTCATGGTTGGCCCTCTGGGCATGGGCACCCTTAATGCCTCTTCACATGTCCAATTTCCTTTTCTTGGAAAGGGCAATAGTCAGATGGGATTAGGACCTACCATAATGGCTTCATTTTAACTTAATCCCCTCTGTTAAGGTCTTGTCTCCAAATACAGCACACACTAAGGTACTGAGGATTAGGGTTTTAACATATGAGTCAGGGTGTTATGCATTTCAGCCAATTATAAACATTATTTATGTTTTTACTATCTGCTTTCTGTCTGCCCCTTCATAACATGAACTCTATGAAGGCAGGGGAATACATGACTTGTTTTATTTGTCTTTCCTTAACCAGTCTGAGTTAATGATCCTAGTTGGGTACAGGTGTTGGACAATGAATATTTTTTGAATGCTTGAATGGTTTCAGTAAAGGCATATTGATCTCCAATGTTGAGTAGGAATCTTTTCACTAGAATAAATTACATGTACTTATTGTATGGAGAGTCAATGTGGAGAGAGAAAACTTTCTGCCTCAAGTATTTGGAAAATTGTTCAGAGTTTAAAATAAAAATAAATTTATTTTATTGTGATAGATTTTATTTTAAAACTCTCACCCATAAAACTATCGTATGAAATATTTAGAAAAGTCAAAGAATATTCTTAAAGAACAAAGAATATTCTTTAAGAATATAGCTAAATAACTTAAATGAAAAACATGGAGGTGCAACCTCCACCCCCCCCCCCTCTCCGGGTTCAAATACTTCTCCTGCCTCAGCTCCCGAGTACCTGGGACTACAGGCACATGCCGCCACACCCAGCTAATATTGTATTTTTAGTAGAGACGGGGTTTCACCATGTTGGCCAGGCTGGTCTGGAACTCCTGACCTCAGGTGATCCGCCTGCCTTGGCCTCCCAAAGGGTTGGGAGTACAGGTTGAGCCACCACACCCAGCCAAAGTCACATATTTAGCTAGCTTTCTCTCTTTAAATAAATGTGAGATGCCAGAGTGCTGCAATGACCTAGAATCAAGTAGAACTTTTTGCACAGAATACATGGCGAAGAATGTGAGACTTAAAATAGCATTTTCAAGGAATGAAGACAAAATTATAGGCAGGTTATATAATAGTAAAATTCAAATTGTGAAAACAGCTTGCCAAATTAACACAAATTAGAAAAGTTGGGAAAGAGCTGACAAAGCTGGTAGGTGAGAGTATTGTAGCTTACAGTTAACATTTAGTTCAAGTTATAACAACTAGGGCCTAAAGGGGAAATGGTGATCAGTGTGGTCAATGTATGATGATTTCATTTTAAAACAAGAAAGCAAGTGTTACTGCTTTTGTGATGCACTAAGATTGAGGATCTAGACTGAAGCTGTGAGATATATCATTACAAACTTGAAAATTGGAAATGAAGAATTAGCTTCTTTTTCTACCGTCATCTTTGGAAATTGGTTAAAGGGTTAATTGTGCTACCATTTGTAGTATGGGAGAAGCCAGAGATAGGTCATGGTTTAGAGCCAGAAGTAATGATTTTCTTTATTCACGTATAGTGTTTTTGTAAAATGGGAAGCAATATAAAGTAGAACTTTGAATCAAAATAAATCTAAATGAACAGCAACAAAAAAAGGTAGGGCAGAGATGTGAATTTTAGAATCATTAGGGCAAAAAAGATCTCATCAAGGACAGGAGAGAAATAAAAGAGCAAAATATCTAATAGTCAAGCTTGAAGAATGACCACATGCAGAACAAAATACATGACATTCAAGAGGTTGTACCATCTCACACAAATATACATGAGAACTAGAAATAGATTGTGTCTCAGTTGAGGTACTTGAAATTATTTTCAGAATGGAGAAGGCAGTTGTCTTCATCAGGGAGAAATAATTTCATGCTTTTTCACCATTCTGTGTTTTGGGGAATGGGTGGGAGGGATAGTGGTTTGTGCTAAGTTCTAATTGCCTTCTACTCAATTAAGGAAAGACAATCTACATTTTTATTATTAAGTGATTGATGGTGCACTGTGATTATGAGTTTGATCATGAAACATATGAATTTGATTTCTCTTTCCTTTAAAAATTACCCAGTCTTGGGTATTTCTTCATAGCAGCATGAGAATGGACTAATAAATACACTTTCCTTCCAGTATCTCACAATTTTGTGGCTTGAAGGGATTTCTCATGTAAAAAGAACCAACTCGGCTCCAGTGAACATGAAAGCAAACTTCCGGCAGGACTTTGACCTTTCTAGCTAAACTTGCCACCTCCTCTTTTCAGTTTTGGATCTCTGAGCCAAACTTGTATTTTCTCTCCCTATTTTCATCTTCTACTCTGAGCAAATAAGGTGAAAAGTAAACACTGAATCCCAAGACACACTGGAAACTCATTCTATTCTGTTTCTTTTAGCCATAAGATTTCCCCACTCACTTTCAGGAATAAACAGTTTCAGAAAGCAATCTTTATAGTTTAATAGCATGTGGCATTTACAGTCTCTGAAGCCCAAATTTCTCTTTAACGTTTTCTCCTTCAATAACCTGAGTCTCCTGGATATTGTCGTTCTATGCCTGAGCACGGTTTCCCTTCTACATTGGTCCTTGATTTTTTTTTTTTCTTAAACAGACACATTTGGTCCTATTTTGTGACAATTATTGCCGCAAAATAAAACATCAAAAATATTTCAAAGTTGTTTCATAACATATAAATGATCTACACATTTCTTAAACATATCTCTTTCATTTGCCTACATTTATATTTGATACAGGCAGCTGAAAGCCACATATCAATTTTCCTTTATTTGGTGCTTAGAAGGTAGAACGTGGCATTATGTGGAAAATAATTCTGTAAGGGAAAAAAATTGGAGTAGATATAGGTTATTTTCCTCTCCATTTACAGAGCACAATATTACCAAAAGAAGATATTTTATTGAAATAAGTTATCTAAATAATTTGACTATGAATGTGAAAACATGAAAATATAATTACATGTGTTTGACATACTTGAGAAAAATGTTGTCTTTAGAACTCAGTGATATAGTTCTTTTGTCAAAAGCACACTGTTTCCAACTGTATTTTAGTTGTGCTTTTATGTGGCAATGAATGTTAATTTTTTTTCTCAGGTAAAATAAATATACAGGGAGGTTAACCTGAAGTCAAAAAGATAAATTTAAAAAATTGTTTCTAATTGGTTGCTTATCTAAATTCACTTTATTACTTGAAGAGAATTATCTTTACTCTCCTTTGATATTATGATTCTTTGCTACTCTGGGAATACAGCCATTCTTTTAGTACTGGATTATGTATTTGACAGTATAGCTCTCTAAACACAACATTTTTGGTCATAAAGATATAATAATCAGAAAGTAACTTCAAAAGTTCAATAGTTCCTCTCTTGAAAACTCTTTCCTAGGTCATTGTTTTAGCCATTTATACATTGTGCAACTCTTCTAAGAGAGAGAAGATGATTTTCCCTTTTACTCTTGTAATTTTCTCATACATTGATATCATGAAACTAAAAATCTTCTCTATTCTTTTCATTGATATCTCTGAAAAGTGTTGGCATTAGGCATACGCTTTCAGACATTTCCTTAAAAAAATAGGTTTTCCCCCAGCCACCATGGAAGACCTAGTTGATCCTTTGTTTTTATTTTTTCTTAAAGTCCAATAGAGCTTTTTTTTTCTTTTCTTAATGTCCAATGGGGCTAATCCCTCTCTTGCTCTCTCTTCGTATGTTTAAATTCCATTGCCTTACATTTTCTGTGGGAACCTAGTGTTCTTAATTGTAAGAATCTGAGTTTTACATAATTAAAAGTATTCAGGACTTTGTTTTGTAGCAATTTTAACTAATTCTGTCTTTTATAGTATATAAAAGTCCACAGGCATTATTTATTGTGTGTAGTAATAATTGTTTTTTAATGCAAAAGTGAGCCCAGTAAATATTTTTAAATATAACAATTCAGAATAAATTTTGTTTAAGTGCAAAGACTAGCGAAAAGGAAATAAATATTACCAATATATATGTAAGAATTGAGAAATTTGGGAAAAAAACAACTATAGTATTGGAGTGAAATTTAAAGCAGGATTTTTTTTTTTACCTGTTACATGAAAATTCTAGGAATGTATTACTTTATTTCCTGAAATAAGAGCTAAATTTTGAGAAGATGTTATGGCCTTAAGCATGGCCACAGGTGAATTTTCTCAAAATCTAGAGGCCACTTTTAGTTTTTAAAGTGACAGACTTCTAGAATGAGCAGAGTGTTGTGTTTTTCATAGAGATTGTAGGTTTTGTGCAGGTAGGTCACTAATCGTTCCATCTTAGTCCTAACGAATAACATGGTGCCTTAGTATTTTCTACCTGCTTCTACTCTTGCCTCCCCTCAGTCTACTCTTGTATTAGTCTGGTCTCATGCTGCAGACATCCCTGAGACTGGGTAATTTATAAAAGAAACAGCTTTAATTGATTCACAGCTCCACATGGCTTGGGAGGCCTCACAATCATGGCGGAAGACGAAGGGAGAGCATTGGGACTTCTGATGTGGTGGTGGGCAAGAGGGAATGAGAGCATAGTGAAAGGGGTTTCCCTTATAAAACCTTCAGATCTCATGAGACTTACTCACTGAGTCTTATTCATGAGACAGTATGGAGGAACTGCCCCCATAATTCAATGATCTCCTACCAGGTCCCTCCCATAACATATGGGAATCATGGGAGCTACAATTCAAGATGAGATTTGGTTGGGGACATAGCCAAACCATATCAACTCCTTACCTAGCAACAAAATTATCTTTTAAAATGCAATCTGTATTACATCATTCTTCCACTTAAAATGCTCCAGTGGTGTTTCATTTCATGTAGAATGAACTTGAAATGTCTGACCAGGGCATATAAATCACTCTTTCCTCCCCAGCTCATCTCACAACTTTCTCCCCAGTGCCCATTCTACATTTCAACTAGTATTCCTCTCTTCCTTGATTATTCCACATTTGCTGTTGCCTTAGGGCCTTGTCACCAGCTGTGTTACCACTTGGAACATTTTCCTGACAAATAATTTCTTAGCTGGTTCCTTCTTGTCTTGAAATTCGATTCAAATGTTACTTCCTTGAGATGCCACTCAGCATTGGAGTGAGAAGGGTAAGTCAGTCTCTATAATATTAATTAGTTTTAGTTTCTTCCTGGCACTTTCCACTCTGCAAAGATAGATTCTTTCTCTACATGCCAAAAAATAAAATAAAGAGGAAAAAGAAAAGGACAGAAAACAAAAATAAATACCAAGTCTATGAGAAGAGAGTTCTTATCTGTTGTGATTAAAATATTTACTCTCAGCACCTAAAATAGTTCCTAGCACATGATAAGTTCTCATCCTATGTTTTGTAAATGAAGAAATAAATGGGTAAGTAAAAAGCATAAGTTCAAAAATTATTTGCTAAAAAGAGTGAACTAAAAAAATATACCTCAGACTGTCCAGCCTCCATTCTCTGAGTAAATGCTCGATAAATCAATCATCCTATAACTTGGCTTTCCAGTGCTGCATGATTCCAATAGCCAGTCAATTATGTTGATAGTCAACGAACATTTTTAAAGACACTTAGGTGTCAGGCTGGGGACAGAGGGAGCGAACAAGCCAGGAGTGCGTGAGTCCCTGCCTCAGGGAACTTACATTCTAGTATGAAAGCAAACTATATATGTGCCAAAAAAAAGAAAAAAGAAAAAAAAGAAAAAAAAAGAGTGCAATGATGTCAGAAAAGTAGGGCCATGCAGAAATTGGTCAAGGACTCTGCGTTTTAAGTTTCATATAAAGCCACTATAAAGTTGAAAACAGAAAAATAAAAATACGGAGCTACACTTTAACTTTGGCAAGATCCCACTAAGCACTCATCGACATTGTTTTACTATTGTACTGCCATGGTAATTATTTCTCTTTTCATCAAAAATGTGAGAATTGACTTGCCAATCTATGTTGGATTTTGACTTTCAAAATTTTACTGTTACGCCTCTTTCTTCAGTATGTCCTAGCCACCTACTGTTCTCTGATGAGTCTGTCTGATCTTTACAATTTGCCCATTTCCATTTTTGTCTGTTTTACCCTAATTCTAACACTTTATTGAACATTTTATACCTAGAGAATATTTTATTTTATTATTTTTTTTGTATTTATGATATACTTTAAAACACATTTTAATAGTTTTAGGGGTACAAGTGGTTTTTGGTTACCTGAAAGAATTATACAGTGATAAAGTCTGAGCTTTGAGCGTATCTGACACCCAAATGGTGCACATTGTACCCAATAGGTATTTTTTCATTCCTTACTCATCACCCTCGTCCTCTTCTGAGTCTTCAGTGTCCACTATACCACTCTATTCTAGCGAATATTTTAAATGTATTATAGATACTTATATAACCGAAGTTAAAACTCAGCTGGTAAATATTGATATGGTGAAATAAAAGCCAAGTTAATAAATACTGACTGAAGTAATTAAATCACCAAACAAAACCATAAAGTAGCCTATATTTTTTAATTTAAATTTTAATTGATTGAATTCTATAGGTGTCTATGTAAAATTTATACTTAGAAACGGAAGTAGAAGATTAGACATTCAAACAAGATAATTTTTATAAATTTAATCAGGAAAAATTGTGTTACTTCTTTAATTTTCATTCTCCAGTGATAAAAGGTTTATATATTTATAACCATTCTAAGCCTAATATTTTAATATTAAGAATTGAACTAAGGTTAATATTTAATATTAAGACTTGAACTAAGTTAGTCATTTTATTTATTTTTTTAACCAATGAATTATTTTTTTTAAACACAACTTTACTCAGATAGAGTAAAACAGGGCTGGCTGGTTTGGTTAAAACAGACCATAGGACTTGTGGTGGAGGGATGGTGGGGGAAGCCTAATATTTTAATGTTCAGAACTGAACTAAGCTTAATATTTAATATTAAGACTTGAACTAAGTTAGTCATTTTATTTATTTTTTTAACCAATGAATTATTTTCTTTAAACACAACTTTACTCAGATAGAGTAAAACAGGGCTGGCTGGTCTGGTTAAAACAGACCATAGGACTTGTGGTGGAGGGATGGTGGGGGAAGTTTCTGCTTTCCTTGTGGTTTCTATCTCCAGATGATCCTGGGCAAAAGTACAGAGGTGATTTCTCACCTCAGATCCTAGTCCGAAAATAATTAAAGTAAATTTTTTTTTTTTGCCTGTCATTTTTGAGTAGGAAAATCAGAGCCCACCTTGCAAATTGGTTTCTAATGATGGGATTTTTTGGTATCACATTGTGACTAAACTGTTAATTGACAGTTTTTATGGACTTTCCTGGATGACTAAGGATGGAACATTCCTAGGTGAACTATAGGTAGCACTGATCTCAAGAATCATGTGGGTAAATTCTAATCTAAAGAGCAAAGTTAGTGGCTTTATTAGAAATGGCTACAGAGTGAGAAGATAAGTGCACAAGCAGGACTGTTATTTGAGGATACACTGTTCTTAGGGCAGGATCCAGAATCATACAGAATCTTTCTCATATTTAGTAGAATGTGTTCATGATTAAACACGAATACAAAATATAGTAAATGTATAACATAGATATATAACATTCAGATGACAGGTAACTTATTTTTATTTATTTATTTATTTATTTATTTATTTATTTATTTGAGACACAGTCTCGCTCTGTCGCCCAGGCTGGAGTGCAGCGGTGCGATCTCGGCTCACTGCAAGCTCCGCCTCCGGGGTTCACGCCATTCTCCTGCCTCAGCCTCCAGAGTAGCTGGGACTACAGGTGCCCGCCACCACGCCCAGCTAATTTTTTTGTATTTTTTTAGTAGAGATGGGGTTTCACCGTGTTAGCCAGGATGGCCTTGATCTCCTGACTTCGTGATCCGCCTGCCGTGGTCTCCCAAAGTGCTGGGATTACAGGCGTGAGCCACCGCGCCCCGCCAATGACAGGTAACTTCAATCATGAAACAATTTTAGGTGTTGTCATTGTCTGGGAGGGGTTGAGATCTATATGATTGTTTCAGGTATTTGTGTGGTTTTTTTTTTTTTTTGTCTTTAGGATAAATGTTTTAAAAGTCTCTGAAATAAATGCATTTTTGTATTTATGTGACTTGTAACTTTTTCCCTTTCTGGGAGGAAAAGTGATTTTAGATGTATGTATATATATCACACATGTTTTATCCATTGTGTGTCATTCAATTGTTAGGTGATATAATATTGCTCTGCCACTCAAAAGAACCAAGTTGTCCTTAGCCACATACATGTAATTGACTAAAGGATTACATGTATTAGGATTGAACTTTTCCCTATTGATCCCCCTTCTTTCTTCCAGCAATCCCATTACTGGGTATATACCCAAAGGATTTATAAATCATGCTACTATAAAGACACATGCACACGTATGTTTACTGTGGCACTATTCACAATAGCAAAGACTTGGAACCAACCCAAATATCCATCAATAATAGACTGGATAAAGAAAATGTGGCACATACACACCATGGAATACTATGCAGCCATAAAAAAGGATGAGTTCATGTCCTTTGCAGGGACATGGATGAAGCTGGAAACCATCATTCTCAGCAAACTATCACAAGGACAGAAAACCAAGCATGTTCTCACTCATAAGTGGGAGTTTAACAATGAGAACGCCTGGACACAGGGAGGGGAACATCACACACCGGGGCCTGTCAGGGGTGGGGGACTAGGGGAGGGATAGCATTGGGAGAAATACATAATGTAAATGACGAGTTGATGGATGCAGCAAACCAACATGGCACATGTATACCTATGTAACAAACCTGCACATTGTGCACATGTACCCCAGAACTTGAAGTATAAAAGAAACAAAAAACAAAACAAAACTAAATCTACAAGTAGTCTGTTATCAAAGAGAGATGTAACTTTATGTTCTGGTAGAGAACTTTCCTATTTTTATGTCAGAGTTACTTTTTGAAATGTGCCATGGGTGGATTATTGTCCAAAGAATATTAAAAAACAGCAGAAGTTCATTTTATATAGCAATATAGGATTCATTTTAATTGGCAGTATCTAGTATTTAATAATACTAAAAACCTCCCTGGTAACTTCGATTCAGGTTATTTAGGAGTTGAAGGCATTAGAAAAAACGTAATTTTTGTTTTATTTTCTTTTAATATTAAACTTGCAATTTTACAATTTGGAGCAATAACATTTTCAGAAATGCTTTACAAGAACATAATTATAAAGCAGCTTCGTCGTCTGGGGTAAATACTACCAAGGTTTTTGGTCTCACAGTGAAGGAGACAGAGGTCATGGACACACACACAGACACAGTGAGTTCGGAGCAGGAGTTTAACAGGCAAAAGGAAAGAACAGCTTTCCGTTACAGAGAGGGGTCCTGAGTGGGTTGCTGGGTGGCAGTAAAAATGCCAGGGTTTTTATAAATGGTCTAGTGAGAAGGGGGCTGTTGAGAAGGGGGTGTCTTATCCTCCTGGGTGCCCAAAGGTTCAGTTGAGCCAGGTATGCTATCTGTATAGAGCAGAGTTTTTGTTTGTTTGTTTGTTTGTTTTATCAGTTCCCACTCCATTCCCGGACCACATAGGCCAACTTTTAGTCTGTGTCTCTTTGTCTTGCTTACGTGGGAGGGAGAGTTTCTGTCTGTTCCCATACGTCTTCCTGCAGCTGCAGGCATACCTCCAAATCTGCTTTTAGCTTCCCTATCTTAGTGCACCTAAAGGGAAAGGAATGTGCTTATTACAGCCCACTGTTTTACTGGGACCCATGGTATAAATGTGAAGTTTGGTGATTATCCAGGAGACCTTCCCCCCTCCTTCTGTGCCCCAGCTGTCTTATCTGTGTTTTGTTGTCTGCTCTTTCAGGCTGCTTGTTGTTAGAAGAGAAGTGGCATCCTTGAACTGCATGAGGTTAGAAAGGGAGCTCTGTTTGAGCTGCTTTTTGTTAAAAGGAAAGTTTCCTGCCGGGGACTCGCTTTACCCTGTCTACCTAAATAATTTCTTTTTGTCTCCTATAACATATTTCTCCCCTCTGCAATGGGATCCCTAACTGCTGTTAGGGGGAATTGGGTGACGACTTCTTCTGGCCACTTCCTGCTGGAGAGGGGTATTGTGTGGGGACCAGCAATTAGGGCTCCTCCAGGGATCAATTTAAGGGTCCCCGGTAGAAGGGCGGTTTCATTTTAGAAGGACAGTTTCATTTTCAGCTCCATTTGCAGCACCATTTGAAACTAGATGGTTTCTAGGCAAGAAGAGATGAACTTTACAAGGAGGTTCAGCATATAGGGTCTAAATATGAGTATTAATTAAGATTACCATTATTAGTGCGGGCACTATAGACCACAACCATGACATCAGAGTTTGTTTGATGCCTGTGAGCCATGTAGATGGGTTGTGCTGTGGCACGTGGGTGATAATATTGGTTGCCTCTACTAGATGTTGCTGTACTTTACCAGAAGCATTAATATAGGAGCAACACTCTTCCTTAAGGAAAACACATATTCCTCTCTGACTTGCCATTAGGAGGTTCTGTCCCATACGGTTTTGCAGGGTGATACCTGCAAGTGAGTTTATTTGCCATTGCTGTTCTTGAATGGCAGCTGTAATTTCTTTTCCTTTTTTTTTTTTTTCAAGATGAAGTCTTACTGTGTCACCCAGGCTGGAGTGCAGTGGTGTGATCTCAGCTCACTGCAACCTCTGCCTCCCAGGTTCAAGCGATTCTCCTGCCTCAGCCTTCCGAGTAGCTGGGATTACAGGTGTGTGCCACCATGCCCGGCCACTTTTTGTATTTTTTTGGTAGAAATGGGGTTTCACCATATTGGCCAGGCTGGTCTTGAACTTCTGACCTCGTTATCCGCCTGCCTCGGCCTCCCAAAGTGCTGGGATTACAGGCGTGAGCCACCATGCCTGATTGCCAGCCGTAATTTCAGCTAGAGCTTGGGTTTGCTGAAAGGATAAATGTAATCCCATTTACCTTCGGGAGACGGACTGAACAGTGGTTCCTAGGAGTCCAGTTACAACAGCTGCTAAAGGGAGTAGAATTACATGAGCTGCCTGAGTAGAATTACGTGAGCTGCCTTTTTTACTACAATATGGGTGTTTCATAAGGAATGGGAATTGTATGGAAGTATTGGCATAGGATAGTTTTGAAAGTATTGCTGCAACACCACAGGTTCTCCTCCAGTGACTTGGTGGGCTCATATACCCCAAATTTCCACATATGAAGCATAGCTCTCGTTTGAGATCTAGAGACACTTTGTATCCCCAAAAGTTCAGCTCTACATGGGGGGGTCTTGTGTACTTAAGTAGTTCCCACTGAGGTCCTCCCATATTGAGGCAAATTCTGCTCAAATGCTGGGGGTGAATATATGATTGGGGTGGAAATTTAAAAACATTCTCTGCACTACCCAGGCTAAAGTTTGGGTTAGGGGTAAAGGCGAGTTATCTATCAACACTGAGTACCAACCCGTAGAAATGTGAGAAGTGTTGGTGTTACTAGTAAATTGAGGTTGCCTTGAATTTGGATATTTAAGGAGAAGGAACTGGTGCTGCTTTCTTACTTTAAGGTACTATTTGAGTCTCTTTTCTGAGGAGTCACATGACCTTTCCTGAGCTGTCCAGCTAAGAAAGACTTCATATGAGCAGTTGGACAAGGTTCTCAGGAAAGTTCCTTTTTTCCTTTGGGACATGAAATAAATAGGAAATGTGAGCCTTGAATCTACATTGTGAAAGACTTTTATAGGAGGTGGGGTTTCTGTAAAATTCAGGTCTGGGTGGCCATCCTTTATAACTTGTGAGATGATTGGGAGAAATATATTCTTGACTTGCTTATCAGGATAAGTTGCATTGGACTGAGCAGCGAGGGTAACTGGAGTGTTAACTTTGGCTAAATCCTCCAATGATAGTGGTAATACTTCCGCTGACAGCGAGTCTGAAGTACAAATATAACATGAAGTTAGGTTGACTGCCAAGGCGAGGTGTTGGATTTGTTGGGCTATAGGGTTTAGGGGATTGACCTGCTCTATCAGGAGGAGGAAGAAAAGTTTCAGTAGCAAGAACTTCATATTTGTCTTTTTTTTCTGTAATTATTAGACCTGTTATAAAGGTGATAGTTAGGCAGAAGATTACAGCAAGTACAATTCTGTGTCCAGAATTCCACTGTGTATCATGGTATATAGTCCCACTGCAAACAGCAGAGTAAGTATAGCAATTCCTGCAATTATAATGTAGTAAGCTATTTCCATCCAAAATTTATTTACCATTTGCCAGAATATACAATTTCCCCTTGTAGGTCTATGAACTTACAAACGTACTCCCAAGGATAGTCAAAATCTCCCTGCAAGTATGCATCAAAGAAGAGTTGTAATGTCTGGCGGCGAAGTTCAAGGGGAAAGGTGGAAATAACTGAGAGGATTTGGTAAGGCAAAGAGGGGGCTATGTGGAATGAGTAGCCCTCATTCATTTACTTATCTTTGGTTGTTCTCAGCTTGAGATCCTCTATTTGTTCACAGTGATATTCAGGGCGTTTTTCTGGGCTGTCAGGGACTTTTCCCTCAGTTTTCCAAGCTTTAACTCAAGTGTGATGTATCCAGGAGTAGATTCAGGTAACTTTTATTGTCAAGAGGGTGGAGAGAAGAACGGTTTAAGGCCCCTCCCAACTCGGGTTTAAAGACAGGAGAGAGAAGGAAGAGACTTCACCAGTACCAAATCTCCTGGGTTAAATAGAGGTGGTCCTGTTTCCTTGTGTTGGGCCTCTGCTAGTTGTGTTAATTCCTGTTGGAAATGAGCCAGGGAGGTTACGTGCTTAACTAATTCGGAGGTTTCCTGATCTAATAGGAAGTCATTTGTAAGGAAAGGCCATCCCTACAGTATATCGAGAGGGCTCAGGCCTAACTTTGAAGGGGTATTTCTTACTCGTAGTAAAGCTATGGGAAGAAGAATGACTCAAGGAAGTTGAGTTTCCTGGGACAGTTTTCTGAGGTGTCTTTTGATAATGTTTGTTTTCTCTGCCTTTCCTGAGGACCGGGGCCTCCAAGCACAATGGAGATGGCACTGTATGCCTAGTGCCTTTGAGACCTCCTGGATGACAGCTGCTTTAAATGAGGGGCCGTTGTCGCTTCGGAGATACTTAGGTAGGCCAAAGCGGGGAGATATTTCATTAACTAGCACTTTTATTACTTCAGAGGCGCTTTCTGTACGGCATGGAAATGCTTCTACCCAATTAGTGAAAATATCTACCCACGCTAGGAAGTATTGGATGCGCTTTGTCTTCGGCATGTGGGTGGACTAATTGCCAGTTCTCTCCTGGATAGCTTCCTATTCTTTGGGTTTGAGGGAGAAGAAGCCGTTTATTGAGGGAATTATTCTTAAGACATCCCCTTCTCAACAGCCCCCTCTCCCTAGCCCATTTATGAAACCCCTGATATTTTTTCTACCACCCAGCAACCCCGCTCCAGATCCCTCTCTGTAATGAAGAGCTGTTCTTTCCTTTTGCTTACTAAACTCCTGCTCCAAAACTCACTCTGCCTGTGTGTGTCCGTGACCTCGATCTCCTTGGCTGTGAGGCCAAGAACCTTGGTATTTACCACAGACAATGAGGTTGTTTCAATTATACTTGAATAATAATCAAATAGCCCATACTCAAAGGTAAAATATGTATTACACAAAAATATTCAGCACACAGCTGATTCTGTTTTCAAAAAAAGAAAACACTGAGAAAATTACACAAAATTATCTACCTCAAAATTCATACATATTTGATGAATGGATTACCTGGCAAAAGAAGAGACATATACATTTAATTCCCTCCTTTTAATTTTTTTAGGTTTTGTTGTTTTTCTTTTTTTTTCTTTCTCTTTTCTTTTTTCGTTTTTTTTTTTTGACGGAGTCTCACTCTGTTGCCTAGGTTGGAGTGCACACCTCCCAGGTTCAAGCGATTCTCCTGCCTCAGCCTCCTGAGTAGCTGGGATTACAGGTGCCTACCACCATGCCTGGCTAATTTTTGTATTTTTGGTAGAGACAGGGTTTCACCATGTTGGTCAGGCTTGTCTCGAACTCCTGACCTCATGATCTGCCCACCTCAGCCTCCCAAAGTGCTGGGATTACAGGAGTGAGCCACCACACCCGGCCTTATTTCCTTTTTTAATGTTTAAAATTAATTATTTCTTAAGAAATATTTATGTATTTATTTGGGATTCCATTTGTTTTTGGGATCCTTATTGTTTTATTTTGCCTACAACTTTTTTGGAAGATTTTATTTTTGCTTTTATTTTTTATTATTCTGACTGGTTCCTGTCTCCAAGAAGTGGAGATAGATTCATTGACTTTCACACAAGGGAAACTTCCTGGAGTCATTTGGACTGACTTGCTGCTATAGGTAAAAATGACTTGGCAGTAAGTTACTGATAGAATATTGATGAGACTTTCTACAACAACAGAAAAGCTATAGCAAGGGCTTTCTTTTTTTTTTTTTTTTTGATGGAGTTTTGCTCTTGTTGCCCAGGCTGGCACAATCTTGGCTCACTGCAACCTCCGCCTCCCAGGTTCAAGCGATTCTCCTGCCTCAGCCTCCTGAGTAGCTGGGATTACAGGCACCTGCCACCACGACCAGCTAATTTTGTAGTTTTAGTACAGATGGGGTTTCTCCATGTTGGCAGGCTGGTCTGGAACTCCTGACCTCAGGTGATCTGCCTGCCTCAGCCTCCCAAAGTTTTGGGATTACAGGTGTGAGCCACCGCACCTGGCCTAGCAAGGGCTATTATATTAACACTCAGAGACCTTGTTAACTACTTGACTCCAGATTTTTTTGCAACCATAAATTGCATTTAGAGGGGCATAAAGCACACAGTGCCTGGGGAACCTGGTTTAGGATAGCATTCAGGATGATGCTCAGTGTTTATGTTGGAAAATGATTTCCAAGTGACTCTTAAAAAGTGAGTTTTGCTTGTGCTATGAACTTGGACGAGTTCACTTTGTCCAGTCTTCAGAAATGCAACATTTTTTTTCCTACTATTGTGTGATAGCACTGTGTGATTTGTCATTGTCACTTGGGTTATCTGCTCTGCTCTCCTTAGTGACACTCTATTGTATGAAAATGTAGCAGGGCAAGTCAGAAATGGGGAAAGGCACTAGAGTTGACAAGCCCTGCATTTAGCTCTATGGGAGTGCATCTACTTATGAAAAAGTATATGGAAATATGTGCCCCATCTACTAAGTATTTTTTGACCTTCACATGAAAAAATTAATATGAGTGTGCAGTGTAACTTATAAACTGTGGGACAAAACTACTCTCAGTATTTGTAGCATGATCATTTTTACTGCAAACCCATGAGGGACAGAATCCCCAAAAAACATTCTCAGAACAGCTTTGTTTTTCCTTTCATTTCCCAGAGTCAGCTGCTTCATTTTCTCTTCATGTCTACAGAATAACATTTTGATCTGGGAGATCATATCATCACTGTGTGAGTTGGCTATTGCTGTGTAAGCCATCTCCAAAACTCACTGCTTGAAACAACAATCATTTATTATGATAGCTTTCTAGTTATGAGGGCAAAGTTTGGCTGATCTTAGCTGGGGTCACTCATACATCTTTGGGTTGGAGGCTGTTGGCTAGTGTAGACTGGCCTCATCTGGGGCAACTGGGACCATTTGGCTCTGTTCTGTATGACTTTCATCTTTTTCTGGGACCAGGAAGCAAAGCGAAGCATATATATTATCATAGCAAGAGCACAGGGCAAGTGCAAGCAAGCCTGGGCTTACAAGCCTTTTTAAAACTTCTACTTGTGTTATATCTGCCAATATTTCACTGGCCAGAGGAAGTCAGTTGGCTAAGCCCGGAATCAAGAAATTACAACCCTCACCACTCCAACTCTCACTACTCCAAGCCTCAATACTCCAACCCTCACCACTCCATCCCTCACCACTCCAACCCTCACCACTCCAGCTCTCCCCACTCCAACCCTCCCCACTCCAACCCACGCCACTCCATCCCTCGCCACTCCAGCCCTCGCCACTCCAACCCACGCCACTCCATCCCTCGCCACTCCAGCCCTCGCCACTCCAATCCTCGCCACTCCATCCCTCACCACTCCAACCCTCCCCACTCCAACCCTCACCACTTTGCATCCTCTACTTTACAGCATGGAGGATGCTGCAAAGTATGTGGTAAAAGATGAAACTAGGAGGGAGTGACAAATTGGAGTCATTCTTGCAATCTGCTACAGTCACCTTTCTAGAACAGTATATTCCAAAGTGAGACAATTGTATCTATGCCCATAATCACTTATACTCACAATATATCCATATGTTCTTAGCACAAATCTAATCTTAAATGAGCACATTTGTTTTTCTTTTCTTGTTTTTTCTTTTCAAACATTGTATTTAGAGTATCAGCTCCAAATATTAGCTGCTGGCACATAAAGGATATCTTGGCAGGGTGCGGTGGCTCAGCCTGTGATCCCAGCACTTTGGGAGGCCAAGGCGGGCAGATCACCTGAGGTCAGGAGTTTGAGACCAGCCTGACCAATATGGTGAAATCCCGTCTCTACTAAAGATACAAAAATTAGCCGGGCATGGTGGCGGGTGCCTGTAGTCCCAGATACTGGGGAGGCTGAGACAGGAGAATTGCTTGAACCCAGGAGGCGGAGATTGCAGTGAGCCGAGTTCGTAGCACTGCACTCCAACCTGGGCGACAGAGTGATACTCCATCTCAAAAAAAAAAAAAAAAGCCATATTGCTAGTCAATGCCAAATATTATAAATATTAAAATCCTGCATAGTAAAACACACACACACAACCACACACACTCATACAAATATGCTCCTTTTTCAATATCAACCATATTTTAAAATTTATACCACATGAACATCCTAAATCAGATCTAAATATAGGCAACATACAGTAATACAACTACTACTGCCAGTATCATCTATACATACATGCTTTAAGTGTATTTTCATGCTTATCATATTTCTTACACTTGATAATTTGAAAGAACTTAGTTGTTCAAACTATTCCTCCTATCTAGCAGATACTATAGCAGAACAAATTCACTTTATAGCACTGCTTATAAAATTTAACCTGATTTAAATCTTATTTATTTTTGCAAATCAGACTCGCCTGATTTTATTAGAGATCTTGGGCTTTTTCACAGTATTACATTTGCTATTATAAAGTTATTAAAAGATAATTTAATAGTCTATTTTAGTAACTATTATTGCTTTTCTCTAAATGTGTTCTCAACATATTTTGCATTTATATTCAAATTGACTTTGCCGAGCCTGATGTTGTCTATAAAGGAAGGCTGATAATTATTCTCCACTGCACACTTTGTCATATTTATGCTTAGCTCATTTCATTAGGAAATAAAATTGTATTTGATTTAGTATGCTCATCATTTCCTTGTGTGTGTGTGTTGGTGTATATGAAGTAATAATTGTAGTAGCTCAGATTTGAGTTCATACTTTGACATAGAGGTTGCATGAAACAAAACTATTTTTTGGCCAATTTTGAGTTCAGGAAAGATTCTGACTTAACCATGCAAAAAAGGTTAACAAAATGTAGGTATGATAAATACATACAAACACAGGTTTGGTTCTTTAAGAAGCAGCAGAGGTCAGGTTTGTTTAAGAAAAAAACAAAACTGTAAGCATGAGTTTACAGGATCTAGTTTAATACTTATCTTCCCTCCCTTGTAAGAAAGTCACAATCTCTTGAGTTCTTGTTTTCTCATCCAAAAAAAAAAAAAAAATGAGGTAATAATAATCAACTTTCCAATCTCATGCCTTTTGGGCATGTTTAAAACAAATAGCAGTTAGGACAGTGTTGGGCAAATTCTAACATAATAAATTTATGTCCTAGTGCAGATTAAGTTAAGAGCTGGTGTTATTACTGAGAGCAACAGAGACTAGAAAACGTGCTAATAATTTGATGTTCAGATGCCTGGCTAGTCGGCAACATCACGGAATGCTTCACAGCAGAAAACGGGCTACATCCCTTGACTTTGACTATGACAAAAAAGAAGATACACTTGTCAAGAAAATTCATTGAAAATTTGGTCTTTCAGAAACAATATGTAAATTGTAGGTAAGCTTTATAAATATATATTGAGTATCACCCACACAAACACACGCACAAATACACATTTCGTGATTTTAGAGGAGGAAGGCATTTCAGATGGAAACAGCTCTGTAAAGGTACAAAGCGCAGTTTGAAGATGGCACTCAGTGAATCTTCCTCCTGAAGCAGAGATTAAGGGAAGTAAAAGGATATTTGGACAGTGTGAGAGAAATGAGGCAATTATATTGGATGGGGCAGTAAATGAAGGATGGGCAGCATGAAATTGATGGAGTTAGGAGAAGAAAAAGGGCTACAGAAATTGTCAAAACCTGGAACCAACCTAGACATCCTTCAATAGAATAAATAAACTCTGGTACATCAATAATAGATAAACTGTGGTACATTCATACAATGGAAAATTATTCAGTATTAAAAAGAAATGAGCTATCAAGCCATGAAAAAATGTGAGGAAACCTTCACTGTATATTGCTAAGTGAAAGAAACCAATATAAAAGATGAATGTACTGTATGATTCTGATTATGTGACATTTTAGGAAAGGTAAAACTATGGAGACAGTACATAGATCAATGGTCACCAGAGCATTATGGGGAGGAAGGGAAGGATAAATTGGTGGAACACAGGAATTTTTTTTTCTTAGGGCAATGCAACTATTCTGTGTGATACTACAATGGTGGACGCATGTTATTGTATGTTTGCAAAATCCATAGAATATACAACATACAGAGTGAACTCTTATATAAACTCTGAACTTTGATTAACAATAATGTATTGATATTGGCTCATTTCACAATTAACAAGTGGTTCATTTAGCAACGTAACAAATGCACCACAGTAATGCAAGATATCAATAATAGAGGAAGGGCCTGGGTGCAGTGGCTCACGCCTGTAATCCCAGCACTTTGGGAGGCCAAGGTGGGCAGATCATGAGGTCAGGAGATCGACACCATCCTGGCTAACACGGTGAAACCCCGTGTTAAAAATACAAAAAATTATCTGAGCGTGGTGGCGGGCACCTGTAGTCCCAGCTACTTGGGAGGCTGAGGCAGGAGAATGGCGTGAACCCGGGAGGTGAAGCTTGCAGTGAGCCGAGATCATGCCACTGCACTCCAGCCTGGGTGACAGAGCAAGACTCCGTCTCCAACAAAAAAAAAAAAAAAAAAAAAAAAAAATAGAGGAAATGGGAAGGGTGAAGGTGTATACAGAAACTTCTATTTTCTTCTCAGTTTTTAAAATAAACATACGATTGCTCAAAAAAGTCTACTAATTAACAAAAACAACAAAAAAGGTTGGTGCTCCTTCTGTGGAAGATGCCAACTTTGTCTTGTTGATCCTAGGCTTGTAAGTTTTCCCTCTCTCTCACCCTCAACATAAATAAAGCTTAGTCCTTTACATGCCACTTCCCCCAGATTCAAAGTAATATTAAATTATCTTGAAGTAAAGAGATTGTGATCCTCAAATAAGGAAATGGAGAGAAAGTCTGCCTACCTCCTTAAATAGAAAGTAGCCTAGGGAATAACTGTGAGAAGTGAAAGAATAAGTGATAATGATGATGATGATGATGATGATAATAATAAAAATAATAATGATGATGCTTATGCAGGGTAAGGACTCATGAAAGTTCTACCAATGATGACATAGCAGTGTAATAAAAAGAGCATAGCCTTCCAATTCTGTCCATATTACTCACTAGCAATGTGACCAAAAGTAGCTTTTTAACATTCTAATGTGCTATTTTCTCAAGTATCAAATAGTAAGAATAATCATATTTGTGTTGTGAGGTATTCAGAAGTTTAAATGGCCAATAGAGGTTACTGACCATAGTGTTTAGGCATGCAAGACAGTTTTTCTCTTGTCTCTTGGAGAGGTGACACACCATAGTCTTCTTTGCCAGTAAGGAAGTTGAAATAACATCTTGAATAAGAGATACATGGATATGGCTCAAAGCAAAGGTTTACCCTTGGGGAACCAAGAGTTTTATGGTCTCCTTAAGATCACGGTCAACTAAAAAAATGTCATCCAGGCAGAAAGCATTCCTCTGCTTGAGGCATAAAGAGATACTACTGTTTATGGTGTTTGCACTTTGGGAGAGGAAGCTGCTTAGAGATCCTGAGGATTGTCAGGATCTAGAAAAGATTAGTTGGGGTTTTTCAGAAGCAGAGAAGGCAGAAAAGCCAAGAATCTTATGATGTATCACTCTGGGCACCAGCTGAAGGAAAATAAAATCAGCTAAGTTCCCAATCTCTTTAATATTTTGTACCTTCTTAACCAATCTGCCCTGATGGTTGGGGAAGAGGGATTTAGATAGGGCGACCTGGTCTTGAATGAATTTGGTGTGGCAGTGTAGGCGTGTAGGAAAGAAGCAGGAAAGCAGAGCATTTAGCATAAAAATGGACCATTAAAGGGATTTATGCAATTGTGTTCACTTGAAATCCAGAGATTAGGGGAAGGATCTGGGTAAACACTTGAGCTAAATCTCCATTAATTATGATTCAGATCCTCAATTTTTACTTTGGTTTCACTTTGTAGAGCTTTCAGTGACATTCAAAATAATAAATGTTTCTCAAATCCTAAATTCTACCGTTAAGAAACTTTTCATAAAATCAGAGGCATGGGATGATTGTAATTGATGGAAGGAAGGCAATATTAGTAACCACTGAAAAGATAACCTATTTTTAATGGATAACTGGGAAAAATACATTAAAAACAATGGGAGAAATAAATTTGATATGTTGAGGACACCAATGCTTTATGCAAAGAACTGAAACCAACAGGAATTCCTATCTTTGTGTTAAAAAATACATCTATTGGGTTCAGGTAATTTTTCTGTTTCTATGTTACACTGAGGCCAAGCAAAAATAACTTAGTTGCTTTCCCCAGAAAATATTCATTCCTGGAAGATAAGAGTGAGCCAACTGAAATAGTTTATTTATCAATGCTAGTAGTATGCTGCTCAAAACTCAATTCATCTTGCTGTATATACCAATTTGAAGTTATTAAGTCACAAATTCTGTCAATGCCAATTAATTCTCAAATTTGAAAGATCTGCCTTAGAAAAGCCCAGCTCAGGCCCTAGGAGATTATACCTACTTTTTTCTAATATTCAGTTACTGAAATACTGTTAAGACTCTGTTAGGTGGTATTCTGACTGCAGTAAGTCTTTAAAGTTTAGTTTTGCTTGATCAGTGTTTTCCTGTTTTGTTTTGTTTTTTTCCTGGTCTTTGGAGGATTCAACAGTTGGTAATTCTGGAGGTTTTGTAGCTCCATTTGAAACCCCCTCACTACCACAGGTCGAGATCCTCAATCCTAAACAACATTCTCTGTGAAGGTGCCTGGAACATCCTCCCAGGAGCCTCTACAACTGCTGTACTGAGCTAAGTTTTGGACTGGGTCTGAGCTCTGATTTTTTTTTCAGGTTCCTAGGCTCCAAACTGCTTAGTTTCTTTCAATTCTATGCATATTGGAATTAGTTGATTTTGTAACCAGGTTTGAAATTCCCATCCTTGGAGGGGTCCCGTCTTTAACTCGTAATACACTGCTGTGTTTTTAAGTTTTCTAGGGGATGGAGTGGGAAGGTCTTTGTCATACTCTGATATAAGCTTATAAGACCAAGGTCTTAGAGAAGAGATTGGACATAGACCTAATAAATCCATTCATTGAAGCTCACTCTAAGGGCTGATAAATTCAGAAAGCCATGTCAGACAGGCGTTATGGAAAACGTTTGCATTGGGCTATCTGTCAAAGCCTTTTTACACCTTGCCACAGTCTTGTCTAAATTCTTCTGTGACAGTTTGGTTCAGGAAGAAACTTTTTGAAAACTCCTGAACACGAGAAGAATTATGAATTTATCAGATTGTCAGTCTATGCCATCTCCGGGACAGACTTCACCTTCTTTTACGTGTCCATACTATAACACTAATTAGGTATTTGTCTTTCTAAATACCGTAATTTCTTGAAAGATAATTAAGGATTACAATGAATATTTGGGGGGAGGGGCTTCTGCTATGAAAAAAATTATTCATTTGAGAAGTGCCTTAGAACAAAACAGGGGCAAAATTCCAAACCTCTTATGTTTATCATTTTTTATTACTAGGGGAAGCTTCCAAAAAAATTCAGATTCCAAAATTACTTCTGTAAAAAAATGTGTAGCTAAGTCAGAAGAAAAAATGTGAAAAAAACATGAAACTATCTTTCTCTTTTATCTTCCTAAATCACATTTCAAATCTACTAGATTTCTTCCACATTTCTTTTCCTTCCATTATGATCCTACATCACACTCTGACCCCCCCACTTCTGACCTACTTCCTTTCCCTTCTGCTCTACAAGAAACCCTCACAACTCAATTGCCTCTTTCAAATTAGAGTAGCTTCTTAGGGCTGATTTTAAGCCCTAGTCTCATTCTTGTAAAGAACTTTCCAAAGCCAAGACATGAAAGAAAGAAATTCACAAATTCACAGAATAATTTAGTTCTAAGAAGATGTAGAGCTTTATACTCTATACCAATTTTTGCTTAATGTAGTAGAGACCTTAAGTACAAGAAGTACAAGCTATGAAATGGAAAAGGTAGAGTGGGAAGTTCCTCAGCATGTCCTCAGAGGACTACCCTAGTCTACTTATTACATCAAAAACCACTGGAATTAGCTATACATACTGGTTAAGATCTTCTCAAGGATACCTCCAATGTCTTTTCTACGAAAATAGACTTGAATCAAATTTTGTCCTATAGGTAAAGAAAGAATGAGCCCATTGGAGATAATAGTATGCATTTTAACAACTCTAAGATTTTTTGAAGGCTACCTCCAATCTCTTCTATGAAAATAGTCTGGAATAAAATTTGGGCCTATAGGCAAAGGAAGAATGAGCCCATTGGAGATATCAGCCATAGGCATTTAAATGTCTTTGGATAGTATTAAGCAGTCGATCCTAAAGTACATGTGAAACTAGCTTTAGGATCAGTCTTTTTGATGAGGGAAATTATCTTCAGCTTTAAATGGAGAATATGATATGCAAGCAAACACCTCAATGAGAACCACATCTCTCACACCTCCATGAATATTTTGAAAGAGCCATTGGACAAAAGCATAAATGGATCTAGAATATGTTTTACTGACCTTACATTAAAACTATCAGATGCTTCCTCCATTAGGCACCCATAATGGTGCAGATTGTTGCAACCATAACTTTCTACAAGCTTGCACAACACATCTAAAACTAGACACTAAAGAAACACTGAAACCAATATTTCAAAGTCTAAAGAAGTAGGAGCTCATCATAGCTTGCACTTATCTGTGTAATAATTTTGTCTTCCTACGGAAGAAAGTCACCTGGAGAGGATATTGATGTATGAAGCACCTCAAGGACATAATAAAATAGTTATTCCACTCTTGTGGTTTTGAATAAAAGTACTATTTTATCTTCTGCATTACATTATAGTTGTAAATCTGTGTTCTACCTTCTTTAGTGTCCTTCAGATAAACATTCTTTTTTTTTTTTTTTGCATTTTACTGGGAATGTCAACAATGTACACAAAAGTAAATAACATAGAGGTTAAAGTAAAATTCATGGCTGTTTAGGTAGAAAACCATGAGAAAAATCCTTGCTCTCAGGACAGTCCAAGAGGCCAAATACTTTGAATGGTTTAAAGCTAGTTTTGATTCCAATGTCAGAAAGAAATACCAGAAAAAAACATCCTTGCAAATTGCATGAGAATAATCTCTGGCCCTTTCAGGAGTTTGTTGGCACCAGAGAATCTTGAATAGAAACTTTCATAAAATTTTAATGAAAGCATTGACTGACTATAGCAAGGACAATTTGGCTGCAGTAGTCAACTAGCATTACTGAAACGTTTGACCCAAATTGTTGACGATGCCGCTGATGAAAATCTCACCAATCGCCAGCAGCATAGTCCTGGTAAAATTATAAAGAAGAAAAATGAAAAATAGCTAAAAAATAGAAAAATGTCTCGGGACATCTCCAAGTAAGTTTTGTCCTACTATCCTCCACAACTGATTTTGAATATGTTTGTCAGTGTTTTCTAATTCTGGTGATGGATTGAAGCTTTTCTTTGAAAGAGCTATGATCTGATACTAGCAAAAATACCACTTGATTTTGTTATCCCATTCTGGGAATTCCAACCTATCTCTGCAGTAACAGAGATACCCATTTTACTGGGACTGTCACTAACAAGATTTTCAACACTTTGCTGCTTATTCAGAAACTTTACTGCCCATATTATCCCAATCTTCAGAAATGATAGAAGGAACAATTAATTCTTAAGCTAAAACATCAACAAAGCTTTCAGACATTATAGGAATCCAAAGAGTATTGGCATTGTTTTTAATGACAAAGAAATTGCCTATTTTTAGGATCTTATTTGTTCTTCCATTCTGAATTGAAATCAGACTGCCTCTTACACCTAGAAATTTACTCTGATTCTACATTCTGGTCAAATTCAAGCAGACATCCTCTGATACTGCAAAGAACTCATAAAATGCACCTAATCATCATCAATACATACAGTATTTCTTCAACATCCTCCTAAATAATGCTTACATGGTCTGAAATGTTAAGATCTTGTCTTCTGGAAGAGATACCAGATAGGGTTATTGAACTCTAATGAAAACATCTCATCAAGTACTGTAACTAGTTAGCATAACTCTAAAAGTACACTTGTTTCTTGGATATACTTTACTAGGAGAAGAGAATTCATCCTCAAAGAATTAGAAAACTGTTCCAACTAGAAACCTCAAAATGAGGATTTTAAAGAATCTTCTAGAAGTGGACAATCTTTAGGTGACAGCTTCAACCCATAATCTTTGTAACAAGTTGGCAACTGCAAGAAGTTGTTGATCCAAGGCACACAGAACGATATTCAAATAATCTAAACATAGCTTGTCATATACTTTAATCTGCATGCTATTATTCTTTATCTTTATATGTATTTCTCTTTTTTCTACACTTAAAATTCAGGATTAAACCTATACATCATATTTAGAAAGAGGACTTTGTAGCAACCAGCCTTTGTAACAGAACTTTCAGAAAAACAGACCCGGAAAAATAAAAGGAAATAGATAATGTATATTTGGAGGCTGTATTACTTTTACATATCTTATAAGAGAGCTATACTACATTTTCAACTTCATTTATTGACTTAGATGTACCCAAAGTTTTTTTTTCTTTTTTATAGTGAGCAAATGTCTCCTTTATTTATCTTTAAATGTTTATTTTTTTAATTGACAAATACAAATTATATATAGTTATGGTGTACAACATAATTTTGTGATACATATTCATACACACACACACATTGTGGAATGACTAAATCAAACTAAAATATCCATTACCTCACATACTTATCTTATTTTTGTGCTGAGAACATTTAAAATCTACTCTCTTACCAATTTTCAAGTATATACTAAAGTAATGCTCCTTATCTACAGTTTCTCTTTCCATGATTTTTGTTACCTGCAGTAAACTGCAGTCAAAAAAATTAAATAGAAAACTCAAGAACTAAACGATTAATAAGTTTTCTGAGTAGCGTGATGAAATCTCATGCTGTCCCTCCCGGGACAGGGATTATCCCTTTGTCCAGTGTATCCATGCTGTATGTGGTATTCGTGTGTTAAGCCCTTGGTAGCCATCTTGCTTGTCAGATCAACTGTGGCAGTATCACAGTGCTTGTGTTCAAGTAATCCTTATTTTACTTAATGATGTCCCTAAAGCACAATTCAGATATGTCAAAGAGAAACTGTTAGGCATCTCCTGTAAGTGACAAGGTGAAAGTTCTCTACTTAATAAGGAAAGAAAAGAAATCATGCTGAGTTTTCTACGATCTATGGTAAAAATGAATTTTCTGCCCATTAAATTGTGAACAGAATGTTGTTATAATTGTTCTATTTTATTATTGTTATTACTAGTCTCTTCCTGTGCCTACTTTATAAATTCAACTTTATCATAGATATGTATGTATATAAAAATAAAAATTTTACATAGGGTTTAGAATAATCTGTGGTTTCAGGCATCCAGTGGGGATTTTGGAACCTATCCCCTGTGGATAAAAGAGGAATGACTATACATTGTTTTAAACTATAATCACCACATTGTACAATGGCTCTACCTTTTCTATACTACAATTAATGCTGCCTGATGCTGACGACTCTTGAAGAATGACAGAAAATTATTAAAATAATATTTCACAATAGAATATGTGGTGTTCTAGCTGAAAACAAATTACTAGTCACTAATGGCTGATATTGGATTTGAGGCATGCAACATATTGGCTGTTATCCTCACGAGATCCATGATCTGAAGACTGTCACACAGCATCCATGATTTCACCCAGGATCTCTTTCAGCCTCTATTTTTCTCCCTACTAAAAAGATATCTTTAGATAATTTAAATTAAGAAGGAAAAAATTTGAAACTTGGACTTTGAAAATTTTAATAATTGAAAAAGGTTTTTGGCTTTTTCCTTTATTTTATGATTCTCTAAAAGTAAGAAAAATCCTGACTAGAATTCATAGAATAGAAGAACAACTAGATCATGTCACTATGGCTTTAGCACTCTGGCATGAAATCAGGCAGGGAATGGTTCAAAATAAAAGTGTCTTAGATTTATCACCGATCTTTGCGAGTAAAGTATTTGTTGTCTTAGAGGACTATTGTGCTTATAGCTTCATCTCTCTCAGGTTGCCTTAATCTACAAAAAGGCTCACAAAACAAAGACATAAAATTACATATCTTTGTCAACAACCAGTTAAATTAATTTGGTTACATCTTTTTCTGTGAGCAATAAATGAGGAGTTTTATTCTCTTGCTTTAATATGACTCTCTTGACTTTCATCTTCAAAATTAACTATGGACTCTTATCATAAGCCTTCTCATAGTGTTCCCCATGGTTATGGTGCTCAAATGTGTGATCACAGGAGACTGATGTCCTATTGCTCAATCATTGTCATAAGTGCTATGCAGCTGCCTTCCCAGGAAAAGTTCTAACAGATGATTATACAACAAATTGACACAAAGAGCTATTGGAACAGTTACCACCAAACACTCCCAATGTGACTCTGTCAGTTAGGGTTGAAGCAGAGAATCAGAACAAGGACCAGGAGTGTATTTAAAAATGTGTCATAAGCAATTAGATAATGCAATGGTGAGGACCAGCCAGGCAAATCCAAAGTCTGTAGACAGGACAGCAGGAAGGGCTTGTCATACTCTCAAGCACAGGGTGAATTTTTTGTCCACATCCAGAATTTCTTCTTCAGGAAATTTCTAGTTCTGTTTTAAATGCCTTTTGACTAATAGAATCAGGTCAACTCCAATTATCTAGGATGATCCCCAGTATTTAAAGTCAACTGATTATTCACTGTAATCACTTCTGTGAAATATCTTCACAACAGCAGATAGATTAGTGTTTCCCTGAATAACTGGGGACTGTAGCTTATCCAAGCTGGCATATTAAAATGACCACCAGAGTTAATCCATGCTAGTTTTCTATGGCTGCTGTAACAAATTACCATACTTTTAGTGGCTTAAAACAACACAGATTTATTTTATAATTCTGTAGGTCAGAAGTCCAACATGGTTTTCACTTGGGCTAACTACAAAGGGCTGTATTTCATTCTAGAGGCTCTAGTGGAGGACCCATTTCTTCTGTTTTTCTGGAGTCTTCTGGAGGCTTCTGGCTTCTGGAGGCTTTCCATGGTTTTTGTCTCATGACCCTTTTCCTCCATCTTCAATGCCACCACAAGCAGGCTAAGCATTTCTCACACTGCATCACTATGCCTTGCTTCTGTCATCACTCTCTTTATTCAACTGTGCATCCTTTGCCTCCATCTTCTACTTACTTTAAGTTTTTTTAAGATCTAATTAACGTAACACATTTTACTCAGTTACAGTGTACAATTCAATGACTCACAGATCTGTTCAACCAGCACAACAGTCAATTTTAGAACATTCTTCTCACCTCAAGAAGAAACTCCTAGTTTTCTTTATTATCTCCCATCGTCCCACCATCCTCAGTCCTAAGCAACCACTGATATACTTTCTGTCTGTATAAATTTCTCTACTCTTCACAATTGATACGAATGGAATCATACATTATATAGTCTTTTGGGACTGAATTTTTTTTACTTAGCATAATGTTTTCAAGGCTTATTTGTGCTGCAGTATCTATCAATACTTCATTTTTATGGTCAAATATAATTTTATTATATGGATATACTCATACTTTGTTTATGGATTATTTTTACCTTTTGGCTATTGGAAATCATAGTATAATGATGCTATAACAATAAATAACAATAAAATATTGCTATAATAACATTCACTTAAAAATACATATTAAAATACAAGTATTTCTTTGAATATCTGTCTTCAATTCTTTTGTGTATATGCCTAGGAATGGACTTGCTGTGACATAGGATACTCTATTAATCATTTGAGGAACAGTAAGACCGTTTTCCAAAATGACTGCACCATTTTACATTTCCACTAGTAATCTATGGGGATTCTATTTTCTCCAAATTTTTGTCAACCTTTCTGATTATCTGTCTTTTTGATTATAGTCATCATAGCAGGTGTGAAGTGGTATTTCATTGTGGTTTCATTTGCATTTCCCAGATAACTAATGAAACTGAACTTCTTCACATGTGTTTTTAGTCATTTTTTGTATCTTCTGTGAAAAAAATGTTCATTCAGATTCTTTACCTTTTCAAAATGGGTTTGTCTTTTTATTGCTGAGTTGTAAGAGATTTTATATATTCTAGATACATGACCCATATCAGATACATGACTTTCAAATATTTTCTTCCATTTTATGAGCTGTGTTTTCACTTTCTTGATGGTTTTCTTTGAATGTTAAAAGTTTTTATTTTAATGAAGTTCAAATGGTCTGTTGTTTCTCTTGTTCTTCCTGCCTTTGGAGTCATATCTATCAATCATTTGTCACATAAAAGCTTGTAAATATTTTCTCCAATGTGTTATAGTTTTACATTTAGTTTTTTGATCCATTTCCAGTTAATTTTTGTATATGGTGTAAAATAGAGGTCTTATTTCATTCTTTTGCATGTGGCTATCCAATTATCTCAGTACCATGTATTGAAAAGACTATTCCGTCTTTCATTGAATTATTTAAAATCAATTGGTTATGGATGTATGGTTTTATTTTTGGTCTCTCAATTCTTATCCATTGGTATATACATCTGTTCTTGTGCTGGCATCACACTGTGTTGACTGTCATTGCTTTGTAGGAAGTTTTGAAATTGTGAAGTACTCCTACCTTGTTCTTTATTTTCAAGGTTATTTTGACTATTGTGGGTCTCCTGCCTCCACTTTATCGACAACTTTTTCTTTTGTAAGTGGAAAACTACTGTAGTATCTATAAAATAATTAAGAAGAAGTGAGCCTAAAATAAAATAATTTTATGGAAACACAAATTCATTTTTTATTTTCCTGAATAGTAAAAGTATTAAGAATAAGACTCATATTTGGTTTTTGTATGTTTTTAAAAAGCATTGTGCAAAATATCTTTTCAAGCTGGTAAAGCTGCTATGTAGAAATAGACCAGTTAATGGTCTGGAAGATTTGTAATGTGCTCTATACACATCAATCTCTGTTAAGAGAGGCTAAACGTTCCAGGTTGCACAATTTAAATACATCAATTTCTGCAAGAGGTCAGCTGGGATTCTTGAGGAGTACTGCCATCTTAACAATTATTTAGTATCCTGATTCATGTATATAAGTTGCCTTTCCATTCAGTACAGAGTCTTTAATTTTCAAAAATATGTTGCCGTTTCCAGAGTATAACTTTAGTACTACTTTGTTAAATTTATTTCTTAGCATTTTTTTATTGTATTGTAAATGGGTTTGTTTTCTTACTTTCATATTTGGATTGTTTGTTATAAATATATGGGATACAAATGATGTTTGTTGATACTACTATTGTGTCCTATCACCTTGTTGAAGTCATTGGGTATTTATAATTTTAGTGGATACTTAGGATTTTCTATATGCAAGACAATGTTATCTGAGAATAAAGATAGCTTTTCTTATTTTTTTCTAATTTGGATCATTTTATTTTTTCCCCTAATTTCTCTGGCTAGACCTTCAAAAACTGTGTTGAATAGAAGTGGTGAGAGTAGGTGTCCTCTTTTTCTTGATCTTAAGAGGAAAGCATTCATTTTTACCATCAAGGATGATGTCACATGTGGGTTTCTCACAAATACCCGTTATCAAGTGGAGGAAGGTTTCCTTCTATTCCTAGTTTATTGAGTATTTTTATCAGAAATGATATAGGGTTTTGTTAAATGCTTTTTCTGTGTTTATGGATATGATCATGTAATTTTTTTTTTTTTTTTTGAGACTGAGTCTCCCTCTATTGCCCAGGCTGGAGTACAGTGGCATGATCTCGGCTCACTGCAACCTCTGCCTCCCAGGTTCAAGCGATTCTCATGCCTCAGCCTCCCGAGTAGCTGGGATTACAGGTGCCCGCCACCATGCCCAGCTAATTTCTGTATTTTTAGTAGAGACGGGGTCTCACCATGTTGACCAGGATGGTCTCAAACCCCTGACCTCAAATGATTCACCCACATTGATCTCTCAAAGTGCTGGGATTACAGGGTTGAGCCACAGCACCTGGCCTGATCATGTAATTTTAAAATTCTATTGATATAATGTATTACATTAATTATTTGTTGTATGTTTAATCAACCTTGCATTCCTGGGATAAATCCTACTTGGTCATGGTATATAATTCTTTTTATATGTTGCTGGATTTAGTTTGCTAGTATTTTGTTAAGGATTTCTGCATGTATATTAAAGGTAATTTAGGTATAAAGGTATATTAAAGGTCTATTTTCTATGTTTCTCCTGTCTGTTTTTGTTCCTTTACTGATTTCTTTTGCATTATATAATATTTTCTAATTAAGCATTTAAATTTATTTATTTATTTTTACTATATCTTTTGAGTTTTTCAAAAAAGTGGTTTCTTTAGGGCATACTACATAAATTTTAACTATCATATTAATTTTCAGATTTATGCTAACTTAATTCTAGTAAGATATTGGAATATTATTTCTATATAACTCTTTATGAACTGAATGCCTGTGTCTTGCCCAAATTCTTATGTTAAAGCCCTGCCCCTCAATGTGGTGGCACTAGGAGGTGTGACCTTTCAGAGGTAATTAGGTTTAAGTGAGTTTCTGAAGGTGAGGCATCCGTGACTGTATTAGTGCCATTATAAGACGAAGAGCCCAGAATCCACTTTGTTTCTGCCATGCGAAGCACAATGAGAAGGCAGCTATTTGCAAGCCAGGGTGAGGGCCCTTACTAGCACCCAACCATGCTGACACTCTGATCTCAGACATCTACTCTCAAAAACTGTGAGCAAATAGATGTCTACTCTTTTTTTTTGTTTGAGATGGAGTCTCGCTCTGTCACCCAGGCTGGAGTGCAGTGGCACGATCTCGGCTCACTGCAAGCTCTGCCTCCAGGGTTCATGCCATTCTCCTGCCTCAGCCTCCCGAGTAGCTAGGACTACAGGTGCCCACCATCACACCTGGCTAATTTTTTATACTTTTAGTAGAGACAGGGTTTCACCGTGTTAGCCAGGAGGGTCTCAATCTCCTGACCTCGTGATCCACACACTTCGGCCTCCTAAAGTGCTGGGATAACAGGCCTGAGCCACCGCGCCTGGCCCAGATGTTTACTCTTTAAGCTTCCTAGTCCATGGCATTTTGTTATTGCAGCCTGAGATGCCTAAGACATTATCTCTATTCTTTTTCCCCTATTTTTGTTATACTGGTATTATACATATTTATGTATTAATATTACAAACCTACAAACTCATGATACTTTGTTATAATTATTAACTTACTCATCTGCAGTCATTTCCTTAGCCCAATGTAGGTTTGTTCTCACCCACCTCCTTTGTGCTGTCATTAGCAAACATATTACCAATTTATTACATTTCTGTGTTACAGACCGAACAATACATTGTAACATATTATTTTATACAACTGCTTTGTAAATCAAGAGAAAAAGAAAAATATAGATTTATACTGCCTTGTGGAATCATATAACTAACTTTATTGAAGCTCCTATTTTTCTATGTGTATTCAAATTATTATCTAGGGTTATTTCCCGTCAGCCTGAAGAAACTCCTTTAGAGTTTATTGTAAGGTGGGTCTGCTAGCAACACATTCTCTCAGTTTTTGTTAATCTAGGAATGTTCTTATTTTACTTTAATTTTGGAAAGATAGATTTACCTGATATAAGATTTTTGGCTGACAGGTTTTGCTTTTTTTTTTTTTTAACTGAACACTTTAAATATGATATCCTATTGCCTTCCAGCCTACATTGTTTTTGCTGAGAAGTCAGCTGTTAAATCGTATTGAGGTTCCCTTGAAAGTGAGGAGTTTTGTTTTGTTGTAATTTTCTCTTGCTGCTTTCAAGATTTTCTCCTTGTTTTAAGTTTAAGCATTTTTACTATGATGTGTCTGATGTGGATATGGACATGGATGTTGATGCACTTAATGGTGTCCCAGATTTCCCTGAGGCTCCTTATTTCTCTTTTTTATGTTTTCTGTTTTTTAGCTTGCATAATCTGAATGAGTCTATCTTCAAGTTTGCTCATTCCTTCTTCTGCCAATTCAAATCTACTGTTGGGCCCATCTAGTATAATTTTCATTTCAGTTCTTGTGTTTATCAGCTCCAGAATTTCCATAATAATTTTTATCTCTTTATTGATACTTTGTCTTGTGTTGGACATCGTCATCATGACTTCCTTTACTTTTTAAACAAAGTTCCCTTTCAATCTGTGAACATACTTAAAATGGCTACCATGAAGCCTTTCCTGTTAAATTTGATATCTGGCTGCTCTCACAGTTCCTTTTGCCTGCTTTTTCTTTTTTCATTTTATATGTCATACTTTCCCATTTCTTTGCATTCCTAATTATTTTCTTGTTGGAAACTAGACCTCTTGAATAATATATTACGGCAACTTTGCATATGAGTCTCCTCCCTTTCAGGGCTGGAATATTTTAGTGATGTCTATTTTCTCCTACCCCACACTGTTAAACCTCTGATGTTAATCTTCAGTGGGGCACAGCTTTTGGTATGTCCACAGTCACCTTGAGACAATAGTGGGTTTGGTACGGCTCTCTTCATCTCTTTCCCTGACGATAGCAAACTGTTATGCCCCATTAATTGGAGGCTGATTGCTCTACTATTTTCAACTATGTCCTGGGTTATAAATTGCTCTATAGGCTAATACAATCAGATTTGGGCTTCTTTGAAGGAGGTTCTTAGATCAGTGTTGTATATTTTTTTCTCTAAGTTTTCTCTTTCTCAGGTTCTCTCCTACAAACGAACTGGCTTACCGTTCAGCCTATGTCTTGAATCTATTTTCTCCCAGTTGCTTTTCACCATGACCTCCATGTCTATAGGCTAGAATTTCCCTGTGCTCTGTTGCAAGTGAAGTCAATTTCTTTGGGAAGAGACTAGGAGCTATTAGTTTTATGGCCTGCTTTTCCCTCTAGTAAAATATTGAGTTAGGCCTCTGTGGTTAGGTTTGAGATGATGGGATACTTTCTCTGAGTGATGCTCCTACTTTTGAACCTGAGTGCCCAATGGAAGTGGAGATTGTAGCATGAGGTCTTCATGAGTTGGTTTTCTTGGTGTGGAAACTTATGATCCAGGGTAAGGCAACTGGGGCTCCAGTATTTTTAAAGGTACTGTGCCCGAAATGGAGTCTCTGTTCCATGAGTGGAGGGTGGGGTGAAGAAGGGGGCCTTGCCTCTCAACTGTTCTCACCTGAAACAACCTCAGCAACAGGAGACAACTGGCAGTAGGAGAAGAAATGTGGATGTTGCATTCTGCCCTAGAAGAAAGCTCTCCAACTGGAAGCTGTGGGAGAAGATGCCATTTGTTCTTGGCTAAGGAAGTCTAGATTGGAGAAGTCAGCTATTAAATCTTATTGTTTTTAATATCTTATGATAATATCTCTGAACTGGGAGGGCAATGGAGAGTGGACTTTGCTTAAATACTACACACTCCTGCTTTTCATTCTGAATATTACTAGATTTAATTGAATGGATGTTTCTTCATTTGCTGTATTCCTTTAGGATCATTTCCAGGGGTTATAAAAAGTTGTTTTTTAAAAAAAAATAATTTTTACCAGTTTCACTGGGGAATAATTTTTCCAACAGTCATGCTGGAAGTCCTCTTATAATTATATTTTGCTTATCTGGATAATTTTTTCTGTCTTAAAGTCAGCTAATATTTTCTGTCTTGAAGTCAGCTGATTGCAACCTTATATCCATCTATCACCTCGAATTCCCCTTTGCTATTTAATCTAATATATACATAAGCTATGGAGGCTTCAAAACGGGCTCCTATGGGGAAACACCATTCTGCCTGACACAGTGAACCCAATACATCAGACAGTAATTTTGATCTGCATTGATCATATCCTCATGCTGTGATTTGGTTTGAGTTTGTTCCCACCAAACCTCATGTTGAAATTTGATCCCTGAAATGGCAGTCTTGGGAAGTGGAGCCTAGTGAGAATTGTCTGAATCATTGGAGTAAATCTCTCCTGATGGCTTAGTGCCCTTCTCATGGTAGTGAATGAGTTCTCACTCTGGCAAGACTGAATAAGTTCTCATGGAACTTAATGAATTCCCTTGAGAATGAGTTGCTATCAAGCCAGGATGCCTCTTAGGTTTTTCCTCTTCACACATAACTGCTTCCATTTTGACCTTCTCTGCCATGTTATGATGCAGCACAGAAGACCTTGCCAGAAATCATGGCCATGTCCTTGAACTGTCCAGCCTGCAGAACCATGAGCTAAATAAACCACTTTTCTCTATAAATTACTCATCTCAGGTATTTGTGTGTAGCAATACAAAACAGACTAAGGTAGTTCATAAGATAATGGTATATCTTAGGCATGACCAAAAGCATGACAAAAAGTGTCAGTGAGCATTAATACAAACATTTTTTTTCTCTCTGTGTTAAGTCATGCCAGGTCCAGGCATACTTTTCTGCCCTTCTGTTAAGCAATATATATGATGAACATATTTACATGTCCCTATGTCAAACAATATTGGAATCAAGCAAAAATGTCTTAATTACTTGTTGCAAGAAATATTTAATTGTTGAAGACAAGACTGTAAATGCAGCCACAAGCCTTTTCTCCCAGACCATATGAAAACATATGGCAGGCTGACATATCTTCTTGTCAAATCCCCCTTTAAGACTCACTCCTCACTGTAAGGACAGCCTGCTTATCAAATCCCCCTTTAAGACCCACTCCTCACTGTGATCACTAATCTAGATCTAGTAATTCAAAAACTATACCTAATTTCAACCAGTTTCCTCCTTTGAAACACTCATCTTAAAATCATTCTGCTCAGGTTATAAAACCCTAAATATTTCCTACCCAAAGGTTGGAACATTACTGTTTTTTAATCAAGAAGGTGTGTGTGTGTGTGTGTTTAGATGTGTGTGTGTGTGTCTGCGTGTGTGTCCCTTACTGTAAGAAGTCTGAACAACCAAGCTCTGCTTGATCATCTGATTTTTTTGATGACGGTTTGTGAAGCTGACAGTTGAAAATTGAGTCACTAACATGAGTATACACAAGATATTGACTGTGAAATGTACTAAAAGTTAGGAAAAAATGAACCATATTATGAAAATGTAGACTGCTTATTTTTGAATATTTGTGTGAACTGTCTTTTCAATAATGAAACTGGAAGCAGAGAAATACTGCTGCAATTGTTCAACTACAAAACCCCCTAAATAAGGAAATAGGGCTTGAGAATAAGAATACATAGAAGCTTTCAGATTATTGCTGCTTTATTTCTCTGTAATTTTCTATGCTCTAGCTATTGGGAAAAGAAATACATATGATTTGTTTACTTATTTTCTTTCTATTCTGTCCATCTCTCAACAGTGAGCTAAAAGGAGTTAAATATATATTTTCTTTTTGATTTTGCCATCGTGAAGGAGGAGAAGTTCAATAGTTCTGAATTTTTTTGCAAAGGGTTTCTACTAATTATTTAAATTTAATATTCTCTGAAGTAATGCTACATTATTACTGATATTTGTGTCAACGGTATGTACAGAATAGAAATTCTTAAACTTATCAAACAGAAAGAGGTCTGGAGCTCAGTAGCCCAGTGGTTTCCAACCCTGGATGCAGGTTGGTGTCACCTGTTGACGCCATATCTCTGAGTGTTCGGCCTTGGTTTCTCCACAGGTGATTCTGATACATAGTGTGAGTTGATAGTAGTGATATAATCCATCTCCCAAATAACAGACTTTGGGAAAAAGAGGTTGCTAGAGGTTGGAAATTTTCACTGAAGGCTAGCAAACTAACAGTGGTAGATGTGAAATCATAACCCATGATTTCTGTTCTTAAAGTTAGAATCCTAAATAAATAAATGAGAAAAATAAGACTGAAGTTTTAATGCATGCCTTGAGACATTTTATGTTATTAGCTAATCTTCTAGGTAATGATTGCAGTTCCATGGTTAAATTGTTAAATTCAAAATATTCTGATTCCTATGCATTATGGCTCAGGAAACTATAGCCTGTAAGCCAGATCAAGCCTGCCATATGTTTTTGTATGGTCTGGGAGCAAAGACTTGTTGCATTTTTAATTTTTTGAAAAAAATTTCAAGGAAAATAATACATGTGACACATGAAAATTACGTGTAATTCAAATTTTACTGTTCATAAATGAAGTTTTATTAAAATACAGCCATAATGTTTTATTTATATATTGTCTATGATCACTTTTATGTCATAGTAGCAGAGTTGAGTAGTTGTCACAGAGACCATATGGCCCACAAAGCTGAACATATTATATTATCTGGTCTGTTATGAATAAGTTTTGCCTACCCTTGCTTTCAACAAAGAGTTAAAAATTCTGGATCTGTGCAAGTCAGTGGGTGTGTCTAATAATGCAAGATATGGAGTGGTTGAATGCATTTCTGGGCATGCTGTTCTATATATTTCTTCAATACCACTCATTATTCTATTTGACTATTGTTCTCGGGTTATATTAAAGATTAACGATGCACTCAGCTTAAATCAAGATTCACAGAGATGGGAGCATATAACAGAGTAGAAGGCATAATAGTTACAGATTTCACTTTTCTTCCTCTACAGAAATTCCGAGGAGTTAAAGTGTAAGGAATTTAAGTAATTGTAGGAAATCTCTCCCAAAGGATGCACAGCTCTGCCATATTCTTGTCATAAAGTTGACGGTACACCTATGCTATCCTATTTGGAAAAATATGGTGAGATGATGTGCAATGTCCGTCATTTTGCATTTTAAAATAATTAGGTTTAATTGTGCAGTGAGTATACATAATATTTGCATAACTCTCTAGTTGAAAAAAAGAACTTCAAAACTCTGTGCCTGAAGAGATATTAGTGATTGTCACAAAGTCACTAATATTTGTGGATCTGTGTCCCTACAGCAAGGTATTATTTGGTAATAGATATAAATCTTTGAAAGGCTCTCAGTACAGACGTAGCTACTAAATAACAGTTGCTGTGGTTAATGTGCCATGGGATGGTGAGATAACATTCCTATTGATTATATAAACATCAGTCAGCCTGTAACCCATTGGAATGAAAACGACGGCGGCAACAACAGTAATAACACGGGTGATAGCAGCAGCAGCAAACATGGCTCTAGAACTTTCTATGCGCCTAGAATGGTTTAGATACTTTACAGGTTTTAACTCACTTAAATCCTCACAGCAACCTTACAAGGTAGATAACTATGACACTGTACTCAGTATATTATACATTGCACTGTACAGATGAGAAATATAAAGCACTGAGGAGGCAAGAAACTTGGCAAAGGTCACATAGTGAGGAGATGAAAAAAAACTGGAAACCAGGCAATCTGGCTGCAGTCTTCGTTCTTAAATAGTATCTTTTTTTCTGCTATAGTTTATATGAAATATGTCACGTAAGTAAAGAAACAGACTGTCCACCAAATCATGTTTTAGAAAAAATATTAAGATTCTAAAGGATGGGACTATTTCTCAGGATATGGACTGTGTTGTAATCATACTTTTTAATCTCCTGATTCTAGTGTAGTGTATAGTACAATATATAGTTGGTGCTCCATAAAAGTTTGCCAAATGAATCAACCGATCTGTGGGAAATATGCCTCAGGCTGAGTAGGAAGAAGTGAACTTTTCCCCAATTGTTGCCTTTCATAAGCCTTGCCCACAGGAAGTCTGGGAATTGTAGAGTATCAATAGCTCTTTAATCTAGCTCTGACAACTACCTTGAGATGTAGGTGACATTTTCTCATTAGGGCTTCCCTTATCCCTAAGGAACTATTTCTTTATGTCTCTTCAGGAATATGTCTAAAGATTTTGATTTTTTTTTGGATAACCATTTGTGTTCATTCTTTGCTGTGATGGGGTAGAAAGTTAATGGGTGCCGCACACCAACATGGCACATGTATACATATGTAACAAACCTGCACATTGTGCGCATGTACCCTAAAACTTAAAGTATAATAATAATTAAAAAAAAAAGAAATATATCACTGTTTTGTCTTCACTGGGTCCACTCAGTTTGGGGATTGGAAGGCTTTCAGCAGGCAGGGAGTCATTACAAACTCATGTATTTCTTCAAGAAATCCTCATTTCACTGAAGAGATCATTAGGCGATCAATTAGTTATTAGTGAGAGCGCTCTGGAATTTATCTCAGAGTCTAGAACCCCATATTTAATTTGTGTGAGGTGATCATAGGAATTCACATTCCCACTGGCCTTTCTTGCCTTATAACCTGAATTATGTATGTTCTCCTATGCAAATCATCACATTGATTCTTTTGTTAACAGCTTTAATGAGGTGTAATTGATATACAAATAACTACACATATTTAATGTGGACAATTTGGTGAGTTTCAGTATATGCAAACACCTGTGATAGCATCAGTACATTTGAGGTTACAGATGTAACCGTCACCTCCCAAAGCTTTCTTGTGCCCCTATGTTTTTGTTTTTGTGGCGAGAACACTTAACATGAGATGAGCCTTCTTAACAAATTTTGACGTGCCCAGCACTGTATTGTTAACTGTAGACACTAGGCTGCAGAACACATCTTTAGAACTTACTTACAGGCAGTTCCATTCTCAGCAAAGATTGCGTTTGTCTGGAGGTCCAAAGTCCTTAATTAGGTCTGTAATAATCTCTTTGCTCTGGTCATGTCCAGTTGTTGCAGCACCATTTGTTGAAAAGATTATCCTTTCTCAATGGAATTGCCTTTGTTCCTTTCTCAAAGATTAGTTAATGGTATTTGTTTGGGTCTGTTTCTGAGCTCTGTATTGTTTTCCATTGACCTGTTCTTCCATTCTTCTAGCCTTTTGCCTGTATCACACTGTCTTGACTAATGTACCTTTATGTAATTTATAAACTCCAGGAGTTTAGTATTATAAGTTTTTTCCTTTTTTTCAGTATTGTGTTGGCTATTCTGCATCTTTTTTCTTTTCATATAAACTTTAGAGTCATTTGCTGATGTCCACAAAATGACTTTCTAGAATTTTGGGTTGCGATTGTTTGTATCTAGATCAAGTTGTAAACAATTAGCTTCTTAACTATATTAGGCCTTTCTATTCATAAACATGGAACATCTATTTTTTTATTTAGATATCTTTGTTGTTTTATCTGAGCTTTGTAGTTTTACTCATACAGATCTTGTATATATTTGTATAATTGAACCAAAATGCTTCTAATTTCAAATTATATTTGTTTATTACAGGCTATACATAAATATAATTTGACTATTGTGTATTTATAAGGTTGTATTATACAATCTTGCAGTAATTGCTTTTTAGTCCCAGGAGTAATTTTGTTAGTTCTTTGGGATTTTTTACACAGACAACCCATGTCATCTACAAACAAACACAGTTTTATTTATTCTTTCCCAATCTCTATATGTTGTATTACCCTTCCTCTTTTAATTGCATTTTCTAGGACTTCCATCATAGAATTGAATAGGAGTGATGAGAGAAAACATCCTTGCCTTATTCCCAACCACAGAAAGAAATTGTCCAGTTTCTACCATTAAGTATGCTGTTAGCTATAGGTTTTTATAGATTTTATTTTTCCAACTTCAGTGAGTTCTAGTCTTAGTTTTCTGAGATATCTTATCACAAGTGGCTATTGCATTTTGTCAAATGCATTTTCTGCACCTATTGATATGCTTATGTGATATTTCTTCTTTCATCTGTTAATATGGTGCATTATATTAACTGACTGCTGAATGTTGAACCAGCCCTGCAAATCTACAACAAATCCCACTTGGCCCTGGTGTATACGTTTTTATATATCGTTAGATTTTCTTTGCTCATACTTTGTTGAGAAAATTTTCATTTATGTTCATCAGAGATATTGGTCCCTTGTTTTCCTTTTCTGTAATGTCTTTATCTGATTTTGAGATTAAGATAATGCTGCCTCATAGAATATATTAGGAAGTGTCCTTTCCAATTTTATTTTTTGGGGATTGTGGTTTACTATCACTTCTTTCTTAAATGTTTGGTAAGATCCAACATTGAAACCATCAGTTTTAGCGCTTTATTTTTTGGAAGGTTATTAATTATTGATTCAATTTTAAAAATAGATATAGAGCTATTCTAATTACATATTCTTGTGTCAGTTTTGACAAATTGTGCTTTTCAGTTAATTGGTACATATCATCAAAGTTATATGTGTGGTCATAGAATTGTTCATAATATGCCTTTATTATTCTTTTTGCATCTATGAGACAGTAGTGATGACCCTTCTTCCATTCCTGGTATTAGTAATTTGTGTCTTCTTTATTTGTTTGTTTAATTTTTGGTTAGGCTAGCTAACCAGTTTATCCATTTCATTGATATTACCAAATAACTACTAATAAATATTATAACTACTGAATCAATAAGACTTAGTTTCAAATTCTGATCATACCTCCCTTTTTGCTATATGAGCTTCCAATTAATCTTTAGAGTTTAAGTTTCCTCATTTGTAAATCAAAGATTATGATCTGTCTGAGTTGTTTTGATAATTAGAAATAATGTGTGCAAAAAGGCATTGTGTTAGTCTGTTCTTGCAGTGCTATGAAATACCATTTGACTTGATAATCCCATTACTGGGTGTATACCCAAAGGAATATAAATCATTCTACTATAAAGATACATGCATACATATGTTGGTTGCAGCACTATTCACAATAGCAAAGACATGGAATCAATCCAAATGCCCATCAATGATAAACTAGATAAAGAAAATGTGGTACATACACACTATGGAATACTATGCAGCCATAAAAATGAATGAGCTCATGTCCTTTGCAGGGACATGGATGGAGCCAGATGCTATCATCCTCAGCACAGCAATGCAGAAAACCAAACACTGCATGTTCTCACTTATAAGTGGGAGTCAAAAAATGAGAACACATGAACACAGGAAGGAGAACAACACACACTGGGGACTAGTGGGAGACGGGGAGGAGTGAGAGATCATCAGGAAAAACAGCTAATGCACGCCTGGCTTAATACCAAGGTGATGGGTAGATAGGTGCAGCAAGCCACGTGCACATGTTTACCTATGTAACAAACCTGCACATCCTGCACGTGCACCCCAGAACTTAAAATAAAATAAAATTTAAAAAAAAGAATTACCTCAGATTGGGTAGTTTATAAAGAAAAGAGGTTTAATTGGCTCATGGTTCTGCAGGCTGTCCAGGAGGCATAGCAGCTTCTGCTTCTGAGGAGGGCCTCAGGAAACTTACAATCATGATTAGGAGACAGGAAGGCAGGCACATCTTACACTGCCAGAGCAGGAGCAAAGGAGAGAGAAGGAGGTGCTACACACATTTCAAAAACCAGGTCTTGTGATAACTCACTCACTCACTATCATGAGAACAGCACCAAGGAGGAGGTGCTACACCATTCATCACGGACCACCCGCATGATCCACTCACCTCCCACCAGGCCCCACCTCCAATATTGGGGATTACAATTCAACATGAGATTTGGGCAGGGACGCAGATCCAAACCATATCAGTCATTATCACAGTGTTTGTTATGTTGTTAGAAATAAAGAGAAGTCTAGTAATAATACATTATTGTGGATGTATTTTTATTAGTATGTCATCAAAGTATTATCCTCCATGACTACTAATTATAAAAAAATGCAAATGAACAAATTTCACCTTAAAATTGAATGTGTTTATTTGAATTTTAATGGATCTACCATGCCTTATGCACAATGTCTTTCTCTGGTCAATTCAGCAGAATATAATTTCATGACATCAGGGTAATGATGAAATTTTTTTATCGCCAAAAAGATTTTTTTTCCTGTGAAAATATATAGGGAATGAGGTTTGTATTATTATAAAAATTCAGCAATGTTTTACTCTTGGCCTAGTTGGAAAAACACAGTAGTAGCCATGAAATAAGAGATAGAGAAGAACTGAGCCTAAAATGCATTTGGTTTATGAAAAAGAGAAATTAATATTTTATTTTCCTGAATGTTGAAAATGTTAAATGTATAACTCCTATTTATTTTTGTGCTTTAAAAAAGCAAAGTACAAAATAGTTTTTTTTCCAAGCTGATAGTATTTTTTCCCAAGCTGATAGCCCAAATCTCATGTTGAATTGTAATCCCCAATATTGGAGGTGGGGCCTGGTGGGAGGTGAGTGGATCATGCGGGTGGTCCGTGATGAATGGTTTAACACCTCCTCCTTGGTGCTGTTCTCATGATAGTGAGTGAGTGAGTGAGTTATCACAAGACCTGGTTTTTGAAATGTGTGTAGCACCTCCTTCTCTCTCCTTTGCTTCTGCAAAAATAACCATCTAATGATCTGAAAGACTTCTAAAGTATCATCTTCAAATTGTTCTGTTAAACAAGGGGTGAAAGTCCAGGGCTACACATTTGTCAAGTAAATTGGCAGAGCTATTGCAGCAAGGGGATTTGACAGAACCACACACGTGGGTCTTTGCTGATTCAAGTGGCATTTATTGAGTTCAAGTTATTTTTGTTGCTGTTGTTGTTGATTTTTGTACCGTTTCACAAAGTCAGTAAGATTTTAAATTAATATGTGAAACCTGCATAAAGATAATTTTGAACCTTTCAAAGTTTTAGAAAAATAAAACATGTCATAAGTAAATTTTTTCTTCTCTTTCTCTTTCTCAAGACAAATGTCAGCATTGTAAACTGTATCTGTCTCAATAAGTAATGCAAAAAAGGCTCTATGAGTTGCTGTTTCTCCTTTGTTTTTCTTGTTCTCCACCACTGCTCCCAGAACTCATATCTCCTTCACCTTCTCTCTTGGTTCAATTTTTATTTTTCAGGTTTCACAGAAGCAAGTTTTCAAGTTAGATTGAGTAATAGAAATAAACTAACGAGAACTATGATTAAACAGGAAAGCTAGTCTTCATTTTAGTATTGTAGCTTGTGTGTAGTGCTTTGAACATCTTTTTCTCCCTTTGCTGAATAACCAAAGTTTCTCTGTACTAAGGAAAAGAATATCAACCTCTCATCCAATCTGCAAGAATTTTTGAAATTACTTCTGTCAGTTGATCATATAGTAACTTCAAGTATGTTAGAATCATGTTCTGAGGAGCCACTTACTCATAAAGAGACAGAATGTAGTCCTAATATTTTACAATGAGCCTAATCTGCCACCTTCCAATTTATTTCTGGATTTTTGTTCAACCCTTTGGGTTAAAACCAAACAAATATCTTGTTCATCATTTATTAATGTAAGAAGTATTTGTTAACCATTACCAGGTACTGATTTGAGCATTGGTGATTAGCAGTGAGCAAATTAGATATAAATTCCTGCTTTTATGAGCCCCACATTTAGGTAGGTTTGAGGTAATAAAAAAGAAAAATAAGAAAAATACATACTCTATTAGGTAGAAGTAAGTGCTAAATGACGCAATACAAGCAGAGAGGGAGCTAGGAAGTGTGACTGTGCGTGTGTGTGAGAGAGAATTAGCAAGTTATGTAGGGCAACTTTGGAAGCCCTCAGTGAAAAAATGACTTCCAGTGGCTATGATAAGGTAAGCCATAAGCGTATTTGGAGAAAGATTTTCAAGCAGAAAGAACAGCAAAGGCAAGAGACTTCAAAGTAGGCAATTTCATTTCATTTCCTGCATGACAGTCCCTGAACTATTTCACAGTCACTAGTATATCATCCAGTATTTCCTTTTTTGTTATTAAAGAGCCCAACTGCCTTTCTTTGCTTCATGGATAAAACAATTATGCAAACTTTAATGACATAGTTGCCTCTCTCCTGGGAACAGCCAATGCTTTGCGTTCACCCTCTTTTTCACATTTGCGTGGGATAATACTAAATATTTTATTTTACCTGTTCAGTAGTGACTAAGAGGAATGAATAGATTATTTATGTTTTTGCAGCTTTAAAAATAAGTGCAGTTCTGACATGATTAAAAACTTTGCTGAGGCCGGGTGTGGTGGCTCACGCCTGTAATCCCAGCATTTTGGGAGGCTGAGGCAGGCGATCACTTGAGGTCAGGAGTTCGAAACCATCATGGCCAACATGAAGAAACCCTGTCTCTACTAAAAATACAAAAATTAGCCGGGCGTGGTGGTGTGCGCTTGTAATCCCAGCTACCCCAGAGGCTGAGGCAGGAGAATTGCTTGACCCCGGGAGATGGAGGTTGCAGTGAGCGGAGATCGTGCCACTGCACTCCAGCCTGGGTGACAGAACGAGACTCCATCTCAAAAAAAAAAAAAAAAAATTGTTGGCTCTTCATTTCTCTTTCATATCTGTTTTACTCATTTCTCTCTCTTATTCTCCTTCTTGTCCCACATTTCCATCCCCTAAAGAGCCACTAGATTACAGATTCTTCCTAAAAGTTTAATTATTCTATTTTTATCTGAGTAGGGCTGAGGAGGCAAGAATGGAGTGTTGGGCATCTGACAAGATACACTTCCTGCATTTAACCTCTGTCCTTCAATATCTACCTTATTTTGTAACTACCAGCAGAATGGGAAAGGCTGAATAACTAACTGCTAAATTTTAACAAATCTCTGTGAAGTGTCATGTCATTTTTCTCTAAAAGTCAAAGTGATAAAATCACTGAAGCATAGGAAAATGACATTAGAGACGTCACCTCCTTTAACTGTATAAATCACTCTCTAGGTTTTAGCTGCTCATTATAAATCTCATCAGTCAGTAATACCTGTTATGTATATAACAGTGAATATATAATTTATCATTCAAATTTGGCTTTTTGTGAGTGACCATGGGCACTATTAAATAAAAATCAGTCTGCAAGGCAGGCATGAAGCAGAACTCTGCGAAGGAAAACTGAAATTGTGTTTATCCTACTTATAATGATATTTAATAGAGGTAGTCACATAGTCACTAACAGATAAGGTTCTAGAATCACAGGGAATTGGGTTTGTATTCCAGTGTTCAGGAGACAGCTGTTTGACCTTGGGGACATCACTGAACTTCTCTAACTTTATTCCCCAAATCAGCATAGTGTAGCTATCACTGGTTTTAATCTCATAGAACTATTATGAGGATTCATTGAGGTCAAATGTATAAGTTGGTTTCCTTAGATGTTATGTATGTAATGAATTCAAATGTTATGAAAATAGAGGCATAAGATTAGTGAGCCTCTTCATATTTAAAATAACAAAGGAATGTATTAAAATGAACGTAAAAATGACAAAGTAAAATATAAAATGTGTCCACAAATATGATGGTACTAAAAATTGGTTCTAATTTCTTTCTTTTTTTTTTGAGACGGAGTTTCGCTCTTGTTGCCCAGGCTGGAGTGCAACGGCGCGATCTTGGCTCACTGCAATCTCCGCCTCCCAGGTTCAAGCCATTCTCCTGCCACAGCTTCCCAAGTAACTGGGATTACAGGCATGTGCCACCATGCCTGGCTAATTCTGTATTTTTAGTAGAGACAGGGTTTGTCCATGTTGGTCAGGCTGGTCTGGAACTCCTGACCTCAGGTGATCCGCCCGTCTGGGCCTCTCAAAGTGCTGGGATTACAGGCTTGAGCCACCGTGCCCAGCCTTCTAATTTCTTTATGTATAAGTACATGACTAGATAGCAGAACTAGAGATAATAATATCTTAATATATGATAGAAATGGCTTTTAGTGCTTTTTCTATATTAACTAACTTAATCCCTTCAACAACTCTATGAAGAGCTATTCTTGTGGGGAAATTGAGACACAAAGGTATTAAGAAGCCTTTTCTTTTCTTTGTTTTTTTTTTTTTTTTTCTTTTTTAAGACAGGGTCTCACTCTATTGCCCAGGCTGGAGTGCAGAGGCATGATCTCGGCTCACTGCAACCTCCACCTCCCAGGTAAAAGCAATTCTCCTGCCTCAGCCTCCCCAGTAGCTGGGACTACAGGTGCATACTGCCACACCCAGCTAATTTCTGTTATTTTTTTTAGTAGAGACAGGGTTTTACCATGTTGGCCAGGCTGGTCTTGAACTCCTGACCTCAGTTGATCCACCCATCTTGGCCTGCCAAAGTGCTGAGATTATAGGCATGAGCCTGGCCAAGGAGGCTTTTCAAGGTCACCTAAGAGGTAATTGTCAAAGCAGAGATTTACACCCAGGCGATTTGGTGTCTTAACCTTTAGGATATTCAGACTCTCGGTATGAATAGAAATGAAACAACTCTATAACAAATTTGGAATTAGAGAAATAAATATTTTTAATAAGTTTTAAAAAAATCTGACTTTTGCTTACAGTGAAGAAAACCAGATTTATTTTCCAATCTTAAAATAATAGAAAACCAAACAAAATATATGAAACAACGGTTTTTGTTGTTATGCTTTCATTTTTGTTTTTATATTGAACAACGGAAATATGCAGTACAGGAAAGTGATTCCTGAATAAGAGAAAACAAATGAGTTAAGCCCCATCATTGCCTCAGCTTACTGCTTTAATAGAGTTCCTACGCTTAAATACAAAACACAGAGAACTGAACAGAGATTAGTGGTCCTGCTGAGTTGAGGAGACATTTGGAGTTCAGAAGACCAAGGTAGTTAAAATTTATAAGAAAAAATTTGGAGAGTAGAGAGATTGACAGCCCTGGATATTTGCAATGAGGAAAACCTCTTCTTTTTATCCCAATACTGAAATTTGCCTGCATGAGACAGCATTGTCTTAGGTGAAGAAAACAAGTATTGAAGAGAAATAATGCTTGTAACTCCTCAGAAGAGTTCTATACTGAGTGATTTTTTTGATCATCCTAACAAATTAACAATTCTAACTTAGAAGCAGTTGTTGAAAAGGATCCAACTGGTCCCAGGTATCTTAACTGTGATCTAATGCAAAGCCCGACAATATTTAAAGGACTACAAAAAACATTCAGAAAACAAAAACATAAATTCTACCATGCCCAACACCCAAACAAAAATTGACAGGCATGAAAGGAAGTAGAAAAATATAATCCATAACAGAGAAAAATCAATAAACAGAAATAGGCTTTCAAATGTAAGGTATTATAGAATTAGCAGAAAAGAACACTAAAACATCTATTAGATGTATAATTCATATTTTTAAAATGTATAAAAATAATGAGTAGTAAGATGTGAAAAGAATTAAATTGAATTTTTAGAGATAAAATACACTATCTGAAATAAAAAATACATTGGAAGATATTAACAGAAGATTAGAAACTGTAGAATAAAATATCAATAAATATAAATACATAGAAATGTAAATTATTCAGATGAAACACAGAAAGGAAAAACCAACAAATATTAGCAGGGCTTTTATAGGCTACTACTGAGCTACTACTAACAGGTTACTTTTGGGTAAAACAATTTGAGGCAGTTATCAATATACTGAATTGGACAAATAATAGTTAACTGTGAAAATCTAACTGAATTATGTAAAGAGAACAAATATATATATATATATATATATATAAATAAAATTTATTTTAACAAAGTCTATGCAGCAGATTTTGGACTCAATTCTTTGCCCTTAAGGTAAGAATGTTGCCATTCTGTTGAGCATAAGAAGGGGGTCTTTACATGGGAATTATATCTTTGTGGGTTTTTAAGTGTTTTTTCTAAATAGTATGTCAGAATAGTGAGGAGTTTTGGATAAAGAGAGTTTAGCTCACAGAAAGATAAAGAGACAGAATTGTCAAAAGAAGGAGGGGGAGCTCTGGAAAGGAAAAAAAGTTTTAGTTAGCTTTGAGACAGTATTTTGTAGCAAGGCAGTCTTTGAGTCCTGAATGGTTCTTTGTTTCCTAGCCTCAAGATATCAATGCGATAAGCATATCTTGTTTAAAATGTAAAATTTTATAGCAGCAATCTTTTATTCTAGTTTTAAAACAACAGGTGGTTTGAATGATCCCTATAATGTTTAAACATGTTACCAATCAGAGTCCCAGAAAATGTCTTGGCATGGCTTTAAACTTTCTCAGGTTGAGTTTATCCAAAGCCTTAAGGTGCAGGAATTTTCCCTATAGTTTTTAAATGTAAAGCTTACCTGGGTACCTGAAGGCAGCTGGTCAGAGACCATCCCCTCGGGACATGGATTACTCATTGCAGGGACCTGACAAAGGTGTCCCTTCTGATACCCTTAGTGTGAGCATTACAGCAAAACCTGAAATGTGAGCACACCCCAGGAAGCACGAGTGTACCCACAAATTGCAAGTGTACCCTACAAAATGTGAGTGGACCCCACAGGGCTGATAGAGCCTAATGAACTGGCTTCCTGAAGAAAAGTTTTCAAGGCTTCAACCTAAAAATGGGAGATCTTAAATCCTAGAAAGCAGCCAGAAGATAACTGAGTTCAAGGGACTCTTGTAGGCATCAGGTGTTGTTCCAGATGTGGCTGGGAAGGAGCTTGGGGGCCACTTCTGATCCCATCGTTGTCCCCAAAGAAATGTTAACAAAAGTCATGAGATTTGCAGAGGGAAAAGGAGTAGCTTTAATTTCTATATTAAAAAAAAATCTGCAAACTGGGGAAGCAAAGCCTTCAGTGTAAGTGAAATGTGTTCTCTAAAGAGGGTAGGGTGAGGCTGATGTTTATGCCTTACATGGTCTGTTTTGCATAATTGGGTCATACGTTTTCAGCGGGTTTGGGGAAAATCTATGTATATTTATGAGGGAAGTCAGGCACATGCACAATGGGTAAACAGATATGTAACATACACTCTATGTTCACTTTGTGGTTGAGTTTTAGTATTAAAATGAGGGGGAGTTTAGCTGACTACATTAAAAGGTGAACTACAGAGTTCAAAGCATTTTGTGTACATCCTGTGTAAGGCGGCCGAAACTGGCTTGAGGTTTGTGGTTGTGTATCAGGAAAGAATGTTTGAAGGACCAATACCCTGTCTAATCAGAATTTGTGATGGGACTGCAGAACCGGAGGGGAAACAGTAGGATAAGGGGCAAAGCCTGGGTTGGATAGTCTTTCAATAGAAACTACAAGTCTTTCAATTAGGAGGTTCCAGGTGTCAGCTGAGCTTGTGAGGGTCAGAGGGGACACTCTAGCTGTAGTTGTTTTGACAAGGCTCTTTAGGAACTGGTTTCTGCTTAATTACAGGAAAGAAAATTTCGTGACAGTACTGAGTAACACAGGGATATGTGACCAGCTCCTCACCCTGCCATGACCCTTTGATTCTGTTTGGTTGTGCCTCATGTTAGCCATGAAGAGTTCATCTTGCCTGTCTGTTGGGGTATATTTTAATATGATCAAATAGGAAAGAAAACAGTGTTCTTCAGCTGATGAATGGCTAGACAAATTGTAGTGAACTAACCTGCTATTATCTTCTTTTTTTTTTTTTTTTTGAGATGGAGTCTCGCTCTGTCGCCCAGGCTGGAGTGCAGTGGCGCAATCTTGGCTCACTGTAATCTCTGCTTCCCAGGTTCAAGTGATTCCCCTGCCTCAGTCTCCCAAGTAGCTGGGATTACAGGCACGCGACACAATGCCCAGCTAATTTTTTGTATTTTTAGTAGAGACGGGGTTTCACTATGTTGGCCAGGATGGTCTTGATCTCCTGATCTCATGATCCACCCACCTCGTGATCCACCCGCCTTGTGATCCACCCTCCCAAAGTGCTGGGATTACAGGCGTGAGCACCGTGCCGGGCCCTAACCTGCTATTATCTTAATGTTCATGTGTCCCTAAGATTCATATGTTGAAATCCTCACTCCCAAGGTGATGGTATTAGGAAACTGATCCATCGGGAGGTTACTAGGTGTTTAGGCAGAGCTCTTGTGAATGGGATTAGTGCCCTTGTAAAACAGGGTCTAGGGAGATCCTTACATCTTCAACCATGTGAGGTTATAGTGAAAAAGCAGCTGTTTAGGAAGTGAGCCCTTAGTAGACACCAATCTGCAGACACCTTGATCTTGGATTTCCAGCCCTAGAACAGTGAGAAATAAACTTCTCTTGTTTATAAGCAAGCCAGTTTAGAGTATTTTTTTTATAGCAGCCCAAACGGGCTAAGCTACCATTCAATGGAATGTTACCAGTGATAAAAAGAGATGAACAAATATAAATATCAACATGGTTAAATTTCAAAAGCATTATAGGAAGTGAAAGAAGTGAAACACAAATGGCTGCAAACTATATGGTTTTGTTTATGTAAAAATATTTTTTACAAGGCAAAACTATTATTTTAGAAAGAATAGAGTTTGCCAGTTTCAGGGAGGTAGGGAAAGCTAATTGACAGGAAAGAGCTAAGTAGTACAATTTTGGGGGTGACGAAGCTATTTTGCTAGTATTACTGACCATACATATGTTGAATTTTATACCAAAAATTGGTACATTTTATTCTAAAATTATGGCTGAACAAAGCTGATTTAAAAATTTAGGTAAGCATAATATTAAATATTTGGAGGTGACTAAAGAAATATGTAACCAAAAAACCCATAATAAAATGCAGAAATGAATATACGTAGCAAATTAATCATGCTACATATTGATGAGATTATCACAAACTAGAATATTTTGATAAGAATTTGAAATTTAAATTATAGTCACAAATAGTAAATATGAAAACATTGCCTATTAAAATATGCTTTTTTAATAGAAAATACCAATGACATTGACCCAAATAAATATATCAGGTCCGAAGTCATCATTTCTCAAATCGTAAATAAAATCATTTAAAAAGTGAAGAAATAAGCTTAAGTAAAAAAGACTTATTAATTAAAAACCCCAAATTGAATGAAATTATGAATTAGCTAAAAGAGAATGTGTGGGCTTCAATGTGCATCATTAATTTTAAGTGAAAATAGAAACATTAAGTGTAATATATCACAGTACAATAAAGTGCCATCAAAATTTCTGTCATTTTGACACATCATTTGAAAATGTAGGCAAAAACATGTGAAAAATTGCTTAAAACTCTTTGCCATCTGGGCAATATCAAACAAATAATACTTTAAAAAAAAGAGTAAAAGGTTAGGATATTTTTTATATGGCTCTGGAATGTATAAGTAAAAATAAATTGGAAGTAAATTGGAGGACATTAAAAGAACTATATATTCATTGGCCTTAAAATATAAAAGTGCCAACTAACATCTTAAACTATTGACCTGTATTTCTACCTGAAATCTACAAAATAAAAAGTTGATAAATTTCTAGAGTTGAATCCCAAACACTTAGTCAGCATATGTATGGAATAGCCAGGATTGAAGCTGTCTGAGACAGTTAGAGATAGACTCTGCAGCAGGCAACTCTAACTACTACACCGCACCAATCAACTTTCGGGAATGCTAATTAGACATGCTTGGCTAAGTTGAACAAAATTCCAACATAAGCTTTTAATGAAAGGCTAAATTTCCTAATACATACTTACTATGTTTCAGATAGGAGAATGGAAATGGGTAAAATATTTTCTATGAAACCCTATTCTTACATATTTTTTGCATATCATGTTCCTGGGTTCAATATCTTTCATTCACTACAGTTTTCATATTTGACCATATTTTCCCCAACATTTGTTTATTAAACGGGTAAGAGGAAAAACTAGCCTAGCTTCATTCTACATTCATTTCTCCTGCACTACTTATACACACAATGAATAGCTAGTAAACTATAGAGCTACAGTATTAATTTTAAAAGACAGTTTCACTGCATAAGATGCAAGAATCCAATAACTGGTGCCCTAAACATGAGTGGAATATTAGAGAACTAATGAAGAAAAACTTAAAAGTCTACTTTTCTCCGTCAAAGACATTGATGTCAATTTCACCATGCTTTGAAAATTTCATGTTTATTATTTTTCTGATGTTTATATCTTCTCTCTTACTCTGTCCTTGCCTGGATCTCACTAGTCCTTTTCTAATACTTCACACTAGATTGTAAACTTCATGATAGCTAGTGTATCTTATTCATTGCTTTCAGAGAAAATCTTAATAAAATAATATTTTTAATCGATGGTAACAACCAGTGTCTTTAACAAAACTAAGAAATGTGATTTGTTCAAGGGCTATAGCTTTTGTATCAAAGTCTGAATTGTATTCTAAGAAAGTAACTATAATAATCAGATCTAGACTTCTGGATTTGTTCACTAATATGGCACATTTGGTCAATAAAATATTGATTATAGTATTGATTTGAACATTTTGAGAAAGATGACATAATAAATTAACATTCATTTGAAATGACCATTACTAGGTGTCAATTAAATGATTGCTGATGTATTTACAGAAACAATTAGGAAATATCTTGATATATGAGCAGGCCTTATTTGTGTTAGAAAAGCCACAGATTATAATCCAGTCTGTGAAAGATAATCTAGCAAAAAACAAAACAAGAACAAGAATTCAGAGCTTTACACATTAAAGGTGTAAGCAACATTGTAACTTCCATATCAAGTGTAATAAAGTTCTCATTTCAGGACACATTTCCACATTTCTAAAGAAAGTGACAATAAAACATCAACAGTTCTTGGATGTTGAAACATAGCCAAAAGTGAGACCATCAGGAGAAGGGCCTAAGAAGAACTAGATTAACAGGAAGAAGGTGAAAAAGTGATAATAAATCTTTTAATCCTGCCACCTACACAGGCGATTCTCCACCTACCAGAGGTGAGAGCATATCTTACTAGGTCACTAACAGCAGCAAAGTCTCTGAAGAAGGTGAGTATGAGTGAGTAAAAGCATCATTTTCAGAAATTTGGAACTTCAACCCTCATCAAACTATTTAATATGACTTCCCATTTAATTCATTTTAATAATATCAGTGCTAAAAGTATTTTGTAGCAGGTAGTCTTATTACAGAAACTGTCTCAATCATACAAAACCTTTTCTCCCCCCTTTGGAGCAGAGCTTCAATCAACTTCTGGACATCTGCAGTCAAACCTACTTCAGGATTCAAGAATGAGACATTCACCATACCCTACATATTAAACAGACATTCACCATATCCTACATATTAAACAGATGTGCCTTCCCTTTGCTGCAGAAGGGCCCATCCTGCTTTTGACTAAGTAGATTCAATACTAATATGGTTATTTGACCAATCTCTGCATTTTGAGGGGAGAGGGAAGACTCATTCTCCAGGGTGTATAAGAAACCATCATATAGTGCTCAGAGATGACGTTGAGAAGACGTCAGTGACAAACATCTGGCTCATTAAAAATGTTTGATCTAGTTTGTATATTTGCCTCTGCCCAAATCTCGTGTTGAGTTGTAATCCCCAATGTCAAAGATGGGGCCTGATGGGAGGTGTCTGGATTATGAGGGCATGAATGGTTTAGTATCATCCTATTGGTGCTGTTCACCTGAGAGTGAGTGAGTTCTCAAGAGATCTGGTCATTTAAAAGTGTGTGGCACCTCCTCTCGCACTACCTCTTTCTTGCTCCTGCTCTGACTCTCTTTCTTCTTCCCCTGCTGGACACTTGCTTCCACTTCTCCTGCCCTTGGACATCACACTCCAAGTTCCACAGCGTTTGGACTCTGGGACTTGCACCAGCAGCTTCCTGGGGGCCCTTGGGCCTTTTGGCCACAGACTAAAGGCTACACTGTCATCCTCCCTGGTTTTGAGGCTTTGGGCTGAGCTACTACCAGCTTATCTCTTTCCCCACCTTGCAGACGGCCTATCATGGGACTTCACCTTGTAATTGTGTGAGCCAGTTCTCCCTAATTAACTCTCTTTTATATATACACACATCCTATTGGTTCTGTGTCTCTGGAGAACCCTGACTAATACATTGTTCAAAATCAGCTGACTTTTCCACAACATTTTCCCTCAATGTTAGTCCCCTTGAAGGGGACCAAGAGGTTTGCAATAAGCGTTGTCCTGCTTCGCCCTATTTCAAAATGTTACTCAGAAAATAGATTTGGAATTAGGCTGGTGAATGCAAGCCCTTATATCTGTGATGTCCAGGGATCATGCTATTAATAACATTTTCAAAGTATCTATGAACCAAAACAAGCTTGAAGGAGAAAGCAGTTTTTTAAAATTATGTCAATACACATATAATTTGTTCTCATATTCTCTTGCCAGCTATTACTGAATATCTTCCAGGAACTGCACTAGGATGGGACATTGGAGCTGAAAGAGAATCAAGCACTCTGGCTCTCAAGGAACTCCCAGACTAATCAGATTTATTTATTTTAGAGACAAACTCTTGCTCTGTTGCCCAGGCTGGAGTACAAGGGTGCGATCACAGCTCATTGCGACCTCAAACTCCTTGGCTCAAGTGATCCTCCTGCCTCAGCCTCCTGAGTGGCTTGGATTACAGGAACATGCCACCACACCAAGCTAAGCTAATACAATTTAGACAATTGAACTCTTGGTGGTGGTGCATCTTGCTGGGGGCCATACAGTTTATATGTCTACTCCCATGTATGCTTATATGTGATGCCAACGCATGAGAGGAGTCACTACCTGCTGAGCTGTGCAGACTCATTCTTTCCAAAGTGAAGGGTAAGAATATGGATGAACTTCTCAGTTCAGACTCTTCATTCTTCTCTCTCTTATGGTCTGATCACTCACTTATATAAATTATCGCCATCGAAGAAATCTAACTTTACAAAAGTGGTGGACAAATTTGGATTCAATATAAGCATTAAAATTGATCTAAAAGTAAAAGTAATGCAGATGACTTTTTAAAATGATAAATCACTTTTTCTCATGTAGCTCAGATTTGTTTAATGGTATGAGGAAAAAAGAATAGCAAATTTGAGAACTGGAGCCCCAATGCCTCCTAAAAGATCCATGTGCTATGATAAAGCAACCTGTTCATGGCCATTCTCAGATTGCATATGCATAGAAAATACTAAACAGACTCTCAAGCTTGGAAGATGGGTGACTCTCTTCCACATAGTACAATTATGTTTACTTATTGGAGTGTAAACTTTAAGGGAGCAGAAATCATATCATTTGTTTGATTCTATATTTTTAACTTCTATGACAGCGGAATCTAAAATATACTGTTGACAGATTGATTGACTGACATAAAGGAGGATCTGTAGACCAAAGTAGTTAAAAAAAAGAGATTTAATAAATTATTTAACTCCTTCTTTCTATCAAAGAGATAGTAAGAGCTGGGGGTAAAAGGAGACAGAAAAAATATGAAGCTACTGTACTAAAAAGAAAATGTAAACAGCCAACACAAAATTGATCAATGAAAGGTGAAGCAGTCACGTGCAACACGGCACATAACTAAGGTAGCTTTAGAGAAGTATACGTGAAGAATAAAAACAGGAAGTATAGGAGCATGGAAAATTTATAATATACACACAAAATGTGCATAAAAGTCTATTTAAGTAATGCAGGCTGGGCGCGGTGGCTTACGCCTGTAATCCCAGCACATGGGAGGCTGAGGAAGGTGGGTGATTCGAGGTCAGAAGTTCGAGACCAGCCTGGCCAACATGGTGAAACCCTGGGTCTACTAAAAATACAAAAAAATGAGCAGGGCATGGTGGCACACACCTGTAATCCCAGCTACTTGGGAAGCTGAGGCGCAAGAATCACTTGAACCCAGGAGGTGGAGGTTGCAGTGAGCCAAGATCGTGCCACTGTGGTCCAGCCTGAGTGACAGAGTGAGATCCCGTCTCAAAAAAAAAAAAAAAAAAGAAGTAATACAAAGGCTTTGGCATAGATAGCCTGACACTCTTTGCCAACATCAATTCATGTGATGATTTATACCACAGTCAAAGCTCTTGTCTATTAATCCATCAGCTCCTCTACTACAAATAATTTCTAACAAGCATCACAAAAATCTTGATCCAAAAGAATAAGTAATAAAGTATTATCTTACTTTGTAAAAACTAACGAGAAAGCCAACAAAAATGATATGCGAGACCAAGAAACAAAGGTGTGATTATGTGATTGTAAAAAGGTCCCTTTACCTGTAATCCCTGTTCCTTTGCCAAAGTGATTTTGTATCTACTTCCAAGGGGAGGTATAGCCAATTTTTCTTTCTTGAATTTGAACTGAACTTTTGCCTTATTTGGCCAGAATTATGTGGCATACACGATGCTTTTCCAGTTCTGAGCCTAGACATTAAGAGACAACACACACCTCTTTTCTCTGGAAACCATGCAGAGCTACCCTGAGCTAGATGGGGGACAATGAAAGATATGAGAGGCCAGTGGACCATGTTCCCAGCCGATCCCTCTGAAGAGGACGTGGCTTGCTGGCTGGCTGCTGGAGGCACTTGTATACATGAGGAGCCCTGCCAAAATCAGAACTGCACAACCCAGATGGCTGGCTTGTTAAGAAGCAAAAGCTATCTTTGCTACATGGTTTGTAAATACACTAGTATTTAAAATTTATAGATTTGTTTACCTCATCCCCCACCAAAAATAAATTCTGAGATTCTTCTACTTGCCAATTAGAACGAGAATTAATAAAATTGTTGAATACAGGATCACTATAAACTAGGCTATAAACTAGTACTAAATAAAAAAAATTAGTTCTAAGAAAAATATACTATTTAATATAGAAACAAAATACAAAGTAACAGCATAAATCAAACATTTACTGGAAAAGTTATTCCACGTTCATAAACTTTTGAAGGAATCAATGTCATAATGATGTCAATGTTCCCTCAATTAATCCATACATTTAATTTAATGTATATTCATACATTCAATTATAATTCCATCAGAATTTTTTAAGGCACTTAGCAAGCCGATTCTAAAATGTATGTAGAAGTAAGGAGGCCTGAGAGTAATTCAAAAGCAAAGAAGCCTCAGAATAATTAAGTCAATGTTTAAGAAGCTAAAAAAGGTGGAGGCTACCCAGGTAGCTTAACTCATCATGAAGTTATGCGAATATACAAAGAGAACGGTAATGTTATTGCCAGAATAGACAAATAGACTCGAAGAATAGACAGTCTGGGAAAGATCATTGCATGTATGAGAAAAGTGATGTTAGAAAACAATGAGGTAAAAAGGAACCATTCAATCAATGATAACGAACAATAGGCTACCTGTACTAAAACAAAACAAAACAAAATGATCCCTGAAGTCCGACCATATATAAAAATAATTTCCATACATACAAAAGACAAAACTTTAAAACCTTTGGAGAAATTTTAGAGGAAAATATTCTTGTGGTCTTAGAATAGAGAATAATTTCTTACATGATATTTTAAAAATTTCAACTCATAAAGAATTGTGTAAATGCTCCTACTAATGCAAAGTCCCCATAAAATCAGTGCAGAGACAAGTTTAGGTGGGACTATATGTAATAAATATAGATATCCATAATTAATGGCCATAGTAAGGCCACTATGAAGCAATAAGGAAAAGATAAACAGTATGGAAATATTAGCAAAGTATATGAATTAAACATTCACAAGCAAAGAAGCCTAAATGACCAATAAACATAACAACTCACACTCATTTCATCATTATTAATATTATTATTTGAGACAGGGTCTTGCTCTGTTGCCCAGGGTGGAGTACACTGGTGTGATCATAGCTCACTGCAGCCTCAAACCTGGGGGCTCAAGTGATCATCCAGTCTCAGTCTCCAGAGTAGCTGGGACTACAGGTATGCACCACTATGCCTGAGTCATTTCACTGTTAATGAGGAAAATGGAAAAATAAAATTCTTTACCAGATTTGACTACCTTGGTAAGTATGTGGAGCAGTGGAGACATTTATATACTATTAGGTGATGCAAAAGTAATTGCGGTTTTTGTCATTAAAAGTAATGGCAAAACTGCATTACTTTTGCACCAACCTAATACTATAAGTAGTACTGAAAATTGTACATCAACATTAGAGAGCGATTGAGCATTATGTAACAAAGCTAAATAGCTTATTTCTTATGGCAAAAGCTATTTTACATTAGGTTTATGTTCAAGAATGCATATTGTTCTACAGCAGGTTTATTGCTATATTGTAATTTTTAGTAATTGTAAAAGTTTAAGTTAGGACAAAACCAATATCTATTTATGAAAAAAAAATAGGTGGTTAAAAATGGTCAATTTGCCAGGCACAGTGGCTTATATCTGTATTCCCAGCACTTTGGGAGGCCAAGGAGGATGGATCACCTGAGGCCAGGAGTTCAAGACCAGACTGGACAACATGGTGAAACCCCGTCTCTACTAAAAACATACAAAAATTAACGGGGTGTGGTGGCACACTTCTGTAATCCCAGCTACTCAGGAGGCTGAGGTAGAATCGCTTGAACCTAGGAAGTGGAGGTTGCAGTGAGCCAAGATCGCGCCACTGCACTGCAGCCTGGGATACAAAGCAAGACTCCATCTCAAAAAAAAAAAAAAAAAAAAAAAGTGGTCAATTTAAATGGAATATTTAGAATAATGAAAATGAAAATGTATACAATATTATTACATAAATTAGCATCATTACATATCATAAACAACCCTCATCATTATTGTGATACTCTGTGTGGGAATTTTCAAAATAGGTAAACAGCACTATAAGTTGCATATGAGCATAGCCAGAGGTAAAAGTGCACATACACATCTGAATAATGACTAAGAAGTTAAAGAATGTTTTCCCTTGGTGGTGAAGGAAAGTGAGCAGAGTAGGAGGAGTACACAGAAAGCTATAATTGTGATTTTAATTTTAACTTACTAAACTTGAAGGTGAGTGTGTGTGTTCAATAGATTATTGTTTAAATTTTGTAGTATTTTTTAAAATAGACATTTTTCTTTTTTTTTTTTTTTTTTTTGGAGACAGAGTTTGCTCTTGTTGCCCAAGCTGGAGTGCAATGGCATGATCTCGGCTCACTGCAACCTCCGCCTCCCAGGCTCCAGTGATTCTCCTGCCTCAGCCTCCTGAGTAGCTGAGATTACAGGCACGTGCCACCACACTGGGCTAATTTTTTGTATTTTTAGTAGAAACAGTGTTTCAACATGTTAGCCAGGCTGGTCTTGAACTCCTGACCTCAGGTGATCCACCTGCTTTGGCCTCCCAAAGTGATGGGATTACAGGCGTGAGTCACTTTGCCCGACCAAAAATAGACTTTATTTCTTAGAGCAGTTTTAGGTTCACAGCAAAATTGAGCAGAAGATACAAAGAGGTCTCATATATGCCCTCCCTTCACACATGCACAACCTCTTCCATTATTAACATCTCCCATCAAAATGGTACCTTGGTTATAACTGTTGAACCTACAATGTCACCTCATTAGCACCCAAAGCCCACAATTTACATTAGGGCTCACTCCTGATACTGAACATTTTCTGGATTTGGACAAATATAAAATGACATTTATCCACCATTGTAGAATCATAGAGTAGTTTCACTGCACTAAAAATCCTCTGTGCTTCATCCATGTATCCCTTTCTTTCCTAATTCCTGGACTAGAAATAGCTAATCTTTTTACTGTCTCCATAATTTTTCCTGTTTCATTGTCACATAGTTGGAATCATACAGTATACAGCCTTTGCAAATTGACTTCTTTCACCTAGTAATATACGTTTAAGTTTCCTCCATGTCTTTTTATGGCTTGATAGCTCATTTCATTTTAGTGGTGAACAATGCTCCATTTCATGGATTTACCAGTTTATTCATCCACTTATTTACTGAAGGACATCTTGGTTGCTTCAAAGTTTTGGCAATTATGAATAAAGATATGAAAAATCATATGTAGGTTTTTGTGCACATTTTATGCAGCTCCTCTGGGTAAATACAAATGAGTGTGATTGCTATATCATATGGTTAAAGTATGTTTTGTTTTGTAAGAGACTACCAAACTGTCTTGCAAAGTGACTATGCCATTTGCATTCCCATCATCAATGAATGCTCTTGTTGCTTCACATCCTCACCAGCATTTGCTATTGCTCTGGATTTTGCCCATTTGAACAGGTATGCAGTGGTACCTTGTTGTTTTAGCTTGCATTTCCTAAATGACATATGATGTGGAGCATCTTTTTATATGTTTGCAATATATTTTTTATTATCTTTTGTTTAAAATATGTCATAAACATTTTAAGAGGCAGGGTGTTGTGGCTCATGCCTGTAATACTGCAATTTGGGAGGCCAAGGCAGGAGGATCTCTTGAGATCACTAGTTCAAGACCAGCCTGGGCAAGAGAGCAAGACTCCGTCTACACAAAAATTTAAAAAATTAGCCATGTACGGTGGTGTTTACTTGTAGTCTCAGCAACATGGGAGGCTGAGGCAGGAGGATCACTTGAGACTAGGAGGTTGAGGCTGAAGTGGGCTGTGATCACACCACTGCATTCAAGCCTGGGTGATAGAGACCCTGTCTCTAGAAGAAAACAAAAAGATCTAGAAGTATTCATATATTAAATCTTTGGAAAGAGCAGGGCTAAACTAATGTCCTAGAACAGGGGTCCCCAACCCCTGGGCCATGGACCACTACCAGTCTGTTAGGAACCGGGCCACGTAGCAGGAGGTGAGCAGCAGGTGAGCAAGTGAAGCTTCATCTGTGTTTAGAGCCACTCCCATCACTCCCATTACTGCCTGATCTCCACCTCCTGTCAGATCATCAGCAGCATTAGATTATCACGGGAGCACAAATCTGCTGTGAACCGTGCATGCGAGGGATCTAGGTTGTGTGCTACTTGTGAGAATCTAATGCTTAATGATCTGTCACTGTCTCCCATCAGCCCCAGATGGGACCATCTAGTTGCAGGAAAACCACCTCAGGGCTCCCACGGACTCTACCTTATGGTGAGTTGTACAATTATTTTATTATATATTACAATGTAATAATAATAGAAATAAAGTGCACAATAAATATAATGTGCTGGAATCATCCTGAAACCACCCCCTCTCCCCGCTCCCAGTCAGTGAAAAAATGGTCTTCCACGAAACCTGTCCCTGGCACCAAAAACGTTGGGGACTCCTGCCCTAGTATCAAAGGATCTCTATGACAGATAACTGTGAACAGATATATGGAGAAGTAGGGGCACTGCATGTTTAGAACAGGCTCAGGAATCTCATCATTTCATTCAGAGTAGCTTTTAGAAACAGGGTTTATACAAAAATTAGCTGGGCATAGTGGTGCACACCTGTAGTCCCAGCTACTTGGGAGGCTAAGGCAGGAGAATCGCTTGAACCTGGGAGGCAGAGGTTGCAGTGAACCGAGACTGGGCCACTGCACTCCAGCCTGGGCAACAGAGCGAGACTCTATCTCAAAAAAAAAAAAAAAAGAAAAAAAAAAAAGAAACAGGGTTTATACATATTATTTTGTGGAGTCTTAGATACCTACTATAAGTAGAGAGTAATGTAGAGGCACCACCGTGTCAACACAGCCCTCCTGATTGACAAGGTGACCCGCTGCTACATGATGAGAGTAGGATGGAGCACTTCAGTAAAAAGCTACAACATTAAAACATGGCTCCTTAACATTTCAGCAGTCCTAAATAAGGGTGAGAAACTTGCACTATCTGCAATTGTCCCCTAATTTAAATATGAATAACTTAAAACGTGTCACATCTAGGGAAATTAAAATGGAATGCAAGAACAATGTTTTTAGAACTCTGGAAATGTTTTTGAACAGAAGTCTATAAGGGTGAAGTAGATGAGGTGGGAAATATATAGGGAAAGTATTTTTAGTTAAAGGCTAAAGGCTCTTTTATTATCTTCAGACTACTGGGAGTTACAAGTCCTTAAATGAAAGCTGGGAAAATGAGGCATACATTATAACATTTCTTGGTATTCTAGGAATGAATAAGTACAAAAGAGAGTATGATGAAGAATTTCCTAAGCTTCCCTTATACTGCTGTCTATCCCCTTCCTACAGTATTGATCTCCAAAGCCAGCACTAGTTTTTCCAGTTATTGATTATTTTAAATATTGCACTAGAAGAGGCCAGAATCCACTTAGTATTATTTTTTGTTCACTAGTTTATACTATTTTCGTTAGTACCTTAACTTACTTTTTTCACCCTTCATTTACATACACTTACACAGGCCTTTTTTTAAATTTGAAAAGAAAATAGATGAACACAAGTTAATCGACAGGTTCAAGTTTGGAAATCAAAATTATTTTATTTTAAATCCCAATTATAATATTACAGATTACATTCTGTATCCCACAAGGAGGAATTAAATTTGTCTACCCTATGTAGAACTGGCGGAAGCCGTTCATGAACGCTTGACATTAATTGAGGTCAGGGTTGGTGGTTAGTGTTTATCCTCGGTATTGGTTATAGTTTCTAGTATAGAAAATTTAAACTATTTCATTACAATTATTTGGGTTGCAAGTTGATAAACACAACTTAAAATTTCTTAAGAAGAAAAAAAATAAAAGCTTTTTGTTGCCTTATGCTTGAGAAGTCCAAATGAAGGGAACAGTGTTTAACGCAGTTGGATATGAATAGACTTGAATCGTCTGGTTGGGGAACCATGAATGGCAGGCATGATAGGGCTGCTTGTTGAAAAGCCTTCCCAGAACTACACTAAACGGACTGGAGATCCTCTCACCCCAAAACAGAGAAATTGAGCAAACAAAAATAATAGACAACAAATTATCTAACCTGTTGAGCATGTCTTTTTATTTTGATACCTTTACAATTTGTGGGCTTCCTGACACCGGAGGAGACTGTTCCCCCAGAGTTAGCTAAATCCTACAGATAGCAAACAACTCCCCAGGAGTGAATCTTTCTTAGGCAAATTAACCAATCCAGAGCTCACTCACTGCCTTGAAGCTCTTACGCTCCAGGCCAATATTTCCCTGCCCTAATCACTCCATTGCCAGGTACTAGACAACTCAGGAAACCCCTACAATCTAGAGTACACTGAAATTGTTCACACTTGCCAGTTCTAAGTTGTTTATCCTGCCTTGCTCATTAAAGCTCTGACTCACATTTTCTGCTTGCTCCCTCTGCCTCCTGGCTGACCTGGTGTTTCTGCCTATGGCCCTGCATGTGTGCACTGACTCCTGCTTCTAGAGTTCTGTGCATATAAACTTCTTCCTTCGTGCCAGTCATTTCTGTGTCTGCATGTTTTACTAGACCTGATGAATACAAATCTTGGGTGCATTTTAAAATACAATCTAGTATACTTATACCTTGGAAATCAAATTAATTAACCAATTAATTAAATTAATTTACTAATTTATTAACCAATTAATTTACAAAGTAACCAATTAATTAAATTAATTTACTAATGTGTTTATTTTGAATTTTAAATTAATTATAATTAATTTATCAATTTATTATGCAGTTGATACTTGTTAAGTACTTAGTTTGTCCTAATGCAAATATTATTATTTCTTTAACTTAGGTACTAAAAACCACCTATTAGTTCAGGTTCTTCAAATTACACTTTTCCTTCATTATCTCTGAGTACCCTCTCTCATAGCATCTTGAAATTTACAAGGTATTTCAAGACTTTGGAAATTGTAGTATATAAATCAAGTATATAAATCAAGAAAGAGAGGGAGGAGTAGAAAGACACTCAAAGTCAATAGATTAATCAAATATTTTATTTTTTTATTTTTACATTTTCTTAGTTTCAACTCAGAAATAAGGAGTTATAGATCACTTGAGTTTTTTTCAATACATATATTTTAAGACTTGAATCAGATTTCATGTTTTTTTTACTTTGCTTTTTACCCACAATTTTATTTATTTTTAAAAATGTTTTCATTTTAACTTTTCGTGGATATATAACACCCACAAGTTTATTTTCACATATGTGATAAACATTCTAAAACACACATTCCAAATAATTCAAAAATTGGATCAAGAAAAATATAATATTCTTATAAAACCTAATAATAAAAACAGACCATGGTAAAGAAGCAAACACAGGCTGGACATGGTGGCTCATGCCTGTAATCCCAGCACTTTGGGAGGCCGAGGGGGGTGGATCACAAGGTCAGGAGATCGAGACCATCCTGGCTAACACGGTGAAACCCTGTCTCTACTAAAAATACAAAAAATTAGATGGACGTGGTGGCAGGCGCCTGTAGTCCTAGCTACTTGGGAGGCTGAGGCAGGAGAATGGCGTGAACCCCGGAGGCAGAGGTTGCAGTGAGCCAAGATCGCGCCACTGCATTCCAGCCTGGGGGACAGAGCGAGACTCCGTCTCAAAAAAAAAAAAAAAAAAAAAAAAAAAAGAAGCAGCAAACACAAATGGAAAGAATATTCATCAAAAGTTATAGAGAGATTAATTTTGAACATGCTTTACTGGAAGTGAGTTTTTAATCTGAATTTAAGGACCAAGGCCATGAGTTTATAAAATGTTTGGGTAAGGTGTGTCAGTTTGGAACTAAACAGAAAATTAAGTGCTCTCCCTGCATTCCAACTTCGACTCAAATCCCTTTTATCACAATGAAGAAAGCACAGGAAAATTTTATGAGAGAAATGATTTTGTAGACATAAGTTTTAAACAGTTTTAGTTTATATTTTAAAGTAAAGGCAACCATAAAGACAAGGAACTTATTAATAGTTCAACGAGTTTGGGATACACCTCCCAACTGATTGGATGATATTGTTGTGGGTCACATTTAGAGAGAGAACAAATAAGAGGTCTTGCAGAAATCTTGCAGTGGGATAAGTGGCTTCAACAAAGTGAACACATAAACTCAATGTAATTATCAGGCCACTGAGAAGTAGAAGTCCCTTTATGGAGTCTCTAAAAATCAGGGGCCTTGGAAGTATTGTGAAAATTAGAAAGACATTAAACCATCTTCCCTTAAAACACGGTGTTATAATAAGTCAAACATAAGACACAAATATTTGTGGAGATATGCATAAACTCTAGTAAGTAGAATTAGACTTTGCTTACCAAAGTCATCTAATTTTGTGGTCTACCATTGCAACATTTTTGGGAGACCATTATCAAGGAAATTCTAAGCGTGTGTCTATGTAGAGAGACCACAGCAGTAGAAATAAAACTCCAGTGAACTACTGAAACCAAAAAGTTAAGGAGACGATATTGATCGTTTAATTAAATAAATCAGCCCTGTGGATTGAAAATGAGTTTTTAGAACTGCAGCTTGCAACACAGTCGCACATACTTTAATGAGGTAAAGACACCCAGGGAGAGAACTTGGCAGCATTGTGGCATGGTGTATATATGCATTTGGGCAATTTCCAGGAGAGTTTCCAATGAGCCAACATATAATAAAAGGAATAGAAACAGCCTTGGCAGCAACACACTGGAAGCCAGCAGAATCTATGCCAAGTCTGGCAGCAGAGGTAAAGGCTGCCACAATAATGATTTAGGAGTACAGCTTTGCAATCTTTCCCAAACAAAGAGTGCTTGGAGGGAAATCACTCTCTGTTCAGAGTCCTAATTGAAGGAAAGTTGTCTTTACCCACCCACTTTATTCACCAAATCTCACACCCATGATTTTCAAAGCTAGCTTGTAAGTACTGTTGGACACAATCCTTTGTCTTGCTCTGCCCTGGGAAAAAAGGTACTCATAGAGAGACCTTTCAGCAGTTTCAGACATTGATGATCTGTAGTACATGCAGAAACTAAGTCTAATAGCTAAAATTAGTTTGCTTTTGCAGGGCTTTCAATTCTTCCATTTCACATAGCCCGCATTTGCTCAGTTTACATTGCAAAAGCCCAGTGTCCATTTTTGTTTTGTTCTGCGTTAGGCTGTGTCTTTTTTTTTCATCATGACTCTCCAGCACAGTCAATGAAGACAGAAATAAGTAGAATATTCCTGTTCCTCCTTGACTTCGGGATTCCCATAGGCTGCATTTTGATGCCCCAGGTTGTGAGGCAACAACACGTCTTTCCTCACCTGTGTGTTCTGCATGCAAGAACAAATGCAGAAGGGACGTCCAAAGAGAGTACGCCTTGAGAAAGTACAGGTTTTATCTTCCACAAGCACATTACATCCTACACTAGACTCCACCCCATGTGTGAATGGTAATATGGAAGCTTGCCAAACACCTCCCTAATCTGCATTCAGTCTGATGCTGCGGACTTGAGTTTTGTTACACTCTTCACTAATAATTTGTTGCATACTTGTACTGACTCACTTTAATTCTATTTTTTTTAGGTTTTCCAGTTAATATGTGGACCAAAAAAGCACAACTGGACCAATATATAAAATAAACACACTCCTTTACTACAACAATTCGGGAAACTAAATTTTCAATGATGGAAGGAATGGTTATATGGTTAAAACCAAATGCTAATGTTGGATACTTTTATTAATTCAATAAATGAATATTCATTTATTTATTTACTGAGCTCCTACTGTGTGCCATGCACTATTCTTGGTTCTTGACATACTTCTATGAACAAAGAAATATAGAGTTTACTTTCTAATGTGGATGAGAGGAAGGTATAAACAACCAAACAACTAAGGAAATACTTTCATACTATGTCGGGGGTGAATTGAACTAATAGAAATTAAAGCAGAATAAGAGGATAGAGTGGCATGGAAAGATACAATGTAACAGTATGCAAAAAGCAATGCACAACTTGGCCCGGAGAAGAAAATTTCCAGACAAATTATATAGATAAGCCTTTCCTGATGATTATATTATTTTTCCAGTCTTTTCCTGTGATAGTAAATTTTATATGTTAACTTGCCTAGGCTAATGGATGCCTAGATGGCTGGTAAAATATCATTTCTGGCTATGTCTATGAGGGTATTTCAGCATGAGATGAGCATTTATTTGAATTGGTGCATGAGTAAAGCATATGGCCCTTCATTTGCCCAAATGTAAGTTTACATCATCCAAATCATTCAGGACTTGAAAATGACTAAAAGACAAAATAAGGTTAAATTCACTCTCTGCCTGACTGCTTGAATTGGGATAGCAATCTTCTCATGCCCTTGGCACTCATTCCTGCTTCTCAGGCAGTCAAATTTTGAGTGGAATGTTCGCCATCAGCTCTCTGTCCCTCAGGCCTTCCAACTATACCAACACCAGCTTTCCTCCATCTCCAGCTTTCAGAGGGCAGAGCATGGGACTTCTCAGCTTTGGTAATCATGCAAGACTGTTGTTATTATACCTTATGATAAATCTTTCTCTATATATATATATGTATTTATATATATATTCTATTGGTTTTGTTTCTCTGGAGAACCCTGACTAATGTACTCCATAAACCATGCACTTGCGTAAAAAGTCACACTTACTAACAAAGATCTAGAATCATTAAGAAAGGAGACAGCAGGGGAGGTTTTTTTTATGTTTGCCCATTTTGTTGTCTCTCTCCTTTAACTTTCAGTGTTAGTGCTCACAATTAAGTACTAAGCAGTCAATCTTTCAGACTCCTCACCTATGACAACCATAATCCTTTAAAACCATGTTTTCTTTTTTTTTTTTTTTTTTTTTTGAGATGAAGTCTTGCTGTGTCACCAGGCTGTAGTGCAGTGGTGCAATCTCGGCTAACTGCAACCTCCAACTCCTTGGTTCAAGTGATTCTCCTGCCTCAGCCTCCTGAGTAGCTGGGATTACAGGCGTGTATCACCACGCCCAGCTAATTTTTATATTTTTAATAGAGTTGGGGTTTCACCATGTTGGCCAGGCTGGTCTTGAACCCCTGACCTCAGGTGATCCATCGACCTTGGCCTCCTAAAGTACTGGGGTTTAGCCACTGCGCCTGGCCAAAACCACATGTTTTCTTAACATTCTTAATATTAATTTAATAATACTAACTTATAAGGATTGACATTTTCTTAAACCTCCATTTTTTTTCCTCCATAATTCTAGTCCCATGATATATTTCTAAAAAAAAATTCCTGATATACTACAATATGACATTTGAAAATATAACAGTATCAGTTTTAGGACACTTAAACTAAAATATACTTAACAAACAGCACACAGAAAGACTGTGAATGTTTCATAAGAAAAGCAAGTAGAAAAATTTGATGGACCACATAGGTCCAAGTCAGAATTATTTTTGAAATAAATTGCTTTTATTAAATTTACTTAATGTTAAATAGACAATGAATAAATTCTATGCTTCAATTTCTCACTTATAGAATATGGGTACATTGGTAATGCACAGAACTTTTATCTTTTATTTTTCTCTTGTATATTGGAAATAAATAGATAATGCATTTGACCAATGATTTAAAAATATTGGTGAATTTACTGCAAAGAAAAAGCCCCTTGTCTTTTAGTTTGAGATAGTAACAACATCAATGAACTAATAAATTAGGCTCACTTGAGATTTTGTTTCCATGAGAGAGAATAAAATTAGCCTCTGGCATTCACATGGATATTTTATAAGGAATTTCACTTTTTTGTAACTTCTGCATTTTGAAACTGCTATGGGAATTTTGTATTGTTACAATTTTTCCAAGAAAAGATAAATTATCTTCTAGAGTAAACATAAATATAGTTTTTTTTCCTTTCTCAAATCTGCATAGAAAAAAAATATGTCTTTTTTTATGACACTTAACCAAAAGCGAGAGACTCGTGAGTCCCAGCACCAGCTGTACACACATATCTCATGGGAAAGAAACATTCAAAGCAAGCCCAGAGCATGGTGCTGCTTCTCAAGAAGGTCCTGTCTGTGGTAGTGTGAGATGCTCATCTTTATGCTTCTCCAGTAGGCAAGTCTCCTGCCTGTTGATGAAGGCTACTGCATTAGCCTGTGCTCTAAATCCAGAAGTCCTGACAGGCTCCAAGACATCAGCCAAGTCTGGAGATTATAAGGCAGAGGCAATATGTATTATCCCTGTCATGCTTTTCTGTTATTTAGTGATTAGCAAATTGATCTCCAGTTAACAAAATAACAAGGAAGGTTGGTTCTAATTAGTGTGTAATACCTTTAGAGATGATAATATGTGAGAGTTCAAGGAAAATTTCCTTGTGTTATTGCAAGCCATTCGTCAATACCTGTGCTACTGGGAAAATTACTGAGTTAGATACATTGATCTTTAAGATACTAAACTAAATGAGCCAACATATATCACCATAGACTTTAATAATAATATAGCAAGACTCACAAAAGTAAACAGTATGCACTGAGTGTAGAGTAATAGGAATATGCCTAGGAAAATGAGCAAATCTTTATGATAGAGTTTTAGGCAATTTTCACTGACCATTTATTTTTAGCCAGGCAGAAGTAGAGGTGATCCACTGCCAGCTATTGTCCCAGCTGTCTTCAGATGGTCAGCTGATAAAAAGCAATCTCATGGGAATGCCAAGATTTTTTGTCATTTTCCTTATCTTTTGATTATACAATGAATCTAAGGAAAACAAAGTTTCAGCATAATATCCAATCTAAAAATAGAGTTTATTGTGTTTAGTACATTTTTAACTTAAACTTACTGTGAAACACAAAAATAGAAATGCCTTTGGGACAGCCGTGGTGGCTCACACCTGTAATCCAGGCATTTTGGGAGGTTGAGGCAGGATGACTGTTTGAATCCAAGAGTTCGAGCCCAGCCTGGGCAACATTGCAAGACCCTATCCCCTACAAAAAATAAAAACTTAGCTAGGCATGGTGGCAGGTGTCTGTGGTCCCAGCTACTTGGGAGGCTGAAGTGAAAGAATCACTTGAGCCTAGGAGTTTGAGGCTGCGGTGAGCTATGATCATGCCACTACACTCCAGCCTGGGCAACAAACTAAACAAAGAGAAATGCTTTTGCTCAAAAAATCAAAAATATTCACATTACCTTTCAGATAAAGTTCAAAAACATATTAACAGTACATGTGACATTTCACAGTAGTTCAACCTAATCTTTTCACTACTTTTGAAAGCCTGTTTTCTTTTAGACAACAGTGTATTTTGGTCTGTCACTCAATAAACAGTATGCATTTTCTCATCTCTATATTTTCTTGTGGTTTTCTGTTTGTATGTTCTGCTGGTGATGGGTATTCTTTTCTTTTTCTAAGCCAATCACTTCTTAAGGTTTATATAAATCCCAACTCTATTGTGAGACTTTCTCAGATGGTTGTAACAAATATTTTTCATTCTAATGACTATCCAGAGCACAGGTTTACTGAACAAAGCATTATGCCATGTGCCTCTTAGTGTTTACTTTCAAACTTACATTCTCACCACAATGTTTTTTTTTTTTTTTGAGATGGAGTCTTGCTCTGTCACCCAGGCTGGAGTGCAGTGGCACGCTCTTGGCTCACTGCAACCTCCACCTCCCATGTTTAAGCGATTCTCCTGCCTCAGCCTCCTGAGTAGCTGGGATTACAGGCATGCACCACCACACCTGGCTAATTTTTGTATTTTTAATAGAGACAGGTTGTCACCATATTGGTCAGGCTGGTCTCAAACTCCTGACCTGGTGATCCTGCCTCAGCCTCCCAAAGTCCTGGGATTGCAAAAGGCAAATCTTATTTTTTCTGCAAGATTATGGATTTGATGCTCAGGTATTGCATTTCTAACTCAATAATTAACAGAGGTAAGAGTTTACCATCTTCTTATTCTACACTCCTGGTAGCATAGTATGAAGCTAGCTATATATTACATTGTTAATAAATACTTGTTAAACTAAACAAAAAACTAAAACACCTCTTTTTGATTATTTAACATTTTTACCTAATGATGTTACTTTATCATTTTTGTCTGGCATAATTTATTGACATAACCTTTATGTGTTTTATTTCCTGTTGTTAAGGAGGTATCCTCTTGTTTCATCATTCAATTAAAATACCCATACATCACAATGACAGGGCTACATGAGGAGAAGTGTGTCATTAGGTCATTTGATCATTGTGCAAACACCATAGGACGTACTTACACAAACTTAGGTGGTATAACCTACTACACACCTGGGCTATGTGGAATAGCCTATTGCTTCTAGTCTTCAAACCTGTACAGCATGCTACTATGCTATTAAAAAATTAATAATTAACTAATTATGAATAAAAACTATAGGCAATCATAACACAATGGTAAGCATTTGTGTGTCTAAACATACCTAAACATGGAAAAGGGACAGTAAAAATATGGTATAAAAGATAAAAACTGGTACACCTGTACAGGCAGGCCCCATAAGTGGAGGCTGCAGGACTGGAGATTGCTGTGGGTGAGTCCATAGGTAGTGAGTGAACCTGAAAGCCTAGGACTTTACTGTACATGCTGTAGACTCTCTAAGCACTGTACACTCAGGCTACACTAAATTTATAAGGAAAACAAAAAATGCACTTTGATATCACCAGGAGATAGGAATTTTTCAGCTTCATTATACTCTTATGGGGCCCTCGTCACATATGCAGTCCAACGTTGACTGAAACATGGCTATGTGGCACATGACTGTATAGAAATTATTGATCTTAGGAATTAATTTAATTATCAGATCAGCAGCTACCATATTGGCCATATTTTTTGTTAAATTTTTTTTTGTTAAATTTTCTTAAAATTTTGTTAAATTTTTTGTTAAATTTTTAAATATTTCTTAAATTTTCAAATGCTCTATTATATAGAAGAAAACACAATAAACAGTAAAGTTATTAATAGAGATCATAAAACATGTTTATGGTTATAGATAGTAAGTGGTAGAACTAAACTGAATCCAAACAAGTCCTAAACCATCTCCATTTATTTTTTTAATTTATATTTATTATATTTTTAAGATTTAGATCTTTTGGTAGAAAAAGGCATCATGTATGATAGTATTTAATTTGAAGACACAGATTAATATTAGACCATATTAGGCCACATAAAAACATTTTGGTATAATGTAAATAGAGAAGAATAGATTTGCTCAAAGCATATCTATGGTGCAGGTTAATAAAAAAATCTAGGCTGGGTGCGGTGGCTCACGCCTCTAATCCCAGCACTTCGGGATGTCAAGCTGGGCAGATCACGAAGTCAGGAGTTCTAGACCAACCTGGCCAACATGGTGAAACCCCATCTCTACTAAAAATACAAAAATTAGCCAGGCGTGGTGGTGCACGCCTGTAATCCCAGCTACTCGGGAAGCTGAGTCAGGAGAACTGCTTGAACCTGGGAGGTGGAGGTTGCAGTGAGCCCAGATTGTGCCACTGCACTCCAGCCTGGGCGACAGAGCAAGATTCTGTCTTGGAAAACAAACAAATGAACAAAAACCTTAAAGCTAATTACTTCACCAACTTCTCTATCTTTACTAATGAAATTAGACATGTTATACATATATAACATATATAAAACATTCCTTTCTATGCAGGCAAACTACAGTTCTGAGGGATTAAAGACACTTTAGCTAATAGGTGGTTGAGAACAAACTGCCTCTTGCTTGCTATTCTACTCTCAGTTCTTTTGGTTTTCTTCCACAGCATTTAGTTTTCACAAATTGACAACTAAAATTAATTTTGTTCTAATAATGAAGCAAGTATTATTGTTTTTCTAAAGATAGAAAGAGGGGAATAGAATGCAAAATTCTGAGATGATCCATAAATGAGGGAAGGGAAGGGGAGAAAATTATACTACTATGATGTGATAGGATGTGACTGATTCTATCAATTTGTTAAAAGTGCAGTATTTTAAGGACAAAACATGCTCTCTTTGGAAAGCGATCTTTCAAAGCAAACTTTTTTCTCCAAATAGACATTTACATATACCTTTGAGTAAGAAGGACACATACATGATACTTACTGTGTTGTTTCAATAGGATTTTCATAGCAGATGACTTTGCAGATGAAAGTTGCTTTAAAATGAAATGCCATGTATATTTTTTTCTATTGTGATAAGTATAAAGGAGATCTTAATATAGAAGGCAACTTGAGAAGGAATACATTGACTGAAAGGCCTATTATGCCGATTGAATTCTCAAGTACTAATATGATCTTGTTCTTTATTATGGAGAAAATAAATTCATTGACCATAATTGCTCTCAGAGCTCAATGAGCACAATAATTGTATTGTGCAGAGAAAAAGGAAAAAGAATTGTAGTATTATGATTTAATTTATGCTGGCACAGAAGTGGGTTAGCTCATCATTTTTTGGGAAAACCATCATTTTAATGCAATTAAACATTTATTTCTTAATTTTTCACCAGATTACATCTACTTATTAACTTGTGAGAGAATGTGTATTGATCCTTATAACTGAAACATATTTACTATGTCACAGCTTACAACATTTACACTGTAAAACAGGAAATAATATATCACATCAAGGCTGTCATCTTTGTAATTGCTTTGCAAGCAATACTATTGGGAACCCAGAAAATCTGAGACAGGTCTCAGTTAATTCAGAAAGTTTATTTTGCCAAGGTTGAGAATGCGCCCGCAACACAACTAGGCTGCCAATAATAAGGGAGGAGGAAGTGAGGGGTAAAGTCTGGAATAGTCCTCCTATTTTTTGGATAGCTTGCTGATCGTCGAGGTTATGAATTTTATACATTTTAGGGAGACATGAGACATTCATCAACATATGTAAGAAGTACATTGGTTTGGTCTGAAAAGGCGGGACAACTTGAAGCAAAGGCAGGAAGATTTGAAATGGAGAGGGAGCTTCCAGGTCACAGATAGGTGAGACACAAAGAGTTCCATTCTTTTGACTTTCTAACTAGCCTTTCCAAAGGAGGCAATCACATAGGCATCTATTGCAGTGAGCAGAGGGATAACTTTGAATAGAATGGGAGGCAGGTTTGCCCTAAGCACTTTCCAGCTTGAGTTTTCCTTAGTGATTCTGGGCACCCAAGATATTTTATTTTCACACTACGTATTATGAGGTAAATTTGCTTAATTTTTATAGACATTAGAAATGTAAAGAGTTTCTTGACTATCAATCATAACCAATATAGTACATTGAATATTATGTATTTGAACATTCAATGTTTTCTAATTTGGAAATATTTTAGTTTCTGATTTTGTTATATTTAAAGTATAGTTCTAAGACCTTTGCATAGAAATAAAAAATAAAATGAACGTTAAAAATGTGAAACTATATCTCATGTAACAAATAGTGTAATGGTGTAAAAAATAATAATAGAATAATCATGTAAATAAGTTTATAATTGAAAACAGTAAGCACTATAAAGGAACATACAAGGTGTGAAAGTAATTAATAGGGGAATTAACATTAACTATAAGATTGAGAAGGCTTTTCTTCAGGAGGGGAGATGTTAATGAGCTAAGATAATGGAGTAGTGTATGTAAATATTCTTTGAAGTCATGTCATGAATAAGATCATCTAATGAGAAATGGTAGAAATAGAGAAGATCGAGAGAGAGAAAGAGAGAGAGAGACTTCTTATGAAACTTCAGTTTTAATGGTCCAGTTAAAATTGAAAAGTCAAAAAAGAGAACTGAAAAAGAGAGGCTAAAATAGGCAAAAATTTAGAAGTTTTCATGGAAGACAAGGATCAACAGTGTTTCTAGAAGGACAGGATCATGAACAGTACTGAATTTTGCTGAGAGGTCAAGCAAGATAAAGACAAAAATTTCCCTTGGTTTAGCGATAGAGATGTCATTGGACACTTTAGCAGGATCTTGGCTGGATGCTGTAGACAGAAAATGCAGATTAAAATGTTTAGAGTCATGAATAAAGGCAGCTTTTCTGAAATGGTAGAAGTGGAGATGGAGAGAAGGGGGTGAATGTCATTGGTATTTAGGATACACAATTGATCAGATCTTTTGATGGACTCTACATGGAATGAAAGGGAGAAGATAAAATAAATTATGATGTCTAAGTGTCTGGCTTGCTGATGGTGATAGTTACTGAGACAGAAAACCCTGGAAATAGACAAGCTGTGGGGTTTTATTATTTTTTTTTAGTGGGATGGAATGTATGAAATTGTAAATTTTATTTTGGGCATACTGAGCTTCAAATGACTTGGAGTTATCTAAATACATGAGTGGAAAAAGCTTATTGAATATGCTGGTCTGAAGATCAGAAGGGTAGATAGAGAAAGGGACTGTGAGAGGCAGAAATGTAGCACAATGGGAGAAATTTTATTTTAAGACAGTAAGAGGAACTCACCCGAGGAGAAGGTAAATATCAAAAGGGAAAAGAGATCATTGATAGCTTAGAAGATAGGAGTGGATGAGAACCAATCACAGGTGGAGTAATTGGCTTTAGGTAACAGGAAGAATAATTCTGCTATAGTAATAGGAGGGGAGAAGGGTAGCAAAGGATCCTGGATATGTTTAATTACAGGAAAATAAAGGATATGCCTTCTATTCTCCCTAAAGTAGAATGTGAGAAGTTGAATCCTACTTAACTGCTGAAATGGAGTGGGAATGGGAGGATGGGAGTTTGGGAAATGCACGCTATACCTATAGGCTGAAAAATGTGATGGACAGTTATTGTAAGGAATACTATGGATGATGATTAAATAACAACAGAAGAAAATGAATGCCTGTTTGGAAGAGAGATAGATTCACTGTTTTGTGTTTGGTAAGTGAATACCACAGAAAGTGGGATGTGAGAGGTGGCTCAGATTTTATAGAAGGAGCAGGGCATGCACGGCTAGAATACAGAATGAGCAAATCTGTTAGTGGCTGTATTGGGTCATTCTTGCATTGCTATAAATAAGCACCTGAGACTAGGTAATTTATAAAGAAAAGAGTTTTAATTGGCTCATGGCTTCACAGGCTGTACAGGATGCATAATGCTGACATCTGCTTGGCTTCTGGGGAGGCCTCAGGAAACTTACAATCATGTCAGAAGGTGAAGAGGAAGCAGGCACATCTTACATAACCAGAGCAGGAGCAACAGAGAGACAGGGGAGGTACTATACACTTTTAAACAACCAGATCTCACAACTCACCCATATCATGAGAACAGCACCAAGGGGGAAGTATGCCCCCATGATCAAACCACCTACCACCAGGCCCCACCTCTGAAATTGGTGATTATAATTTGACTGAGATTTGAGCAGGGACACAGATCCAAACCATATCATTCCATCCATGGTCCCTCCCAAATCTCATGTCTTTCTCACTTTGCAATATGCAGTCATACCCTCCCAACAGTCCCCCAAAATCTTAACTCATTCTAGCACTAACTCAAAAGACCAAAGTCCAAAGTCTCATCTAAGACAAGGCTAGCCCCGTTGGCCTATGAGCCTGTAAAATAAAAAAAATAAAAAAAAGTTAGTTACTCCCAAGATAAAATGGGGCTATAGGCATTAGGCAAATACTCTTGTTCCAAAAGGAAGAAATTGGCCAAATCAAAAGGGATACAGGCCCCATGCAAGTCTGAAACCCAGCAGGGCAGTTATTAATCCATAAAGCTTCAAAATAATCTCCTTTGACTCCATGTCTCCATCCAGGACACACAGGGGCCAGAGGTGAGCTCCCAAGGCCTTGGGAAGCTCCACCTTTATGGCTTTTCAGGGTTCAGCCCTCATGTTTACTGTCATGGGCTGTTGTTGAATGCCTGTGGCTCTCCCAGGTGCAGGGTGCAAACTGCCAGTGGGTCTACAATTCTGGGGTCTGGAGGATGATGGGTCTCTTCTCACTGCACCACCAGGCAGTGCTCCAGTGGGGACTCTATGTGGGGGATCCAACCCCACATTTCCCCTCCACAGTGCCCTCATAGAGGTTCCCCATGAGGGCTCTGCCCATGCAGCAGGCTTCTGTCTAGACATCCAGGCTTTTCCATACATCATCTGAAATTGAGGCAGAAGCTCCCAAGCCTCAACTCTTAAATTTTGTGCACTTGCAGGCTTAACACCACATGGAAGCCATCAAGATTTATGATTTGCAGTGGTCCAAGCTGTGCCTGGGTCCCTTTGAGCCACAGCTGAGACTAGAGCAGTGGGCACACAGAGAGTGATGTCCTTATGCTGCTCAGGGCAGTGGGGCACTGGACCTGGCACCCCAAACCATTCTTTCATTCTAAATCTTCAGGCCTGTGATGGGAGGGGCTGCCCTGAAGGTCCCTAAAATGTCTTCAAGGCCTTTTCCCCTTTGTCCTGGATATTAGCACTTGGTTCCTTTTTACTTATCCAAATTTCTGAAGCAAGCTTGAACTCTTCCCCTGAAAACAGACTTTTCTTTTCTATTGGGCTGTAAATTTTCCAAATTTGTATGCTTTGCTTCTTTTTTAAATATAAGTTCCAGTTTCAGGTCATTTTTTTGCTCACTCATGTTAGCATAAGTTGTTAGACATAGCCAGGTCACAACTTGAACACTTCGATGGTTAGAAATTTCTTCTGCCAGTTACCCTAAATCATCACTCTCAAGGTCAAAGTTCCACAGATCCCTAGGGCAGGGGAACAATCCAACCAAGGTCTTTGCCAAGGTGTAACAAATGTGTCCTTTGCTCCAGTTCCCAATAAGTTCCTCATTCCCATTTGAGACGTCCTCAGCCTGGACTTCATTGTTGGTATCACTATTGGCATTTTGGTCACAAAAATTTAACAACTCTCTAGGAAGTTCCAAATTTTCCCTCTTCTTCCTGTCTTCTTCTGAGCCCTCCATACTCTTCCAGCCTCTACCTGTTATCCAGTTCCAAAGATGCTTCCATGTTTTCAGGTATCTTTATAGAAATACTCCACCCCTGATACCAATTTTTTGTATTGAATTGTTCTCTCATTGCTATAAAGAAATACCTGAGACCAGGTAATTTATAAAGAAAAGAGGTTTAATTGGCTCACAGTTTGGCAGGCTGGACAAGATGCATGACGCTGGCATCTGCTTGACTTCTGGGGAGGCCTCAGGAAACTTACAATCATGGCAGAAGGTGAAGGGGAAGCAGGGACATTTTACTTGCCAGAGTAGGAGCAAGAGAGAGGGGTGGGGGAGGTGCTACACACTTTGAAACAACGAGATCTCATGATAACTCACTGGATCATGAGAAAAGCACCAAGTGGGAAATCTGCCCCTACAATACAACCACCTCCCAACAGGCCCCTCCTCCAACACTGGGTATTATAATTGGAATTGCAATTTGTACAGGCACAGATCCAAGCCATATCAGTGGGGTAATTAATAGGGCTGTTAGATTAAGTCCGACATGAGTAGACTAGTGGCTTATTTTGGAGATAAAGAACAAACAAGTTTAGATGAAAGTTGAAGACAAGTTTCTTAAAAACAGGCATTAAATTTTGATTAGCTGTGACAATTAAATCAATCCACCTTGAATGCTTATACACAGGGACTTGAAAGTTATGGAAATTGGGCCATGTGAAACTTATGCTATCAGAAGTTTGAAAAACAATTTGGAGCTGTGAATGTCAGGAATTGGGAATACCTAGAAGGCTAGTACAGAATTCATATGAAAAGTAATGAAGACCTGAAATAAGGTGGAAACGGGCAGGCAAGAAATGATTCTAAAGTGCATTCTGAAATACATGCCAATGTTTCTTATTCTTTATTGAAATTTTCTATTCCAATTTTGAATCAGATATCCTGGGGTTTTTGCTTTGTTTTCCTTTTTGGTCTCTATGTGGAGAAATCCAGAATGGAAAATACCATCATTAAGAAGCTTGTTGAGCCATCTGTCTGACTGGGAGGCTATTTCCCGTGGTTCTAACTAATGGTAATGACTTTGAATTTTATTTTAATTTTTAAAAAGAGTGAAAAAAGTTACATTGCACTGTATGAAAGAAAAATGTTCACAGTGGTAGGATAACTGTTTTCCTCTATTTTGAGAGCCCTCTTCATCAGTTAAGTACCACTAACCAATTTTTAAAGAAGAGTTAAGATGTTTGTCTCAGAAAAATAAAAATAATAAAAGTGTTTATCAAGATTTCCTTCTCCAAGCTAAGGTTCTATTTTGCTTGTAATCTATCCAGTTTTTTCTCAGGCATTAAGCATTATACTAAAATTGGAATAGAAAAACAAAACACTTTATTTTAGAGCACGTATATCCAAAAAGCTAAAGTGAAGAACAAAACAAAACTTATTATACTCTACTTTGTGCTGTATTGAGTTTTCTTCTTGCTTCTCACTTAAATGTTTGGTTTCAGAATTTTCAGATAACAAAATTGTCTATATTAAATTACTTGAAGTTTCCCCACAGTTCTTAGGGCATATATATTACATTGTAATAATCTCAAAGTGATTAAATCTCAAAGTTTTAATAAAGTATACAAAATTATTTCAAAATTTAATGTATTTGATAATACTACTATCAGAGACTTTGCTTTCAGTCAGGATGAAGAAAAGAGGACTTGATTTACCCTCCTGACTAAAATAACAACAACAAAAAACTAAAATAATATAAAACAATAATTTTTAAGGCACTAAAAATTTAGCAACAAAGAGTAGTGATTCTTCAGAAATGGGAAGCAAATGAGGGGAGCGTTATGGTTGTCCATGGTTACTGCTTTATGACAGTTCTGAGGCCACGGTGAAGAAAAGTTAATCCAGTTGGAGACCAGAGTTCTCTCTGAATTGAGAAAACAGAACTGACAGTCGGAGAGGAACAGAGGACCTAACATTTGTAGGGCTGAGTACTGGTAATTATAGAACTGCAAAGTTTAAAGAGAAATTTGGGAACCTGTAGAGTTTCCCTGTCAAGTGCTCAGCAGAATACTGATTAGCACTCAAGTGTAAGAAAACAATCCAAGGCTAGGGAAAAAAATCACCTAAAGGATTAATGGTAAGAGGGCTGGGAATAGTGATGTTTCCACCAAGCATCCCAGACAACCTCATGAATCATGTTGCGTTGGGTAGAGGTCACAGAATGGTCTTGCCTCAATAGTGCAGAATAATTAGCCCTACACTGAGCACTGTGCCAATTCTGCCTAAAACTCTTCCAAAAAGACAAAAAGGATCAAATGACTCCCCTGATACTTGACCACTTCCTAGAAGAAAATATTTATAAAATATAAAAATATCAATTACCCAGATAAAATTCACAGTAACTGAAATCTAATAAAAATCATCAGACATATAAAGAGGCAGGGAAATATGACTACTAATAGAGACAAATCAATCAATCAAAATGAATGCAGAACGGACAGAGGTTTTAGAATTAACGGACAAGCATATGGAAACAAATACAACTCTACCTCATATGTTCAAAGACACATAGATGCCATTAAACAGACTCAGAACTTGTAGTGATAAAAGCAATTGGGTAAGTGAAAAATATCCTCGGTGGTATTACAGCAAATTATACACTGCAAAATGAAAGGTTTGTGGACCTAAAAAGAGAGGTTCAAAGGTTTATAGCAAGAAAAACTGTCTTACATGAAACTCAGAGAGAAAACAGAATCAAATCAAGTGAGCAGGCCATAAAATAACTCTCAATGTATCTAAATGCATTGAAATCATACAATATATGTCCTGCAATATAACCACAATAGATTTAAATTAGAAATTCATAAAAAATTCTCTAGGAGATATCCACATATTTGTACATAAATAACACAATAATCCATGTGTCAAAAAAATAGAAAGTATTTCAAATTCAATTAAAATAAAGGCACACAAAATACAACAGATTCTGGTGACGTTGTGGAGAAAGCAATATTTTACACTGTTGGTGGGAGTGTAAATTAGTCTAATTATTGTGGAAGACAATGTGGTGATTCCTCAAAGATCTAGAAGCAGAAATACCATTTGGCCCAGGTTTCCCATTACTGGATACATACCCAAAGGAATATAAATCATTCTATTATAAAGATTCATGCACGTGTATATTCACTGTAGCACTATTCACAATAGCAAAGACATGGAACCTATCTAAATGCTCATCAATCATAGATTGGATAAAGAAAATATGGTACATATACACTCTGGAATACTATGCAGCCATAAAAAAGAATGAGATCATGTCCTTTGCAGGGACATGGATGGAGCTGGAAGCCATTATCCTCAGTAAACTGAAAATGCAGTAACAGAAGACCAAAAATCACATATTCTCACTTACAACTGGGAGTTGCATGATGAGAACACATGAGCAGGAACAGCATACGCTGGGGCCTGTCAGGGGTGGAGGTGTGGGAGGAGGGAGAGCAACAGGAAGAATAACTAATTGATGCTGGGCTTAATACCTAGGTGATGGGTTGATCTGTGCAGCAAACAATACTGGCACATGTTTACCTATGTAAAAAACTTGCACATCCTGCACATGTACCATGGAACTTAAAAGTTGAAAAAATATAACATAATATAATATAATATAATATAATAATATAATATAATATAATATAATATAATTAATATAATACAGATATATAAAAATCTGTGAGATGTGACAAAAACTGTGTTTAATTGGAAATTTATAACACTGTATACCTATACTAGGAAAGAAGAAAGTTCATAAATCATGGTCTTTATCTTCTTATTAAAGAACTAAAAAAGAAGAGCAAATTAAACATAAAGTAGGAAGATAAAAGAAATTATAAAGATCAGCATGAAAATTAGTGAAGTAAAAAACAGAAAAACAATAGAAAAATAAAAGAAACCAAAAGCTAGTTTTTTAAAAATATAGATTGATGATAAACGTCTAGCTAGACTGACCAAAACAAAAAGAGAGTAGACACATGTTGTCAATATCAGGATGGGAATATAACATTACTACCAAGATTTGATAATAAGATTATAAAATGCTTCCCCTCTCTTCCACCCTCCTGTCATATCAACAGGGTTCCTGTATAATAAAAGTAGATTACAGCTGAAAGAGCTGTCAGGTGCACATTCTACTTAAGAAGGAGTTTTTAGGGAAACTCAAAGATAAAACAAATGACAAGAACAAGGATATTAGAGGAAATAAAAGACTGAAACGTATAGCTACAAGAGACTTTAAAATTAGCCCAAATCCTAGTCAGATTGATGTCACACCTCAAAATAAAGGACTGCTTACAGAGCTCTGTTCCTTTTGCCCAATACATCATGTTGGCTTTAAACAAAAAAGTTTAAGTCTTGCCAAAAGACAGGAAAAAAATGTCTGAAGATATAAAACGAACAGAACAAGACTCATATATGATACAGATTTTGGAATTATCAGACAGAATTTAAAATAACTATGATTAATATGTAAAAGTCTCTAATGAGAAAAGTAGACAACATGTACTAACAGGTAAATAATGTAAAGATAAAGAAAATTTAAGAAAGAATTAAAAAGAGATTCTAGGAATAAAAAAATGCTAACAGAAATGCAGAAATGCTTTGATGAGCTCATCAGCAAGCTGGACATGGCTGAAGAAAGAATGAAGATCTATCAATATAAATTTTTGAACAGAAATTAAAAGAAAAATTAATTTTAAAAAGCTACACAATAGAAATTTCAAGATCTGCAGACTATCTCAAAATATTCAGCATATATGTAATAGGAGTAGTAGATGAGAATGAGAAGACAGAGAAGGGAGGAAGAATATTTGAAGTAATAATGGCTGAGGAGCTTCTAAAAGTAATGATAGACACCAAACCATAGAGCAAGAATCTCAGTGAACACTAAGCAGGATAAATACCAAAAATAAAGCAAAAAAAAGAAAAAAAATCCAAAGCTGTTTTTGGTTATAGCAAATTCAGATTATTGAAAACTAAGGACAAAGACAAAATCTTGAAAGCAGCAAGTAGAAAACAATACACCTTACTATAGAGAAATAAGGAAAGTTAATAAAAATATATATTTATATATATATAAATGGCTGATATATATATGATATATACCATATATATCAGAGAAATAAGGAACAGTTATATATATACTTTATATATATGTATTTTGAAGGCTGATATATATATTATATACTATATGTGATATATATATAGAAGCCTTCAAATAAACCTTCTGAAAGAATTTACTCACCACCATAAATATATATATACACACACACACAAGCACACACACACATCAGCCTTCTCTTAAAAGACCATGGCAACAAGAAAAATTGGAGCAACATTTTTAAAGCGATGAAGGAAAAAATTTACCAAACTAGAATACTATATCTAGGAAAATTACTATTCAAAAATGAAGAAATCTTTTCTCTGACAACCTAAAACCAAGGAAATTTATTGCCAACAGAAGACCCATACTATTAAAAAAAAAGTTAAAATAAATTCTTCAGTGAGAAGAAAAATAATCTAGAACACAAAATCAGATCTACACACACACAAAAGAATACTGTCCCAGAAGGAATAAACAAAGGTAAAATAAATAAATAAAAAATTAAATTGATCCAAAAGATAAATTTGCATTCAAAGCCATAATCACAATTATATATTGATTATAGAATATGTATACATAAAATGAATGACATCATTGTTATAAGGGAGAGGAAATGGTAATACTCTGCTATAAGTTGTGTGCATTAACTGTAAAATAATATAGTATTATTTGAAAGTATACACAGATTAGCTTTATATTTAGAGTATATTGCAAACTCTAGAACAAACACTAAAATATTCAAAAAATAAAGCATAATTTTAAATGCTGAAAGGATAGAAAATGGAATCATTTAAAATATTTGATTAAAACCAGAGAGGGCAGAAAAAGAGCAGATTAAAAAATTAAAACTTTTGCTCTTTGAAAGGCTTTCTCATTTTTCTTAGTTAAGTGATACTTAACAATTTACTTCTCTTTCCTTTCAGAATAAATGCAGACATGTTTCTGTTTTTAACTTTCCAAATCTGCTCTCAGTTTTTAAAATTAATTTTTAAAATGCCTGGTAAAAATTGTATATATTTATGGTGTACAGCATTGTGTTTTGATATATGGATACAATGAAGAATGGTTAAATCAAGCAATTTAACATATGCATTACCTCATATACTTACAAAATTTTTTGTGGTGAGAACATGGTTCTCTCAGTGATTTTTAAGTATACAATGCATTGTTATTAACTACAGTCAGCGTGGTGTACAATAGATCTCTTGCAATTATTCCTGCCATCTAACTCAAATTTGGTGCCTTTTGACCAATATCTCCCCAGTCCCTTCACCTATGCTGTTGGTCTCTGGTAAATGCTGCATTATATTCTTTTTCTGAGAGTTTATTTTATTTAGATTCTACATGTAAGTGGATCTATGATGTAGTATTTGTCTTTCTGTGCCTGGCTTATTTTACTTGAAATAATGTTCTCAAAGTTCATCCATGATGTCACAAATAAGAGGATTTCCACCTCTTTTAAAGCGGAATAGTACTCATTTTGTACATATACCAGTTTTATTTGTCTATTCATCTATTCATGGACACTTAGATTGATTCCAATGTCTTAAAAATTGTGGATAATGATGCAATAAACATTGGAAGGAAGATATCTTTTCTACATAATGATATCATTTAATTTGGATATATACCCAAAAAGGGATTGCTGGGTCATATGGTAGTTCTATTTTTAATTTCTTTAGGAACATTCATGCTGTTTTCCACAATAGCTGCATCAATCCACATTCCTATCAAGAGCATACATATGTTCTCTTTTCTGCAAACTCTCCCCAACACTTGTTATCTCTTATATTTATGTATAAGAGATTCTGTTAGTATGGTTATTTTTAGAGAATAGTCATCCTGACAGGATGATGTGATATGATATTTTATAGTAGTGTCATGTGTATTAAATGGTCTTTCTTTTCAGGATTCATTAAGAGGAACAATATTCTTTAAAGAGGGGACTTGCAAAACATACAGCAGAGGAAGGAGCAGGCAGCAATCTTTGCTGTTCTTCATCCTCCGCTGGTGATACCCAGGCAAATAGGGTCTGGAGTGGACCTCCAGCAAACTCCAGCAGACCTGCAGCAGAGGGGCCTGACTGTTAGAACGAAAACTAACAAACAGGAATAGCATCAACATCAACAAAAAGGACATCCAGACACAGAAAGATCACCAACATCAAAGACCAAAGGTAGATAAATTCACAAAGATGGGGAGAAAGCAGTGCAAAAAGGCTGAAAAATTCCAAAAACCAGAGTGCCTCTTCTCACAATTCCTTATCAGCAAGGGAACAAAACTGGATGGAGAATGAGTTTGACAAACTGACAGAAGTAGGCTTCAGAAGGTGGGTAGTACAAACTCCTCCGAGCTAAAGGAGCATGTTCTAAGCCTGCAAGGAAGTTAAGAACCTTGAAAAAAGGTTAGACAAATTGCTAACTGGAGTAAGCAGTTTAGAGAAGAACATAAATGACCTGATGGAACTGAAAAACACAGCACGAGAACTTCATGAATCATACACAAGTATCAATAGAAGAATCAATCAAGCAGAAGAAAGGATATTAGAGATTGAAGATCAACTCAATGAAATAAAGTGAGAAGACAAGATTAGAGAAAAAAGAGTGAAAAGAAATAAACAAAGCCTCCAAGAAATATGAGACTATGTGAAAAGACCAAATCTACGTTTGACTGGTGTGCCTGAAAGTGACAGGGAGAATGGAACCAAGTTGGACAACACTCTTCAGAATATTATCCAGGAGAACTTCACCAACCTAGTAAGGCAGGCCAACATTCAAATTCAAGAAATACAGAGAACACCACAAAGATATTCCCCGAGAAGAGCAACCCCAAGACACGTAATCGTGAGATTCACCAAGGTTGACATGAAGGAAAAAATGTTAAGGGCAGCCAGAGAGAAAGGTGAGGTTACCCACAAAGAGAAGCCCATTGGACTAGCAGCGGATCTCTCCGCAGAAGCCCTACAAGCAAGAAGAGAGTGGGGGCCAGTATTTAACACTCTTAAAGCAAAGAATTTTTTTTTTAGAGACAGAGTTTCACTCTGCTGCCAGGCTGGAGTGCAGTGGCATGATCTCAGCTCACCACAACCTCTGCCTCCTGGGTTCAAGCAATTCCTCTGCCTCAGCCTCCCAAGTGGCTGGGATTACAGCCACGCACCACCACACCTGGCTAATCTTTTGTATTTTAGTAGAGACGGGGTTTCACCATGTTGGCCAAGATGGTCTGAATCTCCTGACCTTGTGATCCACCCACCTCGGCCTCCTAAAGTGCTGGAATTACAGGTGCCAGCCACCACACCTGACCAAGAAAATAATTTTCAACCCAGAATTTCATATCCAGCCAAACTAAGCTTTATAAGTGAAGGAGAAATAAAATCCTATACAGACAAGCAAATGCTGAGAGATTTTGTCACCACCAGGCCTGCCTTACAAGAGCTTCTGAAGGAAGCACTAAACATGGAAAGGAACAACCAGTACCAGCCACTGCAAAAATATACCAAATTGTAAAGACCATCAATGCTATGAAGAAACTGCATCAACTAATGGGCAAAATAACCAGCTAGCCTCATAATGACAGGATCAAATTCACACATGACAATATTAACCTTAAATGTAAATGGGCTAAATGCCCCAATTAAAAGACACAGACTGGCAAACTGGGTAAAGAGTCAAGCACCATGGGTGTGCTGTATTCAGGAGACCTATCTCATGTGCAAAGACACAAAGGCTCAAAACAAAGGGGTGGAGGAATATTTACCAAGCAAATGGAAAGAAAGAAAAAAAAAAGCAGGGATTGCAATCCTAGTCTCTGATAAAACAGACTTTAAACCAACAAAGATCAAAAGAGACAAAGAAGGGCATTATATAATGATAAAGGGATCAATGCAACAAGAAGAGCTAACTATTCTAAATATATATGCACCCAATACAGGAGCACCCAGATTCATAAAGCAAGTTCTCAGAGACCTACAAAGAGACTTAGACTCCCAAACAATAATAGTGGGAGACTTTAACACCCTACTGTCAATATTAGGCAGATCAATGAGACAGAAAATTAACAAGGATATCCAGGACTTGAACTAAGCTCTGGACCAAGCAGACATAATAGACATCTACAGAACTCTCCACCCCAAATCAACAGAATATACATTCTTCTCAGCAACACATCTCACTTATTCTAAAACTGATCACATAACTGGAAGTAAAACACTCCTCAGCAAATGCAAAAGAATGGAAATTACAACAAACAGTCTCTCAGACCATAGTGCAATCAAATCACTCAGGATTAAGAAACTTATGCAAAACCACACAACTACATGGAAACTGAACAACCTGCTTCTGAATGACTACTGGGTAAATAACAAAATGAAGGCAGGAATAAAGATGTTATTTGAAACCAATGAGAACAAAGACACAACGTCCCAGAATTTCTGGGACACATTTAAAGTAGTGTGCACTAAATGCCCACAAGAGAAAGCAGGAAAGATCTAAAATCAACATCCTAACAGCACAATTAAAAGGACTGGAGGAGCAAGAACAAATAAATTCAAAAGCTAGCAGAAGACAAGAAATAACCAAGATCAGAGCAGAACTAAAGGAGACAGACACACAAGAAAACCCTTCAAAAAAAAAAATCAATGAACCCAGGAGCTGGGTTTTTTTAAAAGATCAATAAAATAGATAGACCATTAGCCAGGCTACTAAAGAAGAAAAGAGAGAAGAATCAAATAGACACAATAAAAAATGAAAAAGGGGTATCACCACCTATCCCACAGAAATACAGACTACCACCAGAGAATACTATAAACACCTCTATGCAAATAAACTAGAAAATCTAGAAGAAATGGATAAATTCCTGGACACATACACCCTCCCAAGGCTCAACCAGGAAGAAGTCGAATCCTTGAAGAGACCAATAACAAGTTCTGAAATTGAGGCAGTAATTAACAGCCTACCAACCAAAAAAAGTCCAGGACCAGATGGATTCACAGCCGAATTCTACCAGAGGTACAAAGAGGAGTTGGTACCATTCCTTCTGAAACTATTCCAAACAATAGAAAAAGAGGGATTCCTCCCTAACTCATTTTACGAGGCCAGCATCATCCTGACACAAAAACCTGGCAGAGATACAAGAAAAAAAGAGAAAATTTCAGGTCAATATCCCTGATGAACATATATATGAAAATCCTCAGTAAAATACTGGCAAACCAAATCCAGCAGCATATCAAAAAGCTTATCCACCAAAATGGAGTCAGCTCCACTCCTGGGATGCAAGGCTGGTTCGACATATGCAAATCAATAAATGTAATATATCACATAAACAGAACCAATGGCAAAACCACATGATTATCTCGATAGATGCAGAAAAGGCCTTTGACAAAATTCAACAGCCCTTCATGCTAAAAGCACTCAATAAACTAGGTATTGATGGAATGTATCTCAAAACAATAAGAGCTATTTATGACAAACGCACAGCCAATATCATACTGAATGGGCAAAGACTGGAAGCATTCCCTTTGAAAACTGGCACAAGACTAGGATGCTCTCTCTCACCACTCCTATTCAATATAGTATTGGAAGTTCTGGCCAGGACAATCAGGCAAGAGAAAGACATAAAAGGTATTCAGCTAGGAAAAGAGGAAGTCAAATTGTCTCTGTTTGCAGACGACATGATTGTATATTTAGAAAACCCCAACGTCTCAGCCCAAAATCTCCTTAAGCTGACAAGCTACTTCAGCAAAGTCTCAGGATAAAAAATCAATGTGCAAAAATCACAAGCATTTATATACACCAGTAACAGACAAACAGAGAGCCAAATCATGAGTGAGCTCCCATTCACAATTGCTACAAAGAGAATAAAACACCTAGGAATACAACTTACAAGGGATGTGAAAGACCTCTTCAAGGAGAACTACAAACTACTTCTCAAGGAAATAAGAGAGGACACAAACAAATGGAAAAACATTCCATGCTCATGGATAGGAAGAATCAATATCACGAAAATGGATATATTGCCTACAGTAATTTATAGATTCATTGCTATCCCCATCAAGCTACCAATGACTTTCTTCACAGAACTGTAAAAAAAACTACTTTAAATTTCATATGGAACCAAAAAAGAGCCCACATAGCCAAGACGATCCTAAGCAAAAAGAACAAAGCTGGAGGCATCATGCTACCTGACTTCAAACTACAAGGCTACAGTAAGCAAAACAGCATGCTACTGGTACCAAAACAGAGATATAGACCAATGGAACAGAACAGAGGCCTCAGAAATAACACCACACATCTACAACCATCTGATCTTTGACAAACCTGACAAAAACAAGCAATAGGGAAAGAATTCCCTATTTAATAAATGGTGTTGGGAAAACTGGCTAGCTATATGCAGAAAGCTGAAACTGGATCTCTTCCTTATACGTTATAAAAAATTAACTCAAGATGGATTAAAGACTTAAACATAAGACTTAAAACCATAAAAACCCTAGAAAAAAACCAAACCTAGGTAATACCATTCAGGACATATGCATGGGCAAAGACTTCATGACTAAAATACCAAAAGCAATGGTAACAAAAGCCAAAATTGACAAATGGGATCTAATTAAATTAAAGAGCTTCTGCACAGCAAAAGAAATTATCATCAGGGTGAACAGGCAACCTACAGAATGGGAGAAAATTTCTGCAATCTATCCATCTGACGAATGGCTAAGATCTAGAATCTACAAAGAATGTAAACAAATTTACAAGAAAAAACAAACAACCCCACAAAAAAGTGGGTGAAGGATATGAACAGACACTTCTCAAAACAAGACATTTATGCAGCTAACAAACATGAAAAAAAGCTCATCATCACTGGTCATAAGAGAAATGCAAATCAAAACCACAATGAGACACCATCTCACACCAGTTGGAATGGCGATCATTAAAAAATAAGGAAACAGATGCTAGAGAGGATTTGGAGAAATAGAGATGCTTTTACACTGTTGGTGGGAGTGTAAATTAGTTCAACCATTGTGGAAGACAGTGTGGCGATCCCTCAAGGATCTAGACCCAGAAAATACCATTTGACCCAGCAATCCCATTACTGGGTATATACCCAAAGGATTATAAATCATTCTACTACAAAGACACATGCACACGTATGTTTATTGCGGCACTGTTCACAGTAGCAAAGACTTGGAACCAACCCAAATGCCCATCAATGATAGACTGGATAAAGAAAATGTGGCACATATACACCATGGAATGCTATGCAGCCATAAAAAAGGGTGAGTTCATGTCCTTTGCAGGGACACAATGAAGCTGGAAACCATCATTCTCAGCAAACTAACACAAGAACAGAAAACCAAACACTGCATGTTCTCACTCATAAGTGGGAGTTGAACAATGAGAACACATGGACACGTGGTGGAGGGGCTCACACACTGGTGCCTATTGGAGTGTGGGGACCTGGGGGAGGGATAGCATTCGGAGAAATACCTAATGTCGATGATGGATTGATGGGTGCAGCAAACCATCATGGCACGTGTATATCTATGTAACAGACCTGCACATTCTGCACACGTATCTCAGAACTTTAAGTATAATTAAAAAAAAAAGAAGCTCAACTTCATTCATTATTACAGGTATAAAAGTTAAAACCACAATGAGAAACATCAATTAGATTGGCCCACGTTTAAAAAAGAACTGACCCTACCAAGTGCTAGTGTGCCCTGGAACTCTTAGATACATCTGTCGGTAAGCAAAATGAGACAACCACTTTGGAAAACAGTTTGACAGTTTCTTACAAGGCTAAGCAAACATTTACCACTTAGTCGAGCCATTCTATTCCTAGGTAGACTTTACCCATGAAAAATGAAAGCATATATCCATACAAAGATTTATAAGAAAAGTTCATAATAGCTTTATTTGTAACAGATGAAATTTGGAAGCAATTCCAATGTCCATTTCCATATGTACCGATGAACAAATTATGGTACATACATACAATGGAATGCTAGTCATATAGTCAAATGAATCAACTATACACTACGATATGGATGAATCTGAAAATATGCTGAGTGAGGAATCCAGAAGAAAAAAAAGAATACATAGTATATGAATTCAAATATATACCAGGAAATTTGAACTAATCTGTAGTAGCAGAAAGTAGATCAGTGATTGACTGAGGTTGGAATAGAGGTGAATTGTAGGAGGATGGGATTAAAAAAGGCAGGAAGAAACTTTGTGGAATTATTGACGTGTCTGAAATCTTGATTTTAGTAAATGCTTTCACCAGATATAAGCATATGTCAAATTTTCTCAAGGTGTACACTGTCAATAAGTGCAGCTTAGTGTGGGTCAATTACTCCATATAATAAAGCTGGTAAAATAAAAACATATTTTTGTAACATAATGTTGACAAATAATGCTGCCATGTGTATTAAATGGTCTTTCTTTTCTGAATTCATTAAGAGGAACAAGATTCTTTAAAAAGGGGACTCGCAAAACACATAGTAGAGATAGAGAGTATGGGAAGATTTCTGACTTTAGAATATCAACTATTACATCAGTAGATGTAAATCAGAGATTTAGGAAGTGAGGTTTTATGTTTACTAATCTCTAACCATGAAATGAAGTTATAGCTCTACATGCAGAATTAAAAGGGCATCAGAGCAACTAGTATTAGCTATTTTCAGCCAATTGGATGTGCAAAGCAACAGTTCCATCTTTCACATTTCATTTGTATTTTATTTCTTTCATTTTTTTCATCAACTTTTATTTTAAGTTCAGGGGTGCATGTGCAGGATGTGCAGGTTTGTTACATAGGTAAATGTGTGCCATAGTGCTTTGCTGCACAGATCAACCCATCACCTAGGTATTAACCCCAGCCTGCATTAACTATTCTTCCTGATGCTCTCCCTCCCACTGCCCCTGACAGGCCCCAGTGTGTGTTGTTTACCCCACCATGTGTCCATGTGTTCCCATTGTTTAGCTTCCACTTATAAGTAAGAACATGTGGTGTTTGGTTTTCTGTTCCTGCGTTAGTTTGCTGATTCTATTATAAAGATCTATGCATGCATATGTTCATTGCACACTATTCACAATAGCAAAGGCATAGAATCAACCCAAATGCCATCAATGATAGACTGGATAAAGAAAATATGGTACATGTACATCATGGAATACTATACAGACATAAAAAGGAACGAAATCATGTCCTTTGCAGGGACATGGATGGAGCTGGAAGTCATTATTCTCTTTATTTTTAACTGGAAATCCGTGCTGATATTGTCGCCATGCTCTCTACGATTCTTGGATATATATTGGAATTTGTTTTCCTATTACATTTAGACTGAAAATTCTGAGAGAGCCCCATAAATATTAACTTTTGTTATAAATATTTTACCAACGTCAAAAATTCTCATAAAATTTGTTTTTGCAAAAACTTTCCCATGGGCTTAATTTCCAAGTATGTGTGATTTTAATCAATTATATGCTGTATAAAATTTTATTTTATATGTCAGTTCACTAATATAAATTCATTGCAAATAATAAAATACTGCCTCAAAATTTTTCATTCTTAAGATACTTGCGATGATAAATTTCCTTTTATCCAGTGTGGTTCCAGTGACACCCACCATATTTTTGCCCATATGTCACGATCTACACCTACCTAGCTTGTGGCTGTACTCTGAGAATTAGAATAACCATTTTGCATAGAGTTCAAAAAGATTTGCAAGACAACTTAAGACAAACTTTCAGTGTAAAATATCTCTGTGGGATTAAGTCACATACTGCAGTCTGGTGGCTGCAAAGGTATATAATAAAGGAGAAAGAGATCACATTATTTCATGCTTATTGTGACACATACGTAAAAGTCTTCTATTGGTCATGATAATCTCCAGGAATAAATTTAACATGTGGGACTCATATAAATACATTTAGAGTCAAAGATAGATGGCCAAGTCATACATTTAAATTCCATCTGTTAGAAGGAGGGTTTCATAAATTAAGAATATTATGGTATTTAAATCAATGAATTTTTAGATTTACTATGATTTAGATTCTTTGTCTTATAAAATGCATACTTTTATTTTCATTAAGTTAACATCAACAATAAAATATCCCTGCTTACATTTTACAAACTTTGTTTTTTATGTAAAAAATTGCACTATTATAAACATTAAATACTTCTTTAATATTTATCAATTTTTTCTAGTAATTTTTCTTTAACTTTAAATCCACAGATATATCCCTGACATATTTTGGCATGTTAAAACCAATTCTTTGACTTGTCTTTTTTTAATTCTTGGCTAAATTATAAGAGTGTGAGACCTGATGTACGATTAACAGAGAAATCTGTCGTGTGGAATACTACAAATTACAACATAAAAAGGAACATGATATAACATTTCACAATAAGCAAATGTCAGTGTACCTATAATTTTTTTCTAAAGCCTTTGAAAATATTTTAAAAGGTCATAGTATAAGATGACTTCAGCAATAACAATCTGAATAGAATGCAGAAAATATTTCCTTACTTTTTCTATCTAGAAAATGGAACAACCAAATTAAGCTCTCTCATACCAGAATGTATCAGATAAATGATAAATTTAACCCCATTTTTCCTCACATCATTTAAACAACGGAGCCAATTAAGTGGAACATTAAAAACTGATGAACCAAAAAGTGGCATAAAATAGCAATTAGAAATAATGAGTTCATGAAGTAAAATGACAAGGAAGAAGTCATCAAAGACAGTATTAGAACCAATAATTAATGAGAAGTGACAGTGAAGAATTGAAATGCCAAATTCAATAGCGACTATGATTGAGTGTGTCTTAGATAGACTGGTAAGATAAAAACACCTCCAGAGTTTAGGGATTTTTCCACTGTTGATTTAGTATAGTTAGAGAAGAAAAAATATCCTTAAAATTAAGCTACTCTAAGAATGACATCCAAGTAAATTATCTCATATTCATAAAGAAATCATTTAAGTTTCTCATTCCAGCTTTAGATATCTTTTGCTTCAAAATGATCATGGTTTCATTTTGTTAAATATAAATACTTAAGGTCTATCAAGCATATCAGGACATACGTGATGTATCAGGAATTTCATCTATCCCTCCAAAGCTTAGAACAAGGGAGAAATCTGGTATGTTGTCAGGCTGAGGTCGGTATGATATAAGAGGAATAAAATGAATAATTAATAGGATTTCTGTATCCACCAGACCAACACTGAGCCAATAGAAGGTATATAGGTATATCCTATGTGTGTGTGTGGTGGGGAGGGCAGGTGTGTAAAAAGGTATATTTCAAGGACTTGACCTTGGCTTACATGATCATGGGATCTGGATAGGAATGTCTGAAATCTGCAGGGTAGGCTGGCAGGCTGGAAACTCTCAGACAGGCTTTAAGGCTGGAATTTCTTCTTCCTCATGGAAAATTCCATTTGTTCTTGAGGGCTTCAATTGATTAGATAAGGCTCACTCACAGTACAGAGGATAATCTCCTTTACTTAAAGTCAACTGATTGTAGATGTTACACACATCTGCAAACTACCTTCACAGCAACACCTAGATCAGCGTTTGATTGAATAAAGGGTGCTATAGCCAAGCCAAGTGGACATGTAAAAGTAACCACTCCAATCTCCAACTACCCTTTCCTTCCCAGAAGCATTTCCTCTTTCAAAGACAGATTTCCAAAAGAAACTCCCATTGTCTAAACCTTAGCAATTAGGCCCTCCTTTAGGAATAGTCCTTGTGAGAACACAGACATAAAAATTGGGGGGATTAATAAGTACAAACATACAGTTAGATAGAAGGAATAAGTTCTCATCTGATAGAAGGGCAGGTGACTATAGTTAACCACAACATATTGTACTTTAAAATTAGCCAGAAGATAGGACCTGAAGTATACTCAACACATGGAAATGATAAATCAATGAGTACCCTAAATATCCTCAACTGATCATTACGCATTCTCTGCATGTAACAAAATTTCATATGTACCGCATAAATGTGTATTAATGCAATGTAACAAAAATTTTAAAAGGCCTGGGGTAGACTGCATTTTTGATAAAGCTATGGCAATGGCCCTGATATCTACTGTTCATGCTTAGTGACTGATGGCCTCTTCCTTTGAATCCCATGCTGCCCAAACATACTTTGGAGTATGTAGGATGACTGTAGTGTTGCTTTATTGCTTCAGATTACCTTTGCTTGGTGAACTGAGTGGGGAAAGGAGAACAGAGTAGGGAACTGATAAAAGTGGTTGAGGTATCATATATGACCCTTTTATTTTAAATAGAATTTAACTACATAATTGTGGTCAACCTGCCAATTTTCATGAATTAAAGCCCTTCCAATGTATGATAATATATATTTAACATCATTAAAATTACCACATGTTATGATTTTGAGGACATAAGACATTTTCAGTTTTTTTCTTTATCCTATGCTAATGTTCCAGACTGAAAGAAATTACTTTTTTAAAGATGAATCTTATTGAAGTTGAAAACCAAGGGAAAACTGGTAAATTAAATGCTGATGGGATCCTATAGGAAAATTAAGTCAAATTACAAAATCAGAGTTAAGACAAAGAAGCCTGGTTACCAAAAAAGCTGCAGAGTAAGACAAACTGTGATAGAAGTTCAGAATCTCAACACAGACATAAATAAACAGCCACTAAATCTGCATTGGGAATTATTGCTTTATGTGAAGTTTTGTAGATTAGTCCCCTACATTGAATAATTAGATCCTTATGACATAGACACTATGAATCAAGCCCCTTCTGAAATTGCATGGTTCCATAACCTATATTTGACCTCTCACTATCCTCTTTTCACCTCAGGTTACTTCCCAGACACTAAAAATTTGAGTTCCTCTTTAATTTCCTTTTTCTTATGAAGGTAATTTTCATGTGACCACCTATTATATCTGACCTAAAAGGTTATTTTATTTCTCTCTCTTTTTTTTTTTTTTTGAGATGGAGTCTCACTCTGTCGCCAGGCTGGAGTGCTATGGCATGATCGTGGCTCACTGCAACCTCCACCTCCCTGGTTCAAGCGATTGTCCTGCCTCAGCCTCCCGAGTAGCTGGGATTACGGGCATGCGCCACCATGCCCAGCTAATTTTTTTGTATTTTTAGTAGAGATGAGGTTTCATCACGTTGGCCAGGATGGTCTCCATCTCCTGACCTCAGGTGCTCTCCCTGGCTTGGCCTCCCAAGGTGCGGGCATTACAGGCATGAGCCACCACACCCGGCCTTATTTCTCATTTTTAACAGAATTTAGCATGTTACCATTCATCATTCTTCATCCCCCATCTTCTTAACCTTGCTTCATGCACCTCCTAATAAAATATTAATGAAAAAGTTTTACTTAATATTTGATTGCCTAACTTTACATATGTGGTTCCATGTAGAGATGGAAAACAATTTCATCACAGTATAAGTATACTAATTTTTAAAAAGGAAATATTTTCCATGCTATAAGGTATTACTATTTTCTGTGCTATTTGTTTTCTTGCCACAATTCAACAGTACCAACAAATTATAATAATAAGAGATTTACTTTTGACAACAGAAACAGCTTTCTTTTTTCTCTAACGCATGACTTTTTTTTTTTTTATATATACTTTAAGTTTTAGGGTACATGTGCACATTGTGCAGGTTAGTTACATATGTATACATGTGCCATGGTGGTGCGCTGCACCCACTAACTCGTCATCTAGCATTAGGTATATCTCCCGATGCTATCCCTCCCCCCTCCCCCCACCCCACAACAGTGCCCAGAGTGTGATATTCCCCTTTCTGTGTCCATGTGATCTCATTGTTCAATTCCCACCTATGAGTGAGAATATGCGGTGTTTGGTTTTTTGTTCTTGCGATAGTTTACTGACAATGATGATTTCCAATTTCATCCATGTCCCTACAAAGGACATGAACTCCTTATACAAAAATCTAACGCATGTCTTAAAACCTCTTCCCATGTGCTCGAAGACATAATGGCAAAGGTATTAAAGAAAATCTACTACTGAATTTCTTACTGTGGTGAAAGCATGACAAAATCACTCACCCTGAATTGAGATGACCCAAATTTACATGAATATAACTAGAAATCTTGGGAAAGCTTGCATATATATTTAATTTTTCCCTGTCAATGCACTGCTTTATTGTAGGAACTGTAATCTCCTATGACATATAACATTCCAATGATTCAAGCCATCTGAGAAAGACATTTAGATGAATGTAATTCTTTTTTGTATTGATCTGGGAAGGAGGAAAGAAAGATGAGAATTCAGTGCTGACTTCCCAATATATCTTTCAGGGTAATCGGCATGGATAAACTGCCCTGAACATGGAATTTGATGAAAATCTGTTATTTTCATTTGTGTCTATCCAGAATTTTTCTTTTCTAGAAATCCTCCTTGTCATCTCCTGACTCCCCATCTGTACAGGAATAGATTCTCATGTCCAAGTTGTCCAATTCGTGTACCCTGTGACCTTTCACATGTTAATTCATCCAGAGATGCATGGATGGCTCAAGTGGAGTCAGAGTTCTTTTTCAGGATTGGATGTGCATTCGGGAAGAGAGAAGCACTCTGTTCTTATGATCTTGTGAATGGCATAAATCATGCAAACCTAAGAAAGCTATGGACCATTTTTGATACCTTGTGTAGAAAACCTACCTGAGAATTACAGAGAATAACAGGAAAAGAGTCAATTGCGGACATCTGTGAGTGACTAAAATTGTATCTGTGGGTGTACTTTAGGAGTAGAAAGATAGAGGCAATAAAATAGAAAAATAAATAACGTTTCATATAGTTATATTTTCATGGAGAAGTATTTATCTGTACGAATGTCCCTCAGTTTTGTTTTGTTTTGTTTTACATTTTTGTTTGTTTGTTTTTGTTTTTGAGACGGAGTTTCCGTCTGCCGCCAGCTGGAGTGCAGTGGCACCATCCTGCCTCACTGCAACCTCCGCCTCCTGGGTTCAAGCAATTCTCCTGCCTCAGCCTCCCGAGTAGCTGGGACTTATGGTAATTTTTTATTTTCTTTAATAATTATTATTTGGGTTTTTAAACACAAATATTAACTAATTTAGTTATCTTTTAACAATCACACAGCTAATAAATATTGAAGTTGGACTTGAACTCAGATGTCCTAATGCCTGTTTTAGGACTCTTCCTTGATACTAAATATCCCTTTCCTTTCAGTCACCCCTTTTCTATTCTGAATTTTTTCAAACTCTAGGCCACTCCTCTTTCACTGATATGCTGGTTGTTCAGCAATGGAAAGACTCATGATTCTGTTATGTTCCCCAACCTCCCTTCACAACTTGCCCCACACATACACACACATTGTTCTATGTAGAATCACCTCTGCTGTAGAAAGCGAGAATGAACAAAGAGGATGGTGAAAATGCAGACCTACCAATGGCAAGCTCATGCCAACATAAGGCATCCTGTGTGTGCAACTTACACTTGATTTACAGGTATTGAACAAGTTTAAAAACAGTGGAATTGTATAGAGAGTCATATCCTCATATGAAGCCTTGCTCTTTCAACATAGAGCCTAGGGCACTTTGTTAATAAATTTAAAAATTTAATTAAAAATAACCAAAAAACAGCTTCTTTTCAGAAGACATAGGTTCTTCCAAGATGAATGGAGTCTGAACGTATCTACCTCATCTGTTTTTATTTTCTGCTGCTTCAAAAATCAAAATTTAGAGAATGTTTTACTTTCACGGATAACACAAAGAGGAAGATGTATTTCTTGGCATCAAAGATTGAAACATAGAAAGGATGATGGAAGGTGAGCAGAGAAATAGAATGAGAATTGGATGCAAACAAAATGCCCCAAAGCTTTTTTATTAACTTAGTTTCCAGTGGAAAATATCAAAGTAGGTGTTTTAGTCATGTTTCCCCCAAAAAAACAAACTAATAAGACACATAGAAAGACATATAGGAAGTGACTTTTTTGAGGGATTTGCTCAGGCAATTATGGAACCTGAGAAGTTTCAACATGTGTTCTCTAGAGGTAGAGGCCCAGAAAAGCCAGCAGTGTAATTTCAGTTCAAACCCAAGGGCCTGAGAAGCAGGGGATCAAATGCTGTAAAAGTCCCTAGCTCAGTCTGAGGGCCTGAGAAGCAGGAGCACTGATGTCTAAGCACAGGAGAGCATGGATGTCCCAGCTCAAACGAGCAAATTTGCACTTTCTTGGCCTTTTTGTTCTATGCTTGCCCTCAAAGGATTGGATGATACCCACAAGCACACACCGCTACACCCGGCTAATTTTTTTTTTTTTTTTTTTGTATTTTAGTAGAGACGGGGTTTCACCAGGTTGCCCAGGCAGGTCTCGAACTCCTGAGCTCAGGCAATCCGCCAGCCTCGGCCTCCCAAAGTGCTAGGATTACAGGCGTGAGCCACTGCGCCCGGCCAGAATGCCCCTCAGTTTTTAAGATACAAACTGAATGGTATACATCTAACTCTTAATTAGAGTTTCAGTTAATGACCATGTAGGAAAAATGATATTAATATCTCAGAACGTAAAAGTCCCCAAGGGGAAAAGTCTATAGGTTTTACTTCCAATACAACTGGAGGAATATCAGAATCACATGTAAATGGTTTGAAAAGCTCCCTAAAAGTCAGCAAAGAAGTGGTACATTGAAAGTGCTACTGGTTTTGAGCATATATTGCTGCGTTGCTTTATCTGGTAGGTAACAACTACGTTAATTTTTGGTGATCAGAAAGCAGAAGTGGTGCTTTAGGCATTTTACACCTTGGCAAGACTATTTGTTACTTATATTAAAACATTTTTTCTGTATATTTGTTACATTTTGAGAAATTGACAAGCGTTGTAAGTAAATTGTAATTATTTCCCTCTTAAAATAATGGAAAATAGCCTCTCTATTTACATTCTCAAGCAGAATGTCTGTTTTTAGAAATGTATTACCAACATTAAATGAGAGAGAGATATATATAATATAATAAGTTAACTTTTAAATAATAATAAATTAAATATTAAACATTCATATTTAATAATATATTATCAATAATTAAATGTTAAGTGATACATAAATATTAAATATTAGGTAATAATAATACATTTAAGAAATCTGAGCAGACACAATAAGTTATTTATTAACATCTGAAGTATTAATAATAGCTATGTATAAAAAGCCTTCTGAGAAAAGAATAGTTGCAAAGAAAAAAAAAGAAAAAAATTACAATACCTACTAATTTATCTATGTATCTGTATTATTTTGCAATTTTTTATGACACTGAAAACAGTAGCCTAGATGAACATGTTACAAACTTTTGATATGCTTGGATCCCCTGCCCACACCCCCTGCCTGCAGCTTTACTGAGGTATGATTGACAAATAAAAATTGTATATATTTAAAGTATATAATGTGGTGTTTTGATACACATATACCTTGTGAAATGAGTACCACAAACAAGCTAACATATCCATCACTTTACCTAGTAACCAGTTTGTGTGGTGAGAACACTTGAAATCTCTCCCAGAAAATTTCAATTATGCAACATATTATTAGGTCTAGTTATGACGCTGTGTGATATGCTTGCCTTTTGATATGCCTGTTACCAGGAACGGTTTTAGATCTGTGAATAATGTCATTTAAATATAACCTGTATGACTACATAGATATAAACTAAGTCAATGTATTTAAAAGGTAGTAAGTGAAACCTATACATGGTAGATAAAAAAGGAAACAGACTAGTAGGTCAGAGAGTAAATAAAATTGGTTTCCATTCTGCACTTTGTGCTCTGTGAGGTGGTGAAATTTCCTCCTTGCCTCTGTGTTCTGCCCAGGTGCCAGAATTGGCAGCTCTCCTACAGAATGTTCACTTACATATTAAAAAGCATCAGTTATCACCCCTTTCATAATGCCTTTGGGTGCTTCTTGGCTGAGAAAAATTATTAAAATAATGAGGGTTTCTTACTCCTGGAGAAGCTAAACTGTTAATGGTTTCTTTCTACTTAGGCTATTAAAAAAAAGATGGTTTTCTGTCCAATAACACAGCCAAGGCTGTGGTTATTTCTCACTCTTAAATTGCTTTCTCTTTCTACTTTATCAACAGAGCAGTCTTTCTTGGCAGCTCTTTCAGATACTGGCCTTCACTAATTAAATTACAAGCAAATAAAAGGAAAGAAAAGGGAAGGAGAAAGCAGCTTTGAAGACAGTCATGATGTCTTTCTTCTCCCTCCTCAGGTCGTGTTTGTTGCTCCCCAATAGTAGCTCAAAATACTAGAGTATTCATTCTGTTTCTATTGTATAACCCTTGTCCTGGCATATACTATAAAGGGGTAATACCAGGATGATTTGAACATGAATAATATGTCCCCAAATTTCTCCAGAGTGTCTCATTAGTAATATTGGAGATGCTTTATTGTCAGCCACAACAACAGGGTAGGGGATTGGGGAGAGACACTCAAGACAAATAAAAAGGGTTCGCTTTCTTCCACTTTGCCCTTGGGAACACACATGTAAATGCATTCAGGTTCCATTTGTTCACCTGAAAAAATTTAAGAGCACTTATGATATTGACAATGGGTAAAACAGACCCATATGCCAAGTCTGATGCAGCGATCATCAGCAGGATTCTTCTAAAATATTTTGGCCCGAGGTATGAATACTTCTTAACGACTTAATGACTTAAATACTTCTTAATGTAAAGTGTGGACACACTTCACAAGTCTTATGGTAGAGAAAGTTATCATTTACCTTGAATTCATTAGCACTATTGTTTCCTAAAGCACCTGAAATGTTGAATCGGAAATTCCAAAATACCATGTTCAAGTACTATGATTTGAACCAGGTTTACATTACAAAATGTTCTGCTTATGGCCCTTAAAAATACGGCAGCTGCAGAAAAAGAGCTTTGGATTCTTTGCAGTACATATAAAGTGTTAATTAGTGTACTGAGATATTTATTTGATAGATCAGATAGCCCAAGTAGTATGATTAGAACCAGGTAGAGGAGCCAAGTCAGGATGGCCAGGCTCAAGGCCTCATAGCACACCCGACCACCACCACCCACCTTAACCTTGACAGGCTTGTCTGTTAACCCTAGTGTGGCCTATAAATGTCACATTTTCTGTGTATAGTGATATAAACAAATTTGGGAAGTACTACCATTATGCGGTTCATGTTATATGTTTTTCAAACAATCAGAGTGAGTCAACAGAATTCCTTTCACGGGTTAACTTGGACAAACCTTGCCAAGGTAAATGCCTGGTGATGGGGTTCACAACAAGGATCTCCAGCTGAAACATCACCGGAACTTCACTAGAAAAGCCTTTTCATGGTTTCTGGTCTAATAATTAGCTATTAAGTGCCAAGAACTACCATCTTAGATCTATGTCACCAAATACTAGAAAATGTCAGCTGCCCCCACTAAACAGCTTTATAATATTAATTTATCTTTTTCTCCCTAGAAATATGACCCAAAATCCACTCCTCACTTGGACACTGCTCTGGTTATGATGGCTGACAAGAAGATCCTGGTGGTTGCTGGTAGTAGATCTCCTAATTTAACTTCTTCCTGCTAACTAGTAAAATCAACCCTATGTCAAAATCAAGCCCAGACTTGTTCCTCCACCATTCACAACTGCTCTAAATGAGTTTTATCCCATGCTGTGTGGTTAGCAAAGTCTTCAATAGGACAGCCTTCCTGCCTGTTTGTCAATAGCTAATAATTTCTTTTGTTTCTCTCCACCCTGCCACCCCATAAACTAAGTATGGGCCTCATTTACCTTATTTGTAATTCACAACATAGAACTGACTTCCTCATTATAAAAGTTTCCTTACTCGAAACAATTCAAGGACTGGGCAGCATTGCTAATATTACCTCCTCTATGGAAGAAAATCAGCCAAATAATTACCACCAACAGTTGTGCCAGTAAGCAAATAAATGTCTTGGGAGATGCTATTTGCTGTGTTGGTTGAGCTGAAATTTCTGCTCTGAACTATTAGTTCAGAATTATTAAAGAATAAGATTGCCTCCACCTAAAGCAATAGACATTACCTCATTACTGTATTGCAATATTGTCTAAAGAAGTGCAAAGATACATTTAGTTAATTCTTTCTCTGTTATCAACAAACACAGAAAAATTATGTTTCTATTACTTTTGCCATTACTTTCAATGACAAAAACGCAATTACTTTTGCATCAACCTAAATAAATGTCTGGTTTACTTATACTGCTAAATTATAATAAGAGGAAAATGCCTAGGGCAGATGACAGCTTCTGGTATGACAGGTGTGGCACCTGGATAGCTGCAGTTGAAAGCCAGCTTAAAAATTATTAGTATTAGCTAGCTCTATGTGCCACAAAATGGTAATTTCCTACTTTGCACTAGTCATTTAAAAAATGCTTTCCCTTTTGAAATCTTTCTCTCTATAATCATACTATGGCAAGATTTTACTGTGTTCTTGAAAAAGAGGGTGGCTTCATCCATTTGGGCTGCTATAACAAAATGCTATAAAATGGGGGGCTCATGAACAGCACACATTTATTTCTTAGAGTTCTGGAGCCTGGAAAATTTGAGAGCAAGGCACCAGTAGATTCTATGTCAAGTGAAGGCTGCCCTCCCGGTTTATAGATAGATGTCTTCTTGCTGTGTCCTAACATGGTGAGAGGAGGGAGCTCTCTGAGATCTCTTTTATAAGGGCACGAATCCCATTTATGAGGGTTCCACCCTCATGACCTAATTACTTACCAAGGGCTGCACCTCCTAACACCATCACATTGGAGGTTAGGATTTCAACATATGAATTTTGGTGGGATGAAACCATGCAGTCTATAGCACTGGGTTTAGAAACAAAACCTAAGCTGTATTAAAAATTAAATTCGTACAGTTTATAACGTCTTATACATTACATATAAAACATGATACATCTGTAAAGCTTTATCTTTTTATAAAATGTGTAAAACCTGGGTTTATTTAGGATTTCTAGGCAATTCGTATAACTCATATACTATAGATTATGGCACCCAGCCATTAATTATCTCCTAGCTTTCCTTTTGGAAAAGATCCACACACCTAGCCAGGCCATGAAGAACCACGACGATTCTACCGCATGGAGTTTCTTGCTCTGCCAGAGAGACCAAAGTCCTAGTTAACATTTTAGGACAAGTTGGCAATAATAAGGCTAATGATAAGGTCACTGGGTGATAACCTTTAAAAATATCAATTTATACAATTGCACAAATTAGTTTCTTTTTACCCTACAAAAGAGTGTGTTATCTTGGTAAGAATTTATCATGTGCATTTTGACAAATTGGATTTTATCCATAGTTGTCAAGTCCAATAGCCAAAAAGAAGTCTCCAAATTATATCAGACTAAAACTGGGCTGTATTTTCATGGGCTGCTGGCATTTTAAAAATTTAAGGTATACATATGTGTACAACGTGCTTTAATGGCACTGAGAAATGGTAGAAAGTTTGTCTTCAGTGGGTGCTAAGAAAATATTACATAATTTGTAGCTATGAAAGAGTGCATGACAAATATTATCACCTGGATCCTAAAGAAGCAAAGCCCACTAAGAATTTAGATAGAACATGAAATCTAAAAATAATAAAGGCTTTATCTGTTAATATATTATTAATAAATTTAAGATAGTCTGCATATGATGCAGTGAAAAAGGGGCTTTACATTCCCCATATTCTGCTTCTAAAATTTCTTCTTCACTTTTCTTTTTCAATATTGTAAGTATAAGCTTCTCAGGCCTGCTGTTTTCTTCTGATGCCAAATGCTGAAATCACAGTACTTAGAAACTTAAGAATTCTGCCTGTGAAACAATCTCAGAAAAATAATGTGGGGAAATTATGAGAGTTCATATATCAGTGTGTTTTAAAGAGCACTTGGTATTCTCAAATTTTGGTGGTGTATTCTTGTTACTTTATATTTTGCTGATTATCAGTCAGTAAAAATCTTTTCCCCACTAGAGTTAGAAACAACCAATGTGCAGACAGAAGAATAATTTACTGTAGAATGTGTAAATAATCATTATTTAGAAAGTATTCTAAAAACAAATTATGGAGCAGAAATTATTCTAAAAACAAATTATGGAGCAGAAATAATTTATCTTCAAGATAATAAGAATATCACATTTTTCTAATTTTATTATGCTTATCTAATTTTATTTTCTAATTTAAGTGTTTGAGAAGTTTGTTTATTTGGTTTGTTGTTAAGATTTGGTGTTTCTGTTCTCCAAGAAAAAAATTTAAAACTTCATAGTGACATTAAATAATCCATAAACAGATCCCCATTAATAGTTGCTTCTTTATAAAATTGCTCATCGAGGAAAACAGCTACTTATTTAAATTAGATTTACAGAACTCAAACATAAGTAATCCATAGAAACGGTCTGTTAATCTGCAAATTTGCAGAAACCATTTCTAGAACATTATCAGTGACTCAGATATGTACAGTTCCAAAATCAAGTAAACTTCAAGGCAATTAAGTAAAACTCTTTTTATCTAACAGCTGTACAATGAGCTGCTATGGTTATTGAGACAGTCTGATTAAAGCAATATTAGAGCATATTTTAAAAATCACACTGAGAGTAATTCAATGTGGTTTAGTAGGCACTTCTATATTTTGTAGTGACCAAGGGATAGATAAATGAGTGAATGACATGCAGCAAAGTAGACACAAAAAGGTAGAAGATTACATTTGTGATGTATTTACATGGCAAATGAAATCTCTTTTACCATCTGATATGGTTTGGCTGTGTCCACACCCCAAATTTCATCTTGAATTGCCATCTAAACTGTAGTCTCCACCTGTCTCGGGAGGGACCTGTGGGGGATGTTTGGATCATGGAGGTGGTTTCCCCCCATGCTGTTCTTGTGAGAGTGAGTGAGTTCTCATGAGATCTGATGGTTTCATCAGCAGTGGTTTCCTCTTTCTGTCTCTCTGTCTGTCTCTCTGTCTGTCTGTCTCTCTGTCTGTCTCTCTCTCTCTCTTTCCGTCTCTCTCTCTCTCTCTCTCTCACCTGCCACCCTGTAATATGTGCCTGCTTCACCTTCTGCCATGATTGTAAGTTTCCTGAGGCCTCCCCATCCATGTGAAACTGTGAGTTAATTAAACCTTTTTTCTTTATAAATTACCCAGTTTCAGGCAGCTCTGTGTAAAAACAGACTAATACACCATCTTAATGTCAACTGATTTTTCTGAAAATTTTAAAATAGAATATAGTGGAGATGGTGATTTTCCTGCTACTTAAGAAATGGTTTTATGAACTTGAATTTTGCACATGCCTTTTTAATGGAAGAAGCTATAGAGTACAATAATATTTGTGATGTAAATTCTCTGAGCAAAATCCATTTTGAGTATCTATCTAATAATAAGAAAACATTTACAAGTATACATATAAACACACATATGCATACATGTATTATGTATATGTACATGTAATATACTGAGGTCAACTACATGAAGGTCATTAAGTGTTTTATATATAACATGTACTTAATTATCAAAACTCTATTCATTTAATAATAATATTTTACAAACAAATATGAGGCTTAGGGGAACCAGCTGAATTTCTGAAAATTACACCCCTATAAGTGGGAAAGACAGAACGAACACATAGTTTATCTAACTCAGAGGATGAGCTCTTAATGCTATAGCATTCCTCCTCTTTCCTAGGCTCTGTCAAATCACTTCCATAGAATTTTATTTGTTTAAGATCTGTCCGCAAACACAAAAAAAGACTAGCAGTTCTTCACTTAATTACAGATTTTTAGTAATCATAACACATTAAGGTTGACAGATGCAGACATGTTAGCCAGCTCTTCCTCATTCTTATAAATTATGAATTAAAGCAGCAATGCTATCAGATGCATGGCTTCGATAGCACTGTTAGAATTATATGATGTCAGTTTTATTTTAATCAAACTTTCAACCAAAGTCTTAATATTTCCATTGCACATTTGTACAATGGACTTCATTTGCTTTTATAAGTTTTTGAGTTAAGTTACATCACTGGAATCCAAAGAATACAGAGTGGTAGAAATCATCTTTTGCTTCATCTAACTTCATCTACCTCCACAGAGAAGAGGAAACAAAAATTCAGAGCTCAATAATTTACCATGTCAATAAATAACTAAACTTCTCTGCTAAGAATGTAAGTCTGTGGAAATAACCCTGGACTTTAGAAACCACTGTTCCAGATGCATAATGTTTTTTAGAAATACCTTACTCGAATATTAAAACTAAGCACTGTCTTTCAGCCTAGAATTCTAGGAATGGATAATTAGCAATGAAACCAAATTTTTAATTACATGTTTTGTTTTATAATGTTAGCTGATACTCACATTTAGGAAGGAACCCAAAGAAATATAGCCAGTATTTAGGAGGGAACTCAAAGAAAATTAAAAATATTTTAAATATATCGAACTTTATTTATGCATTGTGTTTAGAGTTTGCACTTTAAGATTTTCTTATCCTGCTATTTGTTTTTTAAGCCAAAGATTTCTTGTGCCAGACTGATGGAAACTGTGGTAAGAAAAAACTGGGGTAAAAAAATTGAAAAAGTTTTGAATCAAGAGGCTTTTCCTTAGAGCAGAAGCATTCCTGATTCACAGGTGATGCTAATGCTTTCTGATCACCCATAATTTGATCTTTCTAAAGGTCCTATGATTACAGGTTTTTCTGTGATAAATTCAATCTCAGATTACTCATATATCAAATTAGAAACGCCAGATGCATCTTCTCTTTTGGACAAACTCTTGATGTATAATTGCCTTTCCAATAATGCATGTCTCCTTATATCAGTCTTTATATTCTGCGAAAAAAAATCAGCCCTTGTTTGTATGTTCTAATTATCTGGTTTGGCAAGAAATTCAAACTGAAGCAATCTTTGCCTTTGCACAATAAATTTATTGCTTTGTTAAGGAAAACATTATTTTTTCTTTTACTTATATAATAAAGCACAATAAACAAATCTGAAGTCATACTATACTATATATCTATTTAAACGGAATTGTATTTTGTATTACAACTGCTCTTAAAATAATAAATTAGAAAAATAAAATGCATTCCAAGCACAGATTTCAGGGTCAAGTTGCTTTTCTAATGGTAATAAGTTGTATATATGTAGCAGCTTCTTTCTAAGACTCTCAAAGGGCTTTATCATGCTAAGGTTGAAATTCAATTTATGTAATTTCAAATCAAATATAATTATCTCTACATTTGAGATGAGAAGATTGCTTTGTTTTATAGTACTTTAATGAATAATTGTAGCTTTGTTTATAGCTTCAACTTCTGGATTGCTTTTAAAGCTCAACAATTATATTTAAAAGTCCAGACTCTATTTTTTAACTTCTATTAACTTCATCTAATTCACTAAAGACTTTGTTCCCCTTTCCCTGAATGCCTGTCATTAATCACTTTGAATTCCACCTCTGCAGAGCTTAACTATCTAACACTCTACTGCCTCAGTCTGTCTTGTTATCATTTATCTTTCCTTCCCCTCCAAGTTACCTATCTATCCACTGCCATGGACACTGTTAAGGTTTGAATGTTGGTGTGCCCCACAGATTCTTATGTTGAAATGTAATAGCCATTGTGACAGTGTTAAGAGGTGGAGGCTTTAGGAGGTGATGAGGGCATGACTGGAATTAGTGGTCTTGTAAAAGATGCTTGAGAAACCCTGTTTGTCCCTTCCACCGTGTGAGGATGCAGCAAGATGGTGCCAACTGTGAAGGAGAGAGCAAGCCCTCAACAGACACTGTGTCTGCTGGCAACTTGATCTTACACTTTCCAGCCACCAGAATGTGAACAATACATTTCTGCTGTTTACAAATGACCCAGTCTAAGGCATTTTGTTACAGCAGCTCAAATGGACTAAGACAGCCCCCTGCTGGATGTATCATCTTCAGATTTTGGGCTACCTTTGGAATTTTATTTCTAGAAGTTTGTTTCCCAACTGCAACCTCTTATCTTCCATAATACTTGCTTAAAAATCTCAATATCTCAATTATTTAATTTCATTGTAAGTTTTAGGCCATTATTCTCATGCTATTTTCATGATGATTTAGTATCTTTTGGCATTCCTTTTTTCTTTTGTCTAACCTAGATTCCATTACGCAACATTATAATTCCTGTTGTAAATACCCTTGGCCACTATATATTACAATCACTATTACTATCACAGTTGTTCTCCCTGAGTCCTCACAAATTTCATCTCCACTCCCCTAGTGAAAGCCACCATCAGCTCTGTTATCTTACTGTTACAGCCACGGAAAGGGTCTTCCCACTTTTTATATAACTCTGCAATATCAACACAGCAAACTGAATGACTTTTCAAAAATATAAATTGCACAATTTATCTTTTATGTTTATGAAGGGCCAACGTTTGCTTATTACTTGAAATAAAATATGAATTCATGTCTGTCTTCGATATCATCCAATGTGATATACTCTGAAGCTAAACTGAACTTCTCTTAATTTCTTCACATTAACCAAGGGCTACCACACTTTTCTGGACTGCTCTTCCCCCTGTGGTTCCTATAACTATCTTTTTCTTGATTTTTTTTCTTTTTGAGATGGAGTTTTGCTCTTGCCCCCAGGGCTGGAGTGCAATGGTGCCATCTCCGCTCACTGAAACTTCCGCTTCCTGGGTTTAAGCAATTCTCCCGCCTCAGCCTCCTGAGTAGCTGGGATTACAGGTGCTCACCACCAAGCCCAGCTAATTTTTGCATTTTTAGTAGAGATGAGGTTTCGTTTTGTTGGTTAGGCTGGTCTCAAACTCCTGATCTCATGTGATCCACCTGCCTCAGCCTCCCAAAGTGCTGGTATTATAGGTGTGAGCCACTGCACCTGGCCATTCTTCTTGATTTTTAAATCTCCCATTCAATATTGCTTCCACAGAAAAGCCAGTTCCAGTCACCTTTCTAAAGTAAACATGTGCACATTACCCACTATTTGTTTTCTCTGTTTATTTGAATTTTCTATTCATTTGTTTTCTTTCATAACATATAAAACAAACAGTAAACATAAACTAATAAACTGGGATAATGTGTACTTCTGTCATCTTCATATTCCCCATGCCCAGCATATTGCCTGGTAAAAAGAAACATCCAAAAATATTTGTTTACTAAACGTCACTAAAGCAATTTTAGGATGGCTTAGAAATTCTAAGCTGTTGGGTTCATGCTATGATCATGTAGCATTTAAGACCAAATCTTACCTCATGGGGTCAAAATAAAAAAAGTATAATAAATTTCCTACCCTTTATTTACCTAGAATAACCAATACCATGTTTTCCTGCACTGTGATCCATGATAATATTTTCGCCTGGAGTATCAAATCAATTGTGTCAGAGTATTATTAATACTTTAATTTGATCTGCTTATGTCCTCATGAGATGAGCTATTAAAGTCTGTAATCAGTCCCAAATAAATTTGCTTCTGCATGGTTTACATGGACTGCAAAACAGTATTTATTAAAATAAATATTCACTGTTTATACATATTCAAAACATACAGTCACATTTAGGTTATGGAAAATAATTGTTAAAATTATAGATTTTCAAATTTTTACCTAAAATATAAATGAATATTATATTTTTCCACTTTTATAAAATTGAGAGTAGAAAATCTAACTGTGCTATCAGTAGTAATTAAAAAAAAGAGGCATAAGAATTTAGCATTGTCATCAAAATAGGTAATTCTAGAATTACATAAATAATATGTAAGCATATTATACTGCATGCTCATTAGCCCTAACATGATAAACAGCTTAAAATAAAAAATAAAAAAAGAAGTGGTGTTGGAAACATAAAAAATAAGTACTTGAAATTCTTGTTATCTTAATAAGTTTAATATTTCTTAAATTTACGTATGTGCCATGCACTTGTACAAAATATGAATACTAAAAACACTTTTTTAAAAAATACTAAATCAATACATTTTAGTTAGGAAATTTAAAATATATATATTAAGAAATAAAAGAATGTTGATGATTAAGTTGCTCAGATTATTTTAATTATAATTTAACTGTGGAATAATCTAATATTTGACTGATTTTTCTGGTTAAGAGAGTGAATTGAGGCCAGGCACAGTGGCTCATGCCTGTAATCATAACTTTGGGAGGCCGAGGTGGGTGGATCACCTGAGGCTGGAAGTTCGAGACCAGCCTGGCCAACATGGTGAAGTTCTGTCTCTACTAAAAATACAAAAAATTAGCTGGCTTTGGTGGTGGGCACCTGTAATCCTAGCTATTTGGAAGGCTGAGGCAGGAGAATTATTTGAACCTGGGAAGCAAAAGTTGCAGTGAGCTGAGATCATGCCACTGTGCTCCAGCCTGGGCAGCAGAGCAAGACTCCATCTCAAATTAAAATAAATAATTCTATTATAAAGACACATGCACACATATGTTTACTGTGGCACTGTTCACAATATCAAAGACTTGATAACAACCCAAATGCCCATCAGTGATAGACTGGATAAAGAAAATGTGGCACATATACACCATGGAATACTATGCAGCCATAAAAAAGGATGAGTTCATGTCCTTTGCAGGGACATGGATGAAGCTGGAAACCATCATTCTCAGCGAACTAACACAAGAACAGAAAACCAAACACCATGTGTTCTCATTCAAAAGTGGGAGTTGAACAATTAGAACACATGGACACAGGGAGGGGAACATCAACACCAGGGCTTGTTAGTGGGTGGGGGGCTGGGGAGGGATAGCATTAGGAGAAATACCTAATGTAGATGATGGGTTGATGGGTGCCGCAAACCACCATGGCACATGTATACCTATGTAATAAACCTGCACGTTCTGCACTTGTACCCCAGAGCTTAAAGTAAAATAAAAAATAAATAAAAATATAATAAAATAATATTAAAAAAAGAGTGAATTGAAAGGACTAAATTTGCAGACTCAGAATGAACACAAACAATGGAACATTGCATTAGTCTATTATAACAGATTAGCAGTGTAGCTTAAAGTGCTTAAACTGCTCAGGAAGTTTAAGCTGCATTTAATGCAATATAATGAAGGCTATAGCACATTCAAAAGTTGGATTACATTGACTGACAACCATTAATGGTTGTTTGAATTGACTAGTCAATGTAATCCAACTTTTGAATATACTATAGCCTTCATTATATTTAAATATATAGAATACTCTTTTAGCATTATGCCAAAATAGAAGTTATGGGAGATGTGGAAGATATGAAGGGGCTTAAACTTTTCTCAACAATAAACGTCAGCCAGTGAGGAGGCTCGATGTCTTCACTTTAGTCTCTTCTAGTCTTGTTTTCATAAGAAATTCATAAATTCTCCTATTTATGTAATAAATAGGGTTAGGAAAGTTTAAAAAATAAAATAAAATGCCTCCCCTACCTTTGAAAAATAAAACAGTTGACTGTCTTATTATTTTTCCTATGTATTTTTGATTGAAACATATCTGCTACTAAGTAATGCAAAAAATTTTTAGTGTTTTGAAATAACAAACCAAGGCACAAGTGTGAGAATTCAGTTAGAGAGATCTCTTTATTAACAGGGGATTTACAAATCTACAACTTGCCATAGTGCCTGATAAGAATAGAAATAGGAAAAGTCCTATGGGCTGAATGTTTGCATCACCCCCAAAAAATCAAATGTTGAAATCATAAACCCCAATGTGATGATTTTGGGAGGTGGTGCCTTTGAGACGTAATTGGGCTACGAGGGTGGAACCCTCATTAGTAACATTAGTGCCCCTATAAGAAGAGACACATGTTTGCTCTTGCTCTCCCCTCTCTACCATGTAAGGATGCAGCAAGAAGACAGCCATGTGCAACCAGAAGGAGGGCTCTCACCAGACACTGGATCTGGTGGCACCTTGATCTTGGACTTCTCAGCCTCTACAACTGTGAGAAATACATGCTTGTTGTTTAGCTATCCAGTCTATGGTATTTTTGTTACAGAACCCTCAACTAAGACAAGAAGTATAGGGTGCCAATTAGCTTAAATTACTATGTTGGTGGGAGCAACTGAAATCTTTATCTGCAATTCCAACTTCACTCTTGACCTGTTGATCTATATCCTGAACATCATTCACCCATTGGCTATATTTTTGTTGTCCATAGGCCAACCTCCAAAGGCAGAGAGGGAAGAGCCCTTCATAATCTTTTTTATTAATTTTCCTTCACATTCCTACTCCAGAAATTGGACATGCCTGGATTCCCAGATTTTCTCTTTTTTTTTTTTTTTTTTTTTTTTGAGACAGTCTCTCTCTGTCACCTAGGCTGCAGTGCAGTGGTATGATCTCGGCTCACTGCAACCTCCACCTCCCTGGATCAGACAATTATCGTGCCTAAGGCTCCTGAGTAGCTGGGATTACAGGCATGTGCCATCATACCTGGCTAATTTTTGTATTTTTAGTAGAGATGGGGTTTTGCCATGTTGGCCAGGCTGGTTTTGAACTCCTGGCCTCAAGTGATCCACCTGCCTGGACCTCCCAAAGTGCTGGAATTACAGGCATGAGCCACCACATCCGGCCTTCCCAGATTTTCTTGACAGTTGAAAAATTTTCCACCCACATAAATGTTTCAGGAGGCTCGTTGGTAACTTTTCCACTTTTGGACCCTCTGTTCCCTAGCTTTTCCAACAAATGTGTAAGCTGTTAATTCTCAAAGGAGTTATGTTTCCCTAACTAAACACTGTATGATACAAACAATGATATATATTGGGAAAAATAGAGAAAAAAACCTCTTTATTCCTACCTGGTCATATACAGCCATACATCTGCCAAATGTTTTACATGAGCAGGTCCAATTAGAATATGGTTGCCAGATTTAGCAGATGAAAACCTTAGTTAAATTTAATGCTGAGAAAAATAATAAATAATTTATAGTAATATATTTCCCATGCAATATTTAGGACATCCTTGTGCTAAAAGATATCCATTGTTCATTTGAAATTCAAATTTAACTGGGTGTTCTGTATTTTATGTAGCAACCTCAGAAATGCAAGAAATCTAAGCAGTTCTAGAATTGATGAAATCATGGATGTTTTCTGATGCCTCATGAAATGCATCATTGTTACCGGACTTCTCTTCTCTCTCAACCTTACCCTACATATATAAACATGGTTCTACCTATTTATGTTCCAACTTCTTCTTCTTAAGCAGACAGGCTATGGTGCTTAATTATTTCTTTCAAGAATAATTGGAAGTATTAATTTGATAATCAGCCTACCTAATTGATTCACAAAACCTGTCCCACAGAGTTTCCTGATCTCCTTTAATTTGTACTAATTTCTTTAATGGAGATACTAATACGATTTAGCATTCTAAAAATATTGTAAGGATTTATCTCTGGTCAAGTGATGATTTCATTCAATATTTCATTTCTCATACACAATTGAGGAAATATAATAAGAACTTCGGTCAGCAGCTTAATTTATACTTAACAGACAGAGTTGGTAAATTACTAGAAGTTGGCAAAAAGAATGGGTAAGCCCTAATTGATTATATAAAGCTAGGATTGCTCTGAAAATGGGGGAATGTTTAATATTCCTTATTATTCCGGGTGTTGCAATATGATCGATTCTTTAATAGTAGCGATGATTAATGATTCTTAAAGTGATGCCGAGAATAGCGTCTTTACCATTACCTGGAAACCTGCTAGAAACACAACAACTTGGCCCCTTATAGACCCATTGAATCAGTAATTCTGGAAGTAGGACTCAGCACTCTATTTTTGAACTCAGTACTCCATTTTTTAAGAGGCTCTTCAGGTGATTTTGATAGGCACTAAACTTTGAGAACCACTTTTCTATGTGAATGCCAAATCATAATCATTCAGATGAGTTCTGTTTCCACGAAAGAAGACACGTATTACCTGGTGAATGGAAGGAATTATAATTTTAACTGAATCCTTTACCTGTGTGTTTGTCATATGATTTGGAGAAGAGAGCAACTCGAAGGTGAATTTAATCACTATAGATAACCAGCTGCGATAATTGCCTCACTCTCTGCATTACTTATTCTGCATATAAATTGCCTTCAGGCACATTCTTGTGCATCTTTGCACAAGACTATTAGTTGGGGGATAAGAGATTAAGAATTCAGGTAATTTTGAAATGTATGTGATGCTTTAGGTCAAAGCATTATGGAATCATATCACTAAGCAAGTACCTAGGAATTATATCCAAAGAAAAAATATTAAAAATGCATTTGGCTAATGGGGCAGAACTTATGGCAGGAGTTAAGTTAGTTTATATTGAAATAGCACTAGAACATCATATATATATATATATATACACACACATATATATATATATTTTTGAGACCGGTTCTCACTCAAAATAGTAGATTAAGTTATAGATTATTTTAAAGTTACACTAAGAGCTTTGTTATGATCCTTAAACAAAATAAGATATTGAAGACATTTTTTTCACTGTGTACATTTTATTTCAAAAATAAATTGTAAAAATATAAATGTGTAAAAGGGAAAAATAATGAATAGAAAGTAGTACACATGATGGTAGGGAAAACACCCTAAACCTTCTAGTAAACACAATAAATACAGCTGTACTACATTTATCAGTAAAGGCAGAGTTTGTAATAATATATTTTTTAAAAAATTCGTCACATGCCATATCCAAGTTATTTGTTAGCAAAGCTTTTATTTTTATTTTGTTTCTCTGTAATAGGCCACATAGTATAAATAATATAGGTTTTGAGGATCACATAAAGACTTCTATTACTTCCTTGAGTTTTTTTTTTCTTTTTAAAAATAACCCTTTACAAATGTAAAAATGACTTCTATTTCAGGGGCCATATACAATCAGGCCACAGGCTGATTTTACAGTGTGTATTTTTTTTTCTTTAATTCCTGGACTAGCAGATGTGAGTCCACAAGCTAAAGGATTCAGATATATCAGTATTTAAGCCACCTCAGCCTTCTCCACTATCCCAGACATCCACAGTTCTGTCAGTGAAATCAAATCGTGGTTCTTTTTCACTACAACGTTTTGGAGGTTAGTTGTTACCCAGTAATAGGTAACTGGGACACAATGAAAGTAAACATATGCATATATTATGGTGCAGAAATTGCTTTTATGACCAAGTATAATGGAATACATCCAACAGCATTAATGCTGCTACATTTCAGAATATTCACAGAAGTATTGTTTCAAGCACCAGCAAATTGTAATGCATATACAATAATATAATAATAATGATAATTGTGCTCAAATAACATGGTTCTATTCAGCATTAAATGTATAAATTCTTGGGACTATTTTTTAGTAAGGCTAAAAATCACAAATATATTTATAAGAAAAAAGTTAAAGAAACACAGCAGAACCATTTATATAAATTATAAAATAAGTCGACACTACTGCTTAAGGATACAGGGCTTGTAATAAACTGTTAGAAAAGCTTTAAAAATGAGGAAGAATAACTTTAGGATGGTGAGTTCCTCTAAATAGCATGAAATGCCACCAGGAAGGGATATACAAGGATCTTCAACTTTTATTTTCAAGTTTTATTTTTTAAGCTCTGTGGTATGTGTATACCTACACTATTCTTTATGCCATTTTTATGTCTTTTCAGACAATTAATTAAACATGGTATTACTTAGTGTTTCATCAAGACATATTTTTTATTTTTATATTTGTTTAATTCATATTTTTATAAAAATAATTTTGCTAAATCAAAAAGATTGAAAACCTACCATGATGCTGTTAGGTATTTTGGGAGAACCAAGAAAGAACACAATGCTCAAAGCAGTCATGAATGTGCAAAAAGGAAAATAAGAAAATAACCAATTTGACTGCAAAAAATGAACACACCCTAAAATAGTAAAATAATTCATCACTATATATTTTATCTACTTTTCATAATATAGCATTTCTTAAATTGAGATATATGAAATATAATTCAGGAGGATGTGAATAAATCTTAGCGGACGGGGAAAGCTTCCATCATCAAGTACGTTAGAAAAACCTAGACTAAACCAAGCTAATTTGATTTATTAATTCTGGCAATTTCAGAACTCTTAATAGTGAATCTGCCTTCTCAATCTCTGCAAGAGGAGTTGTAGTCTATAGTACTTTCCAAACTTAATTGAAAATATAATTTATAGAAAACACATCATTTCAAGGATCAGAACATTCAATGGAGCAAACTTTTGGAAATCATGCCATACCACCTGAAGAGGAGAGATCACTTTTTGAAGGAGTGCTCTTGCAAGGCTTTATGGCAAATGAGGATTTGAACTGGATATTGCCTAAAAGAAAGAAAAACACTACGCATAAACTCCCTTACATGAAGAATCTAAAAATGTGGAACTCATAGAAGCAGAGAGTTAGAATGGTAGTTACCAAGCGTTGGGGGTGGGCAGGAGAATGGTGTTAGGAGGATGTTAATCAAATAATAAAAAATTTGGGTTAGGCAAGAGAAACAAGTTCCAGAGATAATATATAGTGAATTATAGCTAATAACAATATATTCTTGAAAACTGCTGAAAGAATAGATTTTAACTGTTCCCACAAAATGGTATGTGAGAAAATATATATGTCAATTAGTTTGATTTAGGGATTCCACAATGTATGCATATTTCAAAACATGTTGTACCTGATAAATATATACAATTTTTATTTACCCATTTAAAAATAAATAAATAAATTACCAAAATGAAATGAGGTGCAGACATTAGGTAGCTAAATCCAATAAAATCTATGGCCCTGATTGATAGACTAAATAATAAGACATTTCACAAATGAGTGAGGCATCAATGTCAGGCAACTTCTGTTGCCTAAATGTTTTCACATTTCTTTCAGGAAATTTGGTTGAAAATGTACAATTTTTGTCTGAATTCAGCAGAAACAAAGATCCTGTTATATTCATTAGTAAGTGTTTGTGTGAGAGAAAACTCTTCATTAAAATGATCATGATATGAAAAAGGCATATATTTTGTCAAAATCTGGGTAATATAAAAACAAAAATAATGAATTTGTTTTCTTAAAGTATCCATTTAATGATTTACTGATTCAGTCCGTAGTCTGTTCTTTCCACTCAACTGAACATCTGTTCTGATAGGCTTGTCTTCCTCTAATAAGGAGCCTGAATTTAGAAGGTGATGATATGAGAAAACACCAAATATTCAGAAGCCATCCAGGCCTGCTTTGGATGTCTTTTGGGACAAGAGAGCATGTGAGGGTATATCCAGGCTGCAAATAGCACTGAAGATGTCATCTCTGTGGCTGTTCTACGTTCTACTTCACTCCCAAAGACCATGAATTACTTCAAAATATGCCTGATCTGATTTTTTTCTAAAGTACTGGGCAGCTGTGCAAACAATATTAAAACAGAAAAAATATTTTGTGCCATGCACTGCCTTGATTGTACACGCCCTTAAAATAGGAAACATAGACTCTTTCTAAAAAATACAGTTATATCAAGACCTGCTTTTTAAATATCCGTAATGTATTATTACCTTTTGTGTTTCTGTTCAGTAAGTATTACATTCACTGAGAGTGATTTGACCAACAATAAAAACAAAGATACCATCATTTTCCTATTTACTTTTTAATTTTAAGGTTGACTTGATTGAAAATAAAATTATTATGGTAGGTTTGGCTGTTAGGTTATTTATTTATTATTACTATTTTTATTTCATAATGCATTTTTATTCTTTGGAAGTTTAATTTTTTAAAATAATTCATACTTTGAAATAATTTAAAATGTATACAAAAGTTATAAGAAAAGTTTAAACCATTCTCTCACTCAGATGACTAATTGTTAGCATTTTATTACATCCAAACATCCCATATATAAACTTAAATTTTAATCAATTGTTTCAATAATTTCTCTTTTTCCATTCTGACCAGGATCATAATTATGTGAATGCACATAAAATGAGAATGCTTGGGAGATTCTGCAGTCCATAATATATGGCCAAACTGATCAGCATGGGCTTCCTTATTGTGGTTTAATTGGTTTCTCCAATGATTTGCAATCTTTGCTAAGTGGCTTTGGAGTAGACTAAGCTAATTAATTTGCCTGAGACGAATGCTGCCAGTGGGTCTATAACCATGTTGCTACCACTGGAGTAAACATAACCTCAATGTTCTATCAGTGGGGTGACTACTGTTATTCAATTTCTGATTTATATTCTGCAATAACTTTTGTGGCATTTTACTAGACTCCTCTGCCAGATCTGCAAGGCCAGATCTCTTTTGGACCAACTACTGTGCAACGTCATCAACCAGCAATTACTAGTGGGTCTTCATGGCTTTGCTCCACACTGAGTTTTAATAGATTGGATTTTTTTTTCAGTGCAGCAGACAGTGAGAAGCAGACAGAGTAACATAATGGCCTCCATATTAAAATTCATTAACCTTGCAAAAGCACTTAGTATCATCAGTAGATAAAAATGTTGTTAACTACTAAGCCTTAAGTATTCATCAAGATACAAAGACTTATTTCTGTATAAAATTGTGGTGCTCATATATAGAGTTACTGTACTGAATGTTGATAAATAAAATATTTTTAGCAAATCTTTGAGGGGTAAATAAAGCATTGAAATTTAGTATTTACTAATGTTAATTATCTGGGAGGTTATTCTAATTGCAAAGATAACTCAGATTTCCTCATGGTCTTCATCTGAGTGTTTAACACACTGAGATGTCCATGATCAAAACATTTTATATATAAAAGAAATTAGAGAAATTGGGATTTTTCCGCAGAGGCAGCATTAAAGACTGATATGGTCTGGCTGTGTCCCCACCCAAATCTCATGTTGAATTGTAGCTCCCATAAGCCCCACGTTTCATGGGAGGGACCTGGTGGGAGGTAGTTGAATCATGGGGGTGTGTTTTTCCTGTGCTGTTCTCATGATAGTGAATAAGTCTCATGAGATCTGATGGTTTTATAAAAGGCAGTTCCCCTGCACATGCTCTCTTGTCTGCCACCATGTAAAACATGCCTTTGCTCCTCCTTTGCCTTCTGCTATGACTGTGAGGCTTCACCAGCCATGTGGAACTGTGAGTCCCTTAAATCTCTTTCCTTTATAAATTATCCAGTCTCAGGTATGTCTTTATTAGCAACATAAAAACAGATTAATACACAGACCTACAATCTTGAAAATAAATATTGCTGAACACTACTACTCCAAACAAATAAGGTGTAGGTGTTCTGAAGGACAGAAGACTTGCCAATATGCTGGCTTCTCTCTCCTCCTTTAGTCATAGACAGGGATCTGCTTTCCTCCTAAACCTGCTTAATCGTCATTCTTTTTAATGCTTTTTTCTTACACCGGTTTTCCTCTGACCCCTTTGTTTATCCAGTTACAGCCTTCGAAGAAATACACAATCTCCAATATCACATCTCTTCCCTTACATAGTGTTAGCCAACATATATGACTAAATATATGTACCCATCCACTCATCAAGGCTAAACAACATTTATCTAATATGCAATTTCTTTTTTGCATAACTAGTGTCCACTGTGGAAGAAAAACTCATACTAATTTTAAGTGTCCTGCTAAATACCTGGAGGAGGAACTAGTGGAAATTCAACAACTAGATTTTAACAATTAATTGGTTTTCTTGTGAATTAAAAAATATTTCAAACTCCCAAAGAGGGAGAAGGATAAAAGTAGAAAAGTACAGATGCTCTCCTACTTATGATGGAGTTACGTTCCAGTAAACACATTATAAGTTGAAAGTATTATAAGTCAAAATACATTTAATACATTTAACCTGCTGAACATCATAGCTGAGGCTAAGCTACCTAAAATGTGCTCAGAATACCTATATTTTGCCCACACTGTTGGACAAAATCATCTAACACAAAGCCCATCTTATAATAAACTGTTAAATGTTTCATATAATTAATATTGTACTGAAAGTGAAAAACAGAATGTTTGTATGGCTACTCAGAATACGGTTTCCACCAAATGCCTATCACTTCACATCATCATAAAGTCAAAAAATCATGTGGACCTTCTGTATGTGAATGATACATTTATAAGCAAACATCAACATTCTATGACTACTTATCACAATAATTATTTTGTTTATTGTGTTATATAAATCATCATGTTACTACAGTTAGGTTTAGTTTTGAATCCATGAGAGAAAATAGTATAACATTGGAAAGATGGACTGATATGATTTAAGAAGAAGCTACTATATTTTTATTGTTTCTGACTTGAGAAGAATTCAATAAACAGATAAACCACTAAATACATTGCAGGAGAAAAACAAATGCCATGTATATTTCAGGGGTATTGTACTAGTCTGTTTTCACACTGCTATGAAGAAATACATGAGACTGGGTGATTTATAAAGGAAAGAGGTTTAATTGACTCACAGTTTCACATGGCTGGGGAGTCCTCAGGAAACTTACAATCATGGAGGAAGGCAAAGGAGAAGCAGGCACCTTCTCCACAGGGTGGCAGGAGAGAGAATGAGTGCAAGCGGAGTAAATGCCGGATGCTTTAAAAGAATCAGTTCTCATGAGACTTACTCACTATCATGAGAACAGCATGGGGGATACCACCCCCATGATCCAAGTACCTCCACCTGTTCCCACTCTTGACAAGCGGGGATTATGGGGATTACAATTCAAGATGAGATTTTTGGGTGGGGACACAGCCAAACCATATCAGGTGTCTAAAGAGATGTGATTATCTTGATTGGTAACACAACTTCACAAAGAAAGGACATTTCAAGATTTCTATATATTTAATTATTTATCATTATTTTTTAAAAGGTGGGAGAGCAGAGAAATAATAATAATAGTGTCAGTAGTAGCAACTGGTTACGGAACTTCTACTAAGTACCAGATATTGTCCTAGGTGATGTTCCTCTGTTTTCTCATGCAATTCTTACAGAAAAGTGGTTATTAGCTCTGTTTTCTATGAAGAAGCAAAGGCTTCCAGAGAAGGATTTCAAACCCACAAGAGAGCCAAAATTTAAATCCAGGACTTCTGAATCTAAAGCCCTTGTTTGATCTATTACATAAATTGAATGTCTCTTATCTGCCCAGGACTTTGCTATGCCATGGGAATAAGGCTCTCTGGTAGAATTTGACTTACATTTTGAGTAAAAGGCCTCACAGAGAAAGAAAATTATCAACTAAATCTTGAAAAATGGCTACGAATTTGGTAAACACAGTAATCAAAGGTGTAAAGGTATGGGGAGGAAGAAGAATATATTTCCATGAAATCAGCAACTTTACAAAAGTTCGTTTACTTATTTATTTATTTTTTTGAGATGGAGTTTTGCTCTTGTTGCCCAGGCTGGAGTGCAATGGTGCGATTTTGGCTCACTGCAACCTCTGCCGCCTGGGTTCAAGTGATTCTCCTGCCTCAGCCTCCCGAGTAGCTGGGATTACAGGCATGCACCACTACGCCTGGCTAATTTTGTATTTTTAGTAGAGATGGGTTTCTCCATGTTGGTCATGCTGGTCTGGAACTCCCAACCTCAGGTGATCCACCCACCTTGGCCTCCTAAAGTGTTGGGATTACAGGTGTGAGCCACTGCACCAGGCCAAAAGTTCATATTTTTTAAGGGGACATAGTGAGAAGTTCTGTGTGAATAAATTATAGAGCTCATGCCACTTGGTTTCTGGAGCTGTATTTCCAAGCTGCAAATAGATTGAGGTACATTTCAGAGATCAAAAAGATAATCACTGAGCATATGTCATAGAAAGCAAATATATAAGGGTTTCAAAGAAGTGATACGAATAGTTTCAAATATTTCAGAGACCACACTGTATGAAAATTAAAGATAATTTTATATTTTGTAAATAAAAGTTTATTAATTATCTTTGAGATGTGATTCATTGCAGTGAGAGTAGTTTATAAAGGAGTGACATACGCTAAAAAAAAGACAGCAAGATAAGTAAATTATAAACAACTATTTGTTTGCCATACTTTTAAATCATTCGTTCTATGACCTTTATAACATTTCAAAGATAAGAGTTCCCAGTAGATTGAATTTTCTTAAGTAATTTTCCTAATGTAGGAATATTGCTTAGTACTATTTGACCTTTTAATATTTGATGAAATACCCACCACTTCTTACAGATTGATTGTGTTCTTTTAATCCTAACAGGTTTTACATTTGTAACAGTTTGAATTAAAAAGTGGAATCATGATAGCTGTATTTTCTCCAGCCAAACTGGTTTCTCCCAATATAGGTGGACAAATTGGGAACAATGACTCCTAGAGTTTAAAGTGTAACAGAAAGAGGATTGGATTCAGAAATCACTGTGCTGAAGCTGAGGTCAAAGAATGGATTAAATCACTGAACTTCACAGAATCCAGATGTGAAAGCATCATTTATCCGATATTTTACATTTCTCTACCTCCACCACGAGGTATTCATTCAGTGTCTACTTGAAACTCCCTGTGGGCATATGTTTAAGATTTAAGTAAGTAAATGTCAGATGCTATATTTGTTGCTGCTTAGCTCAGTAGAGATACTGTGTTTGGTATGAGAGAGCTTGTGCAATCTGCAGGCTGAGTAATCTTTCACAGGTTGGTTGCTCTATGGGGAGCATTTTTATAGCAGATCATCATAGCAAACTCAAGCTTTAGCCAATCCCTAAGCAGGTGAAGATAGTCACAGTGCACATAAGCATTTTGACACTTCTTTGGGGTGAGTTCCCTTCAGGTTATGAGTATTTACACAAGAGAATTCCCCAGGATGATGAAAAAGGCAACTAACTGAAGTGCTAGATGAGGAGGGTAGATAGACAAAACAGTGCAGAAGGAACAAATAAAAATATTGCTTTGTGCGGAGGATTCTAGACCATAAATATACACTTGTAAACATTTGTCCTTTATAAGTGTCTGAGTAACTACACATATGGATTTCCTTAAGCCCATAGTTCATCAATGGAATACAGTGATACTGCGGATTCACTCACTGGATCCAGCTTGAGTAACCAAATCTTTGGATGAAAAGGCAGATCTAACACTCTCCATTAAGCCAGATCTTGCTTTCTCTTAAACAATCCCATTCTATTTCTTTAATAGCTCTGAAGTACACAGATAAATATACAGTACATATTATGTGTGGTTTGTCTACATATGTGTATATGTGTGCATGTCCTCATCATAGTTACATATTCACATTTTCATGTATATTTAAACTTATCTTTGAAATCAGTCTCCCTGTGACTCCATCCACTGGGTTTCTGTTGCTGTTTAAAACAAATCTGATAGGTTATCCAAATAGCCATTGAAGGGAGCTTCTTACCACCTTGAATAACTTCTCTGGTAACTTAAAATATTGCTACGATAGTTTTTCATTCAAATAGTAGGGTTTTAAATTGTTACTATTAGTTGCCTAATTTTTAGTATGAATATTAAAAAATACATGTATTTACATATTTTAATGTGTATTTATATATTTTAATATGTATGTTCAAGTATTGAATTCTGTATGTTTTTTACACTTCTAAAGGAAAGATTCCATGTGATAAATGTGCAGAAGACTTACAGTATCATATCATTCACCCTAGCAAGAGCAGTAAAAAATTAACTATGCCACAAACTTCAGACATGAATTAGTCTTCCATCAGAGTGTAAAAGCTGCCCTTGCCTTGATTCTGATTCCATAGAGCTGCAAATCTTAATCATGATTTCTCCTTGACTACAGGAGAGACTCTGCTTATATCATAGGCAGGCAATAGACCAGTTGTTTCTCTTTTTTTTAACCACACTTGGTAGTTCAGAGTTCTTATGATACCCTTGAATTCATATATAACTGGTAATAGACCCCACATTCTTCTCATCATAATCATCTGCACACGTATATGGTGCATGTCTTTTTTGATGATACAAACATTTTCTACCTCAATCATAATATCTCTTCAATCGGGCCGGGTGTGTTGGCTCATGCCTGTAATCCACAGTACTTTGGGAGGCTGAGGTGAGCCGATCACCTGAGGTCAGGAGTTTGAGACCAGCCTGGCCAACATGGTGAAACCTTGTCTCTATGAAAAATACAAAAATTAGCTGGGCCTGGTAGCAGGGATCTGTAATCCTACCTACTTGGGAGGCTGAGGCAGGAGAATCGCTTAAATCAAGCGGGTGGAGGCTGCAGTGAGCCGAGATTGCGCCGCTGCACTCCAGCCTGGGTGACAGAGTTACTCAAGTGGGATTTTCTGGCTGAGAGTTTCATGAGGTCCCTCTTGAGGCTAAAATCAGAAAGCAGCTGTGGTTACAGTCATTTTGAAGACTTCTTCACTTATCCGGTGCTTAGCTGATGAAAATGTGAACAGCTAGTGGCTGTTCACATTTATATATATGTGTATATATATATATATATATATACGTATATATATATACGTATATATAAATATATAAAATATATATAAACATATATAAAAATATATATAAACTTATAATAAAATAAATATAAATAAATACACATAAAAAAATATGAGGTTTCACCATGTTGGCCAGGCTAGTCTCAAACTCCTGACCTCAAATGATCCGCCTTCCTCGGGTTTCCAAAGTGCTGGGATTACAGGCATGAAACACAGCACCCAGCCTATTTTCCTTTATTTTAAAAGGATATTTTCACTGTATATAGAAATCTGGAGCTAGCCACCCCAACACCAAAACTTTAAAAGATATTGCTCCACTGTATTTTGGCATCTATTGTATATCAGCAGAAGTCAGCTGAGATTATTTCCTTCCCTTTCTGTAATGGGCTGTTTGATTCTGACCGTTTCCAGGTTTCATGTTCATCTTTGGTTTTTAGCTGTATAACTATGATGGGTCTAGGCGTGTGTGGGTTTTTTTTGTTTGTTTGTTTTGCTTTTTTTTTGTGAGGTTCGCTGGGTTTTTTTGTTTGTTTTCAATTTGTAAGTTTGCATTTTCAAATTTAGGAAACTTTTAGCCCCCCTCTTTCTTCAGTTTTTCTTCTTCTCTATTCTATCTCCTGTCCTCATAGAATTTCAGTTATGGATATGTCAGATCTCTTGCTTAATGTCCCAGAGATTACAGAATTCACGACTTTGTTTTTTCCTGTCTTAGATTAGACAGAATCTGGTAGATTGAATCTGTTGATCTATCTTAAGAATTGTGAGAGGATTCCGGTTAGATAATTTCTGTTGATCTGCCTTCAAATTCCCAGACCCTTTTCCTGGCATCTCCAATATGGTGTTAAGAAGCCAATCTAAGTCCGGGCGCGGTGGCTCACACCTATAATTCCAGCCCGTTGGGAGACCGAGGCAGGTGGATCACCTGAGGTCAGGAATTTGAGACCAACCTGGCCAACATGGTGAAACCCTGTCTCTTCTAAAAATACGAAAACCATCTGAGCATTGCGGTGCACGCCTGTAATTGCAGCTACTCGGGAAGCTGAGGCAGGAGAGTCACTTGCACCTGGGAGGCAGATGTTGCAGCGAACCATGATCGTGCCACTGCACTCTAGCCTGGGCAACAGAGCAAGCCTCTGTCAAAAAAAAAAAAAAAAAAAAAAAAAAAAAAAGAAACAAAAGAAAAACACCACAAACAAAACAAAGAAGCCAGTCTAGTACATTTTAAATTTAAGATATTGTACTTCTGTTATAGAATTTACATTTACTCTTTCATATAGTTTTCATTTATCTGCTGTTACTCTGAATGTGTTCACTCATGATAGTACATTTATCCCTATGTTTATGAATATATTTATAAGATACGATAAAATCCTTGTCAGCTAATCTCTGAGGACTTGGAGAAACTGAAACTCTCATGTACTGTTGGTAGGAATGTAAATTGGTACAACTCCTTTAAAAGAGGCTTTGGCAATATCTATTCCCATGAAGCATACACATCTTCCATGACACAGCTATTTGACTTCTAAGTGTACACTGAAAAGAAATAAATATCTCTGAAAGAAGATATAAACAAAAGTATTTATACCACCATTAATTATAATCATTGAAATCTGAAAAATCTCAGATATCCAATTTATCAAAATTGTAATAATTATATAAGCTAGTATATTAAAGCAATGTATATTAAACATCAAATAAATGAACATACTGCTTCTACATGCAAGGTTTTGGTAAACATTGAAAACTTTGATTTAAATGAGCCAGATACTAACTAATCTATATTGTTAGAATAAATTTAGAAGTTTGTGGATTTGTTTTTTTGATCCTGGAAATTTAGAAGTTGTGGGTTTGGTTTTTTTATTGTTTTTGGTTTTTTTGATTAGTATGGGGAAGGCATAAACAAAGCTTCTTGGTTGCTGCTATGGTTTAGATGTTTGTGTCCTTCTCAAAATTCACATCGGAATGTAATCCTCATTATGGTAGTCTTAAGAGGTGGGATATTTGGGGAAGAGATTAGACCATGAGAGCGCTGTCCTGTTGAATGGAATTAATATCTTTATAAAATGAGTGTGCAGGAGCCGTTTAGACCTTCTTGCCTCTCTACTTTCTGCCATGTGAGAATGAAGCAAGAAGACCTTCACCAGCTGGAAAGCCGATGCCTTGATCTTGGACTTCCCAGTCTTCAGAACGGTGAGAAACACACTTCTGTTGTTTATAAATTACCCAACCTGTGATATTCTGTTATAGCACTGGAAAAAGACAGTTGCTATTAATATTTTAATAATCTGGGAAATAGTTACGTGCATTTTTTGTAAGAAATCATCAAGTTGTACACGTAAATGTGTGCACTTTTCTGTACATCACTTATCTTTGTTATAAAAAGGCTGACATAAAAATAAAAGATAGGCCACATCTTTATTCACCTCTTCCCCTTTCCCGCTGCTAATGTGAATGAGATGGTTGGAGCCATCTAAGACAGTGTTGTGAAGTACTAAGTATCAAATAACAGTAGATGGAATATGGGGATATGCATAAACTAATAGATTTATATTCTGTGTGAGACAGGTAAACTTCTATCTTATTAAAAATAAAAATACATGTACCTATCAATGGAACAGTTGTGCTATCTAAAGTTAGTTGATAATATTTTGTAAATAATTTATTACCTGATACAGCTGCTAACTTAGGGAACTGAAATTCTTCCATGTCCAGAGATTTTATAATAAGATATAAATCCTGCCTAAGTCTGCAGTTATTTTTTTCAATACAGAAAGATGTATTAACACTCTCCTTACAATTGTACTTCATGGTTCAGTGCATATATCACATCCACACTTACAAGGTGTCTTCTAGCTGGTGCTGGAATTGTCTTCAGTATTCAAACGTATTATTTTATAAGGTCATCTATACCAGAGTGATAGAGGATATGATGATATCAATTAATTCTGTGAGAATCAATTTTGCTAGAAGGCAATTTTCATGGTATAAAGCAACACTGTATGGGCCATCATGATTGCCAAAGAGACACTCAGTAAGTCCAATAGTATTTTGGGGAAGATAAACCTATGTCCCACATAAGCGATTATTCCACTATCAAAAATGTAAGAAAGGTGAAAATATCTATAAATCTCCATTTGACATATATGTTTTATCTGGACAGAAAACAGTGGGAACTGGGGAATAACACTTGATTATCCTTTCACCAGGATCATTTGTAGCAATTCCATTTCATATTGGTCATCTGCTTTAGCAAATCAACACAACGCCCAGCTCCTGAAATATAGCTTCTGATGTAACAAATGTGTATTTCTTACAAAAGATAGAACCTTGGAAACAATATGTCACCTAAAGATTAAAGTATCCTGCCAAAACCTCTGTCACATAATTAGTCTCAAACCAGAAGTCCTATTTATATAGCCCAAAGGATACAATTTTGATCCTCAACATTGATGTATATATTTCCATATGATTATGAAAATATCTACTTATGAAAAAATATGTACTTATGAAATGTTTAATTATGAAAATATTTTAAAAGCCCAATGTGATTTTTAAAACAGTCCTATAGGTAATAGTTTACTGTATCCATGTAGTCATCCCCAAAAGGAGAAATTATATGCAGAGAAGTCAATGGTGTGAGAAAAAACTTAGACTTTCATGTGTATTTTTTGCCTAAAAGGAAAAGTTGAAGCATTAATATTTACTAATGTTCAGAATAAGGATTGACACTACCACTTTCACTCATTACAGATGCCAGAGGGTCACATGGCCTAGATTTAGGCTTCTGGAGGAAACACAGGGAAAATCACAGCGCAAGGGTTATAATTGACACCTTCATGTGTTAATGAGCTTCCTTCATACTGCAATGCATTTTTATTTCTGCACTGTGGAATAGATGTGTTCTTATGTTTTTAAATATAAGATTTTTACCCTTTCCAGACTGTGAGATAGTGGAAGGGGATAGGTGGGGTGGTTAATAGATACAAAAAATAGTTAGAAGAATAAATAAGATCTAGTATTTGATAGCACAACAGGATGATATGGTTAATATTAAGAGTAATTTAATTATACATTTGGATTGTTTATAACACAAAAAATAAATGTCTGAAGTGATTAATACCCATTTACCCTGATGTGATTATTACACATTGTATGCCTGCATCAAAATATCCAGTATACCCCATAAATAAATACTATGAACCCACAAACAATTTTAAAAATTAAAAATTAAGGTTTTATGTAGGAGACACTTTAAAAGATAATATAAAGAATAAATATGAGTATAAGCTATTTCATATCACACAGTAATTATTCTGTGGTAAGAAATTTTTAGATATCAAATGAAATTAGGCAATTTTTAAAATGTATTATAAAAAGAAAAATCCAATTATTTTGATTTTGTAGGCACTTCTATAAAAAAGAGTCAATAGTATTTTGCTATGCTGCATATATTAAATCACACATACACATACCCAACTTTCAGGCACACAGAAATACACATACAGAAGCACCACTCAAAGCAAAGCCAACATCTTAACAATAATTAAGAACATAACTTTCTTCTTGAAAGAAACTCATGCTATAGATATAAACTTCCGTTTAAAAATATTTTTCTAGTTGTACTGTTTAGTTGCCATAAACACTACAGTGAGTTAAATATAAAAATCTTATAACTTAAAATTTTAATGTTTGAAACTTTTAGTATAATAAAAATTCTTTAAAAAGAATTTTTGTTTTTTTCTTCTTTTTCCCCAACAACATACAGTTGACTTTAGAGAATGTTGACATTTAATTGCATAAGTTCAACAAAATCATTTGTAAAGCCAGTAGGTAAAATTGGTAAATAAATTAGTATGATTCCATAAGCACGGACAAGGAGGAGGTTCTTCCACTTGGATCTCTGTGTTTGCTTGGTTTTTCCCCAGTTCCTACAGCTTTAAAAAAGTTCAAATCACTGGATTATAAAGGAATTTCAAAAATTAATGAAGTATTTCAAATCAAGTGTTTATGCTTATACACAATATTTAAAATCATTGTCTTTATCTCATTACTTTAAATATGATTTTTAAGCATATATTATAGCATATATAAGATATAAAAATTTGTGCAATCAAAAATGACAACAGTGATATTACAACCAATCCCACAGAAATAGAAAAGATCCTCAGAGACTATTATGAACACCTCTAAGCACACAAACTAGAAAATCTAGAGAAGATGGATAAATTCCTGGAAACACAAACTTCCAAGATTGAATCAAAAAGAAATTTAAACCCTAAATAGATTATTATCAAGTTCCAAAATTGTATCAGTAAAAAAAAAAAACCTACCAATGAAAAAAAGCCCTTTACCAGATGGATCCATAGCTGAATTATTCTAGGCATACAAAGAAAAGCTAGTACCAATTCTGCAGAAACTATTCCCGACAATTGAGAAGAAAGCACTTCTCCCTAAATCATTCTACAAAGGCAGCTTCAATATTATACCAAAATCTGGCAAAGACACACAAAAAAACTACTGGACAAAATCCCTGTTGAATATAGATGCAAAAATCCTGAACAAAGTACAGGCAAACCTATTCCAGCAGCATATCAAAAAGTTAATTTGCTGTAATCAGGTAGGCTTTATTCTTGAGATGAAAAATTGATTTAACATGTGAAAATCAATAAATGTAATTCATCATGCAAACAGAATTTAAAATAAAAACCATGTGAGCATCTCAATAGATGCAGAAAAAATCTTTTGATACAACTGAACATCCCTTCATGATAAAAACCTCAACAAACTAGGCATTGAAGGAATTTACCTAAAACAATAAGAGCCATATAAGATAAATCTATAGCCAACATTATATTGAGTGAGCAAAAGCTGGAAACATTACCTTTGAGAATAGAAATAAGACAAGAAAGCCCACTCTCACCACTGGTATTCAACATTCTATGGGAAGTCCTAGTCAGAGCAGTCAGGCAAGAGAAAGAAATAAAAGGCATCCAAATAAGAAAAGAAGTCAAATTATCTTTCTTCACTGAAAGTATGATTCTATACCTAGAAAATCCTATAGATTCTACCAAAAAAAATCCTAGAACTGATAAACAACTTGAGTAAAGTTTTAGGATACAAAATAAGAGTACAAAAATCATAACATTTCTACACACCAGAAACATTCAAGCTGAGAGTGAAATCAAGAACACAATCACATATACAACAGCTACACACACAAAATACCTAGGAATACATGTAACCAAGAAGGTGAAAGATCTCTACAAGGATAATTACAAAACATGGCTAAAAGAAATTATAGATGACACAAACAAATGGAAAAATATCCCATGCTCATGGATTGAAAGAATCAATATTGTTAGTGACCATACTGACCAAAGCACTCTACAGGTCCAATGTTGTTTCTATCAAATTACCAACGTAATTTTTCACAGAATTAGAAGAGCCCAGATTGCCAAAGCAATCCTAAGTAAAAAGAACAAAGACAGAGGCATCACATTAGCCTACTTCAAACTATACTATAAAGCTACAGTAATCAAAACAGCATACTACTGTTACAGAAACAGACACATAGACCAATGAAATAGAATAGAGAATTCAGAAATAAAGCCAGACACCCAGAACCATCTGGTTTTTGAAAAAGATGACAAAAATAAGCAATAGGAAAAGAACCCCAGTTCAATAAATGGTGCTGGAATAACTAGCAAGCAGAAGAGTGAAACTAGATCTTTACCTTTCAGCACATTAAATAAATAACTCAAAATGCGTTAAAGATATAAAGATTTAAATGAAAAATCTCAAACTATAAAAATCCCAGAAGAAAGTGTAGGAAATATCATTGAGAACATTGGCCTTGGAAAAGTCGTAATGACTGTCCTCAAGAGCAATGACAACAGAACCAAAAATTGACAAGTGGGACCTAATTAAGTGCTTCTGCACAGCAAAAGAAATTATCAACAGAGTAAACAACCCATGGAATGGGAGAAAATATTCACAACCTATGCATCCAACAAAAGTCTAACATCCAGAATCTATAAGGAACTTAAACAATTAAACACACAAAAAACAAATAACCCCATTAAAAAGTGGGCAAAGGCCATGAACAGACACTTCTCAAAAGATGGCATACACATGGCCAGTAAACATATGAAAAAATGTTCAACATCATTAATCATCAGTGAAATGCAAATCAAAATTGCAAGGAGATACCATTTCCCACCAGTCAGAGTGACTGTTACTAAAATGTCAAAAAATGCAGAGGCCTGTGAGACTGCAGAGAAAATATGATACCTACATACTGTTGGTAGGAACGGAAATTAGTTCAGCCACTGTGAAAAGCAGTTTGGAATTTTCTCAAAAAACTTAAAACAGAGCTACCATTTGACCCAGCAATCCCACTAGTGGGGATATACACACAGGAAAATGAATGGTTCTACCAAAAAGACACAGACTTCTATGCTCATTGCAACACTATTCACAGTAGCAAAGACATGGAATCAGCCTAGGTGTTCATCAACTTGAGTGGATTGGATAAAGAAAATGTGGTACATATACATAATGGAATATTAGGCAGCTATAAAAAATAATGAAATTATGTCTTTTGCAGCAACATGAATGTAGCTGGAGGCCATAATCCTAAAGGAATTAACGCAGTGACAGACAAATGTTCTCACTTAGAAGTAGGAGATAAACATTTGGTACTCATGGATGCAAAGATGTCAACAACATACACTGGGGACGACTAGAAAGGAGAAGAAGAAAGGGGAGTAAAGGTTGAAAAACTACCTAATGGGTGCTATGTTCACTACCTGAGTGAGAGGATCATCCAGACCACAAATCTCACACACAATATGCTCATGTAACAAATCTGCAAATGTACTCCCTGCATCTAAAGTAAAAGTTGATATAATTTATTAAAATATGCACATTTTAGTTGTTAAATTAATTTTAATTTCATATTGATATGGATGTATGGGCAACATCATTTTGCAATGAATACAGTCTTTGTCACCCTATGGTACACACATCAATTTGTTCAACAAGAACTTTTAATTGCCTATTATAGAACACTGTAGCACCACCATTGGCTTGGCACAATGGGGAGCAATTTTTCTACAACAGATCTAACAATGAATTATATATTTATTTCTATATTTAAAAAATTTACTGTTGCATTTTATTTATTTTAAAGATCATAATTGATATTAAATCAAAGAATAATTGAGTTATAATTATAAAATTTAAAGGTTAACAATAGATATAATTAAATTATTTTTAAATTTAGAAATACAAATTGAACACATTCTTTGCCATGAAAAGTATAGAAAAAGTGTATGTGATTTTCAGATTTATATTCATACAAACCAGGATTATGGCTTCCTAAAACACAGATTTAGTTGATATTGGATCTTTATTTATGTGAGAGTGGCTTATATATTTTAAGTTAGCTAATGCTACCAGGAAAGAAGGAAACTTCAGTGAGACATGTGGAGCCTTTCTATATTGCTGTGATCTTGTTTATATTTAGTCTGCTTTCTAACACATGTATCAATATGTTTTTAAAAATTCGGATAGTAATATTTTATCCTTTGTGTGCCACACAGTCTCTGTTGCAGCTGCTCAACGGTGCTGTTGATATGTAAAAGTAGCCACAGCCTATGCATAAGTGAATGAGTGTGATTCTGTTGCAACAAAAATTTATTTATGAAGGTAGGCAAGGGTCTGTATTCCAAGACAATTCTTCATGGATCTCTAATATTTCTGCCCCATCTTGCTGGCAAAAGATTTATCGGCAAATTTTCTCCAGGGTATCTTTCGAATGCCGTTGGCATTATTGGAAGAATTTGAAGGTAAAGATAATGTGCCCTTTTGGAGAAGATTTGGTTACCTTCCAGGATCATAAATATTAAATAACTCTTCTTCTAGAGATTGGGCAGGTTTGCTAACAGCCCTTTTAATAAGATCACATCTTCCTAATATTCTTCCCCAGTAACGCACCTCACTGCGTGTGCTGGCACGTCTGACCATCATTCATGTGAAAATTGGGATTGAGTCAACCCAAGCAAAGATGTTAATCTGTTTACTGCTATTGTTGTGAATAAAAACTCTAATGGGCTCTGCCAGTGTCTATAAAATTGCGGTAGGTTATTTTATCAATAGAAAACAGACTAAAATCTCAGAGCCTCCACAATTCTTGACAAACCAGATCTAGACAGAAGGGAAAGTTGAATGATTAATGTATTAAGTAATTCTCTTGGTGTCTTTATTTCAATAGCTGGTTTTGCTTTTTTCCAGAATGAACTGCCTATGACTTTTTTTTTTTTTTTTCAAGTGGTTCTAAGATTTTACTCTAAGTAGCTTAGGACATCAAGTAAAGTGTTGATTACATAGCTGAACCTGTGTAGTTTGACCCAAGGGATTTTCAAGTGTTATGCAATAAGATTGTGATTAAGAAAAAAGTATTTACATACTAACATGCTGCATAATTTCCACGATCCTATTTTTTACCCTTAGGTAAGCAGATAATCTCCAACTTGTAATGGTTTGTTAATGATTTTTCAACTTCGCGTTGAATTTATTGGGTTATTAAGCGTATTTTTGACTTAGGAAATTTTCAGCTTACAGTGGGTTTATCTGGATGTGACCCTATCATAAGTCAAGGAGCATCTGTGTTTCAGTGTCAGCAACTGCTTTCTTTACTGGCATAAATAACTGAAATCTATAAACTTATTCCTGCAACAACTCAAACATATGAAGGCAATCCTGACAATATTTAGGTCTCTAGCACTATAGGTAAGCAGAGTCTGGAGTTACTGCTGATTGCCTGACAATTTGGATTTCTAGTCACTAGCATCAGAATTGAGCTGTCACTTTCATTTTAACTCCTAACCGCCACACTTAATGTATCACGGTATTTCCAGATTTTCTAACACTAAGTCATTTTTACATTCTTATAGCAAATCCTTCTCATCACCATGGATTATCCTTTTAATATATATTTGAACCAAATTTGATAGTATATTATGTCAGGTTTTTGCATGTCTCTTTAATAAATTAAATGAATCCAGACATTTTATTATATTATCATTGTAAATGTTTGTCTTTAAGTTGAGTTTAGAAGAGTAATTGAGCGGATTTGTATCATGTAATCCTAGGATCACTGAATACCATGAATATTTTCCCTTCTTTATTAACTTTTAAATACTCACATAAAAGCCTCTGGACCTGAGATCTTGGGGATATAGGTGAGGGTGTTTCTGTGACTTTTGTTTTTATGGGTAGGTTTCTCTTTGACATTTTTATTTTTCAGTACAATGTAGGTGTTCTACATTATCAGCCAATGTTTATAATTTATGTTTTTTAAACAAATCAAATCTGTGGTTCTTGTTATTGAACTTTTCAAAATTATCTTTATAGACTAGTACAATTTTTAAAATATATATAATTTTAAATCACCTATTTATTATAAAAATTGCATACCTATAGTATTATTTTTATAATAAATATATTTATTATATTTATTACACTGCTTAAATAACAAAATTAATTTTATTATTTTTTTAAAAACATTTGTAAAAATTGCAGAAGATGCCAATATGTCCCTTGAGTCGCCTTATGTATCTTATTTACCTTCCCAGAATTAGCCAGTGTCATCATTGTGGTGTATACATGCAAACTTGGATATGTTCTTCGGGATATTTTCTGTTCAATATTCTTTGGCCAGTTTTCTAACTGGATGTCATATATCTATTAGTTTTTAGAAACCTTTTATTATGAATAGTAAAAGTCCCTTATAATTGAACCAAGTTTTTCCTCAAGTTGTCAATTTTCATAATTGTTTTTCTATTCTTTTTTTGACAGAGATGATTAAAATTTTAAATAAGTAAATTGTATCATCCTGTCAATATGGCTTTTTAATCATATTTTTAAGATATTTCTATACCAAGAGATGATTATTTTTCTAGATTTTTTTCTTTAAAGGTATTGTCATTTTCTCTCTCTCATACATCTTGACTTTAATAATTTGCAATTTACTATTGTATTTTAAATTTTTTATTGTGGAAAGTTTCAACCAGTCAAAAACAGACAAAATGGTACAATGATCCTCTGGGCCCATCATTCAGCTTCAATAGTTATCAACTCATTGTTTTTCTTATTTCATCTTTTCCCCCAAATATTTCCTTTCTGTCATTTTATTCACTTACTTTTATTCTTTTTTATTTTTCATTTACCTCTTTAAAAATTTGACAGAACATAGAAAATTAGTTATTGGTATATTTCTTAGAAAAATGTAAACACTTAGTATATTTCTTGGTAACCTTTATTTTTTGGAGTACTCTACAAATGAGTCCATATGTAATTGTTATTCATTACAGTCGATAACATCTTAAGTCTGTTCTTCAGTTTGTTTTCATAAGGCTCCCATATGGACAACAAAAACATTTAGTTTATTGAGCATATAAAACAGGAAGGGAATTTTAGAATCTATAAATAATCTGAGATATTTTATGCTTGATTTACTGTTCTTGCTCTCATACAAAAATTGACAGGATTTACACAGAGAAAATTTTATGCTGACATAGTTGTTATTAAACAGAAAAACACACTTGTTCTATGCTAGTGTCAATATGGACTGTAGCTTTTCTTTTTAGATTTTATTTTTTCAGCTTTACTGAGATATTAATGACAAATAAAAGTTATATATATTTAAGGTATGCAGCATGACAATTTAATATATGTATACATTGTGAAATTGTGACCCCAACCAACCTAATTAACATATCCAATCACCTCACAGTTACTATTTTTTGTAGTAAGAACATTTAAGATCTACTTTCTTACCAAATTTCAAGTGTACAATACATTATTTTAGCTATAGACAGTATGCTGAACATTAGGTTGCCAGAATGTATTAATTTTATAACAGAAATTGTGTATCCTTTGGCCAACATCTTCCATTTCCCCCAACCAGCAGCCCCAGCAACCACCATTCTACTCATTGTTTCTGTGAGTTCAACTCTTTTGGATTCTTCATATAAGTTAGATCATGTGGCATTTGTTTTTCTATGCTTGGCTTAGTACACTTAGCATCATGTCCTCCAAGTTCATCCATGTTGCTGCAAATGGTAAGAATTTCTTCTTTTTAAAGGCTGAATGATATTCTGTTGTGTATATGTGCACCATATTTCCATTATTCAGTCATCCATTGAAGAGCAGTTAGACTAGTTTCATGTCTTTACTAACTTAGTATCATTCTTTGTTTCTTAAGGTAAAATTTTTATTGAGTAAAATTCACCCTTTTTGATGTACAGATCTTTCAGAGAGTGAGGCATTTTAGCATTGTGGTTAAAAGCAGCCACTCCATAATGTCTGTACTTCTTTATCATTTACTAGTTTTACAACTATGACTAGTTAAAATCTCCGTGAGTTTATGTACAAAAGATGTATCAGGGAATAAATAGAATATGTACTGGATTCATAGTTCTCTTGCTGGCAAAAGTTGAGTCTCCATGAAGCAGACCCTAAGACAGTGTTCAACATACAGAATATTGAATTTGGAGTACTTTGGGGATCAATACCTATGGAGAGGGCGTGAGGGAGACCATGTCCCTAACTTGGTCTTGCTGTTACTTAACCCAAGGAATAGGGCTAATAGCAGGATTCAGGGTGGGATCTTGATTCAGGGTGGGGGTACATATTGGCTTGCTAGGCAGAAGCCTTTGCATTGTCTTCAACAAGGAGTGGCAGTGATGCGGGTGAGAACTCCATGACAGCACTCAATGGTCTTGTGTGTATCCATGTAGGCCACATGGAAAAGGCTTGAGCCACCACTGATCTGAGTTTTGGTGTGAAACCTTGTGATTCTCTTGGAACATAAGAGCACGTGAGGCTTATAAGAAGCTTCCACAAGGCCATTTTCTCACTTGCTTCCCCCATTTACCAAAGAGATGATCATGAGAGATGTTTTCATTGCCTCCCATTTTCTGATGAAGCATGAAGATTTCTACTGTCCCTCTTGAGATGCAGCTTGCAGGCCATGAAACAAGTTGGTTGCAGTCTAGAATGGCCTCAGCAAATGGCATTCTATCACCCATGTTGAATTTTTCTCCCCTTTTACCTTAGTGTTGTCTTGTACAAGCGCCCTGGGAAGCTAGCACCTTTGGGCACTCTTTCCTTCACTGTCTATGGAAATAATAAATTATCTGAATCTTAAAATGGCTCATTGTTCCTTTATTGGTGTATTTTTCAGAACTTTGTCTTCCTTGTCTTGTGTTCTTGACAAGCAGATGCTAATCCTTAATAGAAACGAGAACACATGGACACATGGAGGGGAATGACATACACTGGGGTCTATCGGAGGGTGGAGGGTGTGAGGAGGGAGAGGATTAGGAAAAATAACTAATGGGAATTAGCCTTACTACCTAATTCCCCCATGGGTTTACTACCTAAATCCCCATGACCCAAGTTTACCTCTGTAACAAACATGCACATGTACACCTGAACTTAAAGTAAAAGTTTAAAAAAAATGTGCCACTTCTACAGCCTCAGAAGATTGGCAGGAATATAAAGTTTTAATGTTTTCAGGAACATCAGCCAAGAAGTCTCCATTCCAGACTAGATTTAGACATTGTAGCCGCATGACTACTTAAACTTAGAGTTTAGCTCTCCTGTCTGTATTGACAAAAAAATCATGGGCCTTGGCGTCTACTTTTTCTGCTCTTCTGCTCCAGGAGATAATAGATTCATTTTAGGTTACTTCTAGTTTGTAAAATTGACATTCAAATGCCTGTTAATTGCCATATAAAGCAGTATATCAGAATAATCTGGTAGGCATTTCTCTAACATGGACCACAGGGCCCCACCTCCATAGCTGTTAAGTTAGTGTGTTTAATGTGAGACTTGATTATTGGCATTTCTTACAAATTTCCAGGTTCAAACTCTGAGAACCATTGTTCCAGAGTACTCACCAGAGGTTAGCCAAACATACCCAATTCCTGGCTAGTAGATTTTTTTCGACCCATGCCAACTTAAATCACCACCTGAACAACTGGAAATTCACCCTTTACCAGGGCTATTTGTGCTCTACCTACTAGCATTGATGGAAGTCTTCTTACCAACTAGTCATCACAATTCAGGTCTAAAACTTTATCTTACTGCCTGATATCTTGGACCACTCTTGGCACCCAGTATTGCAAGTTGGATTCTCTAGGAAGAAGACACCAACCGAGGTGGTAAGTAGTGTGCAGGATACTTTATTAGATAGCGCCTTTGGGATATGAACATGTGGAAGGGAGGATAAAAAATCAGGATTAGGCAGAAGGAGAAATCAAGCTCTCATACAGACTCCATGAAAACTTTGGCAAAGTGCACTGGGAACTCTGGAGTTAAAACCAACCACCCACCATATTGTCCCATAGTGGTCTAAAATAGCTAAGTGTTTTTACCAATGCCTCTATCAATCAGCAATTTGATATGGGCCACTCTGTAAAAGGCAGGACTTTTAATAAGCTGTTTCTCTCTAGCTGAGGCACCTGACAGCTGAAAGCTGCCTAGAGCTCTCCAAACAACTGGGACTAAAGCCCTTTTCTGAATAGCATAACACCTCTTCCACCTCACAGAATATAATTGATGGCTGTTATTATGTCCTTTAAAAAATTCGCAAATCTTGACAAGCATATTCCTGGGTATGTTTTGATCATGCTGCCATTGCAAATTAAGTCATTGTACTTATTTTGTTCTAAATGCCATTTCTCATAGAGGGTAAGGCAATTGTTTTCTTGTAAATTGATTTTTTACTTAGTCGTCTTGCTAAACTATTCTGTTTTTTGTTTTTTACTATTTGGGTTTTATCTTGCTTGGAAATAGTACAGTTTGGAAATAATAAGGGTTTGTTTTTCTTTTGCAATATGTTGTTTATGTTTTACTGCCTTTATGGATTGTGTTGATTAAGATTCAGTAAAAGATAAATAGTTTATGTGACAATGAGCCCTCATGCTTCTTTCTATTTTCAATGGGGACATTTAGCATATTCAATATTAATGATCATGTTTAATTTAGGGCTTTTATTAATATATCTTTTCAAACATATGAAGATAAAGAAATTTTGTTCTATTTCAAATCCACAAGTAATTTTATTGTGAAGATGCATCAAACTTTATTTTTTTGTTGCTTCTATTGGCTTTTGTAACCCCAAAAGATTAATAGATTTTTCCTTAAAATCTACTGAGTTAGATAATAAGTTTTCTAATGTGAAATTACCATTTTACATTAGAAACCCTAATGGCACAGTAATCTTTTTAACACAGTGATAAATTCTATTTGCAAATATACAATAAGAAAGTTATATCCTTCTTACTTTTCATTTTTGAGCCAGCTGTTTTTTAATATTGGACTTATACTAGCCCATTAAATAAATTGGGAAGCTCTCCATATTTCTATGTGATCATATTTTCAATATAATATTATATTGCAATAAAATGTATTTTAAAAGAAGCTATTTCAGTTTTAGTTTGGCCCAAGAACCCAAAGTATTAAATAAAGCATTTCAAAATATAGATTTTGCAGGAACCAACGTTAACAAAACAAAACCTGTAAAATAAGAAGAAGGGAAATCTGTTGGATGTTCAGTTTCTTAGATTATGTTTTATACAATTGTATACAATGTATTTTACATGTAGTAAAAAACAGAATAATTATAAAAATATTAAAATATTCTGAATTTAACCTTACCTTTTTAAAACCTAAGGGTTATAGGTAAAATTATGAGGGGTCATAAACTACATTTATTATTAAAAACAGCTCTATATTGACCAATGTTAACAAAAAGAAAACTCAGACATTTGGTTAGCATGAAATGTCATTTATTGTACACCGGACAGAAATAGTTCCAGTCATTAAATACCAGATATTAAAGAATATGCCTTTTCAAATTGAATTTATAATTGTCCCTAGACCCAACACTCACATCAAATTTAAGGAAATATTGTTGCTTTTATTACAGAGTGCTTTGCCTTTGACTAAAGAACAGAGAAAGAACTGATCACAATGAGCATTCCCTTCACTCTGCACTGTACAATAATTGCAACTTGAAACCACGGTACATTAATTGAAAACTCTAAAGGAAATATTCAGGACATCTGTGTGTTATTAATAATGCATTTTGTATTATAGTGTTTTATTGTACATTTTTGGAGTAACAAGAAAATGTTTCCAGAGGTTTGTCCAGTTGTGCTTTAAATAGACACCAGTATTTCCATTTATTTAAGTAAAATAAATAAAATAAATGAGCTCAGTACCAGCTCTAAAAACAAATGAGACCATTAGAGTTTCTTTCCGTAAGTTTGAGTCTGATCACTTATAGGACGGGGGCAGAAAAATAGGTGGACTATGACTTATTTATTTGGCCTTTAGATAAACAAACAAACAAACAAACATACACACACAAAAAGGTAGATTTTTCATCAGTGAGGGATTGTAGAACATAAAATCTGTGATATTATTCCACTGCTTAGGGATATGCTCTGGACGGTTTACATTACAACACATCGAAAGTCAACTCAGTGTGTCTGAGAATGGACAACTAACTTGTTTTGACAGTCCCATTTCTCATTCCTACTTTTCAACAGTCATACTGTCTTAGATTGCTTAGGCTATTATAATAAAATACTATAAACTGAATAGATTATATACAACAGAAATTTATTTCTCACAATTCTGGAGCCTGGGAAGTCCACAATCACAGCAATGGCAGATACAGTGTCTGGTGGTGCCCTGTTTCCTCATAGACAGCTATGTTCTCACTGTAACCTCACTTGGAGAAAGGGGTGAGGGGTCTCCCTCTGTTTTCTTTTATGAGGACTTTAATCTCATTCATGAGGATTCCTTCCTAATGAACTTGTGACCTCCTAAAGACCTCACTTCTATACCATCATATCGAAAGTTAAGATTTCAATGTATCAATTTGAGGGAGATGCATATATTCAGTCCACAGCACATACTAAACTAAGAATACATAACAATGTGTATTTTATGGTATTTTAACAGAACAAATACTCTAAACTTTGTAATTAAAATATTTTTTATTTATATTTGTAATACTTCTAGTTCCCAGGAAAATATTTACATCAACTTTGAATTTTTTATGTAGGTCTGCAGCACTCCTCCTTGTTACAGGCATTTTAAATTCCTAATACAGTCTTAGTGACAGGTTATCTGACACAAAGATGTATACAAGCTTTTGAAGAAAAAGACTGTTTTGGAAATGTTTGGTTTGTTTGTTGTATCTTTTCACCATTTAATTTTGTCTCATGCATAATCTGATGTCTCTTAAAGAGGGCACATATGAAACATTTCAGCTTTCAGGTGCTCAAACAAAATATTCCACTGTGCTCATGACAAACCTAATAGATTCTAGAACTAAAATGTAGATATAAGGGATGTTTGCGAGCTTTATTTATTAAGTCAGGTTTAAATTAGGTCTGATTATCTAGATCTTTTTCCCACAAATTCTAATTTTGTTCCATGTTGATTTGGATTGTTATATTATACCCATTTTACCATACATCTTCTAAGTGCCTAATTAAGTTCATCTGCTGAATGGGATGATAAATATGAATTTAATATCTGGTGATAACAATATCAGAACTTTAGTCTTTTGGGGACTCAAAACACTTTTTCCACTTCAATGTTTAGATAATGAGAACCTTTTTTTTTTTTCCTTAGTTGGCAGAATACATTTTTTTTTAAATTAAAGTCTTGGCTTTCATTGCTTTTACAATATCACCTCTTCCAAAAAGCATTCTTTGGTTCTGTCACGTAATTTTTGCCTGAAGAGGCTTTTATTATATGATGCCAGCTCCCACCATGAGGTTTGGGGCTGGGTTTTATTCCTCTGTGTCAGAGTATTTCACACTTTGAGAGTATCTGGCACATTCAACCAGCTCAATGTTTGATGATAAATGAGTTAGGTTTTACTTTCATTTGACTACTTTTAAAATGGTTAATAGCTAAAGTTTAACTATATTACTATGATCAATTGCTTTATAATCATTTTTGATTTGAAGACAAAACAATAAAACTCCATGTGTCACCCATTTTCATATATTTTTGAAGATTATTTTAACAGTAAAATATTGAAAAAAACCTTAGGGTATACTTTTGGTTGCCTTCCAAAAAACCATTTATGCCCTATATCCCTTGAGGCAAAATTCCTTTTTGTCTCTTCATCCCTAGTTTATTTAAAGAAGAGGACGTAGCCCTCTTGTCTTTAGTAAAGCTTGAACATATCCTAATGATCTAATTTCCTTTGTTATTATTAGTTAGGAGTGAGAATGATTTTGGTTTCCAGCTAGTGGAGCAAGAGAGAAAGTCCACTGGATGCTTCTGAGATGGTCTTCTGGCTAATCAAAGAATATTTATAGGAAGACTCAGTGACATTTTACGGTTCAAAGTTGGCTGTTATGAATGCAAATTGTGGAATTATGCTGGCCAGCTTCATGAGGAGAACTAAGCCAATTTACTGAAGATGACAGAAAGGTGAAAAGCCACTTTTTAAAAATGTCACTAAGACAATAAATTGAACAGCTCTGTGATTTATCTATCTAAAAACTTAAGTGACATAATGAATATTTTCTAAATTTTAGTTCACTTTTATTTGGGTTTTGTTTCTCGCACCTGAGATATAAATCATGAACTTCTAAAAATTGTCATTCAAGAATTTTTAATAAAATTGTGTTTGAAGAGTGATGTTTTTAAACCTATGAAATGGCTGTGAATGGTAAATTTATATAACTTTTTTAACTTTTATTTTAAGTTCAGGGGTACATGTGCAAGTTTGTTACATAGGTAAACTTCTGTCATTGGGGTTTGTTGTACAGATTATTTCAACACCAAGGTATGAAGCCTAGTACCCATTACTTATTAGTTCCTGATCCTTTCCCTCCACCTACCCTCATCCTCTGACAGGCCCCAGTATGTGTTGTTGCCCTCTCTGTGTTCATGTGTTTTCATCATTTAGCTCTCACTTGTAAGTGATAACATGTGGTATTTGGTTTTCTGTTTCTATGTTAGTTTGCCAACGACAATGGCCTCCAGCTCCCATGCAAAGGACATGATCTCATTCTTTTCCATGGCTGCATAGTATTCCATGGTGTATATGTACCACATTTTCTTAATAATAACTTTTAATTGTCTCACATGTGGTGAGTCAGGCTTTCAAGGTTCAAGCAGTGAAAATATTCTCAAGAAGTTCTTTTTTAAGAAAATGCTATGTGGGAAAAAAGGAAACACTTCTTCAAATGAGCCATGAACTAGCCAAATATTATCATTTGATCAGCCCAGCTGACAGAATTAGCAGAAGAACAAGAAGCTTCTCTGGCAAAAAGGCACAAAGAAGGTGTCATAAACAGAGTAAAAGATAAAGATAGTGACACAAAGCAAACTAGACACAAGCTATTACTCTCATGAAGAATGAACAGATCTATTCTCTATGTATGAGATTTTAAAAACGCGAGAAATATTCAACTAAAGCAGACAATTATCAGCTTAGGAACTGTGTACTCAGAACCTGGGGATTTAAGGATGCTACCGTCACTTTATACATGAGTGACATGAAACATATTTTATACTGAAAAAAAATCTGTTTCCTTCTAATGCCCTACTAATAGCTTCCCAGTGATGTAAACAAATGTCTTCACAAAAAAGAAAGTTTTTCAGAAATACAGAATTGTGATTTCCAGACTGACACTGTTTCAGTTCCAATTCTAGCTCTGCAGATCCTAGGTGTGTCATTGTGAGGATTAAAGCAAATGATGCATTAAGCCATTATACATGTAATCATTCATTAAATGCTAATTGTCATAGTTCTTGAAAAATCTGATAATAGTTGAATAGTTAATGCCTTATGTATTCATCAGACAAATAAGCATATAATTATAGATGTGATAAGAAATACTTAGTTAAGTGATTTTCAATACCCTGTAGAGTCATAGGAGGATGTCTTAAGGAGGTGGTTGCCGAGCTATGACTTGAAGGGGTCAGGATAAGCAAGAGATAAGGGCAGGGAGAAGGTATAACAATAGCCCTCAGGAACTTTCTATGCAGAGACCCTGAGGCTGGAAGAAGACAGTATTGCAAATAATTTTGACAACGACTGGTGAACACTAGTATATTTATGTGAGTGTATATATATATATATATATGCATCTAATATAGATGTATGTATGTGTGTGTGCACATATAGATGTATGTATGTGTGTGTGATCATATATATATATATATTTGTAATACTTCTAGCTCCCAGAAAAAAATATATACATGCACACACACATACGTACATCTATATTAGACTATATTTTCAATGAGAGCCTCCTCATTGTTAGTTTTCTGGCTATGGGAATAGTGATCACTTATACCCAACAACTAGTTGAGATTTTAGCAGAAACTTGTCACTCCATAAATATTCACGGAAATATAATTTTATGCATATATATCTACACACACACGTGCAAGTATGCTAATTGCCTTAGGCAATAATATATGAACATTTAGAAAAAAATTTTGGCTGGGCATGGTAGCTCATGCCTGTAATCCCATCACTTTGGGATGCTGAGGCAGACAGAATGCTTGAGCTCAGGACTTTAAAGCCAGCCTGGGCAACATGGTGAAACCTCATCTCTACTAAAAATACAAAAACTAGCTGGGTGTGGTGGCACATGCTTGTAGTCCCAGCTACTTGGGAGGCTGAGGTGGGAGGATGATCTGAGCCCAGGAAGTCAAGGCTGCAGTAAGCCCTGATCACACTACGCACTTCAGCCTGGGTGACAAAGACGACACCCTGTCTGAAAAAAAGAAAAAAGAAAAATAATTGTGCATTTGGCTGCTTATTTAAAACAAGCTGCTGTTGAGTAGTTGTGTTCAAGGAAGGTAAAATTAAGAAAGGTCCTGTGTAGGCTGAATATTTGGATATAACTGAGGTACAAGAGAAGAACTGTTAAGAAAACATAAATATAATTACAGCAAACATTGTACATTTCAAGTTCCTTTAATATTATATATAAATTTACATATTATATTGACTTTTCATATATATGTAAACAAATCATTATTTGTGAGCCAGATTTGGAAGTATTAAGACTTTGAAATGCCCATATGGGTCAAAAAACCTTTCTTCTTCATTCTTTTCTTCTTTTCTTTTCTTTTTTTTAGTGACAGGGTCTTGCTTTGTTGCCTAGGCTGGTTTCAAATTCCTGGCCTCAAGTAATCCTCCTACCTTGGCTTCCCAATGTGCTAGGATTACATGTGTTGCCACTGTTCCCGGCAAAAGACAATTTTTTTTAAGTGAATTGATCTCTAGGGTAAGTCGTTATACATAGTTGAATAATCTTTAACTGGTTTTTATAGATTGAAATTGACCTTCTGAAAGTGTTTTAAGGAAGATGAATGCTTTACATGTAACTAATTTTGACTCCTTTATGTTCTTGCAATTTTGGCTAAGCCCATTATTCTTAATGAGTGTTAAGGAATAAAATAAATCCTTATTCTAGATTTAAAAAAATACAGAGATAGAAAATAAAAGAAGACTTTTCTCTTACTTTATTCCATCAGGAAATGTTGTGTTGCACTCCTGACCCTAAATGTTTGGCATTGGTAACCTTGTAATATGTTGTGCTATTTAAAGATTCACTTACATCACATAGAATGCTTTTTATTAAATGAGGTTAAGAAATATGAATTTTAATATGACAGCGCATAGAAATCACCTGCTTTTAAATAGGCAAAGTTGCACATGTATAGTACTCCGTAAATTGTAATTCATAAAATAAATGAAATATGAGCTTGTGCTTAGAAATTCTATGATGATTTAATTTTACAAATTTTAATTGGAGAGAAAGACAATTATGTTACTAGTCTTTACTCTTTTATATCTATTTTATATGCCTATTTTGGTAAAAACAATATTTTATTTACCATATGTCAGGATACAGAAAAGGTGGAACTGATTATAATGAAAAAATTTTGCAAGCAAAATAATCAAACCTAGCCATATTAAAAAAGAATACCTGGGAATTTTCACAAAGATTAAAGCAAGCCAAACAACATACTATCCAATATTTTTTCTGTGGTTCCTATACATTTAAATAATGAAGAAATACCTTAGCAACTTAAAATACTTTTGAAGTTAGTTCAAATTATATTTCTTCAATAAATATAAATGTTACAACAAAAATGCTATATGTTACATATAGCATATATACATTATATGAAATGTTTTTCATTATTTCTGATTAATTAAATTTTAATCAAGTAGGAAGCATGCTACATAAATCATGTATACCTTTCAAGGTGTGTTGAGAGTCACTGAAAGCCATTTACGAACCGATTTTATTTGCTTGCACATTCCAACAACTAATCAACAAATTTATACTACATTTATATTCTTTTTTCTTTTTTTTTTTTTCTTTTTGTAGATGCAGTCTTGCTCTGTCACACAGGCTGGAGTGCAGTGGTATGATCTTGGCTCCCTGCAACCTCTCCCTCCCGGGTTCAAGCGATTCTCCCTCCTCAGCCTCCCAACTAGCTGGGATTACAAGCCCCTGCCATCATGCCCAGCTAATTTTTGTATTTTTAGAAGAGACAGGGTTTCACTATGTTGGCCAGGCTGGTCTCAAACTCCTGGCCTCAAGTGATCCACCTCTCTCAACCTCCCAAAGTGCTGGGATTACAGGCTTGAGCCACTGGCACCTGGCCCTGCATTTATATTCTTAAAATAATAAAAATATAGTGTATGTGCATGGTACTTAACACACTCTAGGATGTTTTCTCATATATTGAATCCGTTTATCATTTAACTTTTTTAACCAATCTTCCAGGAAGGTATTAATAGTCTCATTTTGCCTATTAAAGAAGCAATGTCTGTAGAAGCTCAAAGCCACAAAGATCATATGTGGTAAAGCTTGCAATTGGAGCTACTTGAAGCTGTGTTTTCTGATCATCCTTATTGCTTCCAAAAGTCACATATATTTTACAGTAGTTACATAAATATATTATTTTTATATGTCCATTTGGAGATATACTTGAAAATGAGAGATTATCGATACATGCATTAGACAGTGAGCTTTGAGATCCTACAGATGTGTTCAAATTTGGCTTAATTGCCTCCAGTTATGTAATCTGCCACAACTTAAATAACTGGGAATAATAATGAGATACACTTGTACATTGAGAAGAGACTGAGAACCAAGTCTTGGGACATTCCAGCATTCACATGTTCATTTCTTCGTACATTCACTTTCAAATTCAATATTACATTATTCTCTGATCCAGACACTGCAACTATAGTCCCAAGGGGTAGAAAGTAAAAAGTCAATAACTTGATGATGCAACATATTCACATCCATGGAACCTATCTATGTATCTGTATGTATACTTCAAGTCTCATTTAAAACATGGAATGGCTGCTCTCTGCATTGCCCCCCACAGACAACTTTTGTTTTTTCACAGCATGTAGTCTCAAGGTACTTTAATATTTTAAATGACAACTCAAGGCTATGAAATTAAATTTTCCAGCATTAAAATTGGAGGTCGTGCAATCTGTTATAACCTAGCTTCAAAAGTCATTGTTAAGAGCTGAAGTGCACCTCTCTGCCCCCAACCAATTTATATGTTGAAGCCCTAACACTCAATATGACTGCATTTGGAAATAGCACCTTTAAAGAAGTAATTAAGGTTAAACCAGAACCTAATGGTGGGGTCCTAATCCACTATGAGTGATGTCTTTATAGGAAGAAGAGACACTAGGGAAGGACAAATACCAAGGAAAGGCCAAAGAAAGACACAGAAAGAAAGAAGCAGCTGTCTGCAACCAAGGAGAGAAACCTCTGGAAAAGCCAAATCTGCTGGCAACTTATTTTGGAGTTCTAGCCTCCAGAACTAAAAGAAAAAATAAATTTCTGTTGTTTAAGCCATCCACTCTGTGGTATTATATTATGGCAATACCATAGTCAACTAAAACAATCATCCGGCATAACTTCAGTTATACTCAAATGGTTGAAATAGTACTAGCCCACCAGATTTTAGGAGATGACAGTCTTAATGAGAAGACTGTCAAGTAATTTGCAATCATATTCTAAAGTCACCACATATTATTTTTTTTTGTTGATATGGAATCTCTCTGATATCTGACCCATATTTGAACTCATGTTATTGCCTTTATCGATGAGAACTTTACCTGTAATCACTTGTGATCTTTTGATGATATAACCGATGGTGATAGGTTTGTAGTAACTATTGCTCTGTGAAGACAATGCACCAGCAA